>NC_000023.11:108087542-108712542 GCF_000001405.40 Homo sapiens | reverse complement strand
TAATCCTAGTCATTTAGGGAAATCTCTCTAAAATAATTAGCTGGAAACCAATTTAACTGAGCAAAGACTTTAGTGGCTACACATAACAATTCAGATTTTACAAAATTAGTACAGAAACACCATTAAACAAACAAAAGACAACAAAAAATAGCAACAACAACAAACTCTGGGAGTTGGGGGTAGTGGTGGAATCTGGTTTCCAAAGTTGCCAGATTATATTATTTTAAATGTCCAATTGTGAATAAAAAGTATGAGAAGTAAAAAAAAAAAAAAAAAAAAAAACCAACAAGGAATTACGGCTGACACACAGGAAAAGGAGCAATCAATAGAAAGTGTTCTTGAGGAAGCTTTGACCTTAGACTTACTAGACAAAGACTTTTGAATTAGCTATTTCAAGTATGCTCAAAGAACAAAAGGAGACCATGTTTATAGGACTAAAGAAAAGTCTGGGAAGGATCTCTCACCAAATAGACAATATTGATACAGAGAGAAATTATAAAAAGAACTAAGCAGAAATTCTGGAGTTGAAAAGTACTGAAATAAAAAATGTACTAGAGGGGCTCAACAATAGATTTGGACTGGCAAAAGAAGGAATCAGTACCTTTGAAGATAGGCCCAATGAGTTTATCTAGTCTGATAAACAGAAAGGTAAAATAATTTTTTTAAAAGTGAGCAGACCCTCTGAGAAATATGGGGCACCATCAAGCATACAAACATGCATATAATGGAAGTACCAGAAGGAAAGGAGAGTATACAGGGGCAGAAAGAACATTTGAAGAAATAATAGCCAAAATCTACCCAAATTTGATGGACTACATTAATATATACATCCAAGAAGCTCAACTCCAAGTAGGAATAACTCAAAGACAACCTCAGCGAGATACGTTATAATTAAACTGTCAAAAGTAAAAAAGACCATTTCTCCAAAGATATACAAATGGCTAATAAGCACTTAAAAAGAGTCTCAACATCACTAATCATTAGGGAAATGTAAATCAAAACTGCAATGAGATAACACCTTACATCTCTTAGGATGGTAACTATGAAAATAATCAGAAAATAATAAGTGTTGGTGATGACGTAGAGAGGTCGGAACCCTTGTACACTATTGATGTGAACGCAAAATAGTACAGCCATTGTGGAAAACAGTATAGTGTTTCCTCAAACTTATAAAAGCAGAATTACTGTAAGATTCAGCAATTTCATGTCTTGTTATATACCCAAAAGAATTCACAGCAGGCTCTCAAAGAGGTATTTGGACAGCCATGTTAATAGGAATATTATTCACAATAGTTAAAACATTGAAGCAACCCAAGTGTTCATCAACAGATGAATGGATAAGCAAATGTAGAATATAAATACAATTGAATATTATTCAGCCTTAAAAAGGAAGAACATTTTGAAATATGCTGCAACATTGATGAACCTTGAGGACATTAGGCTAAGTGAAATAAACCGGTCACAAAACCACAAATACTGCATGATTCCATCTATGAGTTACTTAAAGTAGTCAAAATCATACAGAAAGAAGGTAGAATGGTGGCTGCTAGGGGCTGGAGGGAGCGGAAAATGGAGAGTTATTGTTTAATGGGTATAGAATTTCAGTTTTATAAGATAAAACAGTTATGTAGATGGATGTGGTGATGGTTGCACAACATTCTGAATATATTTAATACCACTAAACTGTACACTTAAAAATGGTTACAATGATCAATTTTGTGTTACATGTATTTTACCACAATAGAAAAGTTTTAAAAATAAAAAAAAATTAGTCAAAGGCAAAGAATCTTGAAACAGTAAGACAAAAGTGACTCATCGTGTACAAGAGATGCTTCATAATATTATCAGCTGATTTCTTATCAGAAACTACAGTCTAGAAGGAATTGGGATAACATACTCAAAGTGCTCAAAGAAAATAAAGACTGTAATTCAAGTGTTCTATTCCAGTGCATCTATTCTTCAAAAATGAAGGAGAAATTAAAAGATCACAAGATAAGTAATCATTAAGAGAATCCAACACTAGTGGATTGCCCTACAAGAAGTACTAAAAGGAATTCTTCAGGTAGACATGAAAGGACACTAGACAGTAACTTAAATACACATGAAGAAATAAAAAACACACGTAACTGTAGAGGTACATATAAAAGACAGTATAAATGTAGTTTTTGTTTATAACTCTTTTTTACTCCTAATTTAAAGGACAGCTGCATAAAGCAATAATTATAAATCTGTGTTGATGGGCATACCATATATAAAGATGCAATTATATGACAGTAACAGAACAAAGGAGGGGAGAAATAATGGAGCCGTTTAGGAGTAAAATTTATTTTTACTATGAAATTAAGTTGCTAGATTGTTATAATTTAAGATGTTAATTGTAATCCATAGGGCAAACAATAAGAAAATAACACCAAAAATATAGTAAAATAAATGACGAGGGAATGAAAATGCTATTTAACACAAAAGGACATGATGGAGAAATAAAGGAACAAAAAGACATGGCACATACACAAAACAAATGGCAGCCATAAATCCCAAATTAACGGTAACTGCATTAAATGTGAATAGATTAAACGATCCATTCAAAGGCAGAGATCGGCAGAACAGACATAAAAAACATGGTTCAAGTGTATGCTGCCTAGAAGACAAACAGTTAATCAAAGAATCAGCAGGCACGGTGGCTCATGCTTGTAATCCCGGCACTTTGAGAGACCAGGCGGGTGGATCACCTGAGGTCAGGAGCTTGAGACCAGCCTGGCCAACATGGTGAAACCCCGTCTCTACTAAAAATAAAAAAATTAATCGGGCATAGTGGCGCTTGTAGTCCCAGCTACTCCAGAGGCTGAGGCAGGAGAATCGTTTGAACCCAGGAAGCGGGGGTGTAGTGAGCCGCGATCGCTCCACTGCACTCCAGCCTGAGTGACAGAGACTCCATCACAAAAAAAAAAAAAAAAAAAAATTCAAAGACACAAATACATTGAAAGTAAAGGGATGAAAAAAAGATATGAAAACGGTAACCAAAAGAGAGCTGGAGTGGCTATATTAATATCAAATGAATAGCCTTTTCAGACAAAAATGGCTACCAGAGATAAAAAGGGCATTTTACAAAGATAAAAGAATAAATCCATAAAGAAGACATAACAATTATTCATATAATATATATAATACATATATATATATACCTAAGATCAGAGTCTCAAAATGCATGAAGCAGAATCTGACCAAACTGAAGTGATAAATAGGCAATTCAACAATTATAGCTGGAGACTGGAATACCCCACTTTCAATAATGGACAGAACAAGTAGGCAGAAGATTAACAAGAAAGTAGAAGACTTGAGCAACACTACAAATCAACCAGATCCGATAGACTTCTATAGAACACTCTACACTGACAGAATACATATTGTTCCAAAGAGTATATGGAACATTATATAGAACAGACCATATGTTAGTCCATAAAACATATCTCAATAAATTTTAAAGGATTGAAATCATACAATGTATGTTCTCTGACCACACTGGAATGAAATTAGCAGGTGGAAATTTGGAATATTAACAAATACATGGAAATTAATTAATACTATTCTATGTAACCAATGAGTAAGAGAAGAAATTACAAAGTAAATTAAAAAATACTTTGAAATGAATGTAAACAAACCACAACCTACCAAACCTTATAAGGTACAGCTAAGCAGTGTTTAGAGGGGAATTTATAGTTGTAAATAAGCAGAAATACTTTAAATCAATAACCTACTCAATAACCTTCCACCTTCCACCTTGAAAAACTAGAAAAACAACAAACTAAACCCAAAGCAAGCAGAAGAATGAAAATAAATGAAATGATGAATAGAAAAATAATATGGAAAATTAACAAAATCAAAAGTTGATTCTATAAAAAAATTAACAAAATTGATTAATCTTTCACTAGATAGACCATGCCAAAATAGAGAGAAGACTCAAATTACTAAATTCAGGAATGAAAGGGGACATTACTACTGACATTAGATAAATAAAAATGACTATAAAATAATATCATGGGTTGGGTGGAGTGCCTCACATCTGTAATCCCAACTCTTTGGGAGGCCAAGGAGGGAGGATTGCTTGAGGCCAGGAGTTCACGACCAGTCTGGGCAACGAAGAGAGATGCCCATCGCCACAAAAAAATAAAAATTAGGTGGGCATGGTGGCACACAGCTGTACTCCCAGCTACTCAGGAGTCTTAGGCGGGCAGATCACTTGAGCCCAAGAGTTAGGCTGCAGTGAGCTATAATCACAGCATTGCACTCCATCTTGGGTTAGAGAATGAGATCCTGTGCAAACAACAAACAAACAAAAAACAACAAAAACAGAAACAAAAAAACCAATACTATGAACAATTGTATGCAAACCAATTAGATACACTAGATGGAATAGACACATTTCTAAAAGGACATGAGCAATAGAAATCAACAGAAAAAATGAGAAAACTGCACAGATATAAAAATAGAGATTGAATTGGTAATTTAAAATTTTTAACAAATAAAAGCCCAGGACAGATAACTTCACTGGAGAATTCTACCAAATGTTTAAAGAAGAATTAACAACAACCCTTCACAAAAGTTTCTAAAAGATGGGAAAGGAGATAAAACTTCACAACTCGTTGTAGAGGCCAAAACTTCATAGAGGCCAAAAACTTGGTACTATAACTAGACATGAATACCACAAGAAAAGAAAATACAGACCAATATCCCCTATGGACATAGACACAAAATAAAAAAAAATAGTAGCAAATCCAATCAAGCAACATATTAAGAGTCCAGGACCAGATAGCTTCACTGGTGAATTTTAACAAACATTTAAATAATTAACACCAATCCTGCTCAAACTCTTTTTAAAATTGAAGATAAGGGATTTCCCAACTTACGCTCTCTGAGGCCAGTAATATCATGACAACAAAGCCAGATAGACACTATAAGAAAACTATAGAGCCATATCCCTTATGAATAAATATGTAAAAATACTCAACAAAATACTAGCAAACCAAATTCAACAGCGTATTAAAAATATTATACACCATGACCAAGTGGGATTTATACTAGGAAAGCAAGACTGGTTCAACATATTTAAATTAATCAATGTCATACACCTAGTTAATAAAATGAAGGATAAAACTCACACAATGATCTCAATTGGTGCAGAAAAAGCATTTGACAATATCCAACATATTTTCATGATAAAAACACTGCACTCAACAACTAGGAATACAAGGGAACTGTCTCAAACTGAGAAAAGGTATCTATGAAAATCTACTGCTAACATCATACTTAATGGTGAAAGACTAAAACCTTCCTCCGTAGAATGGGGCCAAGAAAAAGATGTTTATTCTCATTGCTTCTATTTAATATTGTACTGAAGTTTCTAGCCTAATCAATTAGACAAGGAAGACAAAATAAAAAGCATAAGGACTGGAAAGAAAGAAGGAAAGCTATGTCAATTTGCAGAAGACATGACGTTATATATACAACATCCTGATAAATCCACTAAAAAACTATTATAGCTAACAAATGCATTAGGCAAAGTTGCAGGATACAAGATCAATATACAACCAAAAACAAAAATTGTATTTCTATACACTAGCAATGAGAAATATGAAAAGGAAATTAATAGAGAAATTCCATTTATAGTAACACAAAAGAATAAAATACTTAGGAATAAAAGTGCAAGACTTGTACACCAATAACTACAAAACATTATTGAAAGAAATTAAGGAAGATCTACATAAATAGAAAAAGAGTGTTTGTTCATGGGTCAGAAGACTTAATACTGTTAAAATACGATACTCCCCAAAGTGATGTACAGATTCAATGTAATCTATTAATATCCCAGTTGTCTTCTTCTTCTTTTATTTTTTGGCAGCAATTGACAAGCTGAGACTAAATGCATATGGAATTGCAAGGGAGCCTGAATAGCCAAAACAATCTTGAAAAAGAACAATGTTGAAAGACTGGCACTTGACTATTTCAAAACTTACTGCAATGTTACTGTAATCAAGACTGTGAGGCCAGGCACAGTGGCTCATGCCTGTAATCCCAGCCTTCTGGGAGGCGGGGGCAGGAGAATTGCTTGAGCCCAGAAGTTTGAGACCAGCCTGGGGAACAAAGTGAGATACCACCTCTACAAAAACTTAGCCAGGCATGGTGGCACCACCCATGCTCTCAGCTACACAGGAAGCTGAGTAAGGAGGATCACTTGGACCCTGTAGGTAGAGGCTACAGTGAGCCATGTTCATGTCACTGCATTGCAAACTGGGTGACAGAGTTAGACCCTATCTTAAAAAAAAATAGACTGTGTAGTACTGGCATAAACACAGACATATCGATCTATGGCACAGAGAATCCAGAAATAAAGCCATACTTCTGTGGTGGATCCGTTTTTGACAAGTGTATCAAGACAATTTAATAGAGGAAAGAAAAAGTCTTTTCAACAAATGGTGCTGGGACAACTGCATGCAGAATAATAAATTTGAAATCTTACTTCACACTATGTTTAAAAATTAACTCAATATAGATTAAAGACTTAAATGTATGAGCCAAAACATAGGAGTTAAACATTGTGCACTTGGATTAGGCAATGATTTCTTACATGTGACACCAAAAGCAAAAGTAACAAAAGGAAAATATTTTTGATATTTCGTTAAAACTAAAATATCCTGTGCTTTAAAAGACACCATCAAGAAAGTAAAAAGATAACCCTCAGAATGAGAGAAAATATTCAGAAATCATATATCTGATAAAGGATAGGTATCTATAATATATAAAGTACTCTTACAACTCACCAGTGAAAAGACAAATAACCCAATTGAAAATGGGCAAAGCATTTACATTGACATTTCTCTAAAGAAGATACACAAACGGCCAACAAGCACATAAGACTCTCAGAATCATTAGTCAGTAGGGAAATGCAAATCAAAACTACAATGAGACCTGTGCGGTGGCACCATGCCTGTAATTCCAGTACTTTAGGAGGCCAAAGCAGGAGGATAGCTTGAGCCCAGGAATTTGAGACCAGCCTCGGCAACAAATCAACACCCCATATCTACAAAAAATAAATAAAAATAAATTAGCCAGACATGATGGCATGTGCCTTTAGTCCCAGCTACTCAGGAGGCTGAGGCAGGAGGATTCCTTGAGTCCAGGTTTTGAGGCTGCAGTGAGGTATCATTCTGCCACTGCCCTCCAGCCTGGGTGACAGAGCCTTGTCTAAATAAAAACAACACCACCACCACCAAAAACCACCACAATGAGATACCACTTTACACTCACTGGGATGGCAATAATTAAAAATGGAAAAATAACATATTTTTGTAAAGATGTGGAAAAATTGGACTTTTGCACACAGCTGGTGGGAATGTGAAATGGTGTTGGTCCAGTAGAAAACAGTTTGGCTTAACTTCCTCAAGAAGTTAAACAGAATTACTATATGACTCAGCAAATTCACTCCTAGGCATACCTGAAAGACTTGAAAACAGGTATTCAAACAAATATTTGTCCATGAATGTTCATAGCAGCGCTATTCAAATTCACCAAAAGGTGGAAACAACATATTTGTCAATGGATGAATGGACAAACAAATGTGGTATAACCTTACGATGTATTATTATGCAACATAAAAAGAATGAAGTACTCATACATGCTGTAACATGGATGAACCTTGAAAACATTATGCTAAATGAAAAAAAAAGCAGACCCAAAAAAGTCACATATTGTAAGATTCCATTTATATAAAACATTCAGAATAGGTAAATCTATAGAGACAGAAAGTAGATTAGTGCCTGCCAGTGGCTGTGGGGACTGGAGAGTGACTCCTTAATGGATACGGGGTTTTCTTTTGGAGTGATGAGGCTGTTTTGTAGCTAGATTAAGGAGGTGGTTGCACCACACTGCACACTGTGGATGTACTAAATGGCACTCGAATTGTTTGCTTTAAAATGGTTAGTTTTAAGTTACTTGGATTTCACTTGAATTTAAAAAATAAAGAAATGAAGTACCAGCACATGCAACAACATGGATGATCCTTGTTAAAGAAGCCAGACACAAAAGCCCATATATGTTGTATGATTCCATTTATACGAAATGTCCAGAATAGGCAAATCTATAGAGACAGAAAACAGACTGGTGGTTTCGTAGGGCTGAGAGGAGGAAGGGATGAGGAAAATGGGGTCTGATTGCATGGGATTATTTTCAGGGTGATGAAAATGTTCTGGAATTAGACAGGATTGATGGTTGAAAAATTTTGTGAATATACTAGAAACCATTACACTGTACCCTTTAACAGGGTGAATTTTATTGTATATGAATTATGTCTAATATAAAAGAGAATATACTGTTTAAACAAAAATAACAGCAATGTAGTGTGGTATTTATAACATAATAAACATAGTGTATGAAAATAGTGGTGCGAAGATCAAGAGGGGAGAATTGAAAGTATACTATTGTAACATTCTTATAGCATACATGAAGTGGTATTATGTGACTTGAATATAGACTGTGATAAGTTAAAAATGTGTGCCATAAAAACTAAAGCAGCCACTAAATTAACCAAACAAAATGTTACAGTTAATATCCACAAAGGAGATAAAAGGGAATCAGAAAAAATATTCAATTAATCCAAAACAAAGCATAAAAAGTGAACACATTACGAATGAGGCAAATAGAAAACAAATAAGATAACAGAGTTGAACTTAACCATATCAATAAGCACATTAAGTGCAGTCCATTAAAAAGTAAAAATTGTCATATTGTATTAAAAAGTAGGATCCAACTATGTGACCCTCAGGAAATGCGCTTCAAATAGAAAGACAGAACTAGGTTAAAAGTAAAATAATGAAAAAATATGTTAACACTAACACAAGGAAAGCTGGATGGCAATATTGCTATCAATGTAGTTTTCAGAGCAAATAATATTAACATTTTCTTTACTATATTACCATTATAATAATAATAAAGAGATCATTTTATCAAGGGGATATAACAATCATAAATATTTATGCACCTAAAAGCAAATTTTCAAAATAGATGAAGGAAAAACAGAGCTGCAAGAAGAAAAGCACTAGCACACTTTCATGCACCCATGGGTGCTTCTGCCTGCTCAGAGAATAAAAGAAAATGCTGCTTTCTGAGTAGGAGAAGGAAGTGTTTGTAAAAATGGCTTCAGGTTGTTATCACTTTACACTCCATGGGGAGTAGTTTTCTGTGCTGTTGCTGGCCTTAAGGTGGGCAACAATTTCCACATCTGAAAGTACATAGTCAACTTAATAACATACTTAAACCCAGTAACCTCAAAGCCAGGCTTATTTCTGATTACAATAAGCTATGCAGAGCCCTATTTTAGCCCACATGTTCTCTAACTTGTCTTTAACCTTTCCTGCCTCTCTAATCTGATAAATAGCCACATACTGCTTGGCCCAGCTGGCTTTATGTTTGCTCATATGATTCCTAGTGTAAATTTCCGCTAAAGGGAGTCAAATAAGGGAAACTTCTGCATGTAAAATGTGACCAATGGAGGTTACAGCTAGCAAACTCAAATTGCTTCTATAAGTTTATGTATATTAAGTGTAAACAAAATATAACGAACTTTACTGTTGGAGCTAAAGAAATTTTCCCCTCCATGGAGTCCTTTCTGCATTGTCTATAATAGATAATAAAATTAGTAGGATGGTCTCAGATTTACAAAACTGGCCCTTCCTTAGACACTAATAGCATTGACGAGGCTGCAGGCCAGGGCATTTAAATTCCAGGAGTTCATCTGGATTCAAAAGCCCTGAGGAAGTTCACATGAGGGCACCAGGCCACACCCATAAAGTTTTCTTTAGCTATAGAGGCTTAGACCAGACAGAGTATCCTGAGGTACAATGGATTAACTATAAGCCCCCTGTGCCTAAAGGTTAATTCCAAGGGGTTTCAGGTGCTGCAAAGGTGCTAGGAAAGCATTCATCCTTACCTGGGAACCAAGACTTCCAAAACATACAGCCTATCACTTCTCATGAGGCAGAGACCTCTATATATATTGCTATGAATGTCTACCACACAGGATTATAAGATTTTAGATATAGGCATCTTCATGGCTCAAAAGTGACGATTAGATTTGGAGTGAAAAGAACTTAGTAACTTGTGACTTTTGGGGTCAGTTAACCATTCCAAGGCTCAGCTTCCACATCTGTATATTGGAGACTAATCCTTGCACTGCTTGAGTACATCAGAGTTGTTGAGACTCAGATGAAATGTGTAAAGGATGATATTTTAATAAGAACTACATACATATAAGGTGTTAGTCTTATTACTACTGAGGTGTTAGAGGTAGCCTTCCTTGCAGCCCAAGCAAAGGTCAAATTATTGTGTCAGAGAGACACAAGGATCTGACATCGGGGGTTACCATTGTAGCTTATGATAGACTGGCAACAGCAAGCACTTTGCTGGCCCTATGAAAATCAACCAGGAAACTATTTTGCTTGAAGAGAGAGTATGTTGGCTTCTTGGTAGGTTCGGTGTGGGACTGGTTGAAATTACCAAGTACAGTATTCTCAGGCTGTCTTTGGCTTTAGAACATGACCTGTCTTCCATAATCCCTAGTATAAGCATTCACTCTGGTACCCTTGAACAGAAGGGAAGCAGATGTGAAGAACTTCTGCAGGCTTACTTTTACAGATGCTCTTGAGGCTAGAAAACCACTAATAAATTACTCATTTCTCAGCTAGTAACACTTCAGGGCTTTTCACTGACTGCAAGCAGGTATATCTGGCTTAGCAGATTCCTCTGGTTGAAGTAATACTACCGGGAGTTTCTCTTTGGAGCTTTCAGAGATGAGTTATTGGTACTTGTAATCTAGTCTGCTAATGAGTTAACAAATTAATTATTTGAAGTTAAGATGTAGGAAGACAAATGACTACCTGGGGGAAATAAAAGTGCATTCTTTAGAGATCCAGTGGGACACTAATTGGAAAAAGATAAATAATTTAGGATCATAAGGAACATATTTTGCCTCATTTCACCATAAGTACCCTGGAACACAGCTTCCAATAACTCTTGATAAACTAGGTCTTAGATTAAGTGGTGTTAAGTCATATTTCTGCTGGCCCATCCCTTAGTTCAAAGTCAAAGATGCATGCTTAATCATGCATGTCAGTTTTATCAATTCACCCTCATTTTGTCACATATGGAAATAAAGCACTTTCTCTAGATTTTGGAAACTAGAAGTGTTGAGTATTCGTTGGAGTATCAACAACAAAAGTACAACACACTTAAATTAGGATAATCTGAGGAGAGTTTAATTAGAAATATATAGATGGTGTGGAGGGGGAATCACAAATGGTTGTTCAGGAATCCAGGTCTAGCAGCACAGCAACAGCAGACTTGTCACCATACCCATCACACCTAGACCTGAAAACATGAGAAGGGGTTAGTAGAACCAGAAAGGAAGATAATTAGGAATAGTAAGTCATCTTGAGAGCAGTAGGGACATTCAATTGAGAGTCACAAACCAACCTGAGGTAACCTCATAGAGAAAGAGCCATGAAAATAAATACCCTAACCCAACTCTTGTCCCCTCCTCTGGTATTCTGCTGGGACTTCCAACTGGTTGAACCCAATCAGAAGCCAGAGGGCTCAGGAACCCTCTGGGGCAGAAAGCAGGATGAAATGTGATGGTAGAGGGGGAAACAGAAGATATTTGGCATAAATTGGTATTATGTAAGCAATTTGTTATCCTGTAGGGTCAGGTGTTGGGTATGCAGTCCACTAACAGAGAAATAGATGATTAAGATTACATAAATGTGATTTTAGCCCATGTTTTGGGGAACAGGTTGGTGAGCCAGCTTCCTCCAGACAGCTACTCTTACAAAAATCCCCATTATCTGGCCTAGAATTAGTAAGATTTGGTAGTCAAAGACAGACTAGCATACCTCTTTTCCAGTATACATACAGTAAGTCCTCAGTTAACGTCCATAGGTTCTTGGAAACTTTGACTTTAAAGCTAAACGACATATAACAAATCCATTTTTTCTTCATCAACATTATAACTGAATAATATTGGACATCGTTTCCTTTAAAGTCACAGCTTCTAAAAATATATTGACCACGTGAAGTGAGGATTTACTATATTATGGTCACTGCTTATTCTCCTGGTTGAGGTTGAGTTCATTTTAGATTGCTATCCTTCATGGTGTCCTTAGCTAACAAGCATCCAATCAATATTTGTTGATATAGAACTCAGGAGACAGGCCTCTCTGGATTCAATTCCAACTTAGGAGTATTTCCACCAAACAAACTTTCCAAGCTCCCTGAATATACTCTAAAACCACTGCTCTAAAATGGAAATGACATGATTTTAAAATATTATTCAATTTATTTTGGAGCTGCCTAGGGATGAAGGTGTTTGTATAGTCCAGCCTGAGAACTGAGTTTCTCTGCCAAGGAAACCAACTGAAGTTCCGGCCAAACAAAAGTGATTGCTCCTTGCTTCTGTGTTGAGAGGCATGGGAAGTGCTACCAGAACCAACTGTTAATCAGGCTCTTAAGAAGAGAATCTAACCAACATGAAGAAACCCCGTCTCTACTAAAAATACAAAATTAGCCAGGTGTGGTGGCACATGCCTGTAATCCCAGCTACTCTGGAGGCTGAGGCAGGAGAATCGCTGAACCCAGGAGGCAGAGGTTGCAGTGAGCCGAGATCGTGCCATTGTACTCCAGCCTGGGCAACAAGAGCAAAACTCCGTCTCAAAAACAAACAAACAAAAAAACAAAAGAGAATCTTTGACAGCAAAGCTGTTCTCTTCGTTTTGGATGCAGACATTGGGAAACTAGGCCACCTCTTCAAGTACTTGCTAATGATTTTTATGAGGCTGAAAGAATAAATGAAACTTAAAACAGGGAATCTAGAGACAGGACTTTAGACAACCCTACCACCACCACCAATGAGCTCAAATCATTACACATGCTGATTCATTTTTATAGGCAATAGTGCCCTCTTGTGATTAACTTCTGAATAAGCATTTGATGGCTTGGCATGACATTGAGGCAAAGAACCTTATTGCCACTACAAGAATGAAAAAGTGTTGTTCAAATTTGGATGGGTGGGAAAAAACATCATACAATCACAAGGTGTCCAATACAACCTCCTTTGGAAGCAATGAGTGTGACACCAACATAGCAAAGATCAGGCCAATAAGCTATAAAAATAATTGGAATGTCTACTTTCTTACACAACACATGTGTGTGTATACACTTATCCATATGTGTGTGTGTGTATATATATATTACGTAATATATATATAATGGAAGTTATTCATGTAGACCTCAATTTTTCTGAAGATACATGTGCACGTGTGTGTGGGTACACACACACACACACACACACACACACACACACACACACACATACACAGCTATAAAATACTAGGATTTGGTCCTTAAGTAACATCTGAATCACGAAAGATTCATTAACTGGTAAAACCACATTTGGTACACATAAATATTTGGTAGTCAAACTATCTGATTAAGCAGAATAGTTCATTCATTTCCTGCCAATGTGAGAAAGCTATTAATTGTGTATGACTGTAAAACTTACCATAGTACTTCTGGAAATTTCACAGATGATAAAAAAGCAAAAAAAAACAAAAACAAAAACAAAACAAAACAAAACACAAAAAACTCACCATAGGTAACTAGTAGAGCAGCTAGATTAATCTTTGAATAATTCATGGCAAGAGAGGGTTAACAATATTAATGTCCTGGAATGAATTTGTGTACTTCAAACAACAAAGCAGGGCTAGGAATAGTTAGGAGATTTAAGAAACACATAGACTAGCTGCACATGCAACAATTTAAAAATTAGGAGGTTCTGGGATGGGCGTGGTGTCTCACACCTGTAATCTCAGCACTCTGGGAGGCCGAGGCAGGCAGATCGCTTGAGTTCAGGAGTTCAAGACCAGCCTGGGCAACATGGTGAAACCCCGTCTCTACTAAAAATACAAAAAATTAGCCGGGCGTGGTGGTATGCACCTGTAGTTCCAGCTAGTCTGGAGGCTGAGGTGGGAGAATCGCCTTGAACCCAGGAGGTGGATGTTGCAGTGAGCCGAGATCACGCCATTGCACTCCAGCCTGGGTGACAGAGGAGACTGTCTCAAAACAAAACAAAACAAAACAAAACAAAACAAAACAAACAAACAAACAAAGGAGGTTCTTTTTGGGCCAAGGCTTTCAACCAGCTATAAATGAGAGGGAAAGCTACAAAAAGCAAAATCTCTGGAATTAGTGTTTGCGACTATAACAGAAGGGGCACCTTTGAGTGTACACCATGTAGAAGAATCTGTGGGGCTGTGATATGGTGTTTTCAGTTACAATTACTCATTACTGACTTTATGCATGGGACTAAATGAAAAAATAGAGCTAAAATTTGCGATTGGTGGCTATCCAGAATCAATAAAATAATTAGATAGTTATCATTGTTTGGATCCTAAGTTTTACCACCAGAGATTCTAAGCTTTAGATTTTACATAGGTCCATATTAGGATTTAGAATACTCAAAATTGTTTTGGTTGTTTTATCTTTTAGCTGTAACACAAATTTTACTATGGAAGTTTTTAATATTTTATTTTTAACCAGTCCTTGACTATTTTAGAGAACTATGCGTGTTCATTCTTAATCATTAAGAATATTAGGTCACTAACCTGCTTTAAACATTATTAATGAATTCTTCCCCAAATAGAAGCCAGTTGTTTCCTTTCTTAGCCATTAACACAATGTTGTCAAGAAATTTATTATCTTGGAAATGTCTTCCAATAGGTAGTTTTCTTCATTGGAAAAAGTTTACATTACTATGTTTTCTATCTACTAACAGAGTGATCAAAGCGTGGAGAAACTGATTCCCTGGGAAGAGATGACTTGTTGATGTGCAGATTGGTAATCTATCTGTAAATGAGCAGGGGTTTTTTCCACACAGGCTGAAGAGATACACAACAGACCATCCTTACAACATATATCTTTAATTAAATTTATATTGGTGGGTTTAAAAAACATTAAGTCAGGAGATGATAGCTAGGGAAATAAGGTATCCTGTGAGTATTTATAACAAAATATTTAAAATTTAAAAAGAATAAGAAACATCAATTGGCTTTTTGTAACTTAAAAGAGACTAACCAAGTGTTGTTTCCCAGTTCTGTACAAGCAGAGGCCACAGGAGGATTCTTACATAAGAAGCACAGGGAAAAGAATTGTTAATTCTGCGTGTGTGTTTTTGTTTCTCAGAATTGTTTGGAAGAACTTTGTCCAGTCAGAAATGAGTAAAAACAAGATGTAAGAAACATTAAAACAGGGGGCATATGGTCTTAAGAGATAATCTTGGAGAATATAGCAAAAGACAAATTGCTCCATTAGATATTATAATTTGGTATGTAACATGAACATTTAAAATTCTGATTAAAGTGACTAAAAGGGTTTGTTTTTTAAAAAAAATCAAAACAGAACTTACGGGATAAAACTCAAAATAAATTTACTCTCAGTAGTAACTTGATGTAGGAATATAAGTCCTCTCACTTTGATAAACATGAATATAAAATATTGCTGTCTGTATTCTAGGGTTTCCTACATTTTCTGTAAAGAGTGATTCATGCTATGTCATATGTAAATGACTCAACATTTTGAGCTAAAAGGCTGTTCACAATATACACATTCTTTACTTACAAAGCAAAATAAGCTTAACACCTTTATATTAAAAACCCGGGATACAGCAGGATTAGTAGCACCGTGAAAAATAATTCTTCCCACAAACTGCAGTCTTTTATTTTACTCAATGTGACTCTTCTCTTAATTGAATTTTTAATGTACCATTTTAGTAACTGGGCAAAATATATAATTTTCATCTTATAATTCTTGGAGAAAGTCATTCTGGACCCAAAAAGTAAATTCACTTCCTTATTTCTTTAGTAGAAAAATAATAGAGACTTTGCTCTGGCGCATTGCTGAGGTACATCTGAATCTTCATGGTTACTAGTCAGCATGTTATCTTGATCATATATAGTAGCACCATTGACGGCAGCAGTAGTAAAGTTGGGGACAATGAGACACTGCATCCTAGGAATTTTATATATATATATATCACATTTTAAAACACAAAAGGAATTCTTCAAAATGTTATGTCCTCTTCATGCACACTTGACATCGGCTAATTCGTGTCCTCAAGTCTCCTGCTTTCAGCGTTTCTGACTGAGGTTTACTGGGAAATAAGAAATAAGACAATCAGATCCACATTTTCTGGTATTTCAATTCTGTTACTGGTTCAAATTTATAACTAAACATTTTTTGTGTGTTAAGTAGCTCTCTTGGTGACTTAATGGTTTACTTTTCAGCAATATGATCTAATGCAGTGACTAGTATGGTTTAAGAGCCATTAGTGGTCATAGATATTTTGTAACGATTCTCCCCACCACTATTATCTTTGTATATTTGTGTTTCCCTCTCATTTTCTATCTTTTTCTCTTTCTCTCATACATTTTTCTAATATTCACAGGATGAGGGAAATCTGGGCAACTGATGATGTTATGATAGATAACAAGGACCATAAGAAAAATACCAAGTAGTGATAACCCAAAAGCAACACATAAAAATAAATTTAAACTGAAAAAAATCAACAGAATGAAGTATCCTGAGGTACATACATTACGTATGTCTTGCTCATTCAAACCCTTAAATGAGAATCTTTAAAATATCCTGGGAAAGGAGACCACTGGACTGAGAGGGAAAAGACAGACTGTAACTTCAATTCCTGGGGTGGTCTCAATCTAGTTGAACAGCTGCTGACTTATTAGGAAGGTCACATAACCTTTCTTTATCTCTGTTTCATTATTGAAGGATTACTACTAAGCTATCACAAACCAAACTCACCTAATATTAATAATCAAGTCTGTTTTTCTGACCTGAGTCATGTATATGAGAAGAACAAGCAAGAATAAAGTACACAATCCAATAAATTCCTAACATTTGTTGAGGATAAACCATCCATAAATTGTCTCTTTCTTCCCTAGCATCTCTGAAGGAAGCTTTGGACCTGAATTAAAGCTATAAGCACTTTACCTGAACATGTCTGACACATCTACAGTTGCCAGCCAAAAGCTGTAGGAGTTGGCATAGTAGTTACAGGTACCCCTCCCATGACATTCGATGAAGGGAGCTGAACGAAACTCTTCCAAGCAGGAACCAGGGGAGGCTAGGGCTTGACCTGAGCCTTCTGCCCCTGCACTTGTATGCTATAAAAGACAAGGAAAAATGTGCCGCAATACCCATGTGCCATAATAGCTTAGTGAATATCCAAAGATGTGTGCTGAGCTTGGCCAAATTCAAATCTAGTGAAGGAACAGGCCCAGAGGTAAGACAATAGTATCCACACCAAGGGTAGTCAAAAAAAAGTAATAGGCAGATTATGAAAATATGTTACAAAAAATGTGTGAGGGGGAACACAGTGCTTGGATAGAAGCTGTTTGAAGTTTAAGCTTCTTATTATGCAAATGACAGGGATTCCTCATATTGGGAAGAAATGTAGATGGAATGGACAGTCAGCTATGATGACAAATGCAAGGAAGAGTGTAAAATACCATCATGAAGGAATAACCAATCCACAGAGAATCCCATCCCTGAGGACAATGGGGAATCTGGATCGTCTGACTGTGAACTGCGATCACCACAGCTGGAGCTTCACATACTGCACATCTGGTAAAGGAAAAGGAGAAGGAACATAATCTACAGAGTGAGCATGTGAGAAGTAGCCATCCTGCTTCATTGGAAGCCTTCTTAGTATGGAAGCCGATTAATGTCTCTTTCAATGATCACAAAAGGTGAAAAAATGCACTTTGAGGATTGCATTTGCTAAGTATTGTCTCCCAGTATACATAATAAACTGTAAACTTTTTTCAAAAAACTGCAGAACCAGTGCAATGGCCTTTTAATATTCCATTATGCCCTAAATGTCTATTCATACTTGCTATAGTCAATGCCTCAATTGCCGTAAGAGTTTGGTTTGGTGTATTGCACATACTACTTGTTGTCAAAGTACTCAATTGGAGGGGAGACATTTAGTAATGCTGAAACTGTGGTAAGAACAATGTCAGAAAGACTGGAAAATATAAGAAACGGACGCTTTCTCAATCTCTACTCATTATTCTTGGTCCAAAGGACATTTATAAACATTTGACTATATCTGGAGAAGTACACCATATCCAGAATGCTGGGCAGGTACCCAGGCACTTGGAGATGTGGCTGAAATCTATAAAATCAAGTAAGATAGCAACAGAATGAATATAGCTGAGACTTCCATATCTTTAATAAAAAACATGAGTGGACCTCTTGACATATTACTGAGGCCAGTTTTGCAGTTTACCTAACAAAATAGTTAATACATTTAGACAAGCTTTTACTCCCAAGAGTTGGGACTGACAAAATTGTACACACACACACACACACACACACACACATACACCCAAATTCCCAAAGGATTCAGGAAAATGTATTAAAAAGGGCACCATGAATTTGCTACTAAGGCTGAACCAGCTTTAATCTTTATATTTACTATCAAAGGAACGAGAATTTCCAGCAATTCATCCTTTATGGTTATTGAAATCCTGGGTCATGATCAGAATAAAAACGGCAATAACCAACATTCCTAAGAGATTGAGTTAAACTAGGTTTCAAAATGGCAAAACTCTAAGAGATTTCTATTAATGGTATCACCCTCCTCTTAGTTACTCATGCTCCAAATCTCAGCTACCACCTTCTTCCCATAGCTAATCAACTGTCAAATCCTATCTAGCCTAATAATGTGATACATGTACCCCACTGTGAGTTCCAATTTACTCACATCAGGGCTATAGCAATACCCTTCAATCCAACTGGTCTCTCTACCTCGAGACTATCCCTTTTGTAATCCATGTTACACATTGATGGCACTATAATCTAACCTGAAGTGTAGCTCTAAAATATTTCAGGGCTCCTTGTTACATATCAAATAAACTTTAAACTACAATTTGGTACAGAAGGCCTTCTACCATCT
Organism: Homo sapiens; assembly: GCF_000001405.40. Lineage (NCBI taxonomy): Eukaryota > Metazoa > Chordata > Mammalia > Primates > Hominidae > Homo > Homo sapiens. The sequence continues at coordinate 108,693,470 of NC_000023.11, read as the reverse complement.
GGGCCCAAGCTAACTTTACAATCTTTTCTCCCAACATAACCTTTACATACTACATCCTAGACACATTGTTTTATTACCCATTGTCATTTATCTGCCTAGTGTATATTTCCCCTTTATAACTGCCTGTGCCTCAAGTCCTTCTAGTCATTCAAGGACTGACCAGTTCAAGACATATTTTTTCCATATGGCCATCCCACATTTCTCCAGTTGAAACTAAACATCTCTTTCCCTATGTTTTCATAACATTTTTATTATATCTATTATAGAACTTAGCCCAAATCTGATATATATTAGACAAATTTATGTAATAAATAATTACTACACTGTGCATTATCTGGCTATTACACTATGTCTATCATGGGGGCCTGGTCAAAAGCAGACCCCCAATAAATATGAGTCAAACTAAATACTTAATTGAATATTAAGAGGTACCTCTGTTCTACCTAACCTAGGAGGAATATCATCAGATTGTTAGCTTTGGACTCAAATCTGACTAGCTAACTAACTGGGGATTGGTAAAAGTCACAGCTAAATCAATGCCTTACCGACTAATGAATGGCTGGATGCTCTGGCCCTTTAGGGGTTGCATGCTCATTGGCATGGGCTCTGGGGTAGAGAGCCAGTAAGAATAGTCATTTCTTGAAGCAAAGTTGCAAACATTATTGATGTTGCAGAACATGAAAGGCATGGTACTAAAGCGACGAAGGCAGCTGCCAGCCGTCCCTAGAAAGATTTGGAGAGAAAACAGTAAAGGACTGCGTGATAATGATACTTTGGTTTCTTCTAAAACAATAGCAAACAGCCTTTCAAGGAAACTTGCCAGCCTTTCATAGGTAATAAATATACTATATTTCTTAAGTCTAAGATTTACTCATATTTTAACATTTATAAAATTAGGATGTGTTTAATAAAGTATGTTAATATTTATTGTGGTAGCTCATTATATATTCCCTAATGCTGTTTTTAAACTAGTGATGCATCTTATAAACAATGGTGTCTTATGGAGGATATTTAGTAATTCATTGTGTACAAGTGAAGGACACATACTGAGTCCTTACGATATCTTATCAATATTTCGTGCTCCAGGCTGCCCTCTCTTCTTCTAAGACTTCCTCAGTATGTATCTTGTGTGAATCTGCAATCTTCTTAGGCCTAGGGACAATAGTAATGCTGGCCAGTGTGCACAGCCACCACAGTCAGGTTTGAAGAATACGTAAAAAGGAAAAAAATAAGACAGGAAGGAAAGATGTGAGGGGAAAACAAACAAACCAAAAAAAGAAAGAAACTAATCTTTGAAATTCAGAGCTAGTAGGGACAAGAGAGGTTATCTTTACTTGTGATCAAGCCTTTCTTTTCTCATTTACTCACAAAAGAATGATGAAAAATGCACTCTCTTACACTTTTGAAAGTTAACATATCTAAAGTTTTGATATCTAAATTTCATCGTAAGTTTAAATTGATACTGTGCCAGTATTAAGATTTTAGCTATTGTCTCTCAGCTCCACACCCACCCTTCGGTATTCCACTTTGTAATAGCAGGGACTGGGAATTTGCAAACCACATTTCTACCTTGCCAGTTTTCATTTATGGTGTTTTGTGAATATTGATATCTAAGAACAAACTTTTATATCACTCTTTTAAATGCATCCAATATAATGATCTGAGATCTAACATTAACCATTATAGAAAATATATAAACTTGTCTTTAGCAGTTGGAAATTATACATTGTTCCTTCTACATTTAAAAATTATATTTCCATTCCACTTTTCTCACACAGTTTTTTCCTAATGTAACATATTTTTATTTTTGAAAGTTTTTTATTGATCATGCTATCATATTTCTCAAAAATTAATATTGAATATACCTTTTTAAAACTTTGTGACTATAAGACTTTACGTGTTAAATGTTTTATTTTGACCTGTCATTGTTATTATTAATTCACAACTGATAAAAATATATGTATTATAAATTTTTATATAATTATTACAAAAAAACTTTTATTAGAAACGTATTTCTTAGAAGGTTGGATTAAAAGTGAATTACAGAGCTTGAGTTAATGGAGACTTTAACAAAACCATTAATTTTTTATTTGTGCAAAATTATGGGGCACATGAACATTTTTTTTATGTATATAATCCATAGTGATCAAGTCAGGGTATTTAGGGTGTCCATCACTCATGTACAATATATTTTTTAAGTATAGTCATTCTCTTCTGCTATCAAATATGGAATTAATTCCTTCTATCTTACTGTATGTTTGTATCCCTTAACCCACTTCTCTTCATCCTCCCCATTCCCCACACTTACCCTTCCAAGTCTCTGCTACCTGTCTTTCCACTCTCTGCCTCCATGTGTTCAAATTTTTAGCTCCCATATATACGTGAGAACATGTGATACTTGTTTTTTTTGTGCCTGGCTTATTTCACTTAAGATAATGACTTCCAGTTCCAACCATGTTGCTGCAAATGACATGATTTCATTTTTTATATGGCTGAATAATATTCCATTGTGTATATATACCACATCTTCTTTATCCATTCATCCTTTGTTGGATACTTAGGTTGATTCCATATCTTTGCTATTGTGAATAGTGCTACAATAAACATGTCAGTGTAACTATCTCTTTGATATACTATTTTCCTTTGGGTAAATATCCAGTAATGGGATTGCTGGATCTAACGGTAATTGTATCTTTAGCAAAGCTGTTATTTTGAATTATCCCTTTGAATTTGTCTGTCAGAGGTTTTCATACTTCAAGGCAATGTGCAAGAGTATGACTCTTACAAAGTGGGGAATGCATGACAGTGAAAGGAGACAAAGGAGACATGGGAAAGGAGATTGCCCAAAGCACATCTGCTAAAGTCAGATTGACTTTAGGAGAAAATACATATAAAAGTCGAGGAGTTGAAATTTGATTTTTAAAAAATAATGCCTCTGTGCATCATGGAAATTCTTCATATATTCAAAGGGGTATGCTTATCTCAGACTGAAGATGACTGATAAAAGACCAATAGATCTTAAACCTGTATTATCAGAATTATTTGGAATTTTTATACAATGGATTTGGCATAAGACTAGGAGTCTTAAAAAATTCCCTAGGTTGAAAATCATTGATTTAGTCTAATTTATCCCTTTCAAAAACTCGTTAAGAAAAACCTGACTGACTCACAGTCATGTAAGAGTGAACAACATGGGAAAATTTAAAAAGAAATGGATTTAGAATTGGCAGGTGTTACCTCCATCACTTTCTAACTGTAAGTTATTTAACCTATTAGCCAGTCTCTTTGTGTATAAAATGAAAAAGCAGAATATTTATATACATTTTTCTTAATCATAGTTGTGTAAATTAAATTAGACAATGGACATGAAAGTGCTTTGTACATTATAAAGTAATTTAAAAAAACCTATTCTACTGCCTAATTTGGGACAGAGCTGAAAATATCCAGTCTCGTAAGGAAAAGAAAGGTAAATAAAAGGAAGGCCCATAATGATGGAAGTATCTGGAGTATCTGGTTGCACCTGTGGCTGCCCACAATGATGCAGAATTCTGGGTTATAGTCTCCAAATTTTCGAAGAGAGAGTGATCCCATATACTCCCAATGCCCTCTATACCCCATAGTTATAAGACTTTAATAGACTAATGGTTCTCAGTATGTTTTTCTTTTCTCCCAGACAGAAAAGCTTTAGTATTTAATCCATCTTCTCTGTCTTCTTTCTTACATCCTATAATCCTTCCACTAATTCAACACAGACTGCATTTATTCGATCAGGAGGTAATTGTTTCTTTAACATCAAAGTGACAGCTGCCTGTATCTTTGCTTAGTCATCAAGATACTTCCAATGTGATCCTTGTGTGAGCCCCAGCAGAGCCTCTGCAATCCAGGACCATTCCTAGGATCTTGGGCTCCGTCATGGCCTTCCTGTGTCTGAGGCCTAAACTGTACCAGAGTCAGGGCCAGTTTATAGATTCCAAATCTGATTGTTCTTATTAGAGAAAATACATGGATTCTGAAAAGTTATAATTACATGCTGATAGCAGATTCCATCTTCTAACTGCATTACATTTTTGAATTCGTAGTGCTCAAAACTTATAATGGTTCCTCTGTTGACCTGGTAGGTTAGGGATTTGAAGTTTAAAGTTTGATTATAAGTCTGACAGTGTAGAGAGAATGAACAAAAAAGAAATTTATAGGAGAAAGACTAGAGAAAATTACCTGAAGATATTAAATTAAATTAATTATTTAGATATTTATTATTCGATTAAATTATGGAAAGATAATTTAATTACTAATTTAATGAAGATTGGTCAATTATAAAATTTAAAAAGATGTAACCAAGTGAAAAGGAGAAAGAAAAGTAGCAGAGGAAAGTTGAAAAGGAGAAAAAGGAAATATAAACGGAAGAAAAAAAGAAGATGGAAAAGAAAGCTATTGGGCAAACCCTTACATTATTTGGTTTCATAAAATGGCCTATGACCACTGACTTACATGTAAGTGAATATCCTTACCCTGGTGGGCCAGAACTGGTGTGGCCATATGCCTTGGAAAAATAGGGAGTAAAGCTGACCTCCGGGGTCTCTGCTGCTGCAGAAACATTTCCACAGAATGAATGGCCCAGACAATGAGATCTCAGGAAGCTTCTCATCATAGAGATCCCAGAAACTGGGAGCCCAGACTATCTTCTTAAATGTCTTTATGGAGGCAAAGGGGATAGTCAGTCTTAAAATAGGCAGCCCTGCCAGGTGCGGTGGCTCACGCCTGTAATCCCAACACTTTGGGAGGCAGAGGTGGGCAGATCACGAGGTCAACATTTCGAGACCAGCCTGGCCAACATGGTGAAACCCCGTCTCTACTAAAAATACAAAAATTAGCCAGGCATGCTGGCGGGCGCCTGTAATTCCCAGCTACTTCGGAGGCTGAGGCAGAAGAATTGCTTGAACCTGGGAGGCAGAGGTAGCAGTGAGCTGAGACCACGCCATTGCACTCCAGCCTGGGCGACAGAGCGAGGCTCCGTATCAAAAAAAAAAACAACACAACAACAACAACAACAACAAAATGCAGCCCCAGGTAAGACAATGGGACTTCAACATCCAAAGTCAGAATTCCAGGAAAAGAATTCATGGGGATGGAAGAGTCCTTGAGAGTGATTTAGTCCCCTCATCCCATCAACCTAGCTGTCCACCCCAGTATAGAGAAGATACATGGGAACACCTTAAATGAACTGGATTTTGTACAGAAATGTCATACTTTATATAGCTTTAAATGACTCCAGCAATACTTTATAAAGCTAAGGCACTTATTTTAGGAACTACAAACTAGCATAATTAAGCAATGACCTTACTTTCTTTGATCTATGAACCAAGATTCTCTTCAGAACTTATGAACTTGATGAAGACCAGTTTCAAAGATGAGGTAAGTATCTCCCAGGAATTATAAACACTGCACACTCAAGCAGCTGCTATACTGCAAAGAGCCCAGGGAAACTGTTCCCTTAATAACTAATCTAACTAAAAGTAAATGTGGCCTTTTTGAAATGATCTGCTTTAGGCCAAGAATTGTACCTCACAAGAGCTAATTAATGCTTTTAGTTTAAGGTTAAATATTATTTATTTAAAAATCATAGTGAATATATTCAGTTGCCTTTGACATGGTTTTCAATTCGGAAGCCCCAAAAGAATAGAGAGAGGCACTTTGGCCAAGGCTACTCTAGAACCCAACAGGATTTCTGAAACAAAAACAAAAGGCACAGTAGGAAATTAGATATTGATTATCTCACCCAAGTCTTGACCGTGGGCTCTTTTATTTCCTTGTACATACAGGAGAGAAAAGCCTTCATAGACCTGAAGTGTTCCCTGTGGGCATTGTGGTGCATCCGTTGTCTGGCTGTGGCGTGTAATAAGAAATCCATGTGCAACAGAGGAGGTTCCAGGGGGACCTGGGGGACCTTGCAATCCATCTGGACCAGGGGGACCATCCAAACCACGGGTACCTATTTCCACGAAATAATCAGTATACAAGATTAAGTAAGCTCTGATCCACTCTTATGGATATTGACAAAACATTATGACCTCATTTGACTAGTTAATTTATTTGATATTTATAGAGTGTCTATAAAGGCATTGTCAGATATCATGGGCTAGGAGACAAATAAAATATGCTTATTTGGAGAGTCTGTATGTTATTTAGTCTCTTGTTGTACTAAAAGAATCTGAACCCCATGGTCAATTTTCAGCCTGCTGTTTTGTTCATCAATGAGAAAGGAAGGGTGTGGTTGCCATCAATCTGCCAGCTTCATTGCTGAAAAACATTTTCCTTTGAATCCGTCTGGGGGAATTATTCTCAGGCATACCTTTTTGTGTAGAGAACAGGCAGGGCATTCTAAAGAAGTATTTTCAAAATGCCCATTTTCAATCCACCACTGGCTTCCCTTCCTGATTTAGCCTCTTGGTTTGAGTTCATTTAATAATTTTCTGTATATACAGGCCTTTGGACAGTCTGTGTATAAATTTTCATTTTAGGGAAACTTCACAGAAACACTTGTGATGAAGATGACACTAACTTGTTATTTCCCTAGAAATATAGCATTAATGAAATGTCAGGGCATTGACTCTAGGAAGGCTATAGGTATTACCACTCTGCTGTGTTGCCACTGATATTTGAAATACAAACTCTTTATGTTTATTTATTAGTCATATTTATATAATCTAGAGTTGTTAACATATATAATGTATGATCCTCTATTTCTATTTTAGAAACCTTAACGTTAAAGTATTTTTTATTTCAAGTTGACTCAAATTCTTTTTGGAAGTAGGTTGAGTACAAATTGAAAATCTAACAGATACCAGACTCAATATTATCAGGAGCACCTATTAATGCTCCTAATATCAATTTATCATCTCAATATGAAACTTCACCATGACTCTTAAAGGTCTATGGCAATCACTTAAACTGTTCATTTATATTTGCTGCTCTTTATGAAAGAAATTACAGCCTACTGCGATATTTTCAAATGTGGAAATATTCACAATAGTTTCAATATGGTCAAGGGATTTAAATCAACATATTGAAAATTTGCTGAACAAGTAAGTACAGTGAGTGCTTGGAAAATTTAACTGAGTTTTCCACTGCTCTAAACACAAATAAAAGCAATCTTGTATGCTTCTCTGATAGTGACAAATCTCCTTATTATGTGCTTTCCTATTTTCCTCAGGTCCACATTCACCAGTCAGCTATGCTAACATCAAGAGAAGATCTCACAGCTCTAAGTGGAGGCCCTATGTCCAGAGGTCTCTCAGACTCAAAGACTTTCCCTCCACCAACAGCATGTTTTACTTGTCTTACCTGGCTGTCCTGGCAGACCTGGGTCTCCTTTGCGCCCTCCTGCACCATCAAAGCCAGGGAGTCCATTGCGTCCAGGATCTCCTGGAGGGCCAGTTGGACCTACAGGAAAAGAATGAGGCATTCAAATATGAGTAGAATATTTTCACATCTGGACAGATCTAGGAGACATAAGGTTCTCGAGACACTGAATTCACAATTTGGTTTTGTCTTAAATCCAGAAAAAAGAAGAGATAACTCAAGTCCAGGACCAAAGAAGCCAACAAGGATTTAGCTTTAGTTTTAAACAATCCATTTGCTTCTGGGATGCTTTTAATGGAGTTGTGCTCTCTTTGTCTTCAGAATCAGACAAGAATGTAAGTCCCAACTTTCGTTTTCTATTCCACCATAAGTTACTGCCAGGTATACTTTGTTTTTGATAAGACTGTCACTTGATCACTTAATAAGAGCAAAAGACTGAAGTTAGTTCTAGTTTTCTTTTATAATGATTAATGAAAGTTGGCTATAAACGTAGAGTCAAATGGCCAGCTAGACACCAGTTAGTTTAAAAGACAAGGGGCTTCACAGTGGGAAACTGATAGCCCACCAAATCAGCCTTCAATCTTTCTGCTGGATGATGTACAGAAAGCACCAGATCTTAAATGCATTTTCATTTCATTATAAATTTTTCTAACATTAATTAGTTGTTCAAATTGGAACAGCCAGAGGGGCTAACAGTAACCTGACATAGTCTAAGAGAAATTCAACCATGGGAAATTAACACTTTCAAGAAAAAAGAAAATGGAACTTGTGGTGGTCTGGTATTCTACTAGTTGCTTAGACTCCTATTGTCAGAGACAACCTCTGACATGTAAAAGGAGAACTAGGGAAATGTTCTCCAATGAATAAGCCTTAAAAGAATGATCTGCATAGGAGTGGTGAGAGAGGGCATCCTTGTCTTGTGCCGTTTTCAAAGGGAATGCTTCCAGCTTTTGCCCATTCAGTATGATATTGGCTGTGGGTTTGTCATAAATAGCTCTTATTATTTTGAGATATGTTCCATCAATACCTACTTTATTGAGAGTTTTTAGCATGAAGGGCTGTTGAATTTTGTTGAAGGCCTTTTCTGCATCTATTGAGATAATCATGTGTTTTTTGTTATTGGTTATGTTCATGTGATGGGTTACGTCTATTAATTTGTGTATGTTGAACCAGCTTTGCATCCCAGCAATGAAGCCGACTTAATCGTGGTGGATAAGCTTTTTGATGTGCTGCTGGATTTGGTTTGCCAGTATTTCCTTGAGGATTTTCGCATTGATGTTCATCAGGGACGTTGGACTGAAATTTTCTTTTTTTGTTGTGTCTCTGCCAGGTTTTGGTATCAGGATGACGCTGACCTCATGAAATTAGTTAGGGAGGAGTCCCTCTTTTTCTATCATTTGGAATAGTTTCAGAAGGAATGGTATCAGCTCTACTTTGTACCTCTGGCAGAATTTGGCTGTGAAGCCGTCTGGTCCTGGACTTTTTTTGGGTGGTAGGCTATTAATTACTGCCTCAATTTCAGAACTTTTTATTGGCCTATTCAAGGATTCGACTTCTTCCTGGTTTAGTCTTGAGAGGGGGTACGTGTCCAGGAATTTATCCATTTCTTCTAGATTTTCTAGTTTATTTGGGTAGAGGTGTTTATAGTATTCTCTGATGGTAGTTTGTATTTCTGTGGGATCGGTGGTGATATCCCCTTTATCATTTTTTATTGTGTCTATTTGAGTCTCTCTTTTTTTCTTTATTAGTCTTGCTATCAATTTTGTTGATCTTTTCAAAAAACCAGCTCCTGGATTCATTGATTTTTTGAAGGGTTTTTGTGTCTCTATCTCCTTCACTTCTGCTATGATCTTAGTTATTTCTTGCCTTCTGCTAGTTTTTTAATTTGTTTGTTCTTGCTTCTCTAGTTCTTTTAATTTTGATATAAGGGTATTGATTTTAGATCTTTCCTGCTTTCTCCTGTGGGCATTTAGTGCTATAAGTTTCCCTCTAAACACCGCTTTAGCTGTGTCCCAGAGATTCTGGTACATTGTGTCTTTGTTCTCATTGGTTTCAAAGAACTTATTTACTTCTGCCTTAATTTCGTTATTTACCCAGTAGTCATTCAGGAGCATGTGGTACAGTTTCCATGTAGTTGTGCGGTTTTGAGTGAGTTTCTTAATCCTGAGTTCACTCCTATTCAACATAGTATTGGAAGTTCTGGCCAGGGCAATCAGGCAAAATGAAGAAATAATGGGTATTCAATTAGGAAAAGAGTAAGCCAAGTTGTCTCTGTTTGCAGATTACATGATTCTATATTTAGAAAACCTCATTGTCTCAGCCCAAAATCTCAAGCTGATAAGTGACTTCAGCAAAGTCTCAGGATACAAAATCAATGTGCAAAAATCACAAGCATTCCTATACACCAATAATAGACAAACAGAGAGCCAAATCATGAGTGAACTCCCATTCACAATTGCTACAAAGAGAATAAAATACCTAGGAATACAATTTACAAGGGATGTGGAGGACCTCTTCAGGCAAAACTATAAACCACTGCTCAAGGAAGTAAGAGAGGGCACAAACAAATGGAAAAATATTCCATGCTCATGGTTAGGAAGAATCAATATCATGAAAATGGCCATACTTCCCAAAGTAATTTATAGATTCAATGCTATCCCCATCAAGCTACTATTGACTTTCTTTACAGAATTAGAAAAAAACTACTTTAAATTTCATATGGAATTAAAAAAAGAGCCCATATAAACAAGACAATCATAAGCAAAAAGAATAAAGCTGGAGGCATCACGCTACCTGACTTCAAACTATACTACAAGGCTACAGTAACCAAAACAGCATGGTACTGGTACCGAAACAGATATATAGACCAATGGAACAGAACAGAGGCCTCAGAAATAATGCCACCCATCTACAACCATCTGATATTTGGCAAACCTGACAAAAACAAGCAATGGGGAAAGGATTTCATATTCAAATGGTGTTGGGAAAACTGGCTAGCCATACATGGAAAACTGAAACTGGACCCCTTCCTTACACCTTATACAAAAATTAACTCAAGATAAGTTAAAGACTTAAATGTAAGACCTAAAACCATAAAAATCCTAGAAGAAAACCTAGGCAATACCATTCAGGACATAGGCATGGACAAATACTTCATGACTAAAACACCAAAAGCAATGGCAACAAAAGCCAAAATTGACAAATGGGATCTAATTAAACTAAGGAGCTTCTGCACAGCAAAAGAAACTATCATCAGTTTGAACAGGCAACCTACAGAATGGGAGAAAATTTTGGCAATCTATCCATCTGACAAAGGGCTAATATCCAGAATCTACAAGGAACTTAAACAAATTTACAAGAAAAAAACAACCACAATCCCATCAAAAAGTGGGCAAAGGATATGAACAGACACTTCTCAAAAAAAGACATTTATGAGGCCAACAAACATATGAAAAAAGCTCATCATCTGTGGTCACTAGAGAAATGCAAATCAAAGCCACAGTGAGATATTATCTCACACCAGTTAGAATGGTGATCATTAAAAAGTCAGGAAACAACAGATGCTGGAGAGGATGTGGAGAAATAGGAATGCTTTTCCACTGTTTGTGGGAGTGTAAATTAGTTCAACCATTGTGGAAGACAGTGTGGCGATTCCTCAAGGATCTAGAACTAGAAATACCATTTGACCCAACCATCCCATTTTGGTATATACCCAAAGGATTATAAATTATTCTACTATAAAGACACATGCCCACGTATGTTTATTGCAGCACTGTTCACAATAGCAAAGACTTGGAACCAATCCAAATGCCTATTAATGATAGGCTGGATAAAGAAAATGTGGCACATATACACCATGGAATACTATGCAGCCATGAAAATTGATGAGTTCATGTCCTTTGCATGGACAAAACCATCATTCTCAGCAAACTAATACAGGAACAGAAAACCAAACACCACATGTTTTCACTCATAAGTGGGAGTTGAACAATGAGAACACATGGACACAGGGAGGGGCCCATCACACACCAGGGCCTGTCAAGGGGTAGGGGGGCTAGAGGAGGGATAGCATTAGGAGAAATATCTAACGTAGATGATGGGTTGATAGGTGCAGCAAACCACCATGGCAAGTGTATACCTATGTAACAAACCTGTACATTCTGCACATGTATCCCAGAAATTAAAAGTATAATAATGATAATAAAGATGATCTGCATTGGTACCTGGTAAGCCTTGAGGTCCTTGGGGTCCTGGTAGACCCTTTAGCCCAGGCTGGCCAGGGATTCCTGGAGGACCAGCATCTCCTTTAATTATGATACTCTGTCCTGAAGGACCAGGTAATCCAGGAGGACCTATGAGACAAAACACACAAATTTGAAGGGAAAGAGAAAGGTTACAAGAAATGGAAGCCAAAGTGACCTAAGTTCAGGACAAAAATTGGTGTGAGAGAAACCAGTTTTTGAATTGCTGCCATATCTAACAGAAATCTGTTTAGGAAAACTTAAAATTGAAAAATAATTTTCAATTGAAAAATAAGTTTCTTAGGGTCAGTGTAAAAATTAAGCATATCATCTCTATTTTCAAACCTTGAATCTTACTCAGTTACTACAAAGTCTCATCCATCTGTGTTCAAATCTGTGAACACTGGTGTCAGGGGAAGACAATTTTATTCCCTTACACATCCATTCTGACTCCAACATCATTTGCAGTTTTTGCTTGCTGTGCTTGTCCAGGGACCCTTTGATCTAGTAGGGGAATTTAGCAGATTCCTTATTTCTCAATTTATAAGAAACCTCTATAAGCCTCTTAGGAAAAAGAACTATTTTAATATCGAAAATATTATAAAAAATTCATATGTGACTTGCTCTTGTGATCTGTTCAATTGAATTTGGGGAAGTTAGTATAGAAGCTAATGTCAAGGAAGCATTTTTGTTGATCCTGCATTTATCTTAACTTTAAAAGGTCTGCTATCAATATTATGTTACTAAAATAGAGAATTTAAGAGATTAGTAAATAAAGGCAGAGCCTTGTTTATTTTGCCTCAGTTGTTGGGGACTTAGCCTCCGATGGTCTGGCTGAAAGACAGAATGAAAACTTTCAAATTCTTTAAAGCATCTAAGTATCAGGTATAACTATCTTCAGGAATAAGTCTTACCTGGAGGACCAATAAGTCCCGGTTCCCCCTCAGGGCCAGCTGATCCAGGTACTCCACTGGGTCCTTTCATGCCTGCACAGAAGGTACATACAGTTTTATGGCAAAGCAACAGGGCTACAACCTTTACCCAGTCAAATCAGAAAATGGCTATCTTGTCCCAGAGGAGTTTAATATAAAGGGAAACCACAAAAATCCCTTCAAATACCTGGGAATCCTGGAACACCAGGGAGACCAGGATCTCCTTTCATTCCATTGAGACCCGGCCGGCCAGGATTACCCTGAATAAATAAAATCATTAATGTTACAAAAAAATTGCAGCGAGGGGAGGAAGGTGATTGAGGGCATAAGAATTACATAGTGGCATATAGCACTATTTCTAGAGTCAAACTTCCAAGACTGTAATCTCAATTTTGCCTTATATTATCTTGTGTGAATTGAGTTGATTATTTAACCTCCTTGATTCATAGTTTTCTCACCTCAAATTTGGAGAAAATAACAGTATTTACTTCATAGGGTTGTGGTGAGAATTAAATGAGACAGTTCATATTGTTAAAATATACCCCTGGCTGACAGACAAAATGAACTTCCCATGGCTAACTGAGGTGCGCAAAGTTAAAACACAACCAACTGGCCGTGGTTGGGTAAGGGAAATGTCACATACCTTGTGTTCTTGGAAAGATGTTGTAAAAGTGTCACAGGATCTCCCTTTGTACAATCAAGTCAAACCACTGCGAAGATAAACTGTGGCTTGAACACACCCCCTGCCCATTGGCCATTTGAAAGAAACATCTGGCAGACTTCTGGCTTTGGTTTTGGAAATCACCTGATCAGGGCTCAAGTATTTCAATCAATCAGAACTGATAAGTCTGAATCCTTCATTTGCATAAATGGACCTGGTTGAGAACATGGGTGAGAACTTTCCCTACTTAAGCCAAACCCTCCCTTTGTTCTTCAGAGATCACACTTTCGCTTGTACAGAAAGCTGTGCCTTCCCAATCCGCAGATTACTTTTTACAGAAAATAAAGCTCTTCCTTTTTCTCCTCTAGATCTCATTGTCTTTTGCTGACAATATTAAGTGCTTAGAAGACTGGTGTGTGGTGTGTACTTAATGAAAGGTAACTATTATTTTATTCTTTGTTTTTTCTTTCTTTTCTATAGAGATAGGATCTCACTATGATGCCCAGGCTGGCCTCAAACTCCTAGGCTCAAACAATCATCCCCCCTCAGCCACCCAACTACAGGAAGAATATAGAATAGCAAGATCATATAGGAGGCTATTGCTCTACTTCAAGTGCAGGACAACGAAGCTTATGTTAGTAAGAATGAAAGAGGAACAAGCCTGGAGCATCTTATTATGAAATAATATTAAAAAGTGCTAAAAAAATAGTTGGAGGGAAGTACATATCAGAAAAACATCAAATCCAGCTTGAAGGGGCTTCCAAATCTGGAACAATGAGAGCATCGAAATAAGTAATGATAGTTTAGAAATTGTAAATTAGTGGAAAACATGAGAAAAAATGAGTCAAAAATGATAAGAAATGCATAGGTAAACCAGAGAGAAGGGAGGGCTCTTGCTTACAGTAGGACTGACTAGTATATGTGGAGGTAGTGCTAGAGTTGAAACAACATCATTTTGCCACTATCCCACTAGAGACTGGTTGAGGCAAAATCATTAATAGATGTTAAATCTAAGGGAAATTTTTGATGAGTATTGGTATATTTGCACTATCTTAATGTGCCTTCCTACAGTTTTATTAGTTGCAAGGAAAAACCTAATGATGCAGTGGAGAAACTGAGCAACAACTTGACTGGATGATTAAAACTAAAACCACAAATGAGAAGCAGATAGACATCATGGACCTCCTTATCGGTTAGCCTGAGAAGGACACAGAACCACTCATGTAGTATTCCAGCTGGGGATGCATAACCTGAATCTAATTATGAATAAACATCAGGCAAAAAAGGAATATTCTATTTAAAAATGGGGGTGGTGGTACAATTTCTTAAAAATGTCGAGGTCATGAAAAAAAGAAAATAAACTTAGGAACTGTTTCAGATTAAAGAAGGCTAAAGAGATATGACAATTAAATGCAAAACATGACTTGGCCTGGATCCTGTACTGGAAGAAGAAATGCTAAGAACATTATTAGGTCATTGGACCCAACTGGAATATGAAAGATAGAAATTAATGTATATCTATGTTAAATTTTCTGAAGTTAATAAGTGTACTGTGGTTATATAATTAAAAAAAATTTAGAGACAGGGTCTTGCTATGTTGTCCAGGCTCGTCTCAAATTCCTGGCCTCAAGCAACCCTCCTGCCCCAGCCTCTCAAGTTGCTAGGATTACAGGCTGCAGCCAAGACATTTGGTAAGAATTTTATAAAATATAAACAATCCCATAGCTTTTTATTGTCATCTTATAATAAAACATGAGAATATTTTTAATCTTAAGAAATCTGCATTAAAATATTTAGTGGTAAAGGGGTATAGCAGGTGAAACTTACTCTTAATTGTTTCTGGAAATATGCATATTTATAGGGAGTGAGTAGAGAATGAGTAAACAGAAGTAAATTTTTAAGTCTAGGTAACTGGAAGAATAGTGATGGCATGGGGAAAAAGATTAGATTTTGAAAAGCTTTAAGGATCACTACTTTAAATACTTTTTTTCTGCCATAAAGCAGTCTTCAGAATTAAAAGACAGTCCAGATTGTGTTGACTGCCAAATCCACCAGCAATCATCTTGACCGAATGGAGGCAGTTTTGAGAACCCATAAAGAGGAATGTGACTCTCTGCTCTGGGTCACTCAAACCAACATAGAAAGCACATGAGTGGATATGTTATTATTCTCTTTTTATAGGTGAAGACAGAAACCCAGTGTCTGTTTTCCTCATAGATACAAAGCAGAAGTGTGCAGGGGAGCTGACATTTGACCCTAACTTTATCTAATTTCAAAGCCTAAAAGATGCCTCTATTCACCATAATTACTTCTCTATGGGTGGATTCATCTATATGCAATGCTCTAATATGCATGTCTCCTTTGCATAAATTTGCTTTCACTGAAATGAAGGCTACTCAAATCCAAATATGCATACCAAAGACTCCAGGTGAAGTATCTTTTCAGGAACTCTGACTATAATACAACAAAGTCCCTTTAGGAGACTATAGGAAACTTGCCTTCTACTGTCTTTTTAATTCGCCAGTGAGCCACACATAGAACCTTGTCTAGTGAGTGTTAATTAAAATGATGCAGCTTAGAATTCACATTTTGAATACAAACACCCACATTCTTCTCTCATCAGATATCTACTTCCATTTCCTACCTGGAGTCCTGGTGGTCCTTGATCTCCTTTCAAACCAGGCAAGCCAGGTAGCCCAGGTTGGCCTGGATTTCCCTTCTCTCCTTTAATACCTCCATTTCCAGGGAGACCTGGAGGACCTTCTGGACCTGGTAGACCTTAATAATCCACAGCAAATGACGACATTTCAGTATAGTGTTAAGAGTAGCATAAAAGTCAGGCTTTTAAAATATCAGTCATCTTCCTATTAGTTTGCAGAATAAAACCCACACAACATTAAAATATCTAGACCTATGCTGATTCCCTTTCTAATATAAATTGAACTGGATTCTTTTTGTTATGAACACTGATTTGCAGACTCTTTTAGTTTACATTTTATTATATATTAAATTCAATAAAATAACATCTAAAGAAAAAGACTCATGGCTTAACAATGTGTGGCTCTGTAATTCTTAACAAAGAGTTTGACTTAAAGTTAAATTAAACAGAAACTGTAGGGTATTTTCTCAAATTGGAGCATGCATCAGAATCAACTAGAGGGCTTGTTAAAACAGATTCCTGGGCCCACCCCAAGAGTTTTGGATTCCGTAAGACTGAGGAGACTGGTCTGAAGGTAGTGAGTTATCTCAATTGATTGTTCAGTTATAGATTGAACTCCTTGTTCAACTCTTTCCTCCCTTCTCGTTACTGCACTTGACCAGTCTTAAGAATAAATAATTTAG
This sequence comes from Homo sapiens, assembly GCF_000001405.40. Classification (NCBI taxonomy): domain Eukaryota; kingdom Metazoa; phylum Chordata; class Mammalia; order Primates; family Hominidae; genus Homo; species Homo sapiens. The sequence continues at coordinate 108,676,935 of NC_000023.11, read as the reverse complement.
AAAAAAGAGACTTAGGAGAGGCCCAATAATTTGCATTCTAACAAGTGCTTTGTGGAAGCTAAAGCTGCTAGTTCCAGGACCACACTTTAAGCATCACTGCTGTAGGGCAATCAGAAATTCAAGCCATGTCTCATTGTGATTAAGATCAAATTGCTTTATTTGTAAGTAGTTACATTTATTCAGCTTTTATTACTATGCAATACAGATAGCAATTTAAGCAAACTAATTTCATTTTAGTGATATGCTTGATACATAGGAATTTTTTTAAATGTTAGAAATTTATTGAATCAATAAAGTACTTTAAAATTCATTTTTAAAATGTTTTCATATTCTTTACATTTTAAATATTTTTCAAGAAAAATAAAGAATTCTGTATGTATCTTGTGAATAAACAAAATAATTTAAAACTGGATTTTGCTTAGCATTTTTACTTTTGCTGTGTTTTTAATTTCTTTTTCTGAATAAAGGTATGAGGTCCATTAAGCAACCAGGGAGATCTTATCATTGGCCAAGTCTTTTGTCACCAGGTGGCAAATAGGTGTTACTTGCTTGCAGAGTGTTCAGTGGCTGAGGCTGAGACTAAGTAATCCTGCCTTAAGAAAATAATTACAAAACCCTAAATAATGAACAGCCAATAGTTAGCATTTACACCTTCTCTCCTCTGGTCATTTCAAATTTTATTGATTTCAACAAAAAATGAAGATATGTAGGGATTATTTTTTGAGGAACTATAATAGGCACTTGTTATGAATTTAGAATAGAGTTCATTCTTATGGACAAAGGGTTGTCTTTTTAACCTAAAATAAAATTCAGACTTTAGTTCCCTTTCCAATACTCTTAAGATTCAGAATCAATGGCAAAATACTAACAAGGCAGAATGACACTGTGATTAAGAACACAGGACTTTGGAGCTAGAATGCTGGGTTACAAATACAGCTCCATTAGTTATTAGCTGTTTGACTTCAGTAAGATTATTAATCTCCTTGGCTTCAATTTCTTCTTCTATAAAATGGAATTAAGAATAGCACCTACTTTAGCAGGTTGTTCCAAGGATTAAATGAGATACAATGTAAAAATTACTTAGCACAGTGCCTGGTATATAGTAGAAGCTATGGAAGGACTTTTTAAAATTATTATTATTTTCTTTATTAGTAAAATTGAAGATAAAAACAAATCTTAAAATATGAGCATCTTTTTAATCTTTCAGGTATTTCTATGTAATTTCATAATATAACATGACTCTATCTGGCATATGAGAAAGAGGAAGGAGATTTACAATAGTACAACAATTGTTTTACATTTAAACAATTTAACTCATATAGTCACCCTAGGCTGGCAACCAGTCAACACAGAAATTCCCTTCTCAATCATAACGAAAAGGTTTAGTACATTGTACATTTGAATAAAAAAACAGAACTTCAGTGTTCTAAGCAAACTTGTCAATTTAATCCACAATGTATGATTTGCACTAGAAATTAAGTAGCAAATCAGCTAATTATGAAAAATAAATAAACTGTGAATCAACCTGATAACAATAACAAAGTAAGATGGGAAAAAAAGAAACCTTTTATGACCCTCTACTCCATTTTAAAAGTTATCAGAACACTGTATCATCTGAAATAACCTAAGGCACTGCACTTTTCGAAATTAAAAAAAAATGGGAAACTTGCATGTTAATTCAGACCTGATGTTTAGAGTCCTTCAAATTATGAGTTATTAATTACATAAAGAACATATAAGTTTTATTTTTAACAGTATTCAATAGTATATCTCTGCCATCACTGAAAATAGCCATAAATACACAGATCAGGGCAATCTGAGAAAACAAAATTTTGAGAAAATAAAATCAACATTCAGAGATTACAAATAGGTCATATGCTTGCCTAAATATTTTAATGCAGTCTTGAAGGTAAAAATAAGTGTATTTCCGTTTAAAATTCAACATGTCTTTATGTATTGATTACTTATTATAAACAATTGCAAACACAAAGACCCTAACGTCATTTGAAACTTAATTATAATCAAGTCACATTACCTTCATCAAAATGTTAAAACCCCAGCTTGAGGATAACAGCACTCTCCAATGACTTCTGAATTATAGCAAAAAATTGCATTTCTCTTATCACACACACAAAGCATTAAAAAAAAAAAAAAAAAAGAATTGACCAGTGAAGAGTCTAACCTTGAAAACCTGGGAAGATCAGAGTTCACCAAAGCCCAAAGATCGATGTTAGCAGTATCAGACATCACACAGTACAAAATAAGATTATGAGTTAGAAGTGGTTCACATTATAGTACAAGTTAAAACAATAATGTTCTTTGCCAGCATTTCTTATACTTACAGCATAATCAGTATGCAAACAGAACCATACAGAAGTATAGAGAGCCAAACTTTTTCAAATAGAGCTTATTCTAAAGGATAAGCTGTTGGTCTTCGTTAATCCAGAAAATAGAAAACTCTACTGAAGACATCATGTTAACACTGCTACTGTGGCTTTCCAAAAATTAGCTTCTCAAAACATTAAAGTTGGCTAGATAGTACCATTTCACCAACAGCCTTCAAATTCCTTTAGTAAAGGGGTATTTTTGGATTAATGCTGAAGTTTATCTTGGCTTGTGTTATCTTTTAATAAAAACACCAGGTGCCAATTTCTTGATATGCTCAGACTGCTTCAAGAAGATACAGTTGACTTTAAAGGCCTCATTGGCAATAAATATAAAGATCATGGGTGACAGAATAGAAAAATCAAAACATGAATATACGATGGCCATTACCAACTGTACTTTTGCTTGTATTTGAAAAGCATTTCATGAAGCCACATTCTGATTTTTTTCATAATTCACCAGGAGGCTTTCCTATTACTATTTATTGAATTATTATTATTATTATTATTTGGACAGAGTCTCACTCTGTCGCCCAGGCTGGAGTGCAATGGTGTGATCTCAGCTCACTGCAACCTCCACCTTCTGGGTTCTAGGGATTCTCCTGGCTCAGCCTCCCGAGCAGCTGTGATTACAGGCACCCACCACCACGCCTGGCTAATTTTCATATTTTTAGTAGAAACGGGGTGTTACCATGTTGGCCAGGCTGGTCTTGAATTCCTGACCTCAGGTGATCCACCCACCTCGGCCTCCCAAAGTGCTGGGATTACAGGCGTGAGCCACCATGCCTGGCCTATTATTATTATTATTATTATTATATTATTATTATAGTACTTGCAATAAGTTACTTAAGGAGAAAAAGCCAATATATATTTGTACAACATTGAACACAAAAATAAAGATTCAACTTTTCCAAGATATGAAGCCTATCAGTGAAAGGGTACTTGAAAATGTTTTGGCATGCAATATCCCACCCCGAACCACAGAAAATATCATATTTACTCTATTATTATTCAATGCACATATTAAGACAGGCTATTCACTATTAAAAGAAGGATCATTAAATAAAAAGATTAAAAGCCTACAAATAGAGCACCCCTTGGTTAGTGTTAATTGACTAAAAACACAATTTTCTTTTCTTACAAGTTTTGCTATGATTTATAAGCACCAAATGTTAGCAGAGAGAATAAATTGTGCTAGAGCAATGAATCCTAGGAGTTGGAAGACCTAGGATCTATTTTTGACTCTGCTACTTAATAACTATATGACTTTGGGCAATTCAATCTTTCTGAGTATGGTTTTTTACCTGTAAAATGGGAATACTGGTATCTGCCCTAACCTCCCTCACAGGAATGTTTTAAAGATCAAATTCAAGTTGTAAAATACTGGCCTAATGTCTGCCATGTGCAAGGTGCTACAGGAAACACAAAGATGAGCAAGACTCAAACTCTGCCCTTAAGATGCTTACAATAAAAGTACATTATATGATGTAAATTGTGGCATGTCATATAAATAGAAAACATTATCATTATCTCCTAATAAAACTTTCAAAGCATTTGATACTTTGAAATTCAGAAAGCTAAATATTGGCTTCTGTTTATTTAAATTGTTTCTAAATCACAGACAGCAAATTAACTCAAGACAATACTTAGAGCAGAGTCTGGCCACAAAATTAGTTAAATAAATTAGAATTCCCAACTAAGACAACTCAAGGTTTGAGTAAAGACATTTTATATATGTGTTTGATATAGAGGGACCAATAACAAGAACTCTCAGCAAAATATTTCATTGAAATATGACATTTCAGCCTGAGTAATTAGCAAGGAAAACTGTGGATCATATCATAGCAAAACTTCTAAGACTCTATTTTAAAAAGCAACATTTTAATGAGCTATATGCCAAGTCAATTTTTTTTTGTATGAGGTCCACAATCCATTATTTTTCAACTGTGTAACAAAGTTAAACTGAAAAAGAAAACAAAACAAAAACCTAAAATATTGTCCATAAGTAGTAATTACTAAAGGTATACTGATGAATTGACTGGTATATTTTAAATTCAGTTTCCACTTAAGGTTGTAGTCTTGCAAAGAAGAAAACATCACAGAGACCAAGTTCCAACAACTATGCAATTTAGAGCACATTTTGTAAATAATAAATTGTTAAATTTCTTTTAAAGGAATGTGGCTACTTTTCTTTTTCTTCTTTGAATATATTATAGTAACTCAGAAGATAGAAATCTCCTAGCTAACAGTAGAGTTTAGCAGTAATCAAAGTGGCAAAATTCTATGTAGGTCAGATAAGGTGGGACTCAACATTACTTCAAAGTAACCCCCTAGTCTTTGCTTTATCTTAGTGATAGTTAAATAGTATGCACTGTCTTAATCTTTTTGATGACATCATTTAAGAAGAACACAAGAAGCAATCTGGTTGATGGAGGTGTTGACGGAGCTTTTGAGGTAACAGAAAACAAGAAAGTGGATGCAGCGAACAGTCTGCTCCCTGTAGAATAGACACCTAATTGATCACTGGGGAGCCTTAAGTCAGAGTCCCAGTTATGCCACTAACTAACAGTATTACCCTGAGCAAGTTTCTTAACCTCTTTGGGCCTCCATTTTTTCATATGTGACAAAGATTCCTTGATCAAACTTTAGACAGGCTCCTCTGAGCCCTCCTCTCAATTAGGCCTCATCCTTGGGCCTACTTTTTGGCCTTCCAAATCCATTTACATCAATAATCCTGCTAAATCGGTTTAGAGAGAGTCCCTTCACCCCGATATCTGATCAAGTTCCTGATCTCCCACCTTTGATGTCTAAATCCTTGGCCTGTTTCTGGCAAAAATCCTGTTGGGCCAGTTTAACAAGAACCCACCCCTCTCTACCCTTGATGTCTCCTCTTAGTAATTTTCCATTACTGGCCCTCTCACTCTGCTCCTTGGCTGTAAATAATCACTTTTCTTTGTTGTATTTGAAGTTGAGCTCAGTCTCTCTCCTACTGCAATAGTTTCTACTCTACTGCAATAGTCCTGAATAAAATCTGTCTTGTGGATAATTTCTCCTCGACATAGGTAAAACTTAGGTCCCTTCTAGATCTGACATTCTATGGTTCTATGAAATAATGAGTTTGCAGTGGAGTAAGAAACTAGAGAATCAATTCAGGTAGAAACAAATGGCTCCCTAAAAATAATCTTGAAAAATTATTTTTTTTAATTTTATAAGATGAAAAAATGTCCTGCCATTCTCAACAGCCAGATATCATGGGGTATACTATTACCTCTTTTGATTCTTTCTTAACAATTTGAAAAGGACTATTTATTTTGAATAACAATAAATACATTCAAATATTTGTGGCTTTTTTTACTGCTAATTAGGTAAACAAACATCTTTCACTAAGAATCAGCAATTTTCCATTAGGTAGCTCTTGGTAATTGTTCTTTGGTGTGTACTGTTTACACATGTATAATGAAAATAAGATTAAGAACCTCGTAATCTGTGCTGGTTGCATTGATTTTTTTTTTCTCTGTGCCTATTAGTCTCGCCCTGGCTGCGGTGCAGTGGTGCAATCTCAGCTCACTGCAACCTCCACCTCCCAGGTTCAAGCAATTCTCCTTTCTCAGCCTCCCTAGTAGCTGGGACTACAGGCGCACACCAACACGCCTGGATAATTTTTATATTTTTAGTAGAGATGGGGTTTCACTATATTGGTCAGGCGAGTCTTGAACTCCTGATCTCAGGTGATCCACCCGCCTTGGCCTCCCAAAGTGCTGGGATTACAGTCATGAGCCATGGTGCCCGGCCCTATTAGTCCATTTTTAACAGCAGTAGAATTGAGAACTTTGTGACAACCCAAAATGTGAAGGTGGGATAGTTTGAAAACCTGCAAAAGATATGGCAAGTTAAGAATTACATATTTTCAAGATCTGATAATACATATTATTGTTTAAAAAAAGAATGTCCTTTTGAAGGATAGTTCAATTCGTTTGCATTAACAGATATAAATTAAACATAAGAAACAGACTCCAAAGAAAGGTAGAATATGTAAGGCTGTTTTCGGTACTACAGATTTTCAACTGAAAATGACACAAATATATGAATTTTTAAATGTTAAATTAGTTTTCCTAGTTAGGTAATTTTGGGTCTTTCCAATAGACAGAAACACTGGGTTCTACAAGTTCCTAAAAACTTAAAGAGATAAGCCACTATGTAAGAATTGAATTGGCACATATGCTCTTAAAATACATTCAAACACTTGAAAACATTTGGTACAGGTATATAAGTTTCAAACTTCATGCAGTTACTACTTTGGAGTTAAGGAGCTAACCTGTAGGACCTGGATAGGGATCAAAGTTCACCAAGGCCCAATGTCATCATTAACAAAAAGGAAAAATATCAAAACTGTTAGAAATATCAAGAAACTAAAAAGCATTACACTAAATACTTTCAAGTTAAAATTCATTTCAATAAAAGAATACTCTGAAAGTTCATATCCATGCATCTGTATATAAACCAAATTATCACCACTTAGTGACAAAACTAAAATGAAAACAGCACACTGTGGCGTATTTTTAAAGGCCAAAAGTCATTGCTATCATAATCATTACTATGAGCTCAGACTAAGAACAATCAATTCTAAGAGCAATGGGGTTTACAACTCAGTTTTAATTTATAGTTTATGAAATAATTTGAGAAGTCACAAACACTCATCAGGTGTGCATTCTTCTAACTACTTTTGTTATTATTTCTTTAAAAATGTAATTTTTAGGACATCTTTGTGACTAATGGCTTCATACCGACAAATTTCAAAGTAAGGTTCAACAGTGAGCTCATTACTCATTCATTACTAGTAAGAACGAATAACCACAGTGATGATTAAAATATAAAAAAGATAATAGTTTGGTTTATTTGAATTACTGCATGCAAAACCAAGCAAGATACTTGCTTCAGTTCTTTACATTACATGCAAGAGAGTTAACATGGCTGAGGAGATTTTCACTGGTTTTCTTCAGTAGTATACAAACATAAAACCTTAAACAATACTTTCCATCAGATTATGTCAGATCAGATAAAATTTGGTTTTGAAAATGATCCTCTGAACACAGTATGTGATCCCATTTAATTCATGTGTTTAGAACATCTTATTAAAATGAATTCCAATCACTTTAGATTTTACTGTAATATAAATAACATTTTTCATTTTGAAATGCACTTATATAATGTCAGAGACTTTCAAAGAATAAAAGGACATTTACTTCCAAGTTTTCAGTGACCAGAAATATAAAATTTGAATATCAAGTCTCAAAATCTGTTCATAACCTATCACCAGTGACTAGGCTCAGTGACATTAATCAAGGATGAAAACGAGCATTTCCAAAATTAGTAAAATGAAATGACACAGCACAGATACAAAATGAAAAGGTGAACATTGGATGCAAAACTGAGACTACTAGAGCAGTGAACACAAGACAAATGAGGTATAGACATGAGGTTGGTATGAAGAGATCACTAGTCAATTTGATCATGCTGTGATGTTGGAGATAAATTTGATTGCCCAGTTCCTATAGAAGATAATTTTTTTAATTGTGCCTGGTGAGATTTGCTGATCATATGACAGAACCAAAGCAATACTTCTGGTATGGACCACAAGCATCTATTGGGTGATCACTAAAATGATTTCTGTGATGACATGCTGAGAAGCTCACATTTAAAAATGCAGATGGCATTTTGCTGACAGGTTAACAGTATAGTTTTACCTTTTAGTAACAAGACTAATAAAACTACCATTTCCTTTATTCCTCCAAATTGTTTTACTTCCTCTATATAAATGATAAAATGCATTACTAAAGCAAATTATTAGAACCATGGAAATAGATGGAGTTAGCTATGAACCAAGCTATTTACTTGTAAGAAGTTATATCACAAATTTTAAAGTCTTTTTTTTAACATCCTCCAATGCACCGGAAAAATTCTAAAGTCTTAAAGACTGAATAACCTGCCAGCAAAACGAAATACATGGACTAATAAATAGACCATTCTCCTACCACTCACGGACATACCTGGTCTCCCAGGAGGACCTTGGGGCCCAGGGTTGCCTTTAGGTCCTTCCAGAGCTGGACCCGGAGAACCAGGAGGGCCTGGGGGACCCTGCACACCAGGGAAACCGTGAAAGCCTGGTTCGCCCTTTGGACCTGGAAGGCCAGGATTTCCTGGAATCCCAGGTAATCCTCCATCACCCTTTTGGCCTATGAAAGTAAAGTATAATTAGAAGATAAATAATACCGAGTTACAAGCTTGCTTATAAGGTTAGCTATTCACATACATTAGGGCAATTAATGGAATTCACAAGAGTCATTTCTATCTCCTACCAAATCCCAAATCTACCCAGAAAACCATCCTTCCTATTAAATATATGCATTTGTTAGCAGAAGTATTTATTAGAGTATATATAGAAATGTAGAAATAATAATAGCTTTCATCCTAAAAGGTATCCTTTGTGTTAAGACAGAGCAATGATACATCACCAATAGCTGTGAGGAAAAAAAGTATAAAGTATCTTCAAAAATAGTTTCAAGATGGCTGGAGGAAATTTCTAAAACAAATATTTTGAGTCTAATTTTGAGACTAATGAAAGATATGGCTCTTCAATGGTTGTCATGTGTCCCCGAAGACCATTCTACCCAATATTTATAATCACCGTCTAGCAAAATTGTTCTCAACATTTTTTCTCTACCTCTGACACTTTTAAGAGCAATGTAACAGTGGCACATTAAAGTAATAATTTCCATGTTGGTATCATGGGAAGGATATCTATTTGACTTTACAGGAGATATGTGTATGGTTTGAGAAAAGTCTCCATAAAATGGCCAGTCGTCATTTCAGAACATAAACATACATGTCTGTATGTACATTCAGTCCTTCTACTATTTGGTGCTCACAGTAAGAGTAAGCACAAAAGAGGGAGGGTAGATGTGTGTGTGCACACACACATCTACCCAAATATGCAAAACATATATTAAGACTGAAATTTCCAGAAACATTTTTATTATTGGCGTATATTTCTACAGACTTTTCTTATTTCTACAGACTTTTCTTATCTTCCTGCAATTTTGCCTTCTTTCTTATTTCCTCAGCACTTATTTATGAATTTAGTGAAGAGATCTCTACATGTAAATTTCCGTAAGGATACATTTTTATTTAACACAACTCCTTAAACTAAGTTGCTAAATAATAAATGTTTTAACGTTAACACTAGGTTTGAGTTTTCTGGGTTCTTACATGCATTTTATGATAGTAAAAGGTGGAGATGGAAAAATAGATGTATTTGGAAATAATCTCATTTTATTATAGATTGATTTAGCATGTTTTATTAAGGTTTACCAGAAAGTCCTGGAAGTCCAGGGGGTCCTGGGTTTCCAAAGCCTGGTTGACCTGTCAGAGTACAAAACAAAACAAAACAAAAACTCAAGTGGATAATACAAACTGAAACAAGGCCAAATTATTTTTAGATCATTGAGGTTTTCATTAGGTGCAGCAATGTATATTATATGAAACATGCAGAAGATTTATTTCCAACACAGAACTGCAATTCTAACATGAGAAAATGATCTAAACATATATTCTATTTCCGATGAATGTTAAATATATCTATATGCTTATAAGAAAAAAATATAAATGAAATATAGATTGCATAGTAAACCACAGAGAAATTTGCAAAGGCTAGGTAACTTCTTTTTGATATAAAAAATTAGACAAGAAAAGATATGGGGTTTTTTGTAAGAGGCAACTTGATCAAGATACATGAGCTAATAGTCTCAGGATGAAGAGGAAGACGGTAACTAGGAAAAGGGGAAAGTGTGTGGTAGCTTAGTAAGAAAGAAGATACAATTTCACTGTGGGTAATAAAAAGGCAAGTTAAATTCAACACAGAGAAAATTAGAAAAATAGGAAAAATGAAAAACTACAGCACCTGGTTCACCCTTCTGTCCAGCTGGTCCAGGAATACCATCTTGACCGGGTTTGCCTTTTTCGCCTGGAGGCCCTGGTTGCCCAGGATGACCTCCACCACCTAAAAAATTGAGTACAGCAGGTTACACCCAGTTTTCCAATTTCCAACTCCCTTTTACTTCCATATGCTCCCTTCTTTATCCAAAAGAAACAAGGTGCTTTTGAGACACTCCTTTGGATCACAAAATGTTATAAAAATATGAAGGAGGATAATGAAAATAAGGAATAGTCATTCAGCATCTAAAACCTTTCAGTTCTTCATTTTAATATAGTTTCAGAATATCTAAGAGAGTAAGGTGCGAAGGGTGGTGGGGAGAATTATAGGCCTCATATGGGGCCAAGAGAAGTTATTTACTTTAGAAATCAATAAACAAACTTACTTACTACAGCCTGCCATTCTAAAAAAATCAAAGCTTCTATTCTAGGACACTTGAATTAACTCTCCCTGGAAAAAGTGGGCCTAGAAAATAAGGTCACATATGATCATTTTAAGTCCTTTTTTTTTTTTCGAGGGTCTTGCTTTGTCACCCAGGCTGGAGTGCAGTGGCACGATCTTGGCTCACTGCAACCTCCACCCCTTGGGTTCAAGCACTTCTCGTGCCTTAACCTCCGAAGTAGCTGGGATTACAGGAGCCCATCCCCATGCTCAGCTAATATTTTGTATTTTTAATAGAAATGGCGTATCACCATGTTGACCAAGCTAGTCTCGAGCTCCTGACCTCAAGTGATCCTCCCACCTCGGCCTCCCAAAATGTTGGGATTACAGGCGTGAGCCACTGTGCCCAGCCAATTTTAAGCACTTTTTATTAAAAGTTATTCATTCTGTACCTCACATGCAGTGTTAAGTGAATGAACACTATATTTCCTTGTGTTGAAAATGTTCACAGCTGAACATGATTTGACTTTCCCAAACTTAATATGATAAACATTAGTTTTATAAAACAGCAAACTGTTATTTTTCATGCTTACCTACAGGACCAGGTTCTCCTGGAAGGCCGGGGTTCCCAGGAGGGCCACTAATACCTTTTGGTCCAGGAGGGCCTGGGGTTCCTAGAGTAAAGAGCTCAATTTAAAAATGAAAGAAAAACTGCATTGCTTTAAGAGCTACAATTCAAACTTACAATTTATAGTGCTAGCATAGAAACAGTGAAGAACAAAAAGAAACCCAAAAGATGCTGGTGTTTGTTGGCTATTTTTAATAATAATTTTATGTTTTTAACCATTTATCCTGAAGTTGGCATTATTATATATTCATAAACATAAAAATAACTACCACCATATTATACTGGTAGGATTTGTAGGACTCCATTATATGAATATACCATAACTTAAAAAATCCATTCCTCTTGCTGGACTTTTGGTTTATTGACAGGTTTTAGTTATTACAAATATCCACTTTCCTATTTATAAAAACCTGTTTTATTTCCAGCTTTTATCTATTATAAATAAAGCTGCTATGAGTATTTCTGCACAGGTCTTTTTGTAGACCACTGCCTTAATTTATCTTAGGTATATAACAAGAAGTGGAATTGCTGGGTCAAAAAGTAGGTATATGTTGTGTTTTATTTAAAAACTGCCAAACCATTTCACACTCAGAACAATGTGTGGAAATTCCAATTGTTCCAGATCCTTGCACAACCTTTGTGATGATATCAGTTGCTGTAATAACAGACATTCTGGTGGGTATATGGAGCTACCTCATTGTGGTTTTAATTTGCATTTCTCTGATGGCTAACGACATCGATCACCTTTTCATGTGATTATTGGCCACTTGTATATCTTCTTTCGTGAAGTATCTATTCAAAGTTTTCTCCATTTTTCAAAATTGGATAATACATCTTGTTATTATTGAGTTATTGAAGTTTTTTACATATCCTAGATATCAGTAATTTGTCAGTTATGTTTTGCAAATATTTTCTCCTTGTCTGTGGCTTTCCTATTCATTTTCCTAGCGGTGTTTTCTGATAAAAGTAGTTTAAAAATTTAAATCTAATCTATCAATTTTTTTCTTTTACAGTTACTGCTTTTTGTATCCTAAGAAAATCTGCCTATGCCAAGTCACGGAAATATCTATCTATGTTTTCCTCTAAAAGCATTATGGTTTTAGCTTTTATGTTCAGACTAAGATCTAATTAAAAACATTTTTTTTTCTGTATGATGTAATGTATGAATTAAGTTTTGTTTTTTCCCCATACGAATATCTAGATGTTTCAGGGCCATTTGTTGAAAAGAATTTGCTTTCTCTAAAAAATTTATTTGATACCTTTATCAAAAGTCAATTTATTGTATATTAGTCTTTTTTATCCTCCAAATTCTGTTTCATTGATCTATTTCTCAATCCTTATCAAGTACCACACATTTTTTTTCTTTTTGTAATGGAGTCTCACTCTGTTGCCCAGGCTGGATTGCGGTGGCGCGATCACGGCTCACTGCAACCTCCACCTCCCGGGTTCAAGCAATTCTCTTGCCTCAGCCTCCCGAGTAGCTAGGAATACAGGTGCATGCCACCATGCCCGGCTAATTTCTGTAATTTTAGTAGAGACAGGGTTTCACCATATTGGCCAGGCCAGTCTCAAACTCCTGACCTCGTGATCTGCCCGCCTCAGCCTCACAAAGTGCTGGGATTACAGGGGTGAGCCACTGCGCCCGGCCTCGTTTTCAATATTGTTTTGGATATTCTATGTCCCTTTCATTTCCATACACATTTTAGAATCCATTTGTCAACTGTTACCAAATAAAGGTTGTTGGGTTAAACTGGAATCACTTTGAATCTATGAATGACTTTAGAGGCAACTGGCATCTTTTTTTTTTTTATTTTAAGTTCTGGGGTACGTATGCAGGATGTGCAGGTTTGTTACACAGGTAAACGTGTGTCATGGTGGTTTGCTGTACCTATCAAACCATCACCTAAGAATTAAGCCCAGCATGCCTTAGCTATTTTTCCTGATGCTCTCCATCCCCCTGACCCAAACACCCTGCTCCACAGGCCACAGTGTGTGTTGTTCCCCTTCCTGTGTCCATGTATTCTCATTGTTCAGCTCCCACATGTCAGTGAGAACATGCAGTGTTTGGTTTTCTGTTCCTGAATTAGTTTACTAAGGATAATGGCTTCCAAACAATTTTGATCTTCCATTCCATAAGTATGATCTATCTCTTCATTTATTTTGGTATTTAAAAGTCTAACATAGCAGGTTTTATAGTTTTCAGTGAATATACCATGCAAATATTTTCTTAAATTTACCCCTAAACACTTCTGAGGCAAGCCAAGATAGAATAAGCCCACTACAGCCTTTTTTTCTCACTGATTATAATTTAAAACTTGACAGAATACAAAAAGCAACTATTCAAAGACCCTAAAATAAATACTAACAAGCATATTTAGGAGGGAAGTAAAAACTTAAATAATGAACAAAAGGATAGTGCATTAGTTTTCTCTTGCTATGTAACAAATTACCACAAAGTTAATGACTTAAAACAATACCCATTTATTATCTCACCATTTCTGTAGGTAATATTCTGGGCACAGCTGAGCTGGATTCTCTCCTTAGCAATGTTACTATGGCTATGATATCACTAGGTGATAAAAGCCTTGTAGTATAGTTTGAAGTTAGGTAGCGTGATGCAACCAGCTTTGTTCTTTTTGCTTAGGATTGTCTTGGCAATGCGGGCTCTTTATTGGTTCCATATGAAATTTAAAGCAGTTTTTTTCTAATTCTGCGAAGAAAGTCAGTGGTAGCTTGATGGGAATACCATTGAATCTATAAATTACTTTGGGCAGTATGGCCATTTTCATGATATTGATTCTTTCTATCCATGAGCATGGAATGTTTTCCATTTGTTTGTGTCCTTATTTCCTTGAGGAATGGTTTGTAGTTCCCTTTGAAGAAGTCCTTGACATCCCTTGTAAGTTGTATTCCTAGGTATTTTATTCTCTTTGTAGCAATTGTGAATGGGAGTTCACTCATAATTTGGCTCTCTGTTTGTCTATTATTGGTGTATAGGAATGCTTGTGATTTTTGCACACTGATTTTGTATCCTGAGACTTTGCTGAAGTTGCTTACCAGCTTTAAGGAGATTGGTTTTTTACTAAATAACCAGGGGCCAGAAATCTTGGGGTGGAGATGGTAGAATTCTGTCTACTATGTAACTCAATAACAAGTGAAAGCACAATGGAAATGTTTTCTAATGAATGACAGCTAAGACAATTTGTTGCCAACAGACTTCACTATAAGAAACACTAAATGAGAACATGCGGTGTTGATTTTTTGTCCTTGCGATAGTTTGCTGAGAATGATGGTTTCCAGTTTCATCCATGTCCCTACAAAGGACATGAACTCATCATTTTTTATGGCTGCATAGTATTCCATGGTGAATATGTGCCACATTTTCTTAATCTAGTCTATCGGTGGGAATTGAACAATGAGAACACATGGACACAGGAAGGGGAACATCACACACTGGGGACTGTTGTGGGGTGGGGGGAGGGGGGAGGGATAGCGTTAGGAGATATACCTAACGCTAACTGACCAGTTAATGGGTGCAGCACACCAACATGGCACATGTATACATATGTAACAAACCTGCACATTGTGCACATGTACCCTAAAACTTAAAGTATAATAATAATAAACTTAAAAAAAAGAAATACTAAATGAAATTTTTTAAATAAAATTACCCCAGAAAACCCACACATTAACAATAAAGCCCGTATGCCAAGTCCAAGGGATACACGTAAGACAAAGGGCATTGGAAATAGCCCTGCTATAACAAAATCTAAAACTCCATCACTGCAGGATCAAGTTGATACCAGGAATTGAACTGCCAGGTAGAACAATATTCAGCATTCTTCAAGAAATTTAATAGAATCCAGAATCTTTATACCATACTATCCATATCATTTAGTATACAATAAAAATTAGCAGATTGGAAGAAACTTGAATATGTGGTGCTTATTCAAGAAAAACAAAACTACCAATAGAAATAGACACATGGTTATCTGAAAATTTGGAATAAGCTGAAAAGATCTTTAAAATAGCTATAATAAATATGTTAAAGAATCTATAGGCAAACATGTATATAATGAGTAAAAAATAGGGAATTTCTGGAAAAATATGATAACTCTTAAAAGAACCAAATGGAAATTAAAATTTTTGTGGCGATTAACAGAATATTGAACACATCAAAAAATCAGTAAATTTGAAGGCAGTGAATAAAAACCATCCAAATTAAACTCAGAGAGAATAAAAATTGAAAACATACCTAGACCCTCAGTGACCTGTGATACAGTATCAAGTGATCTAATATGCACTCCAAAAGAAGAGGAGAAAATACGACAGAAGAAATACAGTTATGTGTCACTTAACAACTGGGTATGTTTTAAGAAATGAGTTGTTGGGCGATTTTGTCATCGTGTGAACATATAAAGTGTATTTACACAAACTTAGATGGTATGGCCTATTATACATTTAGGCCGTATAGCAGAGCCTATTGCTCCCAAGCTACAAACCTACATAGCATGTAACTGTACTGCATCCTGTAGGCAATTATAGCACAATGGTAAGTATTTGTATAACTAAACCTAGAAAAGGTACAGTAAAAATACATTATAAATGTGATACAATGTTACTACAGCTATGACATCACGTGGTGATAGGAAATTTTCAGTTCCATGATAATCATATGAGACCACCACCATATACGTGGTTTGTTGTTGACCAAAATGTTGTTATGTGACACACGACTATATATGAGGAAAAGATAGCTGAGATTTTCCAAAGTTATTAAAAAATAACAACCCTACAGATCCAGGAATATTAATGAATAGAGGGCAAAATAAATACAACCATAACTAACCACAACAAAAAGAAACTATTGAAAACCAATTACAGAGAGAAAATCTCAAATACATCCAGAGAAAAACCAGACATAATATAAAGGAGCAAAATATTAAAAATAATTGATGTGTTATTATCAGGAAAAATGGAGACGAAAAGACAGTGGAAGAAATATTTAAAGTGCTGAAAGCAACAAATATCAAAAAGGGATTTCTATATCCAGTGAAAAATTTATTTAAAATGGAACTAAAACAAAGACATTTGCAGATAAATTAACGGTGAGAGAATTTGTCACCAGCAAAATCATTTTACAATAAATGACGGTGGAAGAACGTCAGGCTTTAGGGAATGATACCAACTAGAAGTCTGCTGCACAGGAGGGTAGAAGAGTAGAAATGTAAATATGTTGGTAAATATGAAAATTGGTTTTGTTTCTCATGCTAAATTATTTAGAAGAAGCTGTTTAAAGCAATAGTAATAGCAATTAATTGTAAAATTTATTACCTATATAATAATCATCTGAAATATATAAACACAATCACACAAAAGAACATTATATGTAAATAAAATTACACTGTTGTAAGAATCTTACATTATATGTGAAGTCACATAATATTAATTTAATGCAGAATGTGGTAAATTATGAGTGCACACTGAAATCTTTGGAGCAATCATTTAAAAATAGTAGAAAGAGGGAGAGCTTAAAAGCCAATAGAGGAGATAGAATGGAATACCACAGCATATCTGATGAACCCAAACAGAACAGGAAACCAGGGACAAAGGAGGAGCATAAAACAAATAGCAATGTGGAAGACTAAAATCCAAACATAACAATATACATTAAATATAAATCAACTAAACACTCCAAATAAACGGGAAAGATTGTTGGACTCGAAAAGAAGCAAGATATGAATGCATTTTATTCCTAAAAAACATATTTTAAATGTACAGACAGGTAAAAATAAAAATTATATAGAAAAAGTTATACTGTACTAAGTATAAAGAATCTGATGTATCTATACTGATATCAGACAAAGAAAAATCCAAAGAAAAGAGTATTATGAAAATAAAGAGGGTCTTTACATAATGATAAAAAGGTCAACTCTTCAAGAAGACATACGTTTCCTGAATTTATATATACCTAATAAAAATATCTCAAAAGACATACAGCAAAAAATTGACAGAGAGAAAAGGAGAAATAGAAAACTCTACAATCATAATGGAAATTTTAACACCTACCTCTCAGTAATTGATAAAACAATTAGGCAAGAAGTTGGTAAGAATACACAAGATTTTAACAACTCTACCAACAAACCTGACCTAATGGACATTTATAATGCAATACACAAATTGCAGAATACAAATTATTTTCAAGGGTACAAGGAAAATTCACCCAGATAAACCCTAAATTTGGCCATATGATAAGTCTCAATAAGTATTAATAGTTAAATCATACAAAATATGTATTCTGGCCACAATAGAATCAAATTAAAAATCAATAACATAAAGATATCTGGGAAGCCCCCAAATATTTGTAAGTTGAGCAACACAATTCTAAATAATCTATGGAGAAAAACAGAAATCAACAGGAAAATTAGAAAATATCTTAAACCGAATGATCAAAGGAAAAACGCAAAAGAACAAAATTTCTGGGATATGGTTTGAGCACTCCTTAGATGGAAATTTAAGTTTTTAAATACATCTATTAGAAAAGACAAAGCTGAAAAATCTATGATTTAAGCTTCCAGGTAAAGAAGCTAGAAAAAGAACAGCAAGATTAAATCCATAGAAGGTAGAAGGTAGGAAATAATACAGATATAAGCAGAAATCAATGGAATAGAAAACAAATGGTAGAGAAAATCACTTACGAAAGTTAATTTTTAACAATTAATAAAGCTTAATGAATGCCTCAGAGGCTTGATCAAAATAAAGAAATAAAATTACTTATATCA
Organism: Homo sapiens; assembly: GCF_000001405.40. Lineage (NCBI taxonomy): Eukaryota > Metazoa > Chordata > Mammalia > Primates > Hominidae > Homo > Homo sapiens. Next base: position 108,658,770 of record NC_000023.11, on the reverse strand, counting down.
AAACATTATTAAAATGCAGACTTCAGTACACATTCTGCAGAAATTAAAGGGACAAAACAAGGATATTATCAACAACTTTCTGCCAATGAATTTGACAATTTAGATGAAATGGTCAATTTCCTTGAAAAACACAATGTATTTAAACTGACATAAAAATAAATCATCTGAATAGTAATATAACTGTTAAAGACTTTTAATCTGTAATTTAAAAAGGTTTCTACAAAGAAAACTACAGATCCAGATTCCTTAACTGGTGAATTCTATGAAACATTTAAAGAAAAAATAGAGAAGGAGGGAATACTTCCCAGCTCATAAGGCCAGCAAATCCCTATACTAAAACATTGACAAGGACACTATGAGAAAAGAAAATCGTAGGCCAATCTCTCTCATGGCCATGTATAATTTTTTAAAAAACAGCAAATCCAGTCCAACAATACTTAAAGATAATGTGTACAGTATGACCATCTTGGAGTTTATCCCAAGAATACAGGGTTATTTTTACATAAAATATCAATCAGTGTAATTCATTATATCAAGAGTAAAGGAGAAAAAACAATTATCATCTCTGTAGATTCAGAAAAAGAATTTGATAAAACTCGCATCCATTCTTTATAAAAATTCCCATTATAGTATGACTAGAAAGGGATTTCCTTAATTTAGTAAAATATATGTGCCAAAACCCTGGCACTAACATTACATTTAATGGAAAAATAGCAATCATTGTCCCTCTGAGTTTAGAAAAAAGATAATGATGTTGACTATAACCACTTCTATTAAACACTGCACTACAGGTCCTAACTGGTGCAATTAAGCATGAAAAAGAAATAAAAGGTATAAAGAAATGAAAAAGAAGAAATAAAAATATCTAAGGTGATATTTTATAAAACAAAAAATTATACAAACTCAGAATTTTAAAAAGTGAAATTGGCAATTTTCTCATATATTATTTCAATATTCCTAGGTCAATTATTTCCATATACTTCCAAGAAACAACTGGAAGATGAACTGGGAAAAGCAATATGATTTAAATGTCACCAGAAAGCATCAAATTTCCAGAGATAAATTTAATAAAATATGTTCAAGATTTACAAAACAAAAAGTGCAGCATATTGTTAAATCAAACTCAATACCTACATAAATGGAGAGATAACATGTTCATTTCATTGGAAGGTTGAATACTGTCAAAATATCAATTCTCCTCTACCTTACCTAGAGAGTTATTGCAAACTTAAAAATCCCTACAGATACTTTAAATGGAAATTGATAAACTGATTTCCCCTGCAAAAAAATTAGAATAGCCAAGACAAGCTTTAAAAAACTGAAACAAATTTCTAGTACTTACCCACCATTTTTCAAGGCTTAATATAAATTTACAGTAATTCAGTGTTGTGTTAAAGCAGCAATAGAAAATAAACCATTGGAACAGTACACAGAGTCTGGAAATAGCCCACCACATGTACAGTCATTTGGCTTTCTTACAAAGGTGTGACTGTAATTTATTGGATGCGTTTAGGTTCTTTAAAAAAAAAATAGTGTAGGGAGCAATTGGATAACTGTGCTGGAAAAAAAATGAACCTTGACCCCTACCTCACACTGTAAAAATATTTTTATTTGAGATAGCTCATAAGCCAAATATGAAAGTTTAAACATGAAACATGTTATAAAAATTAGAAGATTATTTCCATAACCTCAAATAGACAAATATTTATTGAATTGGATAAAAAAATCACTATTCATGAAAGGAAAGATTGATACACTGGATTTTATTAAAATTAACAACTTTTGTTCATTACACAACAGCATTAGGAAAGGCAAATCTGAGGCACAGAGAATAGATTTGCAATATATGTATCTGACAAAGGACTCATATCTTGAGTATATAAAGAACTACTCTGAATCTATTTGAAAAAGGACAGACAATTCAATAAAAAATGAACAAAAGTACTTAAGAAGAAACTTCAAAAAGATGCTATCCAAATGGCCAATAGTATAATAAAAAGATGATTAATACTATTATTCATTAGGAATATGTAAATTCAAACCTCAATTAGATGCTTCTACATACTCATCAAAACAGATAAAATTAAGACCGACACTGCCCAGTGATGGTGAGGACATGGGCAATTGGAGAACTGGATATTTCATACATGGCTGTTGAAACTAATTTACAAACCATGTTGGAAAACTGTTTGGCAGCATCTACTAAAGTTCAATGTACACCTACCCTGTGATTCAGTATTTCTACTACTAAGTTTTTGTCTAAGAGAAATCAATGTATATGTTTATCAAAAGATATGTAAAAGAATGTTAATAGCATTTTTAAAAATAATAGTCCCAAACTGGAAACAACCCAAAAGTCCATCAACAGGGGAATGTGTAATTGACTGTGGTACATTCTTCAATGTAATATTGCATAGCAATGATAAAGAACAAACTACTGACACGTGTAACAAAATAAATGAATCTTTTACACATAATGATGACTGAAAAAAGCCAGATACAAGGATCACTGTATGATTTCATTTATATGAATTTCAATAACATGCAAAATTAACTGATGGTAATGGAAGTCATAGTAGTGGTCACCTCGGGGTTGGGGGGCGTAGGGGCATGGGTAAACTTCGTGGGATGAAGAAACTATTTTATATCTTGATACATATGGTCAATTCAAAGACATATATGTACTTAGGTAAAAACTCATCTATAGTCTTAAGTGTACTTTACTACATGTATGCTTCACTTCAATAAAAAGGAAAGGTTCATTCATCCATGCCACTGTGTAATTCAAAACAAGCAAAAAATAAATTCAACCCTAAACAAGTAGGTACTATAATAATCTAGTTCAGGCTACATAATTGACTATAGTGCTAATCTCTTACTTGAATGGCTCAATCCTTGCCATTTGAAGGAACTGTATGATTGTTCTACCAACCGCTACCAGCGGTGTGCCTGGGCATACCTTTCTAAGATAATCAGCTGCAGGCAGAGGCTTGGAAGTATATATTATTACCTACAAAAATAGCAAGGCTTCTTAAGTGATTTGTGGCTAGCAGTCAAAGATTGAAAAATGCTCCACCAAACAGTCTCTCTGTCCACAGGATATTGTCCTGCTGAGTCAGTAATATTCATTCTCATTTTATACAGAAATAAATTTGGGCAAAGAAAAGGTAAAGAGATAGTTTGAGATTATGTTGCTAGTCAGTATCTGATTGGGAAATAAAATATAAGTCTGCCAAATAAGAAGCTGCTCTGTGATACTGGTTGGAGTAGATAAGGAAGGAAAGAAGGAAGCATTTAAGAGAAGAAATTTTACCTGGGAATCCAGGAAGGCCTGGTTGTCCTTTTGCTCCAGGGGTTCCTGGTAATCCGGGCAAACCAGGATCTCCCACAGAACCTTTGATACCAGGGTTCCCTGGGTATCCAGGCAGACCAGGCTCACCCTGAAAACACGAATAAAAAGATAATACTGAAGTCTCTACACGACTTAGATTGTATAAGAACATAACATTATTTATAGAGCTTTTATTATATGTCAGGCACTCCAGTAAGTACTTGATGTAAATTGCTTCATTTAATCATCACAACAGTTCTGTGAGTTAGGCTTCATTATCTCCATTTATAAATGAGAAAACTGAATCTTGAGAAGCCAAGTGCCTAAGGTTTTTGTAAGTGGCAGAACTGGGATTTGAACCAGACTACAATCAGCTATGTAGCCAATCAGACTACATAGCCCATACTATTCTCACAGTATGTAGATGTATTATTCTCATTAATCCTTAACAACCCTATTAGAAAGATACTGTTATTATTCCCATGTTATAGTGATGGAGCTAGTAAGTGATGAAATCCGAATTTGGATTCAAACAGTCTGACTTCAGAACCTGTGTTTATCATTCCTACTGTGCCATAATGCAATTCATTGCTTCCAGTACACATGTCAACCAAAAGCTATAGTACGTTCTACTGAAAAAGGTGATTTTCACTGTAACATAAGGAAGTCTATCAATTCTTCAGTGGGCATCTAAAATCCCACTTCTGGCTGAGTGTTGTGGCTGTAGCACTTTGGGAAGCCAAGGCTGGAGGATTGCTTGAGCCCAGGAGTTTAAGACCAGCCTGGGCAACAAAGGGAGACTCTGTCTCTACAAAAAATAAAAAAGATCAGCTGGGCGTAGTGGTGCATGCCTGTAGTCCCAGCTACTCAGGAGGCTGAGGTGGGAGGATGGCTTCAGCCTATGAGGTCAAGGCTATATTGAGCCGTGATCATGCCACTACAGGCCAGCCTGGATGACAGAGGGAGCCCTGCCTCTTAACAAGAAAAGAAAAATCCTACTTCTTCCATGAAGCATTCCTGGGCAAAGAGAGTTTACCCCAAGAGGTTAGGGTAGGTTCTTACTCTGTCATGTCTACAATGGCTTCATATATGCAGTCTTAACTCCTTAATTACATTGAAAGTTTATTTTGGGTAAGAGATAATTCACATATGTATAACCGTTTTTGCTCAATGAATATTTGCATTAAGGTTTTTTCCAATAGAGCCTTAGAAGAATTCATACCCACTTTCACAATTAAAACAAGTTTTTCCCAATAACAATGGCAACATATACCTTAACACTAAATCTCTACTGCAGGGCTTGCTGCTCTGCGCATGAAGATCAGGACCTTTACAATAAGGTGCTAGTGTTCAACATCACCTACTGAATACTTCCTTCCTCACTTAGTACATACACTTGCAGGTGAGTAAGATCTATTTTTGACTCATGTTTCTGCATTATGGTAATAGCTCTTTAAACTAAAGTCTCTTTTTCCTTACATCCTATTATTTAAAAAAATTAAGAATCTTGGGCTGGGAATATATACATTTTTTCTGAACCTTGTAAATCAAATATCTAGTTCATTTTGAGGCACATAATAGGTATACAATTAAATTTTGGATTGAATTGGTCCCATCTTAGGTGTTTACATGGGAAACCTTTGAATAAACTATCATGATTCTTTTTGTTATTCATGAAAAAATTAAATGTATATACCAAAATAAAAAACAAGAAAAAAATTCCACTATTCTGCTAGTGGTAAATCTGAAAGGCAGAAGGCAAACTCTGGATTATTTATGATACTAAAGGACATTAAATTCTAAAAGTACAGAAATTCTTCCTTATCCATGGTTTTGCTATCCATGGTTTCAGTCACCTGTGTTCTGAAAATATTGAAAATTCCAGAAATAAATAATTTATGTTTTTAATTGCACGCCATTTTGTGTAGCATGATAAAATGTCATGTTGTCCCATTCCATCCCTCTCGAAACCTGAACTACTCCTTTCCCCAGCATATCCATGCTATAAACACTACCTGTCTATGAGTCACTTAGTAGCTGTCTCTGTTACCAGATGGAAAAAAAAAACCACACAGTATATAAAAGGTTAGGTATTATCCACAGGTTCAGGCATCCAACGGGGGGTCTTGGAATGTATCCCCCTTGGTAAGGGGGGACTACTGTAAGCCCAGTCTCTAAGTTCAGCCAGCACTTGCCCTCAATACCGTTTCTGTAATCACTCTTATGGCCCTACTCCTTCAAACCAAGTACCTTTTAAAAATAAAGTAAATATTTTATTAGGGCTTCTGAAAAAAACACTGAAATTTGCTAGCTTAAGCTTTATCTAGCCTTTTATTATTCACACACAAACTCATTGAAAACAATGAATTTCAAAAAAGGAAAGCAAGAAGAGATAAAGAAGACAGTGCTCAGAAAATCTACAAACTGGACACAAATCACTCTGAGAAAGGAAAATTCAAATCTATTTGCACTTCTAGGTAGAAGCGATTTGAATGACTCGGACACACAGCTGCAAATATCTACATCTGTTCTAATGTCAAGCTTTGATATAATTCTGAAAATGAAATATCTCATACCTAATAAGTCACATTTACCATTGTGAAACTATCTAATGACTATAGTAACACTGAAAGACAAGCCTGAAATTAGAACTGCTTTCAAGGTCACTGTGTTGTATCACGTAGAAAAAGGAGTCAATTTGATATCTTCTTTGTTGTTAAGATTCAAATTGTAATGTAATGGTATTTGGATCATAGCCAATCTCTACTATGTCCTAGTAATAGCATCTTCTCCTCCATTCCATACTATAACCCAAAATTCAGAATAAACTTACAGGCTTGCCCCATTTTACAGAACAGAAGACATCTATTGGTAAAAAAGCTAATCACTTTTGTTCTTGCATTCCACTGTAAAACTAGAGAAGCATTGCCACTGGGGGAAACAAAGACAACAAAAGGAAAATATTTGAGGAGAAAGAGTAAACATCATATCTTGCTTTATGCAAGAAGAATATTACAAGAGTAGACCATCAGTTGGAAGTTGTGGTTCCCACATAATTGTTAATGTTTTTACAACCTTATCTGTATTTGGAGATTAAAGACCATGAACAAAACCATAAATAGGTTCTATTTTAGACCCAGAATATTAACAGAGGGAAATTTAAAAGTGCATGCAGAGATACTTTTTTAAAGCTTTATTAATTTATATATAAAACTGCACATAATGCATACATACTTATGAGTTTGGATATATGCATATACCCATGATACCATAAGCACAATCAAAGTACTACACATATCCATCACCTCCAAAAATTTCTTCATGTTCTTGTGTCGGGGGGTTGTGGTAAGAGCACTTAACATGAAATCTATCCTCTTAACATATTTTAAGGTGAACAATACTGTACTGTCAACTGTAGGCACCATATTGTATAACAGATCTGTAAAACTTACTCATCTTGCATAACTGAAGCTTTATATCCATTGAGCAACCATTAACATTTTAATTATCTAGAAAAGGAATTATACAATAAGACCTTCAAATTTGCATGTTATTTAGCTCTTCCCAGTAGTGAAATGTTAAGCTAACAGTAACAAACTGATAAATAATGGCTCAAGGCTGCCTGAGCAGGCCAAAGCTGCCACATGAAATTCAATAGTAGTATGTCTAAGGTAATGATGAACTTAGAGAAAAAGAATATGAACTAAACTTAAAAGATAATGAGCTCTATACTACCCTTTACCATGCAAGATAGGCATAATAGCAAATTGCTCCAAACATCAGCTCAATGAGCCTACAGGTGGCTCAAAATACTAAAGAAATATTAAAGAAAAAATATGATTCATAAATCATGCTATTCCATACTAGCACAGCATGTGTAGTTCTAGTAATCACAGCACATACAATTACTTAAAATGTGCCCAAAGTTAATTGTGGGGAAAATCACACCCATTTGTTCATCAAATCTCAGGATTCTAGAACTAAAAACATCCTAAAATAAAGATAGTAATTTAAAGACAACTAAAAACATTACATGTTATTAGCAGAAACTTTGTAGATTTTCTATAATGTGCATTGTTTTAAAATAACTTTATTGAGATATAATTTATATACCGTACAATTCATCCACTTAAAGTGTACAATTCAATGTTTTCAGTATCTTCATAGGATTGTACAACCATCATCACAATCTAATTTTAGAAAATTTTCCATTTCCCCCTAAAAGAAACTGTACACATTAGCAGTCATTTCTCATTCTCACTCCCTCCAAGCCGTAGCAAAACCTAATCTGCCTTCTCTTTGTACAGATTTGCCTATTCTGGACATTTCATATAAATGAAATCATATGATATGTGGCTATTTTGTGCCTTGCTTATTTCACTTAGCATAATGTTTTCAAGGTTCATCCATTTTACACCATGTATCAGTACATCATTTTTTAAAATTGTCAAATGATATTCCAGTGTATGGGATAGCACACTTTGGTTTTTGTTTGCTTGTTTTTTTTAATTTTTCCATAAGTTATTGGGGTACAGGTGGTAGTTGGTTACATGAGTAAGTTCTTTAGTGGTGATTTGTGAGATTTTGGTGCACCCATCACCCAAGCAGTATACACTGTGCCGTATTTGCAGTCTTTTATCCCTTGCCCCACTCCCACCCTTCCCCACAAGTCCCCAAAGTCCCTTGTATCATTCTTATGCCTTTGCGTCCTCATAGCTTAGCTCCCACATATCAGGGAGAGCATACAATGTTCGGTTTTCCATTCCTGAGTTACTTCACTTAGAATAATAGTCTCCAATGTCATCCGGGTCGCTGCAAATGCCATTAATTTATTCCTTTTAATGGCCGAGTAGAATTCCATTGTATATATGTATATATACCACAGCTTATCAGTTCTTTGATTGATGGGCATTTGGGTTGGTTCCATAATTTTGCAACTGCAAATTGTGTTGCTATAAACATGCGTGTGCAATTATCTTTTTTTTGTATAATGACTTATTTTCCTCTGAGTAGATACCCAGTAGTGGGATTGCTGGATCAAATGGTAGTTCTACTTTTAGTTCTTTAAGGAATCTCCACACTCTTTTCGAGAGTAGCTGTACTAGTTTACATTCCCACCAGCAGTGTAGAAGTGTTCCCTGATCACCGCATCCACACCAAGATCTCCTATTTTTTGATCTTTTGATTATGGCCATTATTGCAGGAGTAAAGTGGTATTGCATTGCGGTTTTGATTTGCAGTTCCCTGATCATTAGTGATGTTGAGCATTTTTTTTCATATGTTTTTTGGCCATTTGTATATCTTCTTTTGAGAATTGTCTATTCATGTCCTTAGCCTACTTTTAGATGGGATTGTTTCTTTGTTTTTTGTTTTTTTTTCTTACTGATTTGTTTGAGTTCGTTGTAGAGTCTGGATATTCGTCCTTCGTCAGATGTACAGATTGTGAAGATTTTCTCCCAGTCTGTGGATTGTCTGTTTACTCTGCTGACTGCTCCTTTTGCTGTGCAAAAGCTCGTTAGTTTAATTAAGTCCCAATTATTTATCTTGTTTTTATTGCATTTGTGTTTGGGCTCTTGGTCATAAAATCTCTGCCTAAGCCAATGTCTGGAAGGATTTTTCCAATGATATCTTCTAGATTTTTTATAGTTTCAGGTCTTAGATTTAAGTCCTTAATCCGTCTTGAGTTGATTTTTGTATAAGGTGAGAGATGAGAATCCAGTTTCATTCTCCTACATGTGACTAGCCAATTAACTGAGCACCATTTGTTGAAAAGGGTGTCATTTCCCCATTTTATGTTTTTGTTTGCTTTATCTAAGATCCGTTGGCTGTAAGCATTTGGGTTCATTTCTGGGTTATCTATTCTGTTCCATCGGTCTATGTGCCTATTTTTATACCAGTACCATGCTGTTTTGGTGACTATGGCCTTAACAGTATAGTTTGAACTCAGGTAGTGTGATGCCTCCAGATTTGTTCTTTTTGTTTAGTCTTGCTTTGGCTATGCAGGCACTTTTTTGGTTCCAAATGAAGTTTAGAATTGTCTTTTCTAATTCTGTGAAGAATGACGGTGGTATGTTGATGGGGATTGTGTCAAATTTGTAGACTGCTTTTGGCAGTATGGTCATTTTCACAATATTGATTCTACCCATCCATGAGCATGGGATGTGTTTCCATTTGTTTGTGTCGTCTATGATTTCTTTCAGCAGTGTTTTGTAGTCTTCCTTGTAGAGAGGTCTTTCGTCTCCTTGGTTAGGTCTATTCCCAAGTATTTTATTTTATTTTATTTTATTTTTTGCAGCTATTGTAAAAGGGGTTGAGTTCTTGATTTGATTCTCTGCTTGGTCACTGTTGGTGTAAAGAAGAGCTACTGATTTGTGTACATTAATCTTGTATCCAGAAACTTTGTTGAATTCTTTTATCAGTTCTAGCAGCTTTCTGGAGGAGTATTTAGGGTTTTTGAGGTAAACGATCATATTGTCAGCAAACAGTGACAGTTTGACTTCCTCTTTACCGATTTGGATGTTCTTTTTTTCTTTCTCTTGTCTGATTGTTCTAGCTAGGACTTCCAGTACTATGTTGAAGAGGAGTGGTGAGAGTGGGCATCCTTGTCTTGTTCCAGTTCTCAGAGGGAAAGCTTTCAACTTTTCCCCATTCAGTACTATGTTGGCTGTGGGTTTGTCATAGATAGCTTTTATTACATTGAGGTATGTCCCTTGTATGCTGACTTCGCTGAGAGTTTTAATTGTAAAGTGATGCTGGATTTTGTTGAATGTTTTTTTTCTGCATCTATAGAAATGATCGTGTGACTTTTGTTTTTAATTCTGTTTATGTGGTGTATCACATTTGTTGACTTACCTATGTTAAACCATCACTGCATCCTTGGTATGAAACCCACCTGATCATGGTGGATTATCTTTTTGATACGCTGTTGGATTCAGTTAACTGGTATTTTGTCAAGGATCTTAGCATCGATGTTAATCAAGGATATCAGTCTGCAGTTTTCTTTTTTGGTCTCGGTATTAGGCTGATGCTGGCCTCCTAAAATGAATTAGGGAGGGCTCCTTCTTTCTCTGTCTTGTGGAATAGTGTCAAAAGTACTGGTGCCAATTCTTCTTTGAATGTCTGGCAGAATTCTGTTGTGAATTCATCTGGTCCTAGACTTTTTTTTGTTGGTAATTTTTTAATTACCATTTCAAGCTTGCTGCTTGTTGTTGGTCTGTTCAGGGTATCTAATTCTTCCTGATTTAAGATGGGAGGGTTTTCAGAGGTACAAGGAGGAGCTGGCACCATTCCTTCTGAAATTATTCCAATCAATAGAAAAAGAGGGAATCCTCCCTAACTCATTTTATGAGGCCAGCATCATCCTGATACCAAAGCCTGGTAGAGACACAACAAAAAAAGAGAATTTTAGACCAATATCCTTGATGAACATTGATGCAAAAATCCTCAATAAAATACTGGCAAACCAAATCCAGCAACACATCAAAAAGCTTATCCACCATGATCAAGTGGGCTTCATCCCTGGGATGCAAGGCTGGTTCAACATTCGCAAATCAATAAACGTAATCCAGCATATAAACAGAACCAAAGACAAAAACCACATGATTATCTCAATAGATGCAGAAAAGGCCTTTGACAAAATTCAACAACCTTCATGCTAAAAACTCTCAATAAATTAGGTATTGATGGGATGTATCTCAAAATAATAAGAGCTATCTATGACAAACTCACAGCCAATATCATACTTAATGGGCAAAAACTGGAAGCATTCCCTTTGAAAACTGGCACAAGACAGGGATGCCCTCTCTCACCACTCCTATTCAACTTAGTGTTGGAAGTTCTGTCCAGGGCAATCAGGCAGGAGAAGAAAATAAAGGGTATTCAATTAGGACAAGAGGAAGTCAAATTGTCCCTATTTGCAGATGACAGGATTGTATATCTAGAAAACCCCATCGTCTCAGCCCCAAATCTCCTTAAGCTGATAAGCAACTTCAGCAAAGTCTCAGGATACAAAATCGATGTGCAAAAATCACAAGCATTCTTATACACCAATAACAGACAAACAGAGAGCCAAATCATGAGTGAAGACCCATTCACAATTGCTTCAAAGAGAATAAAATACCTAGGAATCCAACTTACAAGGGATGTGAAGGACCTCTTCAAGGAGAACTACAAACCACTGCTCAATGAAATAAAAGAGCATACAAACAAATGGAAGAACATTCCATGCTCATGGGTAGGAAGAATCAATATTGTGAAAATGGCCATACTGCCCAAGGTAATTTATAGATTCAATGCCATCCCCATCAAGCTACCAATGACTTTCTTCACAGAATGGGAAAAAACTACTTTAAAGTTCATATGGAACCAAAAAAGAGCCTGCATCACCAAGTCAGTCCTAAGCCAAAAGAACAAAGATGGAGGCATCACGCTACCTGACTTCAAACTATACTACAAGGCTACAGTCACCAAAACAGCATGGTACTGGTACCAAAACAGAGATATAGATCAATGGAACAGAACAGAGCCCTCAGAAATAATGCCGCATATCTACAACTATCTGATCTTTGACAAACCTGACAAAAACAAGCAATGGGGAAAGGATTCCCTATTTAATAAATGGTGCTGGGAAAACTGGCTAGCCATATGTAGAAAGCTGAAACTGGATACCTTCCTTACACGTTATACAAAAATTAATTCAAGATGGATTAAAGACTTAAATGTTAGACGTAAAACCATAAAAACCCTAGAAGAAAACCTAGGCAATACTGTTCAGGACACAGGCATGGGCAAGGACTTCATGTCTAAAACACCAAAAGCAATGACAACAAAAGCCAAAATTGACAAATGGGATCTAATTAAACTACAGAGCTTCTGCACAGCAAAAGAAACTACTATCAGAGTGAACAGGCAACCTACAGAATGGGAGAAAATTTTTGCAATCTACTCATCTGACAAAGGGCTAATATCCAGAATCTACAATGAACTCAAACAAATTTACAAGAAAAAAACAAACAACCCCATCAAAAAGTGGGCAAAGTATATGAACAGACACTTCTCAAAAGAAGACATTTATGCAGCCAAAAAACACATGAAAAAATGCTTATCCTCACTGGCCATCAGAGAAATGCAAATCAAAACCACAATGAGATACCATCTCACACCAGTTAGAATGGCGATCATTAAAAAATCAGGAAACAACAGGTGCTGGAGAGGATGTGGAGAAATACGAACACTTTTACACTGTAGGTGGGACTGTAAACTAGTTCAACCATTGTGGAAGTCAGTGTGGCAATTCCTCAGGGTTCTAGAACTAGAAATACCATTAGACCCAGCCATCCCATTACTGGGTATATACCAAAGGATTATAAATCATGCTGCTATAAAGACACATGCACATGTATATTTATTGTGGCACTATTCACAATAGCAAAGACTTGGAACCAACTCAAATGTCCAACAATGATAGACTGGATTAAGAAAATGTGGCACATATACACCATGGAATACTATGCAGCCATTAAAAATGATGAGTTCATGTCCTTTGTAGGGACATGGATGAAGCTGGAGACTACCATTCTCAGCAAACTATCGCAAGGACAAAAAACCAAACACCGCATGTTCTCATTCATGGGTGGGAGTTGAACAGTGAGAACACATGGACACAGGAAGGGGAACATCACACATCAGGGACTGTTGTGGGGTCGGGGGAGGGGGGAAGGAGAGCATTAGGAGATATACCTAATGCTAAATGACGAGTTAATGGGTGCAGCACACCAACATGGCACATGTATACATATGTAACAAACCTGCACATTGTGCACATGTACCCTAAAGCTTAAAGTATAATAATAATAATTTTAAAAAAAAGTAACCAAGATCTGGGAGCTAGATATGCTTCCCATTTTAATACTAATTGTAAAAAAAAAAAAAGATGGGAGGGTTTTATTTTTCCAGGAATTTAGCCATCTCTTCTAGGTTTTCTAGTTTATGTACATAAAGGTGTTCATAGTAGCCTTGAATAATCTTTTTTATTTCAGTGGTGTCAGTTGTAATATCTCCTGTGTCATTTCTTAATGATGTTCTTTGGATTTTCTCTCTTCTTTTCTTAATCTTGGTAATGGTCTACCAATTTTATTTATGTTTTTGAAGAAGCAGCTATTTGTTTCATTTATCTTTTGCAATTCTTTTTTGTTTCAATTTCATTTAGTTCTGCCCTGATCTTGGTGACTTCCTTTCTTCTGCTGGGTTTGGGTTTGATTTGTTCTTGATTCTCTAGTTCCTTGAGGTGTGACCTTGGAATGTCAGTTTGTGCTCTTTTCGTCTTTTTGATGTAGGCATTTAGGGCTAAGAACTTTCCTCTTTGCACCACCTTTGCTGTATCCCAAAGGCTTTGATAGGTTATATCATTATTATCGTTCAGTTCAAACAATTTTTTAATTTTCATCTTGATTTCATTTTTGACCCAATGCTCATTTAGGAGCATGTTTCTTTTCTTTGCTTTCTTTTTTTTTTTTTTTTTTGTTGTTGTTGTTGTTGTTTGGAGACGGAGTCTTGTTCTGTCACCCAGGCTGGAGTGCAGTGGCATAATCTCGGCTCACTGCAACCTCCGCCTCCCGGGTTCAAGTGATTCTCCTGCCTTGGCCTCCTGAGTAGCTGGGATTACAGGTGCCTGCCACCATCCCCAGCTATTTTTTGTAATTTTAGTAGACATAAGGTTTCACCATGTTGGCCAGGCTAGTCTCAAACTCCTGACCTCAGGTGATCTGCCCAAACTGGCCTCTCAAAGTGCTGGGATTACAGGCGTGAGCCACCATGCCCGGCCCGAGAGGAAGTTGTTTAAATTCCATGTATTTGCAGATTCCTTTTGGATTTGATTTCCAGTTTTATTCCACTGTGGTCTGAGAGTGCTTGACATGATTTCAATGTTCTTAAATTTATTGAGGCTTCTTTTATGGCCTATCATATGGTCTATCTTGGAGAAAGTTCGTGGGCTTTTGAATAGAATGTGTATTCTGTGGTTGTTGGATGGAATGTTCTGTATATATCTGTTAAGTCCATTTGTTCCAAGGTATAGTTTAAATCTATTGTTTCTTTGTTGACTTTCTGTTTTGATGACCTGTCTAGTGCTGTCAGTAGAGGATTGAAGTTCCTCAGTATTATTGTGTTGCTGTCTATCTCATTTCTTAGGTCTATTAGTAATTGTTTTATAAATTTGGGAACTCCAGTGTTAGGTGCATATATATTTAGGATTGTGATATTTTCCTGTTGGACAAGGCCCTTTAGCATTATAGAATGTCCCTCTTTGTCTCTTTTAACTGTTGTTGCTTTAAAGTTTATTTTGTCTGATAGAACAATAGCTACTCTTGCTCGCTTTTGGTGTCTATTTGCATGAAAGGCTTTTTTCCACTCCTTTAAGTTTATGTGAGTCCTTATGTGTTAGGTGAGTCTCCTGAAGGCAGCAGATCATTGGTTGGTGAGTTCTTATCCATTCTGTAGTTCTATATCTTTTAAGTGGAGCATTTAGGCCATTTACACTCAATGTTAGCATTCAGATGTGAGGTACCATTGCATTCATCATGCTATTTGTTGCCTGCGTACCTTGGTATTTTGGGGTTTTTATTTTTGCCTTTTAACTTGTAGTTTTGTTTTGTAGGTCCTATGTGATTTATGCTTTAAAGAGGTTCTGTTTTTATGTGTTTCCAGGATTTGTTTCAAGTTTTAGAGCTCCTTTCCTCAGTTCTTGTTGTGGTGGCTTGGTAGTGGCGAATTCTCTCAGCATTTGTTTGTGCGAAAACAACTGTATCTTTCCTTAATATATGATGCTTAGTTTCACTGGATACAAAATTCTTGGCTGATAATTGTTTTGTTTGAGGAGGCTGAAGATAGGGCCCCAATCCCTTCAAGCTTGTAGGGTTTCTGCTGAGAATTCTGCTGTTGATCTGACAGGTTTTCCTTTATAGGTTACCTGGTGCTTTTGCCTCACAGCTCTTAAGATTCTTTCCTTCATCTTATCTTTAGATAACCTGATGACGATGTCCCTAGGCAATGATCGATTTGTGATGAATTTCCCAGGTGTTCTTTGTGCTTCTTGTATTTGGATGTCTAGGTCTCTAGCAAGGCTGGGGAAGTTTTCCTTAATTATTCCCCAAATATGTTTTCCAAACTTTTAGATTTCTCTTCTTCCTCAGAAACACCGATTATTCTTAGGTTTGGTTGTTTAACATAATCTTAGACTTCTTGGAGGCTTTGTTTATATTTTCTTATTCTTTGAGCTCTGAATTTCTTTCTTCTACTTGTTCAATTCTATTGCTGAGACTTTCCAGAGCATTTTGCATTTCTATAAGTGTGTTCATTGTTTCCTGAAGTTTTGATTGTTTTTATTTATGCTATCTATTTCCTTTAATATTTCTCCATCCAATTGTTGTATCATATTTTGGATTTCCTTACATTGGGCTTCACCTTTCTCTGGTGCCTCCTTGATTAGCTTAATAAGTAACCTCCTGAATTCTTTTTCAGGTAAATCAGGGATTTCTTCTTGGTTTGGATCCATTGCTGGTGAACTAGTGTGACTTTTTTTTTTTTTTTTTTTTTGGAGAGGGGGAGTGTTAAAGAGCCTTGTTTTTTCATATTACCAGAGTTGGTTTTCTGGTTCCTTCTCATTTGGGTAGGCTTTGTCACAGGGTAGGTCTAGGGCTGAAGTCTGTTTTTCTGATCCCTTTGTCCCATGGGATGTTCCCTTGATGTAGTACTCTCCCCCTTTTCCTATGGATGTGGCTTCCTGTGAGGGGCACTGCAGTGATTATTGTCTCTCTTCTTGGTTTAGCCACCCAGAAAGTCTACCCAGCTCTCAGCTGCTACTGAGAATTGTCTGCACAAAGTCCTGTGATGTGAACTGTCTATGGTCTCTCAGCCATGGGTACGAGCACCTCTTCCAGTGGAGGTGGCAGGGGGTGAAATGTACTCTGTGAGGGTTCTTATCTTTGGTGGTTTAATGCTCTATTTTGGGGCTGGTTGGCTTCCTGCCAGGAGGTGGCACTTTCCAGAAAGCATCAGCTGTGGTAGTATGGAGAGGAACCAGTGGTAGGTGGGGCCCTAGAAATCTCAAGATTATATGCCCTTTGTTTTCAGCTACTAGGGTGGATAGGAAAGGCTCATCAGGTGGGGGCAGGGCTAGGGACCTCTGAGCTCAGACCCTCCTTGGGCAGGTCTTATTGTGGCTGCTGTGGGGGATGGAGGTGAGGTTCCCAGATCAATGGGGTTGTGTACCTAGGAGGATTATGGGTGCCTCTGCTGAGTCATGCAGATTGTCAGAGAAGTGGGGGAAAACCAGCAGTCACAGGCCTCACCCAACTCCCACACAAATCAAAGGGCCGATCTTACTCCCACTGTGCCCCTATTAACAGCCCCAAGTCTGTTTCCAGGTGGTGGGTGAGCAGGGCTTGAGAACTTGCCGCAGGCTACCTGCCACCAAGCTGCAAAAGAAAAGGGCTTGGTTCTTCCCCCATCTGTGGAGTCTGCACACTGGATTCATGCCCTCCCCCGAGTTCTGGCCAGGAGGCTTCTCGCCTGGTTCAAATTGTTACAAAGTTCAGCTGGAGGCTTCCTTCTCCCTGTGGTGCTTTCCTCCACTCCTCTGGCTGCCCTCCCGATGGATCCCTGTGGTGCCAGGCAGGAATGGCCTGCTTGGTGACCCAGCAAGCCCCCAGGGCCTTTCCTGCTGCTTCCTCTACCCCTGTATTTCACTTGGCTCTCTAAATGGACTCAGCTCCAGGTAAGGTCAGAAACTTCTCCCACAAACAGACCTCCAGTTTCTCCAGTGGCGGTGTGTATTTGGGAGAGAAGGATCTCCACTTTCCACTTCTATATTTGGGGCACTCACAGTATTTGGGGTGTCTCCTGGGTCCTGCAAGAGAAGTCCACTTCCTTCAGAGGGTCTGTGCATCCTCTTGTGATTACTGGTTTGTTGTTGCAGTTGATCTGGAACTAAATTCACAATGCGTACCTCTGTATGCTGCTCTGTCTGTCCGAGTTGGAGCTGTAATCCAGTCCTGTCTCCCGTCCACCATGATGATCCTCACTCTCCTCAATTTTCTCTGGGATAGCACATTTTGTTTAGCCATTCTTGTGATTTGGGTTTTCTTCACTTTTGGCTGCTGTGAGTATTCAAGTACAAGTTTCTGTGCAGAAATACAGCTTCATTTCTCTTGGGAAAATACCTAGGAGTGGAATTGCTGAGCCATATGATAACTCTTTATTTAACTTTTTGAGGCACTGTCAAATATTTTTTCACAGCAGCTGCATCATTTTACATTCCCACTGGCAATGCAAAAGGGTTCTAATTTCTTCACATCCTTGCCAACATTTGTTATTTTCTCTCTTTATTATGCCTACTCAAGTAAGTGTGAAGTGGTATCTCAATGTGGTTTTGATTTGCATTTTCATAATGACTAATGAGGTTAAACACCTTTTCATGTACATACTGGCCATTTGTACATCTTTCTTAGAGAAATAGCTATTCAATTCCTTTGTTCATTTTTTCACTTAAAAATATTTTATTTTTAACTGATAAAAACTATATACATTTATAGAGTATGATGTGATGTTATGATACATGTATACATTGTGAAATGATTAAATCAAGCTAATTAATATTTTCATTTTATGTGGCTTTTTAGAGTATCAAAATATACAAAACATAAATCTTACCATTTTAATTATTTTTAAGGGTATAGTCCTGTGGCATAAACAACATTCACACTTTTTGCAACCATCACCACCATATATCTCCAGAATTTTTTTTATCAACCCAAACGGAAACCTTATACTCATATCCACAATGAAATTAGTTAACACATCTAGCACTTCACCGAGTTACAATTTTTTTTTCAGTGTGTGGTGAAAGCAATTAAGATCTACTCTCAACAAATTTCAAGTATACAACACAATATTTTAAACTATAGTGCCCATGCTGTACATTTGATCCCTAGAGTTTATTCATCTTATAACTAACTAAATGTTTGTACCCTTTGGCCAATATCTCCTTATTTTCCCCTCCCCCAACCCTGAGCAATTACCATTCTACCTTCTGTCTCTATGAAATTGACTGTTCTAGGTACCTTATGTAACTGGGGTCATGTAATATTTGTCTTTTTATAACTGGCTTATTTCACTTAGCATAACGGCTTCAAAGTTAATCCATATTGTAGTATGTATCAGAATATTATTCCATTTTAAGGTCAAAAAATATCTATTGTGTGTGCATACCACATTTTATTACACATTCCTCTATCAATGGACATTTGGGATGCTTCCACCTTGTGACTTGTGAATAATGTTGCTAGAAGCATGGCTACAAAAACATCTCTTTGAGGTCCCATTTTTGTTTTCAATTATGTTAGATGTGTCTCCAGAAGTGAAATTGCTAGATCATATGATAATTCTGTGTTTACTTTTGAAGAACTGCCATAATGTTTTCCATAGTGGCTGCACAATTTTACATTCCTACTAGCAATACAGGAGAGTTCCAACTTCTCCACATCCTCACCAACACTTGTTATTTACTGTTTTTTATATAATAGCCTTCTTAATGGGTATGAAGTGTTATCTCACTGTAGAATTGACTGCATTTCCCTAATGATTAGTGATGTTGACCATCTTTTCATGTACTAATTTGCCATTTGTATATCATCTTTGAAGAAAGGTCTATTCAAGTCATTTGCTTATTTCTGAATTGGGTTGTTTGATGGCTTTTGTTATTGACTTGTAGGAGTTCTTTTTAAAATTCTGGAAATTAATCTTTTACCAGATATACAATTTACAAATATTTTCTTCCATCCCATGAGTTGCCTTTTCACTCTATTAGTAGTGTTCTTGGATGCACAAAAGCTTAACATTTTGATGTTGTCCAATTAATCTATTTTTTCTTTTGTTGCCTGTGATTTCGGTGTCATATCCAAGAAATCATTGAAAAAAATCTAATGTCATGAGGCATGTTGTCCCATGTTTTCTTCTAAGAGTTTTATAGTTTTAGGTCTTACATTTAGGTCTTCATTCTTTTTTGAATTAATTTTATATATGATGTAAGAAAATGGTTCAACTCCATTCTTCTGCATATGGACATTCATTTTACCCAGCATGCATTTGTTGAACGCCTTTCCCCATTGAGCACCCTTGTCAAAGATCATTCAACTACAGACCAGAGATTTTATCTCTGGTCTATCTATTACATTGGTCTATTTGCTGTCTTTATGTCAGCACCACACCGCTTTGATTACTATAACTTTGTAATATGTTTTCTAATAAAAAATTATTATGAGTCCTCCAACCTGGTTCTTTTTTAGAATTGTTTTGGCTAGTTGGGGTCCCTTGAGATTTCCTTGTGAATTAGACTAAGTTTTTCGTTTCTGGAAAAAAAAATGCCATTGGAGTTTTGATAGGCGTTGCATTGAATCTGTGTATTGCTTTGGGTAGTATGGACATTTTAACAGTATTAAATCTTCCATTTATTTCTGTCTTCTTTAATTCCTTTTAGCAATATTTTGTAGTCTTCAGAGCACAAGTCTTCCACCTTCTTGGTTAGGTTTATTCTTAAGTATTTTATTCTTTTTGATGCAACTGTAAATTTAATTTTCTTAATTTCCTTTTTGGAATGTTCATTGTTGATGCATCAAAACATTCAAAACTGACTGCTGTGTGTTGATTTTTTATCCTGAATCTTTGCTGAATTTGTTTATTAGTTCTACCTATTTTCCGCATATATGGTATCTTTGTAGAGTTTTCTACATAGCATTATATCATCTCTGAACAAAGATAATTTTACTTCTTCCATTCCAATTAAGATGACTTTTATTTCTTTTTCTTGCCTAATTGGTCTGGCTAGGAATTCCAGTACTATGTTGAAAGGAAGTAGTAAAATTAAGAATCCTTAACTTCTTCTTGGTCTTAGAGGAAAAGCATTCAGACTTTTACCATTGTTAGCTGTGGGTTTTTTCATATATGACCTTTATAATAAGTAGATAGTTCGCTTCTATTCCTAGCTTGTGGTGTGTTTTTTTAATCATGAAACAGTGTTGAATTTTGTCAAATGCTTTTTTTTGCATTAATTAAGTGATCATGTGGGATTTCTCCTTCATTCTGTTAGTGTGATGGTGTATTACACTAATGATTTTTGTATGCTGAACTATCCTTGCATCCCAGGAAAAAATCTCACTTGACCATGGCATATAATCCTTTTAATATGCTGTTGAATTCAGTATGCTAGTATTTTGTTAAGGATTTTTTGCATCAATATTCATAAGGGATTTTGGTCTGTAGCTTTCTTTTATTGTAGTGTCTTTGTCTGGATTTGGTATCAGGGTAATCCAGGTATAATATAATGAGTTTGGAAGTGTTCCCTCCTCTTCAATTTTTTTGGAAGACCTTGAAAACAAATGCTGTTAATCCTTCTTTAATTGTTTGGAAAATATTTGGGAGGCTGAAGATCACTTGAGCCCACAAGGACAAGGCTGCAGTGAGCCGTAACTGCACCACTGCACTCCATCCAGCATGGGCAACATAGCGAGACCCTGTCTCAAAAAAAAAAAAAAAGATTGGTAGAATTCACCAGTGTAGCCATCTGGTCCTGAGCTTTTCTTTATTGGAAGGTTTTTGATTACTGAGTCAATCTTCTTACTCACTTTAGGTCTATTCATATAATCTACTTCTATGATTCAGTCTTGGTAGATTGTGTCTTTCTAGGAATTTGCCCATTTCATCCAGGTTATCTAATTTGTTAGCAAACACCTGTTCATAGCAGTCTCATATATTTTTAGTTCTGTAAGATTGGTAGTAATGTCTCCTCTTTTATTTCTGATTTTAGTTGAGTCTTCTCTCTTTTTCTTGTAGTCAAGCTAGCTAAAACTTTTTCTATTTTGTTATCTTTTTGAAGAAACAACTTTTAGTTTTGTTGACTTCATCTATGATTTTTTTAGTTCTGTATTTTATTTATCTCTGCTCTAATCTTTATTATTTCTTTCTTTCTGCTAGTTTTGGATTTAGTTTTTCTTTTTCTAGTTCTTTAAGATGTAAAGTTAGGTTTTTGATTTGAGATGTTTCTTCTCTAATGTAAGTATTTACAGCTATTAATTTCCCATTTAGCATTGCTTTCACTACATCCTGTACGTTTTGGTATGTTGTGGTTTCATTTTCATTTGTCTCATTATATTTTCTGCCAGACATGGTGGCTCATGCCTGTAATCCCAGCACTTCGGGAGGCCAAGGAGGGTGGATTGCTTGAGGTCAGGAGTTCAAGACCAACTGTCCAACATGGCAAAACCCCATCTCTACAAAAAATTAGCTAAGCATGGTGGTGCGTATCTGTAATCCCAGCTACTCAGGAGGCTGAGGCATGAGAATTGCTTGAGCCTGGAAGGCAGAGGTTGCAGTGAGCCACAATCACGCCACTGCACTCCAACCTGGGTAACAGAATAAGACTCTGTCAAAAAAAAAAAAAAAAAAAAAAAGACATTACATTTTCTAACTACCCTCGTGATTTCTTCTTTGCCTCATTGGTTAAGAGCGTCTTGTTTAATTTACATGCATTAGTAGATTTTCCAGTTTACTTTCTGCCATTGATTTCTAATTTCACTCCATCATGATTAAAAAATATATGCTGTGTGGTTTTAATCTTTTTAAGTGTATGAAGACTTACTTTGTGCTCTAATATATTGTCTATTCTGGAGAATGTTCCATGTGCAGTTGCAAAAATGTATATTCTGCATTTTTCTTGGATAGAATATTTTGTATATGTTTGTTAGGTCCAATTCACTTTGTGCACTTTTAAAAACTGAGTTATTTGCTTTCCGTTGAATTATAAGAATTCTTTATATATTCTGTATACAAATCCTTTATCTCATATATGATTTGCAAATATTTTCTTTCATCTCGTGAGCTGTCTTTTCACTTTCTTGATGGTATCATTTGCAACAGAAAACACATTAAATTTTAATAAAGCCCCATTTATTTTTTCTTTAGTTGTTTGTGCTTTTAGTGTCATAGCTAAGAAACCATTACCTAATGAATTTTAATATAGCCCAATTTATTTTTCCTTTAGTTGTTTGTGCTTTTAGTGTCATAGCTAAGAAACCATTACCTAATGCAAGGTCACAAGAATTTAGTCATCTTTTATCCTAATATGTTTATGGTTTAGTTCTTATATTTAGGTCAGTAATCCAGTTGGAGTTAATATTTGTATACAGTATGAGATAGGGGTCCAGATTCATTCTTTTGCAGACAGGTATCCTCTTTTCCCAGCATGATTTGATTTTTGTTTTGTTTTTTATTTTAGATCCAGGGGTTATGTATGCAGGTGTGTTACATGGGTATATTATGTGATGTTGATGTTTGGGCTTCTAATGTTCCCATTGCCCAAGTAGTGAACATAGTACTCCATAGGTTTGTCAACACTTCCCCCACTCCTTACCCCTTTTGGGAATACCCAGAATTTATTGTCCCATCTTTGCATCTGTGTATACCCAATACTTACCTCCAAACTTTAAGTGAGAACATGTGCTATTTGGTTTTCTGCTTCTGCATTAATTTGCTTAGGATAGATAGTAGCCTCCAGCTGCATCCATGTTCCAGCATCATTTGTTGAAAAGACTATCCTTAACTCCCTTTAAATTGTTTTGGTACCTACGTTGAAAATCAGTTGACCAAAAATGTATGGGTATTTCTGGACTCTATCTATTCCATCAGTCTCTATGTCTACCCAGTGCTGGTATCATAGTTGTAGTAAGTTTTGAAATCCAGAAGAGTGAGTCCTCCAAATCTGTTCTTCTCAAGATTTCTTTGACTATTCTGGGTTCCTTGCACTTCCATATGAATTTTAGGATACACTTGTCAATTTCAGCATAAAAGCCATCTGGGATTATGAAAGGGATGAATCTGTAGTATGATTAGATTTTAAAAAGGAGTTATGAAGGTTAGAACAATTACACTATATTAAAAGAGCATTACAGATTCATATAGTTCCATAGAGTCATTATATTTGAGAATTCCAGATATCTTAGACACCCTCTACTCCAGCCCTTTCATTTTAGATAAAAAGAAATACTATGTATAGAATGCTTTATAATTTACAAAGTGTTTCATTCCTTTTCCTTTTTTTTCTTTTTTATGAAGCATGTTTTAATCTCATTGAAACCTCACAATAACTACAAAAAGTAGGATTTTTTTTCTCCCACTTTTTATGGACAAGGTACTGAAGACACTGAAGAATTAAGTGACTTATCAAGGTCATGTACACAAACCCAGGACTCAAATTTCTGCCTACTGACTCCTTGTCTGGGGTTTTCAGTATACTTTATTAATCATGCTTTTTGACTAACAGAGCTGCTGTTTCATAAACAGTGACATCCATAAAACAAACTACCTATCTGATATTTTACCACTATTCCTATTTCTTAACAACTCAGTAATTACAGAAATTTGTCTTATGCTTGTTTTCCCTCAATCATACCATTATATTTCCTAAAACTGTTCTTCTTCTCTTCCTTTATAATATGGGTACTCTTTGTTTCACGTGGTAGTGTGGAACTGGAAAAATGAAACTGCAAACCAAAATCATGTAAAGTGATCTTAATAATCAATGGGGGAAAATGTAATTATTCTATGACCTTTAAAAATGTTATCAAAACATTAAAATATGTTTTAATGTCAGATACACATGTATAAAGAAATAAAAAATAGTAAATCCAATATTTATTTGGTAAATGCTAATTTAAACATTAGAAACATTGAAAAATAAAGTGATTTATTTCATTGTAAAAAAGTTACCAAGAGTAATTTGAACAGTGTCTCCCTTCTTCTCGTATAACTTACAATACAGAGCACACATCTTTTCTATGCCTTGGCACAGAAATTGTCTCACTGTTTCTAAACTGAGATCAGCTTCCAGCATGTTAACCTTTATACTTTCAAACTTGTAAAATATCTCCAAGAGTTCCTTTAATGTGAAATTTGTGATGGCAACACTTCCTCTGTGACATCTTCATCCTTTTCATCAGTGCTCCTTTCCTCATTAATGTTGATAAGTTTGCCTTCACTAAGTTCCTTAGCTGCATATCTAGAGTCTCTCAAATGGTGGCAGTGTCTACAATTCTATGGTTGGCTATTAATTCTATAACCCCATTTACTTTAGATTCAAACCTTACTTCCAGTGCTATCACTTTCCTTTTTTTTTTTTTTTGTTGCACTTTCTTCTTTGTTGGCTAATTTTCTCTTTTGATTATCCATTTTTGTAAAATGTCACATTGCTTTATCACTGGGAGACAAGGAGGTGACACAACTAAATGCTTTGCTGTCAGTGCAGGAACTGAACAGATGCATGGTTACTAATTAGTGACAGAATTTGAAAGAAGTGAAATTACTGTCCACTGATTGTAATGCACATCTCTTATTTAGATGATGATTTATAAATGGAAGAGTTAATATATCATAGCAACTAAAATTTAAACAATGTTGTTGTGGATCGGTGTTAAGTAATGATAACTGAAATTTGTGCAAAAGCAAAGATCACCTGTACCTAATAGAACTGAGCTAAAAAAACTTTTATTTTTTCAACATGTCACTATTTTAAGGTATAATAATGCCATCTGAAAGAAACAACAGACTACTTTACATTATTTCCACAATATCATCTTTGTTAAGTTTCTAAATTTAGTGTAAAATTTGCTTACTGAAATATACTTGTAGGTCACACAGAAGAACTAAAAGCTAACCTCTTGCTTGTAGAGTTGAATATACTTTGGACATTTACCAATTAAAACATATTTTTCTGCTATCACCCATTAAAAATGTAGAGACAATTTATTATGGTAATTTTGATTCCATTAGTAAAATGTTAAAATTCACTCATTCCAGAAAAAAAAATTCATGAACAAATTTGGAAAAAAAATTTAAATACAATTTTATATCAGTGAATAAAGAATTGAGTTTGTAACAAATGAGGCTCAGTCAACTGGATATTTATTTGGGAAAAAAAATAAAGTTAGTTTCTCACCTCATACAACATACAGAAATACTCAGGTGCATTAAAATGCAAATGTACAGAAAAAAACCATGAAAATCCTGTAAGAAATATATAAATCTATTTTTATAATCTCAGGATATAGAAGTCTTCATAAGTAGAAGACTTTTTTTCCAAAAAATCCTAAAATCTATGTGACAGGCCTCAAGCCTTCCTTACCTCTTCCTCTCTCTCCCCCTCAATTGATGAATTTCCTATTTCAGCAACAAAATATTGACAATCAAAAAACTATGCTCCTGAGACTTTGCTGAAGTTACTTATCAGCTTAAGGAGATTTGGGGCTGAGACGGTGGGGTTTTCTAAATATACAATCATGTCATCTGCAAACAGGGACAATTTGACTTCCTCTTTTCCTAACTGAATACCCTTTATTTCTTTCGCCTGCCTGATTGCCCTGGCCAGAACTTCCAACA
This sequence comes from Homo sapiens, assembly GCF_000001405.40. Taxonomy (NCBI): domain Eukaryota; kingdom Metazoa; phylum Chordata; class Mammalia; order Primates; family Hominidae; genus Homo; species Homo sapiens. The sequence goes on along the minus strand of NC_000023.11, from coordinate 108,632,960 downwards.
CTATGTTGAACAGGAGTAGTGAGAGAGGGCATTCCTGTCTTGTGCCAGTTTTCAAAGGGAATGCTTCCAGTTTTTGCCCATTCAGTATGATACTGGCTGTGGGTTTGTCATAAATAGCTCTTATTATTTTGAGATACGTTCCATCAATACCTAGTTTATTGAGTTTTTAGCATGAAGGGCTGTTGAATTTTGTCGAAGGTGTTTTCTCCATCTATTGAGATAATCATGTGGTTTTTGTCTTTGGTTTTGTTTATGTGATGGATTACGTTTATTTATTTGCATATGTTGAACCAGCCTTGCATCCCAGGGATGAAGCCAACTTGATCTTGGTGGATAAGCTTTTTGATCTGCTGCTGGATTCAGTTTGCCAGTATTTTATTGAGGATTTTTGCATCGATGTTCATCAGGGATATTGGTCTAAAATTCTCTTTTTTTTGTTGTGTCTCTGCCAGGCTTTGATATCAGGATGATGCCGGCCTCATAAAATGAGTTAGGGAGGATTCCCTCTTTTTCTATGGATTGGAATAGTTTCAGAAGGAATGGTACCAGCTCCTCTTTGTATCTCTGGTAGAATTCGGCTGTGAATCCATCTGGTCCTGGACTTCTTTTGGGTGGTAGGCTATTAATTATTGCCTCAATTTCAGAGCCTGTTATTGGCCTATTCAGAGATTCAACTTCTTCCTGGTTTAGTCTTGGGGGGAGTCTATGTGTCGAGGAATTTATCCATTTCTTCCTAGATTTTCTAGTTTATTTGCATAGAGGTGTTTATAGTATTCTCTGATGGTAGTTTGTATTTCTGTGGGATCGGTGATGATATTCCTTTTATCATTTTTTATTTTGTCGATTTGATTCTTCTCTCTTTTCTTCTTTACTAGTCTTGCTAGCGGTCTATCAATGTTGTTGATGTTTTCAAAAAGCCAGCTCCTGGATTCATTGATGTTTTGAAGGGTTTTTTGTGTCTCTATTTTCTTCAGTTCTGCTCTGATCTTAGTTATTTCCTGCCTTCTGCTAGCTTTTGAATTTGTTTGCTCTTGCTTCTCTGGTTCTTTTAATTGATGTTAGGGTGTCGATTTTAGATCTTTCTTGCTTTCTCTTGTGGGCATTTAGTGCTATAAATTTCCCTCTACACACTGCTTTAAATGTGTCCCAGAGATTCTGGAATGTTGTCTTTCTTTTCATTGATTTCAAAGAAAATCTTTATTTCTGCCTTAATTTCATTATGTACCCAGTAGTCATTTAGGAGCAGGTTGTTCAGTTTCCATGTAGTCATGCGGTTTTGAGTGAGTTTCTTAATCCTAAATTCTAATTTGATTGCACTGTGGTGTGAGAGACAGTTTGTTATGATTTCTGTTCTTTTACATTTGCTGAGGAGTGCTTTACTTCCAACTATGTGTTCAATTTTGGAATAAGTGCAATGTGGTGCTGAGAGGAATGTATATTCTGTTGATTGGGGTGAAGAGTTCTAGAGATGTATCATAAGCATTCTTATACACCAATAACAGACAAGCAGAGAGCCAAATAATGAGTGAACTCCCATTCACAATTGCTTCAAAAAGAATAAAATACCTAGGAATACAACTTATAAGGGATGTGAAGGACTTCTTCAAGGAGAACTACAAACCACTGCTCAACGAAATGAAAGAGGACACAAACAAATAGAAGAACATTCCATGCTCATGGATAGGAAGAATCAATATCGTGAAAATGGCCATTCTGCCCAAGGTAATTTATAGATTCAATGCCATCCCCATCAAGCTACCAATGACTTTCTTCACAGAATTGGAAAAAACTATTTTAAAGTTCACATGGAACCAAAAAAGAGCCCACATTGTCAAGATAATCCTAAGCCAAAAGAACAAAGCTGGAGGCATCATGCTACCTGACTTCAAACTCTACTACAAGGCTACAGTAACCAAAACAGCATGGTACTCGTACCAAAACAGAGATGTAGACCAATGGAACAGAACAGAGGCCTCAGAGATAACACCACACATCTACAACCATCTGATCTTTGACAAACCTGACCAAAACAAGAAATGGAGAAAGTATTTCCTATTTAATAAATGATGCTGGGAGAACTGGCTAGTCATAAGTAGAAAGCTGAAACTGGATCCCTTCCTCACACCTTATACAAAAATTAATTCAAGATGGATTAAGACTTAAATGTTGAACATAAAACCATAAAAACCCTAGAAGAAAACTTAGGCAATACCATTCAGGACATAGGCATGGGCAAGGGCTTCATGACTAAAACACCAAAAGCAATGGCAACAAAAGCCAAAATAGACAAATGGGATCTAATTAAACTAAAGAGCTTCTGCACAGCAAAAGAAACTACCATCAGAGTGAACAGGCAACCCACAGAATGGGAGAAAATTTTTGCAATCTACTCATCTGACAAAGGGCTAATATCCAGAATCTACAAAGAACTTAAACAAATTTACAAGAAAAAATCAAACAACCCCATCAAAATGTGGGCAAAGGATATGAACAGACACTTCTCAAAAGACATTTATGCAGCCAACACATACATGAAAAAATGCTCATCATCACTGGCCATCAGAGAAATGCAAATCAAAACCACAATGAGATACCATCTCACACCAGTTAGAATGGTGATCATTAAGAAGTCAGGAAACAACAGGTGCTGGAGAGGATGTGGATAAATAGGAATGCTTTTACACTGTTGGTGGGAGTGTAAACTAGTTCAACCATTGTGGAAGACAGTGTGGTGATTCCTCAAGGATCTAGAACTAGAAATACCATTAGACCCAGCCATCCCATTACTGGGTATATACCCAAAGGATTATAAATCATGCTGCTATAAAGACACATGCACATGTATATTTATTGTGGCACTATTCACAGTAGCAAAGACTTGGAACCAACCCAAATGTCCATCCATGATACACTGGATTGAGAAAATGTGGCACATATACACCATGGAATACTATGCAGCCATAAAAAAGATGAGCTCATGTCCTTTGTAGGGACATGGATGAAGCTGGAAACCATCATTCTGAGGAAACTATCGCAAGGAGAGAAAACCGAACACCGCATGTTCTCACTCATAGGTGGGAATTGAACAATGAGAACACTTGGACACAGGGCGGGGGACATCACACACCCTGTCATGGGGTGGGGGAATGGGGGAGGGATAGCATTAGGAGAAATACCTAATGTAAATGATGAGTTAATGGGTGCAACAAACCAATACGGCACATGTATACATATGTAACAAACCTGCACGTTGTGCACATGTACCCTGGAACTTAAAGTATAATAAAACAAATAAATAAATAAATAAAATAAAAAACTATGCTCCTGATCTTTCTCACTAAACCTGCTTTTTTCAAAGTTTTTGTATTTCAGCATATAGCAACTCCACTCTATTTGCTCAGGATAAAAACTGGAGTCATTCTTGATTCCTCTCTCTCATATTCCATACACAAATCTTCCTGGCTTGACATATATTATATATTCAAAATCTGCCCATTTCTTATCACTTCCCCTGCCACTATCTTGATCCAAGCCATCAACATCATTAGCCTGCATTATTTAAATATCACCATAACTGGTTTCCCTGCTTTCCATCCTTGCTCCTCTATGATCTGTTTCCAAAACAGGTGCTGTGATAGTTCTTAAAATTAATGTACAATCATGTTAACTCTTTCCATTTGCTCCCCGATTCACTCAGGAGTAAAAGCCCCTACTATGATGACCTATAAGGCACTATATAATCTTTCCCCCATTACCAATCTAATCTCATCTCCTACTTTGTTTCAACTCACTCATTCTGTTTAACACACTGGACTCATTTATGTTTCTCAAACATGTCAGGTATGCTCACACCTCAGGGTTTTTGTATGACTTACTCTCTTACTGCAGTGTGGTCACTGCTCTATCTTATCAGAGAGACTTTCCCTTAGTAACCTATTTCAAAATATAACAATTTCCAGAAATTCCTATCATCAAGTCTTGCTTTACTTTTCATCATGAGATTTATCACATTCTAACATAATACAGACTTATTTATTTTGTTTATTGTATGACTCCTTGACTAAATATAAGCTCCTTGAAGGCAGTAAAAGTTTGTCTGTTTTGTTCAGGCTGTATCTCCAGCACCTAAAACAGTACCTGGTAAATCATACATACTCAACAGATATTTTGTGAATGAATAAATAAATGAGTACATAATTTGCCTATGTAAAAATTTCAAACATCTACATAACGAAATGCACAGTAAACATGCTATAAGACAAACAACTGACTGGGAGAAAATATTTGCAACAAATATAACAGACAGTGGATGCATCTTCACATTTATAATGTACTTTTACAAATCAGTATGAAATACATAACCAAGTCCTCTCGTAAAACAGTGAGGCAAAGAGTATAAATAGACAATTTACGAAAGAGTTAAAAACATCTGAAACCCCACTTGTAATCAGGAAAATTCAAATATAAACAATAATGATACACTACTTTTCACCCATTAGATTGGTAAAATTTTTTAAATTGATAACACCCAATATCTGTAGAATGAGGAGAAAATCACTTATACTAATCATGAAAGTATAAAGGTGTAGAGTTACTTAATTGGAAAATTTGGCAGTAAATATAGATATTAAAAAGGCACATATATGCTGGGTTCTAGCAACTGCTCAGAATTTATTCTATGGTGATATTTACCAAAGATTCTTAAGATATGTATGTAAGAATATGGATAAGAATCTTCAGTGCAAAATATGTTTGTAATCATGAACCTAGAAATAATTTTCATATTCATAATAGGTTAAATTATTTATAGTGAACCCCCATAAAAATACTATATAATTATAAAAAATAATAAGGCATACATTTATAGGCTGATAAAGAAAGTTTGTCAAGATTTACTATGTGATGACAGCTAGGTACAGAGCAGATGTATAGTATAATTTTGTATATATTAATTAAAATATGAGAAAACATCTACATTTGGAAGGTCCAGCATCATTTCATGTATCAATAATTGGGGAAAAATATTTACAATTTTAATTGTAATATGCTTTCCATCATAATAAGATGCATTCCAATATTAGATATTTTGGATGTAAAAAATGAGTATTAAAATTGATGAAATACCATATATGCATGCATATAAATGCATTTAGAAAACCTTTCTTGAAGAATATGAGAGAAACTACTAAAAGTGGTTACCCTGGAGAAGAAGAACTGGGGATTTGGGGTTTGCAAACATGTAAAAAGGAGACTTTTTATTTTACATCTTTTCATACTGGTTGTATTTTAAAATCAAGTTCATATGTTACATTATTATAAGTGTTTTAAAAAGCCAAAAAATTAAATGCACTTATCCTTTGATCCAACAATTACACTTTTATGAAACTATACAGTATAAATAACTACATATATGTCCACAGATATAATGTATGACGACAAAGAAAATTGTCTAAGATATATTGAAAAAAGAAATAAAAAGGGGTAAGTGATAAAGCAAGGTACAGAGTAGCATGCATACCATGATTCTACATATACACAATGTGTAGAAAAAACCCCAAACTCTATATGCATATATATAAATGTATAGAACAAGGAATTCAAATTTATATATCAACTATTGACAGTGGGCCTCTATGAGGAAAGGAATGGTAAAAAGAGGATGGGGCATGAAGAAGATTTTCACTCTTACCCTTAATATGTCTATATTATTTTTTAATAAAATCATATATTCAATGTCACTGGTAAAATATAAATATAACAGAGAAAATTAAAATTCACTTCAAGAAACTTTACATTGTTAAACTGGAATGAACATACAGAAACTTCTCTTGATTATCTCTTTATAAGACATTGATCAATTAGATGATCAAAATAAAGTATTTTTATATAATATTAAAAGAAAAATTATCCTTACATACAATTCAATAAATTCTTATATCACTGGGAACTTTCACTATTTCCATGAAAACTGAGTACCAAAATTCCTTTTCTAATACTTTTTAGGTCTGTGGTCTGACTACATGATTAAGGAGTTACTACTTTTTGACATGGAACTAAACAATTGTCAAATAAATTCCTGTTGAGTCCAATGATTCTGAAACAAATTCTAAATTTGATTACTTGAGAAACACCACCAAAGTTTTCACATTGAAGAGAGAAGTAGAGGGAATTGTAAAACTGTATTCAGAGGACTATCTCAGACACGCAGTTAAGAATACTACTACATTAGCATTAACTGTCACTTTGTTTATAAGTCTTTTCAAATTAGTTAATAATAACATTAGGACAAAGGCCAACAACTCCATCACTAAAAAGGGATGGACTAACAAGACCAGAAAAATCTAGGCATTGAGATTATTGAAGTATATCCAGAAATTAAGATAGAAGAAAAACAAAGAAACCAGAAAGTTTTCCCTTTTTATTTTGGACTGGCCACAAACCCTAAAACATATCTTCTTATCATCTAAGAGAAAAGAAAAGGAATAAATCTCTTATCCAGAATATACTATGTCATTCTATAGTTTGTTTAATGAAAACTTAGGAATGAGCATAGTATTAAAAAATTTCATATCTGCTCAAGTATGTGCCTAAAACTATATGCCAAAGATTACCTTTGGACCAGGAAGACCTGGAAGACCAATGCTTGAAATACCAGGATCACCTTTGTCGCCTTTCTGTCCAGGTAATCCTGGGGAGCCAGGTTGTCCAGGAACTCCAGAAGGTCCAGGAGGCCCTTCCACACCCTGAGGCCCTGTTGAAAATATGTGATATATAATATTTTACAAAATATGCTTTACTTGTGGATTATCTAAGATGCATATGACAAAGCAAAAAGATTTTTAAAAAGCTCCGCAAACTCTGAGTTAGATAATAATGAGCCTCACAAACACAATTATATAAAAGCCTACTTTTAAAGGAAGTTTAAATAAAAGGGGGTATAGCTGGAGAAAAGATGTTTGTGAATTATAACTTTTAAGGTTTCTACAATTTTGTCCCTTAATTCCCATTTTAAATATTTGTGTAACAAGAGAACACTACCCACTGATTACCTCAGATATCGTTTCAGTCTGATTCTATCAACACCAGCCTCTTTTCTGACAAAAAAAGAGATATTGAACCACCTTTCATTAATGGGACTAAATATTTGGAAGATTTTCATCACTCACCTGGAAAACCCATATCACCGATGGTTCCTTTAAGTCCAGGAGGTCCTATAAGACCTGGCTGTCCAGGGAGACCAGGGTTACCTTTGGGACCTAGAAAGGTCAAATTGGTAAAATTAAGACAATGTAGCAATATTGGGGTTGTCTGGTTTCATGGGAATGGATAGTCATTAAAATGCAAACATGGGATTAGATGGATTAAATCTGAATATATGATTAAGGTCCACAGATAGAACCCAACATAAAACATCTCCTTGGGAACATATTACAATATAACCATAGTAATAGAGGTCTCCTAATATAACTTTAAAAAAAAATTAAAAAGTTACCAGAACACCTTGTTTCTTTCCCTAAAACAATTCCAATCACCTGAAGTGCTATTTGCTGTATGTGTACAACTACCCTTAATGTATTTTCACAGATAAATCCAATATAATAAGTCTGTTTTTTAAAAGATTCAGAGATGGGCTTCTCATGTAGAGCGTGATTATATGAGATCAGAAAGAGAAAAGGTGGTAACCTGTTATGATATAGTTTAGTACATTAGGCCAGGGAGAGATTAGAGGTGGTGGACAGATACTGGGCAGTGACCTGAACAGGCATGGCTGCTCTGTTTGTACATTTTTCCTAGCACATAGGTGCTTGAGCTCTGTGATGTCATCTGGGTTTTTTCCTAGGACCACAGTATTGCCTTAAACTTTTTTTATTTTATTTTTTTCCTTTACAATGACTTCTAACTTGGAAAAGAGAATGCAGAAGATGTGAGGGAGAGATAGGAAGGGAGTTTCTCTTCCCAACTATATCAAGGCCATGTAGTATGGAGTCTAGCGCAAATAACTGAACTTAAGGGACTTTGTAAGAATGGGGACTGCTGCTCTTTATTTCCTTAGGAAACAAACTAAAAGAAAGTGGCTGAAGAAGAAACAAGAAAGAGTTTTAGTAGGATTTAAAAAAATGTCGACTCTAAGAGTGATTAATGCTGTAACTGACTACCAAGAGAATTTGTGAAATTTTCATGCCTAGAAATTTAAAAAAATAGAATCAATAGCCATCTGTTTTACATGGTTTAATGACTGACTTGTCTAAAGGCAGAAAGAAAAAAAAGCAGGACAAGATGAATTCTTCAGGCCTTCATGAGATAATTGTCTCATTTATATATTTTGCAATGTATGTAACAAAACACAACACCTTATTTGGATCACATTTCTGATTCTGTGTATACCCTGCTGCCACAAAAAGAAGAAACTGAATAATCAAGGCAAAATATCCTATAAAATCTGGACTGCTAAAACTAGAGCCAAAGGGCAATATTTTTGCCGAAAGTGAGCTCCATATTTCAGTAGCTACCCAAGCTTATTACCATGATCAAATCCACAGCATCTTCAAACATGACAAACACATAATTATTTATCCAGAATTCAGTGTCAGCTAAGCAATTGCTACAAATGGCCTATCACACTTACCTGGTGGTCCTGGTAATCCAGGTTGTCCACTCAGTCCAGGTTGCCCTGGGTCTCCAGGCAAACCCTGATAACCTTTTGGCCCTGAAACTCCAGGTATACCTTCCAAGAATGAGTAGAAGAGGCAAGTTAGGATGATATTATTCATCCATGAAATAACTTTGGCAAAGCAAGCTACTCAAGTGTTAAACTATAAGTGAATTAGAGGAACTGGTGATATTCTGATATAGTATGAGCTATTAGCACTGGACTCACACGAAAATCCTTCACTTTTTAGTTACCTACCATCAAGAAATTCAGAGCACTCAGTAGTGAAATCACTTTCCTATTTTGGGCCTCATTTTCTTACAATGGAAATGAAGAAATAAGGAATAAGGACAGATAATCTCTAGGTTATCTCTTAGATTCTGACTATATTTAATAAGCCTATAGTAGAGGTCAAGTATAGTTTACTGCCCCTATTATACAGGAAGCATAATTGAAACAGAAAAGAAGCCTTGCAAGGGGTAAGCCAAGAAAGTCATTCCATAAAAAATTAGGTGACCCTGCCTCTTTCTTGACTATATACAACACTGCATTAATATTTTTAATTCTTTTTTGAGGAAAAATCCCACCAAATCCTGCTCATAGGGAAACTGTTAACATCTGTGTACACTCACATACACATACACATACACATGAACTGACAATATTGATGGATAGAACGTACAAAGAGCCACAAACTTTACTATAAGCTGCAGATACACAGATATAGCTAGTTTTAACATTCCATATTGCTTGAAAGGCTATTCTATATAGATTGGGTGCCAAGTGCTTTATATAATGATTTATGCTTATCCATATTTTATGATGTTTTGTTATGAACATGTTATACTTCTATAAAAAAGGTTTTTTTTTTATTGAAAACCCCACGTAATATTTTACGCTGTATTTGTTTCTAATAAAATAACTATATGGACACAATTGTTCCCTAGATCTACTTTCAGTGACTTCCCCTCGGGCTGAACTTGGCTGTTCATAGTCCAATACTTGTTTATTCTGCCAAAGTAGAATAACGGTGAACTGTATTTGAAAGCCAAGTATGATATGGATATCAAAACACTGCAGTACAGCAATGTACCATTCGTCCTTATCTGGTATCAAGGAGAAAAAAATGAAAGGACTAGCAAATTTCCTAAACACTGAAATTTGTTTTTCAAGTAATTGTGGCTATATATCCTTTTCCTGTATTACTTTTTAGAAAGCTAGTAGTTGACTGCCTAAGTCTATTTTAAAACCTCACTAGTGGTTAGGTAAAGCTCGTGATAGGTAAACTATAAAGAAAATACTCAAACAAAAGTTGACTGGTGAAACAGTATGAATGAAGTGAAAATTAATATTTGTTACCAAAATTTGATGCATTTAAGTGCCTTTGTTGGTGAATTCTGTATTATAAGTCACTTTTCATGCTATTTAAAAATTAAACTTCAGATATATCAGGAAAAATATTCATAAATAAATTCATTCACTCACCTGGTAAGCCAGGTTCCCCCTTCTCTCCTTTTGAGCCCAGAAGATTTGGATCCATTGGTCCAGGAGGGCCTGGAAGGCCAGGCTCTCCTTTACTACCTTTTTCTCCTGTAGGGCCAGGAAGTCCTGGCTGACCCTGCAAGCCATCATCACCTAAAATCAATGTGTGTGAAAACACAATATATCAATTTTATCCATCAAAGATTAATGCATATAAAGATTATTGATATGTTTCATAGTTGAGTAGGCCACTGGCCACTCAAAACATTTATGCACCTTGGATGTACTCTATGAATTACTTGAGTGCATACACATTTTTATACTCAGATAACAATCCCTCCATCTGGAATTCCTTGACAACGATAGAGGCCGACTATAAAAAAATTAATGCTTAATCCAGACGGGCACGGTGGCTCAAGCCTGTAATCCCAGCACTTTGGGAGGCTGAGGTGGGCAGATCACGAGGTCAGGAGATCGAGACCATCCTTGCTAACATGGTGAAAATCCTTCTCTATTAAAAATACAAAAAAATATTAGCCGGGCGTGGTGGCAGGCGCCTGTACTCCCAGCTACTTGGGAGGCTGAGGCAGGAGAATAGTGTGAACCCAGGAGATGGAATTTGGAGTGAGCTGAGATCGCACCATTGCACTCCAGCCTGGGCAACAGAGCGAGACTCCGTCTCAAAAGACAAACAAAAAAATTAATGCTTAATCCTTATATTTTGTTATTTTGAGCTAAGCATTTACCATGTATCATGGTATCCAAACTAAGCACGTAACCAAATTGAAAACAAGACCTATTTAAATGCCATGTTACATAGAAACACAAGTAACCATTGCTCATTTTAAAACAGTCAACAAAAATATTCTGTACTGACATAAAGCTATATTTAATTTTCCCTCTCACATACGTCTGGCAGCAAACCTTGATTATTACCTTTAAGACCAGGTACACCACTCCTGCCAGGAATTCCCAAAGGTCCTGGTGGGCCTGGAGGTCCCATCATACCCATTTCACCTTTGGTACCTTTGAAGAATATCAATAAGTAATGTTTGCCTTTCTTTGACTTAGGGAACATAAAAAGTAAGTTTTAAGATGTCAACCAGAAAACTATTGAGGGTTGGACGTAAGGCACTGTTAAGTTTTAGACTTTTTGACCATAGTGCCCACTACTGCTGATACCCATGAATAAGGAGACTCAGTCTGGTAGCTAATCTCTAAAGATGGCCCCCCAGTGAACCATATGTCCCAGTATGTACAATCTACTATAAAACCCTCACCTGGAACTAGGGTTGATTCTGTACCTCACACTTGACTAAATGACATTGTGTGACTCCCAAGCCTAGATCAAAAGAAGTCTTACAGGCCAGTCACAGTGGCTCATGCCTATAATCCTAGCACTTTGGGAGGTTGAGGTGGGAGGATTGCTCGAGGACAGGAATTTGAGAGCAGCCTGGGCAACATAGTGAGACTCCATCACTACAAAGAAAAAAAGAAAAAAAAAATAGCTGTGTGTGGTGGTATGTGCTTGTAGTCCCAGCTACTTGGGAGGAGGCTGAGGCAGGAAGATGGCTTGAGCCCAGGGGTTTGAGGCTGCAGTGGGCTGTGATCATGTCCCACTGCACTCCAGTCTGGGTGACAGAGTGAGACCCTGTCTCAAAAAAAAAAAAAGAAGGAAGGAAGGAGAGAGAGAAAGAAAGAGAGGAAAGAAAGAAAGAAGAAAAGGAAAGAAAGAAAGAGAGAAGAGAGAAAGAAAGAAAAGAAAGAAAGAAAAGAGAAAGAAAGAGAAAGAAAGGGAAAAAGAAAGAAAAAAAGGGAGAGAGAGAGCGAAAGAAAAGAAATCTTGCCGCTTCTACCTGTAGTTCCTGAAACACTCACTTTTCTCTTGTGGGATTCTCTCTGTTGGAAGCCAGCTGCCATGGAAGGGGAGCAACCAGCCTTATACTACCATAATGTGAGGAGCCTAAGCCATGCGAAGAGGTACCATGGACGATGAGATGACATGTGAGCTAATGAACACCCAGATGTCAGAGAAGTGCCATCTTAGAAGTAGACCTTTCAGTCCCAAACACTCCAGCTGGGGCAACGTGGGTTAGAGATAAATGAACCAGTCAAGTCATCCCTTAATTCTAGAGCTGCAAAATCTTCAGCAAAATTAAAAGGTTGGTTAAAATCATTAAGTTTTGGGGTTGTTTGTTATACAGTAATATATAACTGGAACTCTCACAGAGAAAAATGTGCAGTGAAAATAGCAAAGTGAGCTTCCTGCAGTCATAGATATTTAATGCTCATCCTTAAGGGATCACGTCAATCTAGAAAAGTGTAACATGGGAATTATCTACCAGAGTCGTATTAGTTTTAATTTCCTTAATCCAAATCAGAGAAAACTTTAAACAAATTACCTGGAAATCCAGAGGCACCTGCTTTTCCTGGAAGCCCTGGTGATCCTGGAGGTCCTATAGGACCAGGTGCTCCGGGGATCCCTGGACTGCCTCTTTCACCTGGGGGTCCTGGAACATCAAGTCCAGGAGGTCCTGGATCCCCCTTCTCTCCTGGTATTCCATGTAAACCTAGTTAATACAATATCAATATTAATAAGTACTGAAGCAGTTTTAAAAGATGTATCTGGTTATATTTCTAGTAAACAAGTGATAGAACCCTGTAGATAACAGACCTAAGAGTGAGTTAGAGATACTTTTGACATCATGCACACAAAATAACTGAACAATCAAGCTTTAGGATTTTCAAGCAGATTGCTCTAAGACAGTGCTTCTCAAATTATTTCTGGCAAAAGGCCAATCTTTTCTTAATTCCTAGTTAATCACAGACTAATATTTTTTATAAAATACAATGAAAATTACTAAAACTGAATAAAAAGCCAAAGATGCAAAATAAAAGCCTACCTTTTTGGTTATTATATTCAACAGATACAATTACACTATCAAATTGCTATAAAAGTTTCTAAATGCTTATTCTCAACATTTGTATTAATCCTATTGCAGACTGATAGATTATTTGACACTGGTCTATTGAACACACTTACATTTGCATTGTTCTAATGTATTATAAATTATTAGTACACATCTCTATGAGCTCCCAAAATTATTGATTACTGAATAAGTCACTTAAGTGGACTTCTTAAATTGTATTTTACCTTTGTTTTGCACATTGTTTTAATAATACATTAATAATATGTTACTATTAGTATTTTTTGTCATCTTTTGTTTCTCCAACCAAGATTTTACAGAAAAAAAATGACACAGCAAAAAATATTTAACCTTAGTAAGTTTCTGTAAGGCTGATTTTCCCCCAAAAGCAAGGTGGTTAAAAAAGAGTATGTTTATGGGAAAAGAATTACACTAAAAATACTATGTAACTTCCCACTCCAAAGCCTACCAGCTGTGCGACTTACGTGAGTCACTTAATGTTGATCCTCATCTGCTAAATGGGGATTATGCCATAACCAATTGGAAACTAGGGGTTGAGCCAGATGATCATTCCAAGTCTCCTTTCAACAATAAGATCTAAATTTATTGTTGAAGACTCAGTGGTGATTATTTTTGTAGAGAGTAAGATGCTAGGGTTTTAAGATCTGTTTTATGTCATATTTCAGCATGGCCCTAAACTGACAAAATCCACTTTGAAGATTAGAGAATTACACTCAGTTGGCAAAGTAGCGATAGTTCCAATGCTGCCATTTTACAGTAAAAGACTATAAAAAGGAGAGAGAGATTTTTATATCATATTTGTGAAAGATGATATGATGCCTAACAGTGAACATGATTATAGCTTTATATGGATCACTATCTATTGTTATATTATAGCTCACAAAGATTTTTAATAGTTGGGTTTTCAATATAAATAATTTATCTTTTGAAACGTGCTCCAAGAGAGCAGTTCTATAAAATAAGGGAAATAAACCAAAGACTTAAATCTGGAGAAATGTTTGTTTTCCATGTTTAAAGCTTTACTTTAAGATATGGCTTTTGAGGAAGAACTACAGTACCTGGTACACCTGATGTTCAAGAGGCAGGGAATTACAGTTCAGCAGCAAGTTGGGCCACCCAAGCAGAAGTAAGTTGCAAAAAGTTTCATTAGGTTAGGGAAAAAAAAACTAAGCATTTAAAAATTAGAACATAAAACTCTACAAATAGAAGTTATTAGACCTCGATTCACTGCTATCATATATTAGAAATGAGTGAAAAAACTTATTTTAGGCATTTGCTTAGATGTTCATATAGCTTATTCTATAAATGAAATGTATTTGCCAATAATGACATAATAAAATATTTACATTCACAAAAGTATTACCTTTTGGTAAAGGTCAGCTTTTCAATTGTTTATCTCTGACTTAATGATTTAAATAATCTTTTTGGAATTTAAGCTCCTAAAGTTTAGTTCAAATTTAAAAATTAATTTAATTTTATACTACAACAGGTTGGGTATAGATAAATCAATCATTATTAGCATATGATTATGGAGAAACAACTTGCATGCACTAGGCAAGGATTTCTTTCTTCATCGTTATTATTAGTAGTAGTAATAACAGACATTATACTATACTTCCTCCCATAGCATAGATTTTTTCCATGAATACTGTCAGGAATACACATCCTGGTAAGATCCAGGATGAAGAAGTCAATATAAATCCCAAAGTTCCGCTAAATTTCCCCACAATAACAAGAATTGTATGGATATGTCTACAGATGTGATATAGGGATATACTGATGTTCTAAATTTATTGGCAGCCGAATGGAACCAGTTTATAAAAAAAGGAAAATTTCAAAAACATGTATTATTCGTGAGAACTTTCCATACACACACATACACACACCCTCCCCCTACCCAAGGGTTTTGTAGCCTCCTGAAGTGTTAGAAAACTATTTTCTCCTTCATCTATGAAAATGACATGAATAATTCATAAACAATTCCTAGGGTTTTGCTGTTGTTGTTTTGTTTGTTTTGATTCACATTAGTGGTGATGAATTTTTTTTTCCTCTTTAGCTGATTTAGCCATATGCTTTGTCCTAAGACTGGACACACACTATAACACGTTTGGTTCTGGTTATGATATGATCTGTGAACATGAAATAGAGTATATTTAACTGATCTCTAAAAAAATTCAGTAAGACAGTAATTGTACAGGTAATGGCCAAAGAAAATAACAAGAATCAACAACCTCCATTTCTGCCTGGGTTAGCAGGTCATGAGATGAAAAATATTTTGTTTCTAGTCCTTTGGCAATTTTTCTTTTATTTCCCTGCTATGGAATGGGAAACTGATATTCAATGGGACCTTATCTTATAACCGTGTTAAACTGTATAGCCTGGTTTAGAAAAGAGAAAGGTAAATAGTAAAAGCTTAATTAAATAATAGAAAACTGGAGTTCAAAGGAAAGCCTAAAAAGCATAATGTAAACATTCTACAGTAGAGAGATAACAGTATAGAATATTTTGCATTTTTCCTATCGCAAAATGAAATACAAGTATATTAAATAAGCTTATTACAAAAACATTGATAGAGTTTCAGCCATGCAACATAAGTAGGTTTATCAAGATATAAGAATCTTTCCGATTACCTTATTATTGAGATTTATGGACATAAATCAGGATGTTTTTTAAATGAACTAAGATAATATTCTATTTTGGTGATGTAAGTAAAATTTACTTAGAAAGTGAGTATCTGTGCCTTGTATAAATATGAAATGTGGTCCATCTCATAGTAAAATGAAAAGTACTGTGATTTGAGAACATTTCTATATTAAGAGTGAATTCAATAAATTTTCATGCTAGTTCCTGTTAATTTCATTTATTTGTTGAATCATATTAATATCTTGAATTCTATGGCTATACATATATTTACAAAAGAAATAGATGAAGTTTAATTCAGCATTATTACTTTTCTTCCTGCCCATCCTATTTATACTTTATAAATCAATATCTCTATATCTATATTATATTTATATCTATATATTTATCTATATATTATATTTATATCTGGTTATAAGTCCTTTGTCAGATATATCATATAACAGAGGGAGAAAGAAAGAGAGAACATTAGATTAATAAAACATTACAAGGTATCAGGTAAATCTGAAAAAGCGTGACACGTGTTAACATATTTGTATTTTGTTTAGATTCATATTAATGGTGTTCCTTTTTTTATTCGCACTCAGCTGTGACTTAAGAATTCAAAATGCTTCTAAAGACTCATGCACTTTTTGGAACTGAAACAAATGACAAAACACCATAGGAGTGATAAGTTCATTTTATCCACCTCTGTAAAACAGCAGGGGCCGGGCGCAGTGGCTCACTCTTGTAATCCCAGCACTCTGGGAGGCCGAGGCGGGCGAATCACCTGAGGTCAGGAGTTCGAGACCAGCCTGGTCAACATGGTGAAACCCTGTCTCTACTAAAAATACAAAAATTAGCCGGGCGTGGTGGTGCATGCATGTAATCCTGGCTACTCCGGAGGCTGAGGCAGGAGAATCGTTTGAGCCCAGGAGGTTGCAGTGAGCTGAGACTGCAGCATTGCACTCCAGCCTGGGCAACAAGAGTGAAACTCTGTCTCAAAACAAAACAAAACAAAAACAACAACAACAACAAAAAAAAAACAGCAGGTCAAACCTAAAAATAAGTGCTTTTTCCTGAAGATCCCTCTGCTTTGTTAGTTGGACAGAATGTTTTTTCCATAAGTGATAAAGCAGCTATTTTGTAACAACCTGGTTCAAAGCAACACTCTAAGTTTTCTTAGTTTTAAATCAGTAGTGACATGTCAGGGACCATAAAAAGGTATAATGTGCCATATAATCAATTGTAAATAGTACATAATGAAAATAACATTTACAAGCTTTTTATATTGTTAACCTGAGTTTCTAAATTTTTAGAATAATAACAAAATATCTACTGCCATTTAAGGTCAGGAAACATATAGCCATTGCTTCAGATAAATGTATGCACATCTGAACTCTGTGTTTAAGCCTTCAGATGTATTCATGTGAATTAAGGAACAATTAAATATTTCATATTTGTTTTAATTTCATAAATTATTATGGTATTTTGCAATAACATAATGATGGCCCCAAGGTGGCCTTTACTGTACTTACCTAGATTAACATAACGAGAATTCACATCACCAGACAGCTCAGAATCCAGAAACTCAATATGCTTTCACACAAATTTAGAGGAACCATATGATTTCCTATCTATAGAGGCAAACCCATTAGGTTACGTGTTGACAAAAGACCTTTTTGAGTATCCAATATAAAATATTAAAAGTAAAGATTTGGAGTGCTGATGAATTGCAAAATGACTGCTATTTTAGGGGCAAAAAGGGAAAATAACTCACTGAAAAAAAAAGAAAATGGGAATGCCTAAAATACACTTTTACAGAAAGTTTTGCTGAACCCTAATTCTAGTTGTCATGTGCTAAGAAATGTTAGGAGGTTCCACAAAGGTCTATGAATGCTGTACCGCTACTCAGATCTGAAATGATCAGCACTAGAAGTTTCTAGGCCTCTGCTTCCAAAACCATGTCTAACTCAACAATTACATATCAATAATACACTGCAATTGTATTATTGGAAATACATCAATTTTAGATGAACTCAGAAGGGAAATATCAGGGATTAAAGTAGCTTTTATGCTGTGGCTTGTACTTATCCACTTTTATAAAATCATACACATAGATAGATTGCCTTTTAAGTCTGCTTCTGGAAGACTGTTTTGTAGGTTTCACTTTATTGATGAGCTAACAAATGTATATATTATGAGTGCTACAAAATGCACATTTACTCTAATCTTACCAGGTTGACCTATTGGCCCAGGAATCCCTGGTGGTCCTGGTGGTCCCTGAACACCTATTCCTGGCAGCCCAGGAGGTCCCATTGGTCCAGGTTGTCCATTTGGTCCAACATCACCTTTAAGAAATAAATACAGTTTAAATATTAAAAGCAACACCTGAGTCACTAGTCCTTGGGAACCATATCATATTAAGCAAGAATCTTGAAAAACTGGGCATTCATTCAGCAAGAAAAGTACACATAAGTATCAAGAGCAAAGGATAGGGAATCTATTAATAGTTACAGCCTTATAATTTAACATATGCTGATCACTACTTCAATACTTAAATCAACTTCACAAGAAAGTACAAAAGATTACAAACCACATATTCCTTCTACTTGTAACTCATTGTGGACAGTTATATATTCATAAGTTTAAAATATATTTTCAAGTTACCTATATTTTAAGATAGATAACTTCAACATTTTCCTTTTTACTAACTCAGGGCCATGGCTTATAAACATGTTCAAGCTTCTCCCTTCATTAGTAAAACATCTCTTTGACATTAGAAACTTAACTGTCCATCTCTCCATCTTCTGTCTGTCCCTCTGTCACTCCCACTTTAAACAATTTTTACATGTACTAAAATTCTGTCTTTTTAGTGTACACTTTGATGAGTTTTGACAAAGGTATGTAGTCATATAACCACCACTAAAATCAAGACATAGAACATTTTCATAAACCCAAAAAAGCCCCTGTGCGCTGTAGTCAACTCGTCCCCACATCCCAATTACCTGGCAACCACTGATTTATTTTATGTCTTACAGATTTTTCTTTCCCAGAATGTCATACAAATGCAATCATATAGTATGTAGCCTTTTGAATATGTCTTCTTTCACTTAATACAATGCATTTGAGATTCACCCATGTTGTTATGTGTATCAGTAGTTACTTTTTACTGCTGGTTATTAGTCTATCAGATGAATATGTACATTTTGTTAATCTTTTTGCAATTTGAGGCACATTTGGGGTGTTTACAATTATTGGTGATTATGAATTAAGCTGCTATGAACACTGTTCTACGGGTTTCTATGTGAAGCTTCACATTTTTCTTGGGAGTAGAATTGCTGTGTCATGTGCAAAGACAATGTTTAACTATATAAGAAATTGTCAAACTGTTTTTCAAAGTGGCTGCACCATTCTGTGTATTAACTAGCAATGTATGAGAGTTCGAGTTACTCTGCATCCTTAGCAGCACTTATTGTCAGTTATCCTTTTTGAAAAAAGGCCAATTCTAATATTTATGAAGTGGTATCCCATTGTGGTTTTAACTTGCATTTCCCAGATGATAAATTATACTGAGCATCTTTACATGTGCTTATTAGACATTTGGGTGTCTTCTTTGGTAAGGTATCTACTCAAATTGTTTGCTCATTTTTCCAACTATATTTTAAAAGTTGGTTGTTTGTTTTCTTATTGAGTTTTGAGAGTTCATTATATATTCTGCTTATAAGTCCTTTGTCAGATATATGATATGAAAATACAGTTAATTTTAATAAAGTCCAATATATCCAATTTTTCTTTTATGAATTGTCTTTTTGGTATTCTAACAAGTTTTTGCCTAACATCTGATCACAGAGTTTTCTCTTATGCTTCTTCATCTAAAACAAGGGATGACAAAGTACTTCCCATGGCTAAATATGGCCTATAGGCCTCTTTTTGTGCTGCCTACATGCTAAGAATGGTTTTTACATTTTTAGAGGGTTGTTTAAAAAAGAATATGTGACAGAGACCATATATGTAGCCCATAAAGACTAAAATATTTACTCTCTAGCTCTTTGCAGAAAAAGTTTGCCTGCTTCTGTTCCAGAAGTTTGATAATGTTAGGTTTTACATTTAGGTCTGTGATCCATTGGGAGTTAAATTTTGTGCAAGGTAGGAAGTGCAGGTAGAGGTTTGTTATGTTGGTTTGTTTATATTTTTTTTTGCATATGGATGTCCAATTGCTTTATATTTTAGCAACATTTGTTGAAAAGACTTACCTTTCTGTTGAGATTGCCTTAGCAACTTTGTCAAAAATTAAATATGTGGGTGTATTTCTAGACTCTCTATTATGTTACAATGATCTATTAGTCTGTATTTCACACATACCACACTATTTTAACTATTGTAGCTTTATTTTAAGTCTTAACATCAAGTACTATGAATTGTCCAACTTTGTACTTCTTTCTCAAAATTGTTTTGGCTATTCTAGGCCATTTGTTTTTCCATATAAATTTTAGAAGAAAAATTGTGTGTTCTCCTTGAGAATATTTTCAATCTATGGATTGATTTGGAGAAAACTGATATCTTAACAATATCCATGAACACAATATACCATTCCATTTATTTAGGTATCTGATTTCTGTCAACAGTGTTTTGTAATTTTCCACATACAAAGCCTGCACATTTTTGTTGGACCTATGCATACCTAAGCACTTCATGTCATTTGATGCTATTGTAAATTATACTGTTTTTGTTTAATTTTTATTTCTAGTTGTTCATTGATAGTATATAAAAACATAATTTATTTTTAGATATTTGCTTTGTCCTATGATCCTACGAAATTCACCTTTTAGTTCTAGTAAATTTTTGTAGATTTATTAGGGTTTTCTAAGTATAAAACCATGTCATCTATGAATATAGGGAGTTTTATTTCTTCCTTTCCAATCTGTATGCCCTTCATTTATTTTGCTTGTCTTATAACATTGGCTAGGACTTCCAATACAATATTGAACCTTTTCATACCATCAAATATGGTAACAAATAACATCTTTGTGTTACATAACTTTGGGGAAAAGTATTCAGTCTTTCACCACTAAACATAATGGATCAAGATTTTGTAAATGTCTTTATCATGCTAAGGAAGTTCCCTTTTATTCCTAATTTTCTGAGACTATTTTTCCAGGAATGAATATTGAAACTTATCAAATAATTTTCAGGATTTACTGAGATTATAATACAGTTTTTCTTCTTTACTCTGTTGATATGGCAAATTACATTGATTTTAAAATGTCAAACCAGCCCGTATTCTAAGGATAAGCCTCACTTGATTGTAGTGTATTATCCTTTTCATATATTGCTAGATTTGACTTGCCAATATTTTCTTGAGGATTTTTATGTCTATGTTCATGAGAGATATTGGTCTACAGCTTTCTTTTCTCATATGTCTTTGCTTGGCTTTGATATCAAAATAATGCTGGCCTCATGTAATGGTTGGAAAGTGATCCCTCTACTTCTGTTTTTGGGAAGAGATTGTGTAGAATTGGTGTTACTGCTTCTTTAAATGTTTGTTAGAATTTACCAGTGATGCCATCTGGATTTGTAGTTTTCTTTGTTGGTGGGTTTCTAACTACAACTCAATTTTTAAAAAAATAGATTCCTGGATTGCCTATTTCTTCTTTAGTGAGCTTCAACAATTTATGTCTTTCAAGAAATTAGTCCATTTAATCTAAGTTGTCAAATGTATGGGCATGCAGTTGTTTGTCATATTTGTTTGATATAGATTTGTTGTTAGCATAAATTATATACTTTTGTATTTCTTTCAACATTTCCAAGCACACAATATTTGTCACAATAATACCTTTGGATGTTATTCTTGCTGCCCGGAACACCTTTCCCTTAAGTCTAAATTCAACTGTCACCATCTATATAAAACCTCTCCAGGTACCTTAGATAAGGCCCTGAACAAAAGTAATATATGAGGTAAACTGAATGCTTCCAAAATCATCTTTTTTTCTCTTTTGTATAATCTGATTCTAACGTTCAACCTTAAGCACATTTTCTTCCTCATATAGATATATCATGATGAGTATTAGCCTTATTAATTTATTATTGGTCACTACATTGTTTTGAAAGTGTTGCATCAACCTTTCCTACAGTTTAGTAACTGAGTTCTAATACCCATTCATTGGTGTGTTGTGTGTGTTTGGTAGGTGAACTTTTATTGTGATCTGCTTGCTGAGTTTTGAGTGTAGTCTACTGATCCAAAATATTAGTGATACATTTTCATAGAAGTTCCCATTGAGATAATCACTTTCATGGTGATGCTACCTAGATTTTCTCACAGTAGAGAGCAATCCTTGAGATCTTCAAGATCAGAAACTATGCATTTGAGCTTCTACTGATTCAGGTACTAGCTGGCATAGAACATAATAAATGTTTGAAGAATGAAGGAGTTACATGGCAGAATATCCCAAACACTTATTTTTCTAGCACCTAAAGAACTGTACTCGGCTTTTAATAATTGAGAATTACTCCTGTGAGGATATGGGAATGCCATATCCTAATTTCCTTCCAAAGATTAGGCAAATACCTGTTAAATTCATGTTTAAATAGCCTTCAATGCATTTCTTCACTACCACTGTGTCTCAAGAATATATACAAACAAAATACAGTAAGTGGGTAACTTCCACAGGAAGACTGTTTGCCACATATTTCAAATATCTTTATCTGCAATTTTTGTTGCTACAGGTCTACAGCTAGGGGAGATAACTGGTGGGAAACACAACTTGTAACTTTGAGTGTTACAGTTTACAGCTGGCCTGAATTGTTTAGTCAAAAACAGAAAGGTATTTTTTTAAGAGCTTATCTAAGAAGAGTTTGTATTGAGCTAGTCTGGGGCTTTTGCTGGCAGAATACAATCTAGCCTGGTTAAAATTGGATTGGGCTGTCTTACTGCTTTAATAGAAATCAATCCAACATGTTCCAGAAGCATGGCCCTGTTCAGATTACTCACTAGGAGCCAAAACATTGACGAGGGAAGTCGGGTTCCTTCCAAATCAAAGGAAAAAAAATGCAAGTCAGCTTTACTAATTCTATTCCTTCTCATTATTAGATAACTCAAAATCAAGGGAGTAGAAGAAACAACAGAGAAGTGGGTAAAGGATATTGGCAGTTAACAAGAAAAAAAAATATGGCCCTTAACACATAAAAGGATGGCCAATCTCACTCACAGTAAGAGACATACAATTTAAACCACTCTGAGAGTAAAGGCAAAGGACCTAATATAGCCAAAGAAATGTGTTTTTTTTTTTTTTAAGAATAAAGTTGGTGGGTTACATTACCTGACTTCGAGTCTTACTATAAAGCTACAGTAATATAAACAGTGTGGTACTGGCTTAATGACAGCAAAATAAATAAATAAAACAGGATTGACAGCACAGAAGTAGATCAACACATATATTATTATTTGATCTGACACAGATCCCAAAGTAATCCAATAGAGAGGGGATTATTTTAAACAAATGATGCTGAACAAAAATTATTTGACATGTGTAATAGTTTTAAACATAGAAACTAAAACTATAAAGCTTATAAAATAAAACATAGAATACCTTGGCAACTTTGGGGCAGGCAAATGTTTCTTAGACAAGACACAGAAAATTATAATCATATAAGAAAAAATTGATAAATGAAACTTCAATAAAATTAAAACTTTTATCCATCAAAATACAGTAAGGAAATGAACAGGTCAGCCAGCCAGGGCTAAAATGCTAATAAACATATATCTAGGAAAGGGCCAGTATGCAGGACATAGAAATAACACTTCCAACTTAATAATAAAGTGAGAAACAAACCATCTTTCAAAATAGACAAAATATTTGAATATGTAAGTAGCTCACAAGTACATAAAAAAGAACTCAACATCATTAGTCATCAGGGAAACGTAAATTAAAATCACAATATGATGCTACCACACACCTACCAACATTCCAAACTTTGAGAAAATGTGGAACAATGCAAATTTCTGAACCACTTTGGTGTAAATTTAAAATGGTATCACCATTTTGGAAAAAGGTCTAGTAGTTTCTAGTACAACTAAGCATCCACTTATGATCCAACAAATCTGCTCTTAGTTGTTTACTGAAGCAAAATGAAATCACATATCCATAAAAAAGAATTGTAAAAAATGTCTTTAACAGCTTCACTCATAGTAGCCAAAAACTTGACACAACCCAGGTATCCATGATACAGTCACATAATAAAATACTCAATGATTTCACTGAAAGAAAAGAACTATTGATAAACACAACAACATGGATGGATCTCCAAAACATTATGTTGAGTGAAAGAAGCCTCAGAAAGAAAGTACATACCGTATGTTTCCATTTATAAGGAGTTCCATTTATAAGGAGTTAACAGGCGAAATAACTTATGATGAAAAAATCAACAGTATAGTTGCCACTGTGGATGATGGGATAGGGACTGACTGGAAAGGGGCATAAGGAAAATTTCTAAAACAATATCTTGATAAAGATTTTGTGTTATACAAGTGTATGCATTTGTCAAAATCCAGTAAATGTACCCTTAAGATTTATGTATCTCATTTAATGTGAATTACATATCAGAAGAAAAGTAATATACAGCTATGGAATTTTAGTTATGGTATGCATGCTGAAGTATTTAGAGAGAAGTATATTGTTGTTGTAATTTATTTTGATATGCATCAAAAATAGATGAATGGATGGAGACAGGGATGGATAGATATGTGACAAATAGTATATAGTATTTGTCAACATATAGTAAAATGTTGACAGTAAAATATCAGTGATGGGTATATAGTAGTCCCAATAAAGTTCTGTCTACTTTGTTATATTTAAAATTTTAAAAAACAAAACGTTGGCAGGGAGATAAAAGGTTCATTGTAGAATCTGGGTGGTAGATATACAGCTGTTAACTGTACTATTATTTTTCACAGTACTTAAAATTTTTTAACAATAAAATGTTTAAAAATATACTTAGAAACCTACTTACTTCATCAGGTTAGCAAAAATCCAAGAGTTTGTCAGCATACTCACTTATCAAGGCTGTGGGGAAACACACTCATACATTGTGGGTGGAGTGTAAATGGTGCAAATTGAGAGGAATCTGACAATATCCAGAGATGCATTTACCCTTTAATTCAGAAAATCCTTTTTCATCACTTTATTTTACTATTATACCTGAACACATCTGAAATAATATGCATGAAAGATTATTCACTATGGCATTATTTGTAATAAATGATTGGCAAAAATCCAATCTAGCAACTAGCAACTGGGATGAACTATGGTATATCCACGCAATTTAACACTAGGCACCTATTTTCAAAAAGTTAAGATCTCCATCTACTGATATGGAGTGATCTTCAGGATACAAATTTCAGTAAAAAAATAAAGTGCAAATAAAGTCAAAAGAAAATACCTTCTCCTTTAAGAACAGAGAAAATAAAACAAATTCTTGGCTGGTATTTATATAAGAAACACCAGAAGGATCCCAACACTTTGAGAGGCCGAGGCGGGCGGATCACGAAGTTAGGAGTTCGAGACCAGCCTGGCCAACATGGTGAAACCCTGTCTCTACTAAAAATACAAAAATTAGCTGGGCCTGGTGGCATGCATCTGTAATCCTAGCTACTGAGGAGGCTGAGGCAGGAGAGTTGCTTGAACCTGGGAGGTGGAGGTTGCAGTGAGCCAAGATCACGCCATTGCACTCCAGCCTGGGAGACAGAGCAAGACTCTGTCTTGGGGTATGGGGGGAGGGTGGGGGGAAGAAAGGAGAATAAAAAATAGTTAAGCAGGAGGATGGAGAGGAACAAAGTGGATGAAGATGGGTTGGAAGGAAGACTTCTCAGTGTTACTTTTATAACATATATGATTGTTTTTTTTTTTTTTTTTGAGACAAAGTCTCACTCTGTCACCCAGGCTGGAGTGGCTTACTGCAACCTTCACCTCCCAAGTTCAAGTGATTCTCCTGCCTCAGCCTCCCAAGTAGCTGGGATTACAAACATGTGCCACCATGCCCGGCTAATTTTTCTATTTTTGGTAGAGACGGGGTTTCGCCATGTTGGCCAGGATGGTCTTGAATTCCAGACCTCAGGTGATCCGCCCACCTTGGCCTCCCAAAGTGCTGGGATTACAGGAGTGAGCCACCGTGCCGGGCCATGATTTTATTATCTATTCAATGAAATAAAAGACAAAAATAATCAATGAAGGATTGAAAAAAATGTGTAGCAGTAACAGAATGGCAGCATAGGGTTTCCAGTTAATTGGGCTTATCACCCATAAACTTTCCCAAAGGTGTCAATTTCTATAAAAGTTAAAAGCAAGTTGAGATGCAGTGACAGCCTCCATACCTTTTGGTCCAGGGAGCCCATCTAAGCCAGTGCGTCCTGGAGGACCCGGAGGTCCTGGGAAACCACGATCACCTTTTGGACCAAGTGCTCCTTTGAAACCTGGAAGTCCTGGTGGCCCAGGTGGCCCAGGTAATGCAAATCCTGGTTCACCCTTGAGCATACACATGACAAAACACAACAAAAACTCCCATGACTTTTCTGTCCTTATTGTTTGCCACAGAGAATTTAATGCCGAAAATACAAGACAATACTTTTCCTTCCATGGGGGGAGAGGAGAAGATAATTAAATAAAAAGTAATTGGTATGTTGGAGAAAACATATGGAAGGATTGGAAACAGGGTTTAGTAAAACAAATTAGATGATTTGGACTGGTTTCAGGATAAAAAAAAAAAACTGAGAGAGCATGAGATTAAAGAACAGACTACCCTTGTAGGGAAATATGATTATAGGCTGAGTATTAGATAATACTAAACAATTATTTTTAATTTTACTAAGTATGATAACAACATTGTGGTTTTTGTATAAAATGTCAATTTATTTAGAGATGAGTGCTGATGCATTTATAAGTGAAATGATACTGTGTTGAGATTTGGGTAAAATATTTAAGCAAAGTAAAAAGGACTAGATGAAGCAAATGTTATAAAATCATAATAATTTTGAATCTGGGTGATGGATATGTGAAAGCTCATTGTATTATTCATTTTACTTTTATTTTCATTTGAAAATGTTCATAATAAAGAGAATCAACCAATAGAGAAGTGGTTTTCTCATGAGAACTGGTGTCACGGGTTAACTGTTTTTCCCATGAAAAATAAGTAATAATTACAAAACACAGGAGGTTTAAATCAATGACGCAGAGATAAAATATATAAAAATAGTCACGATAATTACATGCCACAGCAGCTCTTTGCTGAAGGTTGACTCAGGAAAGCTTAACATTAGATAAGAAATAATAAAAGGAATGAAAAGTAACTCAAACACAGTATTATTTATTATTAGTATTACTAAGTCAATTGCAGTGATTTGCATTATGTATCTGTAATGGAATTGGGACAGAGAACAACAGTATACAAGGTCTGGAAATGATATTCAACACCATTTCAACCAATCATCACACAGGCATGAACAGAGATGACATGGGATGATGACTCTATAGAGATGCACAGAGGGAGCAGACCATCGTACAGGCATACCTTATTTTATTGTGCATCATTTTGTTGTGCTGTGCAGACACTGCACTTTTTACAAATTGAAGGTATGTGGCAACCCTACATTGAGCAGGTCTATCAGCGCAATTTTTCCTATAGCATGTGCTCACTTTTTGTCTCTGTGTCACATTTTGGTAATTGTCACAATATTCCAAACTTTTTAATTATTATTATATCTGTTATGGTGATATGTGATCACTGATGTTACCACATAATTGTTTTGGGGTACCATAAACTGTGCCTGTATAAGATGGTGAACTTAATAAAAAAATGTTGTAAATGTCTGACTGCTCCACTGATCAGCCATTTTCCCCGCATCTCTCTCCCTCTCCACAGGTCTTTCTATTCCTTGAGACATAACAATATTGAAATTAGGCCAATTAATAACACAACAATGGCCTCTAAGTGTTCAAGTGAAAGAAAGAGTCACATGTCTCTCACTTAAAATCAAAAGCTGGAAATAATTAAACTTAGTGAGGAAGGCATGTCAAAAGCTAAGGTAGGTTGAAGGCTAGGTCTCTTGCACTAAACAGTTAGCCAAGTTGTGAATGTGAAGGAAAAGTTATTTAAGGAAATTAAAAGTGCTACTCCAGTGAACACACGAATGAGAAGAAAGTAAAACAGCCCTATTGCTGATATGGAGAAAGTTTGAGTGATCTGGACAGAAGATCAAACCAGCCATAACATTCCCTTAAGCAAAAACCTAATCCAGAGCAAGGCCCTAACTTCAATTATCTGAAGACTGAGAGGTGAAGAAGCTGCAGAAGAAAAGTTGGAAGCTAGCAGAAGCTGGTTCGTGAGGTTTAAGGGAAGAAGCTGTCTCCACATCATAAAAGTGCAAGGTGAAGCAGCAAGTTTTGATATAGAAGCTGCAGCAAGTTCTAGCTAAGATCATTGATGAAAGTGACTACACTAAACAACAGATTTTCCATGTTGATGAAACAGCCTTCTATTGGAATAAAATGCTCATAGGACTTTCATAGCTAGAGAAGATAAGTAAATTACTGGTTTCAAAGCTTCAAAAGGCAGGCTGACTCTATTTTTAGGGACTAATGCAGCTGCTGACTTTAAGTTGAAACCAATGCTTATGTACCATTCTAAAAATTCTAGGGCCTTACGAATTATGGTATATCTACTCTGCCTGTGCTCTATAAGTGGAACAATAAAGCCTGGATGACAGCAGATGTATTTAAAGCATAGTGTACTGGCTATTTTAAGCCCACTGTTGAGACCTACTCCTCAGAAGAAAAGATTCCTTTCAAAATTTTACTGCTCATTTACAATGCACCTAGTCACCCAAGAGCTCTGATGGTGATGTACAAAGAGATGAATGTTCTTTTCATGGCTGCTAACACAATACCCATTCTGCAGCCCATGGATCAAAGAGTGCTTTTAATTTTCAAGTCTTATTATTTAAGAAACACATTGTGTAATGTATAGCTGTCATAAATAGTGATTCTTCTTATGGATCTGGCAAAACAAATTGGAAACCTTCTGAAAAGGGTTTCATTCTAGATGTCATGAAGAAAATTCAGGATTCATTAGAAGAGGTCAAAACATCAATATTAACAGGAGTTTGGAAGAAGTTAATTCTAACTCTCACAGATGACTTTGAGGGTTTCAAGACTTCAATGGAGTAAGTAACTGCAAATATGGTGGAAGTAGCAAGAGAACAACAATTATAAGTAGAGAATGAAGATGTGAATGAATTGCTGCAATCTTATAATAAAAGTAGAACAGATGAGCAGTTGCTTCTTATGAGCAAAAGTGATTTCTAGAGATGGAATCTACCCTGGTGAAGATGCTGGGAACAGTGTTGAAATGACACTAAAGGACTTAGAATATTATATAAACTTAGTTGATAAAGCAGCAGCAGGGTCTGAGAAGACTCACTCCAATTTTGAAAGAGGTTCTACTGTGGGTAAAATACCATCAAACAGCACCACATGCTGCAGAGAAATCTTTTCTGAAAGGAAGAGTCAATTGATGTGGCAAACTTCATTGTTGTCTTATTTAAAAAAATGGCCACAGCCACCCAACCTTCAGCAACCATCACCCTGATCAGTGGGCAGCCATCAATATTGAGTCAAAACCCTCCCCCAGCATAAAGATTATAACTTGCTGCAAGCTTAGATGATTGCTAAAATTTTTTAGCAATAAAGTATTTTTAATTAAGGTATGCATATGGTTTTTTTTAGACCTAATGCTATCGCACACTTTAAAGACTACAGTATAGTGTAAACATAACCTTTATATGTAGTGGGAAACAAAAAAAGTTGTGTGATTCACTTTATTTTGATATTCACTTTATTGTGGTGGTCTGGAACTAAACCTGCAATATCTCCAAGGTATGCCTGTATTCTCTAATCAAAGAACTGGGCATTCAAAAGTAGGTACAGAAATTAGGTTTTTTTTTTTTTTTTTTTTGCTCCAAATGTGACCTTGGACTATTAAAGATGATTTGGGGTTAAATATTTTTTTAATGGAAATATAATAAGTTATCTGTATATTTATAGTAAAGACTTGGGGCTTGGGATGATATCTGAGTCAAAATAGAGAGCTAGAAATAAGGAAGGTGGGAAAGATAAGAAAATGAGAAGGAATAAAGAAAAATGTCCCAGACCTTTGGTCCTGGAAAGCCGGGTGGCCCAGGAGGGCCTTCTAGACCAATTCTTCCAGGTGTCCCAGGTGCTCCTGGAGGTCCTGGAATTCCAGGAAAGCCTGTAAAATGATAAGTCATTTTTTAACCACCAAAGGAAAGGCACTTTAAGAAAGATATTCAAATTCCCAAACCCACATTCTACTCATGCTTAGTGACAACAGTAAGATGTCAAAAGCACAATGACATTCTACTACTTAGGATTAAGCCTTACAATCCTCTCAATCATCTTACATTCCTTTTATTTTCACATAGAGCTAATGTATGTGGAACATATGCTTTTCTGAAGAAAATGAGGGCTATTATATAATAAGATAGAACTAAATTGTAAGGAATGAATCCCACACAAAAATGCCCAAGAACTTTTCTTCTGCTTATATCTGGATGTAGTATGACAAAGGGCCTACCATATAATTTTGGAAATGATCTAAAAATAACTGCAGATATTATAGATACATACACACATAAAATCAAACCTGATACTTTTGAAAGCATTTTGTATAAATGAGTAAAGATATATTTAAGAACTGTCCTCAGACCACTGTGTGCTCTTGCCATTTGTGAGAATAAATTCTGTGAGGAATAAAGCAGAACTGAAGCATAAGCCCTAAAAATTTCAATAAATCAAGAAAATATTATTTAGCATAAAACATTACTTGGCTACACATCTGCAATAAGTCTGTTTTCTGTTTAAAAAATCCTTTAACTCAATAAACATCAAGTGCACACTATGTGTTAGGAACTGTTCTAAACCCTGAAAATACTATGGTGAACACAAAACACAATAATTCCTGTGATTTTTAAGCTTATATATCACTTTTGCATATCTAAAATGTAGATATTTTCTTGTCTGGACTGTTTTAGATAAAGATAATGAACTTACAGTGAAAATACACTGTGATTTTTTATTTACATTCTTTATAGCACAGAGAAAAAAGGTGCAATTAATATATTTTATTTGTTGAATGAATTTTATGAGAGAATAACATCATGCTAAACTTCTAACCTACTCTGCCTGCTACCCATTCCAACATACCTTTGGGACCAGGTGGTCCAGGAAGCCCAATTCCAGGGATACCTGGTTCTCCTTTGCTACCAGGTATCCCTGGCAAGCCTGGTTGCCCTGGAAGTCCAGGGTCACCTATGGAGAAACAGCAGTTATTGAAAGGAAAACGTTCAAAGAAAGAAGCCATCAGGGCCAGGTGCAGTGGCTCACTCTTGTAATCCCAGCACTTTGGGAGGCTGAGGCAATGGGTCACCTGAGGTCAGGAGTTCGAGACCAGCCTGGCCAACGTGGAGAAACTCCGTCTCTACTAAAAATACAAAAATTAACTGGGCGTGGTGGTGGGCGCCTGTAATCCCAGCTACTTGGGAGGCTGAGGCAGGGAGAACTGCTTGAACCCAGAAGTAGGAGGTTGCTGCAGCAAGCCAACATCACGCCACTGTACTCCAGCATGGGTGACAGAGCGAAACTCTGTCAAAAAAAAAAAAAAAAAAGCCATCGGTGTTGAAGTTACTTTGAAATAAATTCCTCACATACCTGGAAGACCTACATCACCATCTCTGCCTGGGTTACCAGGCAAGCCAGGCTTCCCCGGCTGGGTTATAGTCTGACCTGGATCCCCTTTAGGACCTGAAAGCAAGAGTAAATCAATGGTAAATGAGAAGTATTTACTCAACTAAAGGTCTCTTTTTAATTAAAAACAAAAAAGAAAATTATCAGCAATCTTTTGAAAATGTAAACTAACAAAAATTCACAAGAAAAACAATCTTCCACTATATATTCAAGAAATATATAAAACAGAAGGATAGAATTTCAAAAAGAAAAAGGATATGACAGCCTTAAGGACTTCCATGATTCAAGATGTATAATGGTTAATTTTAGGTTTCAACATGACTAGATTAAGAGATACTGAGATCGCTGGTAAAGCATTATTTCTAGATATGTCTGTGAGGCTGTTTCCGAAAGAAACTGACATTTGAATCAGTGAAACGAATAAGGATGATCCACCCTCACCCAATGTGTGTGGGTACCATCCAATCAGCTGAGGGACCGGATACAACAAAAAGGCAGAAAAAAAGGTGAATTCTCTGCTCTCTCTCTTTTGAAACTGGTACACCCATCCTCTCCTACCCTTGGACATCACAACTCCAGGTTCTCTGGCTTTCAGACTCTGGGACTTGTACTAAGCAGCCACTCAGGTTCTCAGGCATTCAGACTAGGACTGAGCCAAGCTACTGGCTTCCCTAGTTCTTCAACTTACAGGTGGCCTACTGTGGGATTTCTCAGCCTCCATAATCATGTAAGTCAATTCCCATAATAAATCACCTCTCATCTATCTATCTATCTATCTATCTATCTATCTATCTATCTATCTATCTAATCTACCCATCTGTCCATCCTTTTTATTGGTTCTGTTTCTCTGGAAACCCCTAAAACAGGGTGTTACCTATATAAGTATTTTTAAAATGTAGGCCAAAAGAGCATTAAAAATCAAACTGTAGTAAACAAGGAAAATATTTTTTTGGCTAATAGGTACATTTAGGTTTTACATGTGCAAAGTTCAAGTATATCTACTTCTTATTAATGGAAACATGAACTTGAAATTGGCTCAAGAAAAAAAAGATTTCCTAAACATGACACAAAAAGCACTAACCATGAGAGAAAAGATTGATAATTTTGATGATGTGAAAGTTGTTTTCTGCTCATTGAAGACACCAAACAAAGAGTAAAAATGGCAAGCCACAGTAGGTAAAGATTTCTTTTCGCAAAATACATAGGTAACTAAGAACTAATGCACAGAATATATAAAGAACTCCTCTAAATCAATAAAAAAAGAAATAATCCAATATAAAATTGGTCAAAGTACTTGATTAGGCATTTCACAAAAGCAAATTCAAATGACCAATAAACACATGAAAAGGTGCTAAACTTTAATCAGAGAAATGCAAAATATCACACTCAACAGATTGGCAAAAGTGTAAAAGTCCGACAATACAAATTGTTTCCAAGGATGTAAATCAACATAAAATATTCAACACTGCTTGTGGTAGTAAAAATTGGTACAATTGGTCTGGATAGAGTTTGTAATTATCCAGTCAAGTGGAAGATGCACTTATCCTATGCTTTGAAAATGCTAATCTTAAATACATACCCTAGCCCAGGTATTGGTAAGCCTTTTGTGTAAAGGACCAGAGTAAATACTTTAGGCTTTGTGGACCATCCAGTCTCTGTAGCAACTACTCAACTCTTCAGTTGTAGTGCAAAAACAACCACAGACAAAAGTGAATGGTTGTGGAAGTGTTCACATAAAACTTTTATTTATAACAGGTGGTAGGCTGGATGTGGTCCATGGACTGTAGTTCTGTAGTGTGCCAACTCTTGCCCTAGAGAAGTGTGAGCACATGAACACAAGGAGATATAGGGATCTATCTATCTACCTAGCTATCTATCTATATGACTGTAAACAGAAGCATTATTCATAATAGACCTGAACTGTAAATAACCCAATTAACCATTAACCATAGAATGGATCAATCAACTGTAACACACACACACACACACACATAAACATACATACAATGAAATACTATATAGCAATAAAAATGAATACACTATAGCCACACGAAAAGTTAATATAAAAAACACTTACCCTATGATTCCTTTAACATGAAGTTCAAAAAGAAACAAAATTAAAATACTCTGTTTAAAAATGCATACAGAGGTCATAAAACAGAGGGGTAATGGAAGAAAACTATGTAAAAGTCAAGACAGCAGACAGGAGGAAGGGGATTGTGATTAGGAAATGACAGGGAGAAAAGGTTAGGGGTTTCTAGGATGCTGGTAACATTCTATTTTTTGATGTGTGTGGTAGCTACCTGTGTGCTTCTGTTATAACTATTTATTAAACTTTGCATTATGTATCATGTACTTAAAAAGAGCAAAATTAACAGTAACAATGAAACAGTTAGAAAAGATTTAAAAAGAAACCCCCTTATAAAAACCATTGTGATCCCTTGCTAAGATGCTCTGAAGAGTTCAAATATAAACGGCCAGGGAAACACACCTCTCGGGAAAGGAAGCCATGAGTAGCCAAAACATAATAAATTTCTGTTTTTAAGCACCAAGTTTAAAACAAAACACAGTAAACTTACCTGGTATTCCTGGCTGGCCTGGATTTCCTGCCACACCTTGTATGCCTTTTTCACCTACTGGGCCTGGAGGGCCGAAACCAGGGGGACCCATAGGCCCTATATTCCCTGGGAGGCCTGGTAAACCTGGGTTCCCAGGGGGACCTCTTTCACCCTTAAAAGTAATTCCACCCTAAAAAGGGAAAAGTTTAATACAGAAACATATAGATACAACAACTATCTGTAGGTTGGTACTGAATACAACTGGGGAAAGGATATAGCCATAAATAGTTCTTCTTAAAAGCTATATAAGTGAGTGGTATTATGAGATGGTATGTGTGATCATTCCACTTACTCATTCCTCCAACAAATATTTTTGGGCTCCTACTATGTGTCAAGTGCTGGTGATACAACAGAAAACAAAAATACACAAAAATCTCTGACTTTATGCAGCTTACATTTTAGTGTAAGTCAGAAAGGTTATAGTCTAGATAACATTATAAAATATCACTTCCTACCTAAATATCCTGGGCTGTGTGTTATGTACAAAATAAGATTGTTCATTTATGTTAAATCTTTCAGTTCTGTGGCACATTGAACATGGCTATCTACTTGTACTATTCTCTAAGCTTACTATATATATAGAAACAAGTTAAACTGCTGGTTATGAGGTTTATTTATTTATTTATTTATTTAATTTATTGTGATGGAGTTTTGCTCTTGTTGCCCAGGGTGGAGTGCAGTGGTGCAATCTCGGCTCACTGCAACCTCCGCCTCCCGGGTTCAAGTGATTCTCCTGCCTCAGCCTCCCGAGTAGCTGGGATTACAGGCGCCCACCACCATGCCCGGCTAATTTTTGTGTTTTTAGTAGAGACAGGGTTTCACCATGTTGGCCAGGCTGGTCTCGAACTCCTGACCTCAGGTGATCCGCCCACCTCAGCCTCGCAAAGTGCTGGGATTACAGGTGTGAGCCACCATGCCCAGTCATGAGGTTTAAGTAAACCCAAGGAAAGATATGTGGGGGTTAAGAGATGGGGAACCTTATACTGTCTCATAAACATCTTAACCTCCTGCCCACCTATTCATAGAAAATAGTATTCAATATTAATGGGTTAAGAAAAATAAGTTTACAAAACAAGTGAAAGAAAAGAGTAGTGCAGAAACCCTACGTAGTCAGTAACAATGTGCCATTACTGTATGGTCACATTGTTTTAAGCATTGATTGGGTGTTTATCTCAGCATCAGTCCCATCCTTTGAATTAACTTAGAAAACATTTCTAAGTGAAAATTTAACATCACAAAACCAAAAATATCAAACCAACTCACAGGCTCTCCTTTCGGGCCAGGAAGCCCTGGCAATCCATCCTGTCCAGGAGTGCCAGGTAAACCAGGAAGCCCTGGAGCTCCAGGGGAACCCAACTCTCCTTTGTCACCCTTCATTCCTGGAAAAGTGAGGATATCACCAGGTTCACCTTTAGATCCAGGAAAGCCTGGAGCACCTGGAGCTCCTGGAATGCCCTGAAATGAGTAAGGAAAAAAAGAAAAAAGAGTGGAAAAAGAAGAAAGAGAAAAAGAAAATCAGTTTCTTTTTTTCTAACATTTTCTTCTCTCCAGTTTACCCCTTCAACCCATCCAATAACATTTAATGTACAAAGGGCTGAATCAAGTGAGGCATGTGAGTCAGGAAGAGTCAAGGAATCAAACAAAGTACAACTTAATGGAAAAATTAAATTGTATATGTGTGTATATATATGAATAATTGAAAATCAATGTGTAAAATGCCTTCCTTCTACTTCTTTTTGTTTTATAATATACTCAAAACTTACTGGTAATCCTTTGGGACCAGTTGCACCAGCTTGTCCTTTTTCCCCTTTCTGTCCAGGGAAACCAAGAGATCCTAACACACACACACACAAACAAACACACACACACACAATAACGTAAGCTTTGAGCTTGAACTCCTGACAAAGCTCATACAGAAATCATCAAGTCAGAAAGTCAAGTTTTTAAAATAAGAACCCCATTCAATCCCATTTAAGTCACATTTGTATTTTCCTTTTATGTTCACAAAATGAGGTAATCATCCTTTTTAAAAAATAAATTTAACATTTCATGTTACATACAATATTGTATCCTAAGAAACTTTCAACTCCAAAGCAGACTTTCTCAGACCTTGCAACTGCCAAATACTATGCACAACGTTTCCTGGGTTCCTATGATGTTCCCATTGCCAAAGGGAGAAAAAAGATAATGAAAAGGTTTGAATATCTTTGTTCTGACTTATGCAGTTTTCCTAGATCCTTACCAGTCCTTTCTTTGGTTTGTCATTCCCTGAAATTTGGTTTATGAGAAACATTTGCAGCCCAAAGACTAGAGGAAACATTACTAAAGCAGTGGTTCTCCAAATGGATCCCTGGATGAGTGGCATCATCACCACCTGGCTACTAATTAGAAATGCTAATTCTTGAGCCTTCATCCAGGTCTACTGAATCAGAAACTTTGAGAGTGAGGCTCAGCATTCTGGGCTTCAATAAGCCCTCCAGGTGATGCACTCTCAAGTTTGAGAACCATGAGACTAGAGGTACAAGGCTAGATTATTAATGTCCAATAATGTCTACAAGATTTGTTGAAAGTATTCCCAACCTCCAAATGAATTGGTGTCCTTAGTAGACTCACTAGACAGAAAGGTAAGAGATCTGGTGTCTATTCTCAGCCCTGACTCAAACATAAAGTGTAATTTCAAGAGAATACTGGGATACCTAAGGGGCAGTTAAATGAAACAGTTGAGGGTCTGACAGATATCACATATAGTTTTGACTGGAAAGGGGGATAGATGTGTTATATATAGAGAGAGAGGAATACTGGCAGTTGATTGCCAAACTCCAATAGAACCCCTATTCCTGAACAACAACATGTGATACATCCCCAGTGACTGGAATCTCTGCCACTGGAAACTACACTCAGGGGCTAGGCATTATGAACTTTTCTCCCAGTATTCTGGAAGAAAGAAGTCTGACTCTGTATAAGTGATTTTCTTCTCCATATGGAAAATGGGGAAGATATATTTCCTGAAATTATATTGTCAAAATGCTTTAATAGAATATATTGGTAGCTTCAGGTATTAGAAACAAGAGCATAATTAATTTGATAACAAATGGAGGCATTTCATACTTAATTCTTTATAGATATGAGTGACTAGTTATAAAATGAGAAACTGGTAACATTCTAAAAGTATAAGCTCAACAAAATCTAGCCAAAAAATATTTAGAAGGTTACCCTGAGGCATAATTTACCTGGAGGACCTGGGAGACCTGGCAAACCAGGTTGACCTGGAGGCCCTGAAATACCAGTTCCAATGCAGTTGAAGCAAGTGTCACCTTTGTCACCTAGTGAAATCATAATAACAAACAAATTTTACTGAAAGGGGTACATATACCTTCTATAGATAGGTTCTAAAAATGTTAGCACTAAGGGACAGCATTTCCACTTAATGGTGTGATTGGAGAAGCCTATATCCTGAATCAATTTATGACAAATAAATTACTGAGTGCTTACTGTGTGCCAAGAACTGTTCCAGATGCTTGTGTTACATTGGTGAGCAAAAGAAAAGTCATGGATAAAAATTCATGTCTACATGCCTCACACTCTACCAGGGGAAAGGGATAATAATCAATAAAGGAAATGAATTATCAAAATGTATATATGAAATATTTTAATAGAATATTAAGTATAGGCAGACTGCAGTAGCTCATGCCTGTAATCCCAGCACTTTGGGAGCCCGAGGCAGGCAGATAGCTTGAGATGAGGAGTTCAAGACCAGCCTGGCCAACATGGCGAAACCCCATCTCTACAGAAAAAATAAAAACATTAGCCAGGCATGGTGGTGCATGCCTGTACTTGCCAGCTACCCAGGAGGCTAAAGTGGGAGGATTGCTTGAGCCTTAGGAGATTGAGGCTGCAGTGAGCTGTGATTGCACCACTGCACTCCAGATTGGGCAACAGAGCAAGACCCTGTCTAAAAAAATTAAATATACATTAAATATTTAATATGCTTTAAAATATATTATTTTTATAGGAAAAAATAGAACTACATAAGTGGTATTGAGTATGCCAGGGAAGGGTGGGGGGTTGCAATTTTAAATAGGGTAGTCAGGATAGACTTGATTGAGAAGTTGTTATATGATAAAACTTAAAGGACATGACATGTGCATAAGAGTGTAGAACATCCCAAGCAGAAAGAATAGCCATGTTTGGTATATACAAGGAACAGCAAGCAGACCAGATTGCTAGAGCAGAATGAGGGAGGGGAACAAGGTCAGAAAGTTGACAGTTTATAACGAATGGCATATAGGCATATAAGAAATATAAAGGCTGTGGTTTTTACTGTGAGTGAAATGAGAATCTAGTAGAAAATTTTAAAAAGAAAAGCAACATGTTATAACTTAAGTTTTTAAGGGATGACTCTAGCTGCTATGTTAATAGCCTCTAAAGGCAATGATGGAAACAGGGTAACCACTTAAGTGGCTACTGTTGCAATGATCTAGGAGAGAGATGGTGGTAGCTCATTTCAAAGTGACTGCAATGAAAATGATCAGAACCGGTTAGATTATAGACATATCTGAAAGTAGAGCCAATGAGATGTTCTCATGGATCATATATGAAATACAAAAGAAGAGGGGAATCAAGGATGACTCCAAGGTTTTCAGCATGAGCAACTAGAAGGCTAAAGTGGCCTGCTTTTTAAGTAAGAAGCTGAAGATGTGAGTGCAGCAACTATGGGGAGGAGGTGGCAGAAATCAAGACTTCAATTTGATCAGGATGTCAAGTTCAAAATGTTGACTAGGCAAATGGATACACAAATCTAGAGGAAAAGAGTTATATCTGGATAGGAGGCATAAATTTGGAAGTCATGGGCAATTAGGTGGTATTAACAGTCACAAGACTGAATAAATGAGTTTATATAGAAAAGAAGAACAAGGACTCAACCTTGGAGCATTTTAAACTTAAAAGTTGGATAGATAATTCTAAGATGCACACAAAATAATGCAAAGAACCTAGAATATCCAACACTTACAATAAAGCCACAGTAATTAAGATAGTATCGTATTGGTGCAAAGAGAGACTAATGAAACAACAGAACAGAATAGAGCAGTCAGAAACAGACCTACACACATATGGTCATGTGATCTACAAAAAGTGCTAATGCAATTCATTGGGGTAATTGATGATCTTTTGTTCTATAGTACTGAGTCAACTGGACATCCATATGGGAAAAATGAACTTTGATCCCTACTCCAAACTATACACAAAAATTAATTGAAGAAAGATCAAAACGTGAAAGGTAAAACAATAAAGTGTCTAGAAGAAAACACAGAGGAATATCATCAGGCCTCTGAGATAAGTAAAGATTTCTAAAACAGTGCATAAAAAGTACTAACGATAAAATAGGAAATTAATTAATTTGATTTCATTTAATTAGCAACTTTTGTTAAACAAAAGTTAACAAAACAGAAGATAGTTTTAATACATATATCCAATAATCAAATTAAAGATAAAGACAGGCACTTTACAAAAGAGAATATAAAAACTGTAAGGAAATAGTTCATAATCAAGTCATTAGGCAAACGCAAATGAAAATCACTTTGGAACATGGTTTGGTAATATCTATGAAACAAAACCTACACCTAACCTATAACCCAGCAATTCAATTTCCAGATATATCCCCAATAAAAATTAGTGTTTATGTCCTACAAAAAAAATACACGTACAAGAATATTTATGACAGCTTTATTCACAATAGCTCCAGACCAAATGTCCATCAACATTAGAATATTGAGGTAATGTGCAGTGGAAAACAAAGAATGGTGGAAAAATACTGCAACAAACAAGAACATAGATATATCTCACATATATTTAGCTAAAGAAACCAGGCACAAAAGAGCTCATACAGTATAATTCCATGTACACAAAGTTCAAGATTAGGCAAATTAATATATGCCAGAGGATAAAATAGTGATTACCTTTGGGGGATACTGAGTAGGGAGCACAAGAGTCTTCCAGGGTCCTGAAAATGTTCTATATTTTGGTTTAGATGGTAATTACATGGATACACATACACACACACACACACATATATGTACACCACAGAGGAATGAAAAAAAAAAAACAGGAAATGTACTGAAAGCTAAGGGATGCAAATGTTTAAAGAAGGCAAAAAGCAAGCAAAAAAAGGACAGACCTGACATTTGGATTAGTAGGATATAGACTGCTGGTGACTGACCAGCATTTGTGGAGTGGTAGGCAGTGGGGAGTTGGGGGAAGAGGGGATGAAATCTTGATTGGAGTATGTTTAAGAGAAAACAAGAGGAGAGTATCTAGAGGTAATGAGGAGAAAATTCTTAGGAAGTTTTGTTGCAAATGAGAATAGAAAAATAGAGAAACAGCTGGCAGGGAATGTAGGATTACATTTTTTTAGATAGGTGAAAAAAGCATATTTGTATGCTCCTTGGAATGACTGAATAGAGAGGGAAAAATTGGTGATGTCGGAGAGGCAAAAATTGCTGGAAAAAAAATCCTTGGGGAAATAAGAGGAAATGGAATCTATTGTATAAATAGAAGAACTGGCTTTAGATAGGAGCAGTAACAGTAATATGCAAGAAGGGAGACTATATGGGCACAGGTGCAAGTAGGTAAGTAAATATGGTGGTAGCAATCAGTGAAAGTTCTCTTGTTATTGCTTTAATTGGTCAGTGAAGTAGGAAGCAAGGTAAGAATAGGGGAGGAACTGTTAAAACTTGAAAAGAGAAGAGAAAGTGTAGGCTCAGAAAACATGAAAATTTGGATTATGCTTTTGTTCCAAGTGAGTGCAATGAAGTGAGAGAAGGGCAAAGGAATCATGGATTTATGAATGGAATTGATTACAGTGATTGATAATGGAACTTAAGCAAGGTTAAGAGGGAAGAAAGGACATCAAAAAGTTAAGCATTAGTCAAAGTTGCTAGGTCTCAGTGGGGTTGGAGTATTGCTGGAGTCAGGTTACTAGAGGTAGTAAGCTAGAAAGAAGAGAGCGATCCAAAAAATGGGATGCATGAAACCAAGGTCATGTAAGTATAACACTATTGGTAATGAGATGGTCTTGGGGTATGACCATGGGAGTCAGTGGCTAAGGTGTGATGGAGGATACAGGGGATTTTGCTGATGATTTGAAAGAATGAAGAAAATGAAGGAATGAATATGTTTGGAGATCAAACCTTTCACTCCTTGTTCTCCTTGGAGTCCTTTATCACCTGGAGATCCTGGGGGGCCTGGAGGGCCTGGTTCACATATCTCATCACCTGAGTAAGATAAAGAAAGGATAGCAAGCTAATTGTGAAATATCCAGAAGATTAAACAAAAGAAAGCCTGACAAGCCAGAAAAAGACCTATTCTCTGAAGAAATAAAAGTACCTATAAGCAAAAGGAAAATATAACATTGCTGATAAATACTATATGAAGAGCAAATGTAAACATCCAAGAACTACCAAAACCCAAAAAGCAGAAGCAGTGGTAGAATTTCTTAGATATCAGAAACGCAACAAATGAGGCCAACCTTTAGCTAGAGTTACTTATAAACAAAATAAACAAAAACAAAAATAGAACTTAATAGGAGAAAAATATAGCTTACTAGGAGGAATGTGAGGGCCAGCAGGGCCAGGAGGCCCTGGAAGCCCAGGAGCCCCAGGCTGTCCGTCAAGTCCAGGAGGTCCAGGAATGGAAATTCCAGGTGGTCCTTCATCACCTTTCTGACCCCTTTCTCCAGGAAATCCAGGAGGGCCAGGAGGACCCATAACTGCAGCCCCTAAGATTCAAAAAAGTGATCAAAATGATTTCATCTTAGAGATGTTACTTTAGTTCTCATTGAGACATTAGATAATGATAAGATCTTCCTTTAACATATAATTCTGGTTATGTTATTTTTTTTCTATGAGACTCAAAAGTCTGAAAAAAAGGTTGAAAAGTTTCAAAGAATGTAAGTAACAGTTTGAGGGTAGGAAATAATAATTTAAAGTAGGTTTACTACTTTTGGAAATTACTAGTAACCCCATCCTTTGACAATCTGTTCTTATAATCTCAAAAATACCGGAAAGTCATTAGCAAGATAAAAAGGTATTTCAAAGTTACCATATAAACATGGCTCTGTTTCCGGACATTCTTCTGTTACACTGGTGATTCATGCACCATTAACACACTTTTTAGTTACTATGACTTTATAATGTTTTCAAAACTGCTAAGGAAAATACGCTCATCTTTGTTCATTTTTAAAACCATCTACAAATTTACTTTTCTAAATAAATTTTTCAGTTTCATTTTCAAAAACTGGTTGGGATTCTGAATGGGATTAATTTGAAGTTAAAGATTATTTTTTGGTAGAATCAACTGTTTATTATATTGGTTTTTCACATCAAGTAATAATTAAATTTATTTCTCTATTTAGTAATTTTATATTATTTAATAATAATTTACAAAATTCTGCAAAGAAGTCTTACACATGTATTGTTGGGGTTATTCTACTGTGAATTTTAATACTATTACTATTGTGAAGTGTATTTTTTTCTCTTGTACGTTTGCTGGTGAAGAGGAAGGCAAATTAAGTATGCTACTCAGATCTGGCCATCTTGCACACATATTCTCTTTAAGTTCTGGGAATTTGTCAATGGATTTTTTAAAGCTTTCTGGTAGATAATCAGATGGTCTCTGAATAACTGAAATTATTTCTTGCCCAAATCTGTTATTTTATGACTTTTTAATAATAGCCATTCTAATGTGTTAGTATCTCATTGTGGTTTTACTTTGCATTTATTTGCTGATTAGTGATGTTAAGCATTTTTTCATGTTTGTTGGCCACATATATGTCTTATTTTAAGAAGTGTTCTGTTCATGTCTTTTGCCCAGTTTTTAATGGGGTTATTTTTTTCTCTTATTGATTTGTCTAAGTTCCTTATATTAATAGATTCTGGATATTAGTCCTTTGCCAGATGCACAGTTTACAATTATTTTCACCCATTCTGTAGGCTATTTACTCCACTGATTGTTTCTTTTGCTGTGCAGAAGCTCTTTAGTTTAATTAAGTCCCAATTGTCTATTGTTGTTTTGGTTACATTTACTTTTGAAGTCTTAGTCATAAATCTTTACCTAGGTCAATGTCCAGAAAAGTTTTTCCTGCATTTTCTTCTAGAATTTTTATAGTTTCAAGTTTTGAATTTAATTATATTTCATACTATATTAGAATTGCTAAACCAGCTTTTTTATGTATAGCATTTGCCCAATATATACTGCATTATTTTCAGATTGTATCTGTCACTTTGCTTTAGATATGTCTACTGTGCACTATATATAGGTATTTTTAATTTCAATTTTATTTTAGTCACTGTCTTTTAATCAGTGTTTAGTCCTTTCAAATTTGTTGGAGTTACTGACTTATTTTTAATTTCTTCTTGTCACCTTATATTTTATTTTCTATTTACCCAGATTTGTCTTTATTTTGCCCCCATCTTAACTTATACTATATATGAGACTTTTAGTCATTTTCTTTCTTCAATTGGTGTGTATGTTATACATTTTATTTCTATTCTTCTCTAGTGGCTACTATTAACATTTTAACCTATGTACTTAAACATGTATACATTTCTAAAAATTTATACAGTTAACAAGATTTATATTATCTTTCCCTAACAAGACAAAAACTCTTATCCTTATTCTCTCTGCATCTACACATCACGTTAATAATGTTTACAATTATAGCTCCAAGTTGTTACTTAAAACACCTTTTTAAAAAATAACCAGTACTGATTTAGACTTAATATGCTTTACTAATATATTTTCTAAGCTTTGGTTCTTGCATCCTACCGCTATTCTCATTTTATCCAGAATTCCCTTTTTTCTTTTTGGAGTAAAACCTCCAGTAACTATTTCAGAGACAGTCTGAAGGTGTTAAACTTCCTATGTATCTCATCTTCACATTAGGATGATAGTTTAATGTAATACAGAATCCCTAATTCATAGTAATTTGTCCTTATCACTTTGAAAATGTGCTCCATTATCATCCTCTGACTCACTGCTTTGTAGGTGATTGGCCTTTTGTTCTCAAATAGTTTTTAAGAGCTTCTTTTTATCCCTGAATTCTGAAATGTCCCTACAATGTGTCTAGTTATGGACCTTTGCATTACTATTATTTTACTATTGCTTAGTGCTTCATGAGCTTTTTCATAGTGATGCATGTGTTTTTTAATAGATGGAAGTTCTCAGCCATTATTTTTTTTCAAATGCTGCCTCTTGTCCCATTCTCTCCTCCTTGACCTCCCTCATGAGATAATTTTGGAGCTTCTAGGTTTATCTTTCATACCTCTTAACTTTTCATTCATACTTCCCAACTCCTTATCTCTTTTACTGCATCCTGAGATAATTCTTTATTTCAATTTTCCAGATACAGTCTGTATTTAATTCACTATCTTGAGGTTAGGAATCTGAAGTTCACATTTAGGAATCTGAAGTTTGCATTTAGAGCATAATGGAACCTATATTTATTTTCTTTCTCTTGGGAAAGATCACTGAATATCACTCATCTCATCATTTTAGTATTTCATTAGCCACGTATTTTTGAAGGAAAAGGAATAATAATTTATTGAATATGTATGTGTGCCAGGCACTGTACCACATGCATCTAGAAATCTTACGGAAATCACTATTATTACCCTATTTCAGAGAACATTCAAATAAACATTCTAGATAAGGGCAGTA
The DNA here is from genome assembly GCF_000001405.40 of Homo sapiens. NCBI lineage: Eukaryota > Metazoa > Chordata > Mammalia > Primates > Hominidae > Homo > Homo sapiens. The sequence continues at coordinate 108,588,118 of NC_000023.11, read as the reverse complement.
CTCAATTTGTGGCCAAATTAGAAATGTTCCACTATACTGTGTGTTTTCAAAGGGAATAATATAAAACTCAGTATTGAGCTCTAAGATTTTATTGTATAACAAAATCACCATGGGGATTTCTAGTTAGGTATTTCTGAAATTTTAGGTGGATAACGCTGCTTGCCATTTTTATACAGGAAATCTTGCAAAACTAGGCATTACTTGGGGAGAATATCCTTCCCTATTAGCATGAAAAGTGTGATGATTTGCCTACTAAATTAAGAATTGTTTGGTGTAATTTATTAATAATAAAATATACCCCAGTTAATATGGCTATCATCAAAAAGACAAAAAATAACAGATGCTGCAAGGATGCAGAGAAGAGGGAACTCTCACACACTGTTGGTGGGAATGTAAATTAATGCAACCATTATGAAAAAAAGTATGGAGGTTCTTCAAAAAACTAAAAATAGAACTACCATATGTTCCAACAATCTCACGTCTGGGTATATATTCAAAAGAAAATAAATTAGTAATTCAAAGAGATATCTGCACTTCCATGTTTATTGTAGCAATATTCACAATAGCCAAGATATGAAATCAACCTGAATGTTCATCAGTGGATGAACAGATAAAGGAAATGTGGTATAAATACACAATGGAATATTATTTGGCCATAAAAGAACGGAGTTCTATCATTTGCAGCAACATGGATGAGCCTGAAGGACATTACGTTAAGTGAAATAAACCAGGCACAGAAAGGCAAATACAAATGCATGTTCTCATTCTTACGTAGGAGGTTAAAAAAAAAAAGTTGATCTCATGGAGGTGGAGAGTAGAATGATGGTTACCAGGGGCTGGGAAGGGTCGGGGGAAATGAAGAAAGGTTGGTTAATGGGTACAAACATACAGTTAGATAGAAGCAATAAGTTTCAGTGTTTGGTAGCACAGTAGATTCACAGCAGTTAACAACAACTTACTGTATATTTCAAAACAGCTAGAAGAGAAGATTTTGAATGTTCCCAACATAAAGAAAAGATAAATACTTGAGGTAATGGATATTCTAGTTACCTTGATTTAATCATTATACATTGGACTCATGTATTAAAATATCACATGTATCCCATAAATATGTACAATTATGTATCAATAAAAAATAAAATGTAGAAATAGGAATCTTAGGATTAAAGGACACTATTCACTTGGGCTTTTTTAAAGTACAAGTGAGTAATATGGTGAGAGAAGGTATAGTAAGAGTTGGGAAGTATCTGTCAATTAAAAAGGACTTGTGTCTCCTACTTCCATGCTGACCATGGAACTAATGTGATAAAAAGTATACATGGATTAGTAAGGATGCTATAAGAACAAGGCCATAAATGCAATCTCATTTACCTGGAGGTCCAGGAAGGCCAGGTGGACCCTGTATTCCAGGAAATCCTCGCTCTCCTTTTTCTCCAGGCAACCCAGGCAACCCAATGTTTCCTTTTTCTCCTATAGTTATACCAGTCCCAGGTCTAGGAATTACCTTTATTACCAAAGAAAAAAAAAATAAAGAAATGCAAAGAAGAAAAGCCTTGTTCTCCTGAAAACATTATGGGAGCTACATATGATTACAATGTCATCATTTTCACATAGTTTATGAGTCACATTTTGTATCACTCCCATCCTCCAACTGATTAGAAAATGTCCAATACAAGTAACAACATTACCATGTTCCTGAGCCCGAAGCATATAAAACTAAAAGTATTTTTGATGTCTCTTCTCCTATAATTCACATTCAATTCATTCCAATCTCCTAAGCCTGACAATTCTTTACAGAAAACGTCTCTCCAATTTGCTCCCTTGATTTCTGCTGCCACAGCTATATTATCAACTCACACTTAGAGTAATAGAAGCACCTCTGATCTTGTCCCTTGAATTCCAATCTATTGTTAGGATATGCTTCCTCAAAAACCATTTGTGTGTGTGTGTTAACTATTCTGCTTAAGGACTCAAAATTGCTCACTACTTTTTACTATAAGTGCTGCTACTTTTAATCCTGAACTGTAAGTCACCTCTCACTTCCAATACTTCTCTCACCTATTTAATCTCCTACTACGTCTTACAATAAATTTTTATTATAGTGAAGTCTGTCTGATTCTAACCATTTCATTCAACTTGCACGTTCTTGTCTATGTCTTTGCATATTTCATTCCAAACATGTGTAATGCCTTTCCCCAATCTTTCTCTTTATTAACCCACATTTATTTCTTCCTTTAAAAAAGAAAACTCCCCCATAAATATATATACCTACTATATACCAAAAAAATTTAAAAATAAAACCCATGTTCTTTATTGATTAAACCCAACTAACTAATCATTTCTTTTTACTCTGTATTCTTGTAACTCATTAAGTATTTTCTTAAAAAACTTAATATTAAATAAATTAAATATTAACAAATTCTTCTTATAGACCTATAAAGGTAAATGAACTTCAGATTTAAGAGACTGCCAGTCTGATGTACAAATCAACACCTAATAGCAGTGTGATATTTCATCCTGTCTCTATTGGATGGATATAAGAAATATTCACACAAAAGAAGACAAAAAGTTGTGGGACCTAAGATTGGAATAGTGATTCAAAAGGGAAACTAGGCTGCTAAATAGGACTGTACTCTCAAAATTTCCATTTCTTCTGATACTTATTAAAATTTTATCTTCTCATTTTATAAAGAGATTATTTCCTAGAGGACTGAAGCTGATTTTAAAATGAAAGTGAATAAAAAATATCTAAGATCTTCTTTAAGTATATCCTCATTAGATTTAGTACAGTCCTAAGTATTAATAACTGAGACTCATTATGGATAATACGAATTAAGTTAATGTTACTAACATGTCTGGACACATAAGTTTTCCAACATTCGCACTGTTGCGGCTTCAATGCAGTTTGAAGTCAAGAGTCTTACTAAATTTCAACCAAAGAAAAACCAATATGTTAAACCTCAGCAATGATATTTTATTCCTAATAAGACTGGAAGTATATTTGACTTAAATTTCATAGTGAACACAAACATGACAGAAAATCTGTAGCTCCGCCACCCTCAATTATTCTTTCATAAAGCAGCTTCCTACATGCGTTATTAAAAGTCCCTAGAAAGCACACACTCAGGAAAGAAAGAAGTGTGAATCAGACAATTACAAATTGAGAAAACCTATTAAGACCAAATCTATCTTTCTCCTGAGCTCTGCAGGGGAAAGGACCAATCCCCCACCCCCACCCCAACTTCCCCAAGTTTTGTTTTGTTGTTGTTGTTTTCATTGAACCTTTGTAAGCAACACTTGCACCACCTGCTGGTTGCTTGAGAAATGATCTGGCAATCATGAGGCAAAACAACCCAATGCCATAATTTTAGACCTTTACCATGCAGAAGTAATGCATAGGCAGAACAATACAAAGACCTTGAGGTCAACATTACTGAAGATTTTAGATGTAAAGACTTTTAAGCCAGTAGAAATTGATAATGACTTGAAATTTTGTGTTCTATCAAGAAAAAGTAGGGAGTATGCGATTAAGGCACAAAAATGATAATGCATTAATAAATTTGATAAACGAAGACTAAAAAAAAAAAACTTACAAGTCCAGGAGGTCCAGGTGGGCCAGTGTCACCTTTTTGGCCCTGTTCAATGCAATTGTAAAATAGGTTAGTAAAATTCACATGAAAACATCAATTTCCTCAAGAATATAAGAGAAACTTTCCAAAAAGACCCAGAAATCAATCATAAAATACCTCAAATGAGAAATGCAACATGAAGTAATGAAACAATTCTGAGCTAAGCCTAACCTGTGATGGTGTCTCAGATTTACTAGCTATGTAATCTTCACCAAGTTAATTAACTTCTCTGGTTTATATAGAAAGAATAAAGATTTTTGGACCAGAGTTTTAAGGTATTTCTAGTTGTAATATTCTTTGATTTTTAAGATTCCTATTTCTAGCCAACTACAAATACTCTATAAAGAAGATAATAGAAAAAAAATGGTAGCACTAGAATCAGTGAAAAAATTACTTTTTTTTTTTTTTTTTTTTTTACATTTAGCCATGTTTCTTCTCATAAAACTAGTCAAGGACATAAATGTAGTGCCATTTCTATTAGTGACAGACATTTTAGATGTGATGGACTTAACTATCATCAATAATAGCTAGTAAATCTGAATTGCTTTCATGAGCTTGCTCTTAGAAGCTAATGAAAGACAAGTTCAGATAAAACTTTTATCCTTGATTAGTAGCTACAACAGCATGAAAAAAACCACAATATTCAATATTCAAGTGTTACTCTACTACTGGCCAAGACACAAGGATGGTCTTTTTCATACTTCTATTCTGACTCTAAACTTGTTCATAGAAGCCATCCATCTATATACAAATACTATTTGACAAAAAATCATTTTATCGGAGTATTTCCTACCTCCATCTATTCTAATTGTGCCTTTTAAGCCATGCTAGAACTTGGACCTAATTTAAAAATAAACCACCATTAAAATATGTGCCTTCTGGGTACATTCAAGTTTGTAACGCCTTTCCTTCCTTGCCTGAAAAACCAAAAAGCTTTCAGTTTTTGATACGAAGCAATTAAAAACAAGAGGGATTGGAGGACTGGTTATTTTGTGCCCTGCTAAAAATCTGGTAATTGTATGCTTCATACAATCTTTCAAAGTCACTTGAAAAATAGGTAACTAAATAAATGACCTCAGTCAGACTGCATTGGCCCAGTAGGGGGGAAAAAACAACAAAGAATTAGCCACAGACTTACAGACAATAATTGCATACAGAATGGAAATGTTTAGTGGCGACGTTCTACATTCACAGTTATAAGCCTTTTTAGTAAGAGGACCTCACTAAAATAGTGCTGAATTCTCTTTGTGGAAAAAAAGAAGTTTTGCCGATACATGCTCAAAGTAAAGGCAATGACTTTTCACAGTGGAAATGCTAAAGTTAAACAATGCTTAATGTATTTCTGCAACATGGACTGTGATTTATGGCAATGGAATAAAATTTAGCAAGTGTGGTATAAAAGAAAAATGAGCAAAAGATGAATAAAGAAGGCATATTTTGAATATAAAAGCTAGTTATGTAGACTTTTTCCATTTATAACTCAAGCCTGGGAGAAGAAAAGGATTATTTTAGCTAGACTAAACCAGTCACTTCAAAGTATTAAAATTCTTACCTTTTCACCATCCCTTCCGGGTTCACCAGGGTAACCAGGATCACCAGGCAAACCCTTTAAAACATAGAGGATAGGGTGACATCAGCACAAATGATGGTGTTAGGAAATCTCCAAAGATTGTCTTCTCCATAGAAGCAATGAGAATACTGGCAAAAATGGTCAGTCAGAATTAACTTTCAGAACTTAACCAAAGCTTGCAGCAATTCAAGGAGTGTTTTCTCAGAAAAAAAAAAAAAAAAAAAGCTGAATCTTGGTGAGAACTCAGAGCTTTGTGGCATTTTAACTTGCTCTATTCCTACCACCTCTCAGAGATTTATGGCATTTTAACTTGCTCTATTCCCACCACCTCTCAGAGCTTTGTGGCATTTTAACTTGCTCTATTCACACCACCTCTCCTCACAATCAAGGTGAAAACCAGCAGCCTAGCAGCAATTGGAGAGGAAAGAACAGGGTTGGAGCTCCTTCAAAGCCCCATATCCAGAGAATTATCATTATTTGATCTGTCTGCTGGTTCAAAAGAAGGCTATTTGCAAGGCTGCCTTTATTTGACCCAACTTGGGTTCTCCCAGTGCAAACAGAGAACAAGAGAACAGCCTCCCCACCCCGCAACCCCAATTTGTTGAAAACACTAAGAGGCAATTGTTGAATATCACAGCTGCCTGAATCAAGACAAAGACCAATTGTTCCAAAAGAAGCCAGGAACTGAGGCCCTGAATTTACCTCTTGATATTTTATAATATAAAATATTTTTGAACTAGAGATTGTAAGTTGAGGATTGCCTGTTTAGTAAAATATCCTGAAACCAATTTATCTGAATTTAGTAATTCTAACCTGTCTTGTTAAGAATTATCCTTTTCCCTTAGAATAACTTACAAATTTCATCAAATATTCTCTCTGTCTTTGAAAAACTCTTGCCTACTGCGGATACTCTTGATACTGAAGCTGCTTGAAATAATGTTCTTGGACTTACATATTTTATTTCCCATGCCCCTTTTTGGTAGTAAGTAGAAGAATTACCTGTCAAAACTTTTACTGAAAAAACATGTTCACACACACACAAAAAAACTGTATGGGAATATTTATATTCATATAAATATTTTTATATGAATATAAAAGTTTTATTCATAATGGCCAAAACACAGAAATAACCAAAATATCCTTCAATGTGTAAATGGACAAACAAACCATGGTATATTCAAACTATCAAATACTACTCAGCAATAAAAAAATGAACTGATACACAATTCAATGTATTATGTTATGTGAAAGGATCCTGATTCGAAAGGCTACATACAATATGATCCAATGTATCTGACATTTGGGAATAGGCAAAATTAAAGAGATTGACAAAAGATCAGTCGTTATAAGGGGGTTGGGATAGGGGAATAGGGAGGGGATAACTAAAAAAGAGCATGAGGGAACTTTTGAAGGTGATGGAAGTGTTCTTGATTATGGTGGTGGTGACACAACTGTATGTGTTTGTCAAACACAGAACTGTAAACTAAAAATAGTTCCTTTTACTTTATGTAAATTATATCTCAATAAATCTGACTTTAAAAAATAGAGGAACCTCAAATTTATATTTGGTGTAACTGGATTGTTTGTAATGCAAAGGATAAATGCTTGAGGGGATGAATACCCCATTCTCTGTGATGTCCTTATTTCACATTACATACATGTATCAAAACATCTCATGTACCTCATAAATAAATATATACACCTACTATGTACTCACAAAATTTTTTAAAAATTGAAAATTATATTCAAAAGACAAAGACTGGATAATTTCAATTCATTTAAACTATTTCCAGACCCCACAATTTTTGTCATACTGCTTCTCTGCCACCTTATGTTATACCAACACATAAATGTCTCCAGTTTTGCAGGGGGAAAGAACCTTAGCTACTTACAGGAATTCCTGGTTGGCCATTTTCTCCATCTTTGCCTGGTTTACCCTATAGGATACAAAGAAATGATAGGGCAACAACATACATTTGTTAGTTAGGAAGCATAAAGTTAAAGAATATAACAAGCTTTATTCCTGGCTTGGACTATATTAAGTAGACTTTTTAGACATCAACATTATAATGTCAGTAGTGATATTTTGAAACAATGGAAGATGTAGGAAGAAAGAATAAAATCACACACACACACATTTAGAATTTTTTTGCAAAGAATATTAGCAGTTACATCACTTACTCTTTTGCCTGGCTCTCCTTGCTCACCCTTCTCACCTTTCTCACCACCTGGGGGACCCTGTACACATAAAAATAGTTTCACAATGGTTCATGGGATACTGTGTACCAATACCAATTTACATTAAATGATGCTAAAGCACTTTAGGTACTTACTGGAGGACCACGTATCCCTGGAGGTCCAGGAGGCCCTCGGTCACCAGGAAGTCCCTATGCAGTAGTAGGGGAAAGGAAATCAATGTTAATACTGGAACATGCATTTTCATTCTAAGCACTAGAGCTAGCTAGGAGCATTTTTAATAAACTGAACCACAGCTACATCTATGTTGGAGCAACATGGTTAGAGCTGGAGGCTATAATCCTAAGTGAATTAATGCATGAACAAAAAATCAAATACCACATGTTCTCACTTATAACTGAGAACTAAACATTGGGGACACAAGGACATAAAGATGGCAACAATAGACACTGGGGACTACTAAGAGTAGAGGGAGGCAGGTAATACTTGTAAAACTAACTTCTGAGTACTATGTTCACTACCTGGCTGATGGGATCTGTACCCCAAACCTCAGCATCACACAATATACCTATGTGACAAACCTGTACATGTACCCCCTGTATCTAAAATAAAGGTTGACTTTTTTAAATAATAAAATAAAATAAAAATAAATCTCCCCCTAAAAAAATTAAACTGAACTGAATACTCATGTAGTACAACCAAAGATAATAGGGTGTTTCTAACTTAAAGTTGAAATCTTCTAGGCAAAATTAACTAGAGCTATCTTTGCTCATTTCAGTTAATTTTTTGTCTATATACAAGCCAAGATTTGAGGTAAATAACAAGGCAACACTTAAAATGAAAATAATGACAATTTTTTATTCTTATAAAATATTTTATAAAAAGCAAGAATACCTAAAACAAAGAGATTTTGGGGTCACACGGCATACATATATTTTGGGAGATAATTAAATGGCCAAATTCATATTGATGATAGAGTTTCAATACAACTTTTCCTTTATTCTTAACTTTCTTATTCACATTTAAGTGAAACAAAAATGCACACATTCTGTTTGTTAAAGTGTGGGCCAGTATGCTTTAAAAATATATCTAATTTCCCTCATCTACTCTAGCAAAAGCAGGGTATCAGATAATTATTTCTAAACACAACAAAGGTTTATAGAGTAACATTATCTTTCTCCTTGCATATCAGTGAAATGTAGGGAACACTGTCATCATTCTGACTTACCATAACCTAATTTTATACATGAATGGATTCTTCAAATAGCCAAAAATGGAAATAACCCAAATGCCCATCAACTGATGAATAAATGGATAAACAAAATGTAGACTATTTACACAATGAAATATTATTCAGCCATAAAAAGGAATGAAGCACTGATATGTGCTGCAAAGTGATTTAACATGAAAACACTATGCTAAGTAAAAGAAGCCAGACACAGAAGACCACATATTGTATGATTCCATTTATATGAAATATTCAGAATAGAAAAATTTACAGAGCCAAGAAGTAGATTAGTGATTACCTAGGGCTGGTCAATTTGGGGAGAAATAAGGAGTACAACTAACATAGGTATGGAGATTTTTTTGAGGAAGCCTCAGAATTTTCTAAAGTTAGATTGCACTGATAGTTTCACTACCCTGTGAATGCACTAAAAAAAAAATTGAATTGTACACTTTAAATGGGTGGATTATATGTATGTAGACTGTATCTTGATAAAGTTATTTTGAAAATTTAATGATCTTGGCCAGGCATGGTGGCTTATGCCTGAAATCCCAACACTTTGGGAGGCCGAGGCGGGCAGATCACGAGGTCAGGAGTTCGAGACCAGTCTGGCCAACATGGTGAAACCCCGTCTCTACTAAAAATACAATAATTAGCAGGGTGTGGTGGTGGGCACCTGTAATCCCAGCTACTTGGGAAGCTGAGGCAGGAGAATCGCTTGAACCTGGGAGGCGGAGGTTGCAGTGAGCCAAGATCATGCCATTGCACTCCAGCCTGGGTGACAAGAGCAAGACTTAGTCTCAAAAAAAAAAAAAAAATTAATAATCTCAAATCCTTGTTATTTAAAAAAAAATACCCTTATATATAACCACATTTCAGCTTATAATGCATTTTAATGGAATTCCACTTACATAGAAATATTATTTTTAACTTTTTATCATTTTATTTTTTTCAGCTTTATTGAGGTATAACTGACAAATTAAAAACTGTATATATCTAAGGTGTAAACAATGTGATGTTTTGATATACATATACATTGTGATGTGATTACCACCATCAAACTAATTAACATATCCATAGCAAGATTTTCATTGACTTCCTCCCTACTTACTCACCTGATCTCCTTTCTGAAACTCTACATCAATTGGTCTTTTCTGTTCACTGATCTGCCCAGGTGGCCCAGGTGGGCCCTGAAGACCTTGCTCACCCTGTTTGCAAGATAAAATAAGACAGTGGTGATACTTCATAATCTCCACAGACAGTAATATAACATGTAAGATAAGATAACTTCAAGAAGCAAGAGAAAGAAAAAGACAGTTCAAATGACTACAAAAAGAGAAAGCTGAGGGCTGAATAACCAGCTCTCTTTCTTTACTCACTTTTTCACCTTTGGGTCCCTGGAAATTTAAGCCCATATTCCCCTGGAGAGAGAAGTTTCCATTTAAAAATCTCACTGACAGTAAGAAAAGGAATCCACACCAAATAAAAGATATAAAGAAAAAGAAAATTACCTTAGGTCCTGGAAGTCCTGGTGGACCAGGAGGGCCCTAAGAAGAGAAGACAAAAGAGAAAATAAAATGTTATATTAATAAGTTAATTTTAAAAGTTATTTAGTTTCAGAAAGAGTAAGGTGTGAAAAAGCCCATCAAAATAGTATTTTCTTGTTTGTTTTCATTTTAGTCAGAGACACACATTTTAATTGATTAAAATGAGCTAGATGAATGTGAGTACCTCTGATGACAAAATAGAAATGGGCAAGAGAAAAAAGCTGGGATGGGCAGAGGTAGAGAGGTAGCCCCATTGTCAAAAATCAATTCAAAAGTTAATCTCAACAGACCCATCAAATTTTTCACATCAGAATTATAGGTAAACTTAGGTACCATAAAGCAATTAACTCTAATTAACTCTCAAGTTCTAAAAAGCATGTGTTTATTTTTTAAAATCCAGTTTGATTTTTATACAATATGACTTTGTGTATCTGAGAATGTTTCAAGGTTTAAAAAATTAAATAGGCACCTTTCTGCTCAAGTATGTTGCCTCTTAACCTCAATGGGCCTATTTATTTATATATTGTATCTTGGTGGCATTTCTTTCTTTCTTTCTTTCTTTTTTTTTTTTTTTTTTTTGAGAAGGAGTTTCCCTCTTGTTGCCCAGGCTGGAGTGCAATGGAACGATCTCGGCTCACCACAACCTCCGCCTCCTGGGTTCAAGCGATTTTCCTGTCTCAGCCTCCCGAGTAGCTGGGATTACAGGCATGTGCCATCATGCCTGGCTAATTTTTTGTATTTTTAGTAGAGATGGGGTTTCTCCATATTGGTCAGGCTGATCTCAAACTCCCAACCTCAGGTGATCCACCCACCTTAGCCTCCCAAAGTGCCGGGATTACAGGCATGAGCCACAGCACCTGGCCTCTTGGTGGCATTTCTAAGATTTGGCTTCACCTGTTGAATTAGCGTTAATTCAAGGAATATCCAGAAACGTAAAGTGAATCGGTTAAGTGGCCACAATGGTTGAGGAAATTCAAGGTGTAACAATATACTCAAGGGGCACCAATGTTCCAACAGCAGAATTAGGAAAAAGTGCGAAAGTCCATAGTTTCATGCTTTGCATGAAGTCTACAACTAAAACAAACAAAAGGGTTTTCTCATCTTCCCCCAAAAAGTTACAGGAAAGCAGAAATCACAATCTTTTCTGGTAGATTCTTCTAGCAGTTATCAAACATTATTTCCTTCACTCAAAAGTGCAGGACCAATTGTCACAAACAAAAATGTACAACCTATAAAGGTATAATGAAAACTGTCACTTAAATATATGGTAGATGAGAGATAGAGTGGCACATGAGAAATTACTTCTACTGAAATACAATTTTCTTGCCCTTTTAAGAGGGCAACAGCAAAGCTGTAAGTCCAAAACATGACTTGAATGAAATCTAAGTATTGCAGAAGTAAAAATACTTAGAATTTACTAGGATAGAAAATAAGAGTGACTACAGAGCTAGTAAAGTAAGAGAACCGGTTGCACATTCAGGATCTGTAGAAGTTTTTGGGGTACAAAAACCTGTGACCAATTGCATAGTGATCACTCCCCTCACCAATTCTACTGTTTTGTCCCAGGCGCCTAGGAAATGAGAGCCAATATTTTTTATGAAGCCCTGCTTTTGCTCTTCTTAAACAAACAATTGCAGTTTGAAGAAACATGTTTCATCAAGTGATTAGAAAACTGCCTTAAAAGACTTTCTGAAATGGCCAGAATTGACTTCAACACTGATACATCAAGAGCAACCAACAAAATATTTCATTGTAAATCTTTCCTTTTATATACCTCATTTTTCCATCTATAAAATGGAGCCATTACTTAGAATGCATATTATTCACCATATCATTGTAAAGTCACCTTTACATAAGAAAATTATAAATTATGAATGTTGAGAATGCATTATGTTTTCAAGTATTATAAATAATATTAATATTCCTGAAAGAAGTCAGAAAGGAAAGGGGGGGAAATTAAATTAAAGAAGAGAGCTTACCATCAAACCTGGTGGTCCTGGGGGACCAATTGGCCCTGGTATACCAGTGGGACCAGGTAGGCCCTGTTATAAAGTGAGTAAAGAAAATGATGAAAAAAAAGAAAAACAAGCCCCTTATTGTATTTTTTCTTTTTTTACACAAAGTCTCACTTGTGTCGCCCAGGCTGGAGTGCAATGGCATGATCTCAACTCACTGCGACCTCCGCCTCCTGGGTTCAAGCAATTCTCCTGCCTCAGCCTCCTGAGTAGCTGAGATTACAGGCACCTGCCACCAGGTCCGGCTAATTATCGTATTTTTAGTAGAGACGGGGTTTCACCATGTTGGCCAGGCTGGTCTTGATCTCATGACTTGGCCTCCCAAAGTGCCAGGATTACAGGCGTGAGCCACTGTGCCCGGCCCCCTAATTGTATCTTACAAAGAACTAAATGGATGAAATTTAGACTTCATTTAAACTTCAGTCGTCATTGGAATTCTGCTCTACAATTTTATCATTCAGCAATATTATAAGTGAAATTTTAAAATGCAAAGGGATAAAAGGATTAAGTAATTATAAGAAAACTTGTGGTTTAAAGTGGTAAATAAACATAAGACAAATAATAAGGAAAATTTACAAAACAAAGTGATAAAGGTATGCATTTAGTTAGGGCTTTTATGCTACCAATGAGAAGGGAAAGGCTACTACTTTCAAGATAGCTTCTCTAATTTTAAAATAGATAAGATTAAAGACAGAGGGAAATGAGAGGAACTGGGATAAATTATAAGAGAATGATACAAGTGTTATGGAATAATTTGGCATGTTAAAAACTGAAAATTTGGCCTACAATCTAGCAATTCTATACTTAGATATAAATCATGGATTTTTTTTTGTAATGAAAAAATTGTAGGCTGGGCACAGAGGCTTACACCTGTAATCCTCATACTTTTGGAGGCCTAAGCAGGAGGATCACTTGAGCTCAGATGTTTGAGACCAGCCTTGGCAACATGGTGAGAACTTGTCTCCACGAAAATTTTCAAAAAGTAGCCAGGTGTGGTGATGTGCACCTATGGTCCCAGCTACTCAGGAAGCTGAGGTGGGAGGATTGCTTAAGCCCAGGAGGTTAAGACTGCAGTGAGCCATGATCATGCCACTGCACTCCGGTCTGGGCAAGAGTGCAAGATGCTATCTCAAAACAACAACAACAACAACAAACACCACATAAAACAAAAAACACCAAATGGTAGTATGTCCACAAATGGAAAGTTATATGAAAGTGAAACAGAGTGAACTAAAGCCATATCCAATAATATGGATGAATCTTAGCATATCAAGTAGAAAAAGTAAGTTGCAGAAAACTACATAAATATTACATTATTTTATAAAGCAAAGCTAAATATTCTATTGCTTAGAAATATATGCATATATAATAAAGCTATTTTTAAGGCACAGATGGTAGCTATGTCTTGGGGGAATGCAGAAGGATTTGATTACCAAGGGGGACACAGGTTGATTCAAAATTATTTGTAATTTTCTAGCTCTTAAATGTTGTTCACTTTATAGTTATGCTTCATAACATACATATATTTTGCATGTATTCTGTTGTATTTTCAAATATTACTTCATAACAATTTATAAAATATAAAGGGCAAGATTGAGTGAATTTTAAAAACTATGGATGGGTGATATCAAGTAAGGAATGACAAGGTAGCTAATGAAAAAAGTCCCCAATCTTGTATCTTAGTGATAAACTACCAGGAAGTTTTGATTTTTCATTTTTGGCAAAGGATTCGATTATCATGAAATATAAACCCTAAGAAATTGACCTCCTAATCTATACTCAAAAGTTACTGCTCTCTCTATGCATGTTTTCTGTAGGCTAAAATTTTTTTCTTAAGATTACATTTGATGTTCACCATGCATAAACTGTATTCCTTCAGCCTTCAAAATATGTTCATATATTATGCATAACTGATAGTGTTACAAATGATATATCTTAATATATTCAATGGGACTTCCATAATTTTTATTTTTAATTAGGTCTTTTGTAAATGTACAAAAGACCCTACTGCTCTCCACAGTACAAGAATAAGAATATAGAACCCTATTTCTGCTGCCAATCCCCAAAACACTGGATAGAAAGGCAAAAGAATGAAGCCGATGTTGTTAAAATTCTCCCTGGTCCAGATTGCTTTTATTTTCAGGTAGAAAGTACATGTAATGTCTAGTAAACATCTGATGATAATTTTTATGACAAAAACAGAGAGTACTAAAGGTTGAGGGATTGTTGTAATCTTCTGGTTTAATCAATATAGCAAAAAAAGAAAATCACTGGATACTTACTTGTATTCCAGGAGGACCTGGATATCCTGGATTACCCTTTGGTCCTGGCAGTGATGACATAATTATACTACCTGGTTCACCCTAAAAGAAGCCATCAATGGAAGTTCTAAGACACAGTTATTATACATGAAAACCAGCAAAACCAGAAAAATGATCTGAAGATTCAATTTGTAACAGAGATGTACTAAAAGATTAGGCCATCTCAGTAATAAAAATGATAAGTTTACCTTTTAAAGGAAAATGAGGAAGTGGCCAGAGTACACTGAAGAACAGTAGATTTATTAAGAGTGTAGTACCTTCAGTTACTCATTAAAAAATATGTAGTAAATATTAAGTATTTGCCAACAATTGTGGTAGGTTCTGGGTAATCAGTAATGGAGAAGATAAACAAGGCCTCTGTTCTCATAAAGCTAACAATATAATGGGAAAATACAGACCCTAATATGTAAAAATATAAGATGACAATATCAAGGGCTGTGAATATTAAGGGCTATGAAGAAAAATAACATGGTACAATAATTGAAAAAAAAAAACTAGTGGAGAAAATTAGCTTGGGTAGTCAAAGAAGGGCAATCTGTGAAGGTAACATTCAGGTTAAGACCTGAAGGATAATAAGGAGTCATCCAGGCAAAGATAGGAGGAAGAATATTAGGCAAAGTAAACCATATATACAAAAGACCCTAAAAGCAAAACGTTTGGCACATCCCAATAACTAAATGCAGACTGATGTGGTCAGTGAGCTAAGGGATAAGTTTAGTGGTTTAAGATAAGGCTGTCAATGTAGGCAAGGACCAGAGCATGCAGTTCTTACAAACAAACTATGGACTTTACCTTAGATACACAGTAGAAAGCCCTTGAAGGTTTATAAGCATATTAAATTATCAATGAACACTTTTAAAATGTCATTCTTGGTTGCTTTGTAAAGAATAAAACAGGATGGGAGGTAAGGGCGGAGTAGTGGTGAAAAAAAGAGACTAGAGACTACGTAAGAGGTTATTGCAGTAATCCAGATGAGACATTATGATTAACGTGGTAACAGTGGGAATGAAGAAAAGTGGATGAATTTAAGGTGCCTTTTACAGGCACACTTAGTGTTTAGTGATGGAATTGAATGAGGTGGTGGGTGAAGGAATGGAAGATATAAATATTAACTCCCAGGTTTTGAGATCGTGTAAAAGTGTACATAACATATAAAGATGCAAATTTGAGATATGAGGAGCCACAGGGAGGAGCGGGTTTATTTTGTGGGTGGATTAACTTGGAACATGTGGAGATGTCAGAGAGGCTGATGAATACACATAGCTAACTCAGAAGAAAAGTCTCATTTGGTATTTAGTAACTAGATAGTAATCAATAATATGGGCATTAGTAATATTTCTGGGCATTGCAGGGAAGGAGTACAGACTGTGACCTGATGCTTGATGGACATAAAATAATGACCTTACATAGAAGACTGCAAATTAACCAGAGGTGTAGAAGAAAAATCAGGAAAGGATAGTGTCACAGAGGCCAGGGAAAAAAGTAATTCTACAGAGAGTAAGTGGTTAACTGTATCAAAGTGTAAGAAGATGAAGACTTAAAGTGTCAGCAAAGAAACTCAAGTCTGATATACACATTTTCAAGTGTATCAGCACATACAAGGTACTTAAAGCCATGGGAACACAGGAGACTACTTAAGGAGAGCTTGTAAGTTTACACCTGCACAACTTCTAGAAACATCGATTTTAAGACAGAAGTTTGAGTCATTATCCTATTGAAGTTGCCAGCTTTCCTAATATTTTATTCAAAACATTTGTTCCCCAGAATGAGATGCTTACCTTCATACCTGGGATCCCAGGGGGTCCCTATTATTAAAAAGAAAAGGGATTATTTTATATGTATGAGAGAGAAACACGCCAATTACAGAATGCTTTCTAAATAGAGTATAAAATGAGTAGACTGCTGTAGCGTCATTTCTGAATAGGATATACCTTAGGATACTTAGAGGTGACATTTATATACATACAAAATCCTTGCTTTTGCCCAGGAGAAAGCTATATTACCAACTTCTTTTTGAAACATTTTCCTCTAGTTTATTACTTTAAAATGTATTACTTTGTTCCACATGAATGCATTGGGCTCTCTCACTACATTTCTGCTTCTTTTGTTAATTCCTGTGTTCATCATAATCCCAAATTTTATAACTTACTGGAGGACCCTGTAAACCAGGAAAACCGGGACTGCCTGGAAATCCACGTTCTCCCTAGAAGGAGTTAAAAATAAAGAGCATGGAGGAACAAGAAACAAAGAATAACTATACCATCAAGATATGACTTCTTGAAAAGATTTCTATAAAAGCCATTTTGAAACATGCCAGATTGCCAAAAAGTTCATTAGCCTTCACTTTCCAATTACTTCAATATCAACTATCCATATCAATTCAACTTTTATCCCAATTCATCTATCCCAATTAGAAGTAAAGAAAAAAAATTATCTACCTCAGTTCTTTTCTTCCAACAAAGACATTTTGAGACGATCACGCCATAAATTCTATCATCACATTTAATAGTTAATGATCTGCCCCATTTCCTGCCCATGTGTTATATAGATTCTTATTTTAACTGCTCTGTTGCATTTTTCTTTTATTGTAAACTATTTCAAATTATTTTTGTAAAGGGGAAAAGATGGTAAGAAAGAAGGCCATTAATATCACCAAGAGGACAATAATAGCAATAGTTCTAGCAATTGCAGGTCATTATGTTTTCTAGGCACCCAGCTTTTCTCACTCACTACTGTAAAGTACTAATATGGACACTTGGTTTAGAAAACAAAAGCTGAAATTGCTGTAGAAGAACACCAAAGCAACCTCCTTTCAAATACCTGTATGCCACGGTAATCCTAGAAACAACTTCATCAGAAGGTTTGAAAGAATAAAATTACTACTGTTGTGTGTCTTTGTGAGTCCAATACCCTTCTCTCCACCTTGTTACACATGGAAAAAGTAGGTCCCGAGAGAAAGGAAGTGGCCTAGACATCAAGTTTAAAAGACAGAAAAAGAAAAAAACCTATACATTGTGGCTCCAACTTTAAAGTTCATTCTTTTACTTACATAGTAAGAAATATAAGAAAAGCATTCAGACTTTAAAAATATGCATAATAAATCAATTTAATTTGTTTAAAATTTGTTACTCACATAATTGGAAGCCTGAAACACAAGTTAATCAATGCTCCCTTTAATCATATAGCACACTGTACTGATTATAGATACATTGGCCCTTCAAATTTGAAACTTTGGTTAGTGGTCTGTTTGTTTCTTAAAGCACACTGGCAAAAATAAATAAGTAAATAAAAATAAACAAATAACCAGAAGAGGCACAAAAATTTAGTCCAATTTAACATGAAATGTATCAGGCAAACCAACTCCACATTGGTCTTATCACTTTAAGGTTGCCCTAGCTAAAATGAAGAACACGATTAGTCCTCATGAATCCAAAATTTTTTTTAAAAATTATTATTATTGACAAGGGTTACATTGACCTGAAGAAATACTGGAGATGAAAAGAACTGTACTGCCTCAAGTATAGAGTACAGTAATTATCACAAAATATGGCCACTGTAATGCAAAATAGTTGTTCAAGTTATTTTAAAAATATGCCCTATATAAAATCTGACATATGCCATTAGTTAGAAAGATCTGGCCGGGCGCGGTGGCTCGCACCTGTAATCCCAGCACTTTGAGAGGCTGAGGCAGGCGGATCAAGAGGTCAGGAATTCGAGACCAGCCTGACCAACATGGTGAAACCCCATCTCTACTAAAAATACAAAACAATTAGCTGGGCATTGTGGTGCGTGCCTGTAATCCCAGCTGCTCAGGAGGCTGAGGCAGGAGAATCACTTGAACCCGGGAGGCAGAGGTTGCAGTGAGCCGAGATCGTGACATTGCACTCCAGCATGGGCAACAGAGCAAGACTCTGTCTCAAAAAACAAAAAACAAAAAACAAACAAAAACAAAGAAAGAAAGAAAGAAGGACCTAAGGTATTTTATGAATAGTTTTACAGAATATTATGTGAAAAACAGAAAATACCAAAAGAAAATACAGAGAATAACAATATATTGCATTAACCTAAAGGAAAAGGAGAAAGGGGAGGGAATAAGAATTGGCTATAATATTGTAAGCTTACAAGCAGAGCAAATTTTCCTCATTTTTTCTTATTATCTATTACTTTATATTCAATCCAACAGTTGACTAAAGAGAAGAAACATTGGATCAGAAAAAAAAATGTTTGCTATATCTAAAGTTAGGGTTATTTAAAATTGTTAAATGTATCATCTTTGCTGATGAAGAAGTTTCAGGTTTCATACTGACAGTTTATAGTAAAAACGGATGTGCTGTATTACATATAATTTTTTAAGATTTTTCTTAAGGAAGTTATTCGGCGTGTTAAAAAATCTTAAAAACATGAAATATTTGAAAACATAAATTGTACCTAGTTTTTTAATAATGGCAAAGCAAATGAATGACATTCAGAAGTATTACTTTCAACAATTGATATAATATTTGAAACATATATATCCTAATTTCGTTTTAATTCTCATCCTACTTTATGCTAAAGTCAAAAAAGGGTTTGGTAAGTAATCTTTAACCCAATGCAATATCCCAGCTAATTATACATGTTTAATGAAATTATTGATAGTTCAATATATAGAAAATTATAGTCAGAGCATACTTTATGTAATAGCCAAGACCTGAAGACACTATATCCCTTCTTCTACATTCTTCATATTGATTTCTTTAGGTTTTTAAGTTAATTATTGTCAAGTATACTACCCAAGATTAAATGGATGGATCTCACCTTGGTTCCATTGCATCCGGGAATACCTTGAGGTCCTGGGGCCCCATCGTGGCCTGGCATTCCCTTTGAAAAGCGACATAACACATGTATAATATGTCTTAGATTACTTTTCAAGAGATTTCAAAGTAAAAAGTGAAATGCTACTTACAGGAAGACCTGGTGTCCCTGGAAATCCAGGAAGTCCAGGAGGACCCTATAAGAAGAAATAAAATCCTTAAACTAAATGACAACCCATAAAAATAAAATAATATCCTACCTAAGGATATTATGAAAATTATTTTAGAATAGATTTGGAAAAATTGTGTCTCACTATTTATTACTACTCATTGTTCTTTGAAACATTAGAGAAAAATCTCTTACATGTGTTTAAAAGTCTCTTTTATTGAAAACTATAAAAGAAACTTCAATTTGAGGGAGCATTGTCTTCATTGCACTTATTAGGAGCAGGCAAATTCGTGGATGAAATGTCTCTTCTAATGGATAAGGATCTCCCAGGTTTGTGATGAAAAATTAATTCAGCAGGGGATGGGGGAGTGGCAAATATATTTCCACTGAAGACATTAATAGTGATCACCCCCAAAATTCTTAAATTTCTCTGTCATGATTGGCAAAAATACAAGTTTGACAATATTCTCTGTAGGTGAGACTATGGTGAAAAAGTATTCTCATATACTGCTAATGAAGATTCAAACTCTATGGAGAGAAATTTGAAAATATCTAGCAAAATTACCCATGCATTTGCCCTTTGACCTAGCATTTCACTTCTAAGAATCTGTCCTGAAGATACCCTAGAAATTATGAAACAAAATATGAGAAACAAAGTTAACAATTGCAGCATTATTATAGCTAAAGTTTAGAAACAACCATGTAACCAGTTATAGTTAAAATTAGAAACAACTTGATATGGTTTTGCTGTGTCCTCACCCAAATCTTATCTTGAATTGTAGCTCCCATAATTCCCACGTGTTGTGGGAGGGACCCGGTGGGAGATAATTGAATCATGGGGGTGGTTTCCCCCATACTGTTCTTGTGATAGTAAGTCTCACGAAATCTGATGGTTTTATAAGGTGTTTCCCCTTTCGCTTGGCTCTCATTTTCTCTTGTCTGCTGCCATGTATGATGTCCCTTTGCTCTTCCTTCATCTTCTGCCATGATTGTGAGGCCTCCGGAGCCATGTGGAACTGTGACTCCATTAAACCTCTTTCCTTTATAAATTACCTAGTCTTGGGTATGTCTTTATAAGCAGTGTGAGAACAGACTAATACACAACTCAAATGACCACCAATAGGAACATGACTAAATAAATTATGGCACATTCACATAATGTAAAACTATGATTACTATGTAAAAACTAATGATTACCTCTCAGAGGAAGATTAAAACACTAGGGAAATGGCAAGAATGAAAGAGAAGCATCTCTGACTACACCTTGTCTTATAAAACCACGTAGATGTTTTAAATAATTTAAAATTTTAAAAAAGGTAAAAAGGAAATCATTAAAAATGAAAAATAAATTGGATCCAGTGTACGTCTGTTTCAAGTTGTTGACAAAACCATACAGAGAAAAGAATTACTTCAAGTGCCTTTCATCAAACATGGTATCTTAACTCTAATTCTTTAGCAAAACTGGTCAATTCAAAGGGGGAAAACTCAACAAAGAAATAATTAATGGTTTTCAAGAATCCTATTATCCTATCATCACTATTAAAATTTAAATTTTTATTTTGTTAAGTTATACATTGTTATTTTAAAGCATATTGTAGGAAATAGGCATATTGTAGGAAAAAGCAAATAAGAAATTACATTTATGATATTAGGAATGAACATTTTCACCTCAATAGAGAGAGAGATGAGGGGAAGAGATAATAAGTATACAAAACCTTTCTTAATTTTAAATTGCAATTGGAAGCAATAATATGAACTCATGTTAATTTTTCTCTTAAAAATACATATTTCCACTGAGAAGACATTGAAACAGTGACAAATCGAGTAGCAATAAAAACCGCTCACTTTGGGAGGCCGAGGCGGGTGGATCACGAGGTCAGGAGATCCAGACCATCATGGTTAACACAGTGAAACCCCGTCTCTAATAAAAATCACAAAAAATTAGCCGGGCGTTGTGGTGGACGCCTGTAGCCCCAGCTACTCGGGAGGCTGAGGCAGGAGAATGGCGTGAACCCGGGAGGCGGAGCTTGCAGTGAGCCAAGATCGCGCCACTGCTCTCCAGCCTGGGCGACAGAGCGAGACTCCGTCTCCAAAAAAGAAAGAAAGAAAAAAAAAAAACCCTAACATTCAGGCTGTGGTATCTAAATCACATTTTTCACTAAAAAGAACCTGGAATCAGAGATATGTCCCATTTCAGATCTAAAGGGGAAATGCCAAGGATGAGCATGAAAGAGCTTGTTGTGTCAAAAAGGGAGAAGTTATGAAAGATCAATGGAGTTTTCTGAAAAGAGCACAGGACAGGAGTCAACTTTAAAAGGCTTTCACAGGCAAAAGATGGGACAAATTGGCCTTCAAAAAAATGACTAAAATTGATTGAAACACACAAATTCCATGTGCATATAATGAAAAAAAAAAAAAGTTGAAGAATTTTCCTTGATGACCACTTGAAGTTTCTGGTGTAGCAACTCATTGTCCTATTAGAATTCCAGCTAATAAATGAATGATTAATAGAATTTTAAAAATCAGCATCTTGCAAGTCTGAGCAAAATAATGACCATCCATGGGTGCCAAATCATTAGTCAAAGTTGACAGGGAAATTTTTGATGGCAGAATCAGGCTAATGTTATCTGAGACTACTGATCAAACCTAACATCAAAAAAAAAAAAAAAAAAGAAGAATAGCCTGATATTCATGCTGCATAATGTTATTCAATAGTTAAGTTCACAACACTACCTATAAAGTATACTTTTTCCTATTTTCTTTAATGTTATTGCAGTATGATTTATGCACAGCAAAATATACTAATCTTAAGCGTACAGTTCTGTACCCCCAGAAAGTTCTTTAGTGCCTCTTCCAAGGCAACGTGAAATTTGCAAGAAATATGGGGGACAGAGGAACAATTTAAATGACATCATGAGGAAACAAATCAGCCAAATTCAGAATGTGGAATGCAGTACAATGACCCAGTTTTTCTGATGGCATAGTAAAACAAGCTTAATAAACAGCAACCCAAAGCAATACGTGGAACTTGCTTGGGTTGTAAATTGAATAAACCATTGTAAAAGGACATCTTTCAGACAACTGAGGAAAACTCAATGTGGACTGAACGTCAGAGTACTGAAAAACTATTCCTAATGTTTAAAGGTATGATGATGGTTTAGTTGTTACGTGGTTGTTAGAGGGACATGCTGAAGTTTTCATTGGTAGAATGAATGATGTGAGGGATTTACTTTAAAATACTTCAAAAAATAAAGTGGTAAGGTATATGTTAAACAAAACTATCAAAATGTTGTTCATTTTTGAAGCTGGGTGATGGGTTCATGGGGGTTCATTATACTATATGCTCTGTACATTTGTATACATTTATCAGTTTCCACAATAATGTCTTCAAAATTCTGCGTGTCAAGAATTGCCTGTGAGCTGACACCTGAGGATGCAGAAACTATCAGGCCACCTATTCCCAAGCACTCTTGGAGTTCTAGTTGAGGGACATGGAGTATCCAAGCAATCTCAAACACCTGCAATGGAAACTGAGAAAATAGCCAATTCTTTTTAGTCTCAATAGTGCTTAGAATATAGAATATAGTTAATGTTAACTATAGGGATATTAAAAATTATTTTTATTATTATAAAGAGCTTTAATAGTATATTGATATCAATTTTTAACAGAAAAATAAAGAATTATGTCTGCTGAAATAAACTAAGGGTTTTAAGTTTCTTCCCTGCTTCTCCAGTACCCTATCCGTATCAGTCACAAGATGCACATAAGGCAAGCTACATGATGTTAAGAAGTATATAGCAAACAGAATGTTTTTAATGTTTGTAAAATTATGCATCTACTAAATTTCTGATGATCAAATGGTTATCTTTGTCACACACGTAAACATGCTATGTCACCAACTATATATTTTATTTTCAAATTAGAGAGCTTCATCAATCTATGAACACAGTATTTCAGAGCTAAAAGGGACCTTGGAGATTGTTCTCTTTAGCTCTCTTAAGTTAACAAATGAAGAAACTGAGGGTCAGAAAGCTAAATGTGATTTTTTAAAAGCCAGTACTATTTTTTAAACTACAGTTTCCTCTCAGTTGTAAAATACACTGTAAGACATATGTCAACTTAAAAGCTTTTGAGAAAAAATTATACTAAATGTACATTTCAATTTTGAGATGCATCCTTATTTTTCAGAGCCTCAAGACTTGAAAAGTCATGCACGTTAGATTTGAAGAAATGCAGTATTCCAAAAATAGTTATTCTTTAATACAGTGGTTTAAACTAAACTTATTCTCTTCTAGATACACAAAAAAATGATAATGTTTATACATGGTACACTAGGAGGATACACAGCCTGAGGTAACCAGCCTTCTGGACCTAGGCTGAGATAATCACACTGGTTAGGAAGTTCTGGTTTAAACCAACTATATGATATAGATTTTTAATTAAATGACAAACTTTAGAATTTAGGACTTTCATAATTCTCAACCATAAGCTACTTTAAAATCCTTTTATATTAAATAGACATATATATAAAAATATATGTAATAGCTATCAAAATACTAAAGAAGTGCTAGTTATAGACATATACCAACTCTTAAATTTAACTTTTTGAAGACTGTATTTATCTTCTTGGCTTTTAATATGGGTCTTTTCCAATTGTCTCATAATACTTCATTTGTTCTCTATCTGTTTCCACCAACAAAGTATTTGATATAGAGAAAATACTACTTACTCTGATTCCTTTTGGTCCTGGTGGCCCTGGAATTCCATCATCACCCTGAAAAATGCAATATTTTTAGGTTTTTGTCCGTCAAAAAAGTCCTCAAATAACTCATTTTCAATTATAAAATAGGAGATTTAAACTACTGTAAACATCTGTGAAAGTTAGTGAAAAACTTATACACCCAAGGAAGAAGCATTTATTATTGAGACTGAAAGCACTGAGGTAAATTGTATGACCCAAAATAAGAAAGGCCTTTATTTCCTGAGAAGGAAATCGCTGACATATGAATCAAACTCTATACCTGTACAGTTAATTATGAATCATACAAGAAAACAAAGATAAAATATTGATATAGTCATTCCCCAAATAATTTATTCGTAAACAAAATAGGAGCTGAAAATCTGGGCAGTTCCCATATTATGTTAATCTGCTTGCCATGCTGGTATAATGAGCATCATCTCTGAGCCTAAATATGTGCTGTTCTTGAATTTGCTGTTTTCAAACCTCTGCTTTGTTTTATAATGCACTTTGTATTGGCAGAGCGTAAGAACGATTTAAAAAGAACCATAAACTTTCCTTCCTAGCTGTCAGTTCCATGCAAAAGAACCTACCCATGTGTGTATGTTAACATATGTACCCATTTCTAGTCACAACCGCATTGCTGAGAATTTAGTCTTACCTCACTGAGTTTTCGTTAACTATTTTCTTTAAAAAAATAGAATTAAAAAACCTAATTCTGCTCCAAGAAAAAGGAACTTTTAATAGCAAAAAATTGAAACCTACCTAAATAATCATCAATAGGGGACTGGCTTAATAATTTATGGTTTATACATACAATGCTAAGTTATGGTTCATATATACAATGAAATACAATGCAGTTATACAAAATGAGGAGGTTCTGTATATATTGATAATAGGATGTCTACAATGTATATTAAATTAAAAACAAAGGTCAAACAGTGTGTTTAATGTGCTACTATTTTACAAACAAAGGTGGTTAAAGTGTGTGTGGGTAACTCAGGGACTAATGGACACAGGTGAGAAGGAGATCTTTCATTGTATACCCTCTTAACTTGAGTGACATGAACGTACTGCCTATCAAAATTAACTAAATTTGATTTTTTAGAATAAAAAACCTTTGGAAAATTGCGAGTGTGCATATTAAAGAATACTCCTACAAGTTTTTTGACTTAGTATATATGTTAACATACACATGTACCAGAATACCCAATCACATAAAAGGTATAAATTCAGCCATTTGGGGAAACATGGAGTCATACTGGATGCAGAAGTACACAATGCTTCAAATTCAGAATCCTGAAAGTTTAGAAAGCAGTTTACCTTCTCTCTTTTTAGATAACTGAAATGAAATCACAAAAAAAGATTGGACTGCTTTCTAAACTTAACCTGCATACAAGCACACCTTTATAAATGATCATGTTATTGTAGAATAGTCCTAGTTAATACTAAATTATTTCAAAGGAATTCTAATTTAGGTAACTTATTTTAATTTAATACAAATCTTTATTAAAACTACCATCTCTCAGCAAGCATGGGGTGCAAGAAACTCAGTCCCTAATCCCAAGTAAACTCAGATACAAGAAATGTAACTTTTCCTGTAGCTTAACTTAATTTCTCTTCCAAAACACCTATTTCTATAACATGGCTGAAGTTTAATCTCAGTCCATTGGAGTTGCCACCTCATTTTCACAAGATCGTGTCTAAGTTTTGGAGAACTTAACTAGCTCCAATATGTTGAGGAGTGTGACAGTGTAGTCCAAGCTGGTATTCATTGAGTTGTTCCATGCCAATAGTATGCATAGATTGCTGCCAAGTTACTGCTCAATTCCATCCACTTGACTCTTTCAGATATCTCTGATACTTCTGTGCTACTCCTGGGTGCACAAGAATCATTCTGTTGCTCTTGCTCTTGATGTGCCATTAGACACAGGAAATTCAGCTGAGTAGTTCATCCACCAAAATTGTATGCACACATTCAGGGTCCTGCTGTTTTCTAAGTACTAAAGTTCTACTTGGGAAATTTAGCACAGGTCCCTTCTGCTCTTGAATCTAACAAAACTACCTGATGTAATCCTATTTTCCCAGAGATCATGACCAACATTCTCCCCAAATCTAAGCTCTGATTATAGTTAAGTGTTAAAAAATATTCATGCATTTAAATTAATTTTCTCCCTTTACTGGAAGACTACCTGGTGAGTATCCATTTGATTTCCTTAATATTGTAACAACATGATGTACCACCATCATATAAAATAATAAAATTAAGAAAAAGGGTTTTAAGCCAGTTTTCCTTTCCAGGCAAATGAGGAGAAGTAGCCCTTTCATATATCAATTCATCAGTCTACCTAATACAGATGGAAAAAGGCACTAAGCCAAAAGAGTCATTAAAAAAAAAAACCCAGAAAATTCTCTGAGTCTTAAGTTCACTATTATCTCTTCCAATTCTATATCTTAATATGCACATTGAGATGCTATTCTTGCTCATGGTATAGGACAGACTGCCCACATGGCAGTCAAAAGACAGAGTCCCCACAACTGATAGGTTGAGACTACCTCCAGATCCATGAGCTGATCCATGGGGCTGATCCATGGGGCTGGAAGGTAGGGATCTAACCTCTCTTCCCTTTCTCCTACAGACTAACCTTGTGACTTCCACCTTACTAAATTCATTGATTGCCTGTCCCGGGTAGTTCACAAGATTCTGATTTTGACAAACTAATGGATATGTCACCTATCGCTGAACCCTGCAGATAAACATCTGATTGCTGTGCTGCTGAATATTACGAATGGACGTTTCTCTAAACATGGACCATTTTAGTACTTCATGTACCCTAACTTTATTACACTGGATCTGACAGATTGCAACAATTGACTCTGATACCACAGGAAGAAAATACCTCCTGGGATGTCAGCTCACTCCTGTCCCATATGGAAGCAATTGAATTATCTGGGAAAAGGGACATATGATCTGCCATTGGAGCCATTTTGGCCTCGATGGTGGTGGCAATTTATTTCTCTATTTCTGCCTCCACCTTACACAAATTTTTCAATTCCACTCAAGTACTCTGCTCACCAGGAGGGACTTCTGGCTGGTTGATCTCCATGGTAACCAATGACTCTTACATTCCCAGAACTGTGTGCACTCTTCTTGGGGTATTATTTCTTTTATAAAAATCAGGCTTTCAACATTCCTACCAATGTAACATACATAATAGGACATTGATAAGAGATACTCAAATATTCAAAACAGTCCCTCCCATTAAGCATATAACATTACATAAAACAAAATGAGAACTCCAAAACTAGATAGACTCCGGTTATTCAGGAGAATTGCCAGCTGGCATTACCTACTGTCTACTCATGGGAATACTCCAGACAACTTTTCTCACTGTGAGCATCGCTCAATTAGAAAAGGTTGTCCGCAACCTGTCTTTGACCCTTGCTGAGGTCATTAATGACATTACTTCAGCTTTGGAAACAAAACAGACTAGCCTCAACTCCTTGGCCCACATAGTGTTAGCTAACCATATAGCCCTTAGCTGCCTGCTGGCCAACTGTGAGGGGTCTCTGGAATTGCCAGCACCTCATATTGCACCTAGATCAATGAAAACTGGCAAAGTAGAACAATCCATCATAAGACTTAAGAAAAAAGCCTCCTGGCTCTCTAACGTAGATCAAGTGGGCTATGGGACATCTATTACTGGCTTGGCAATAGCTGGGGCTCATGCTTACATTCAGTTCTCCAAGCAGGCCTGTTCATCCTGCTTAGAACATGATTGATCATGACCATAATCTACTGTGGCCTCAGATATTATCCTGTTTTTTGACAGAGCCCTTTAAAGTCCAACCCATTCAGGTCCATGATGGGGCAGCTTATGTTTCTCACTCAGGTCCTGAAAAATCAAGGTATGGAATTGAGAATATGGCTCTTGTCTAAACACCTATGACTGTTCGGGTCCAACCAAAGTCCTCTTGGTAGGCCTCATAAGGGACAGCTACCCTCCACACAGCAAACTTGGTGCACAGCTAATGCACTGCAATCTCTGAAGTATCAGTCAAAGATTCAGGCTACCATGGCTGGCTGTGCTCAACTGCATTTCTGCATTTAAAGGCCTCTTTTGGTGGAGACCTTCTTATGAGAGGAGAAAGAAACCATAAAAATACTTTTTCTGCACTCTGATTCAGTACGTTTCCATCCTAGCTCTTCTCCTTCTCCCACCCTGCCCCTGGGTCCATACAACTGCAGGAGCTTTTCGTTCTGAGCTCCCTCAGCAGTCAAATGATTTCCAACATCTGTGCTGATCCATCTGACCTTTGCTGATGCTGCACCATGGGGACAAATAGAACAGTGGGGGAGTCAGCACTTTCTCCAGTTTAACTTTCTGCTTATAATATTGCAGTAAGTGAGTAAAGGTTTGACTGTTACTTTCATTTTGGCTTCTTCTCTTAATCAGCTACTCTAACAACTGGTAATTCAGCTCTCTCCAGCTCAGCTAAGCTCTTGACAGAACTTAATTTTTGTGAAGGCAGCCAATAACTACAAACAA
Source organism: Homo sapiens (assembly GCF_000001405.40). Classification (NCBI taxonomy): domain Eukaryota; kingdom Metazoa; phylum Chordata; class Mammalia; order Primates; family Hominidae; genus Homo; species Homo sapiens. Next base: position 108,559,367 of record NC_000023.11, on the reverse strand, counting down.
TCAACAGCATCTTCCAAAAGCATCTGAATATGGCAGTAATATTTAGTTTTTTAACAAAATACAATAAAGTACAGACTCCCCGTCATTCCATTGTTTCATTTACATATTAGTTTCTTGCTATAATTCAGTAACTTTTTAGTTGATGTGACACCTAGTCCCACATTTAAGATGACTTAATTCATCTGGCATTACTGGTTGGCAACATGATACATACCTTTTGTCCCCGAGGCCCCGGAGGCCCTTCTGGACCTGGAAATCCAGGCAATCCTGGGTGTCCTTCCAAACCTGGAAACCCTCTCTCTCCCTGCAATTAAATGAGAATGAAAGGTAAGGTCATTTGTGAATTTTCAAGCACAGGCATGGTTGAGATTCAAAAAGATCACATGACTATCTAGACAAAACTAACTTAATTTAATTATGTAAATTCACAGTATCTACTAACATGGGAAAACCTGTTAAGATGTGGGGGGAGAAAACACAAACCGTCTGGAAGTTATATCATATGTGGTAATCTCTTTCTTTCTTGTAAAAGTAAAAAGCATATCAGAGATGAAATGAGATTTAAACATACTGACATCAAGAGTTTAATAGGGAAGATAGCAATAAATCCAGGAAACCAGATCTGTAAGGGTTACATTAAATAAGTATGGAGCAGGGAAGGGTAAAAGGAAACCATCAGAGAAGCTCCCAGACTTGAAATTAACCAGAAAAAAACCTTCAAAACATCAAAACTTTTATTACTTTTTCTAATTGTAAAATTAATACTAAAAATGAATACATATTCAATGTAGAAAACAAAAGTATAAAGAAAATACCACCATTAATTCCTTTACTCAGAATAATTACTTGAATTGTGACTCAGGTCTCAGTTCTAACCGCAGCCTTTATCATCACCAGGACAGGAAGACTGCCTATCTACCAGTGAGGACCCATCATATCTTATCAGCACCTTTACAGTAGGGTTGCCTGATGTGAATATCTGTACAGTCAGAAAGGTGGGGAAGCAGAGCCAGCATGTGTACTAATGCTATTTGGATTAACATATTAGGGTTAGTTAATCTGCATATAGCCAATCCTAGTAAGGGTGTAAACTCCAAAACTAGGGGATCCAGTTACACAAAGATAATTCATCACTATGAAGTTTAAGAACCCCGAAGGCTCAGAATGATGGTTTCCAACTTTAAAAAACCAAACACCGCATGTTCTCACTCATAGGTGGGAATTGAACAATGAGAACACTTGGACACAGGAAGGGGAACATCACACACCGGGGCCTGTTGTGGGGTGGGGGGAGGGGGGAGGGATAGCATTAGGAGATATACCTAATGTAAATGATGAGTTAATGGGTGCAGCACACCAACATGGCACATGTATACATATGTAACAAACCTGCAGTTGTGCACATGTACCCTAGAACTTAAAGTACAAAATATATATATATATAAAAGAACCCCGAAGGACAGCTTCATGGCACGTGCTCCCAACTACAGGGTTACAAGTAGTTCCTCCACTTTTCTAAGGCTCGAAGGCTGCCTCTGGTCAGACCTCATTCTGGGAACCCTCTTAACAGATCCTACCCACAGTGACAGCCTGGACAGCACGTGAGAAAGAGAAAGCATCCATATCTACTAGGTGGCTGACTAAGGGGCCATTGAAGACACATATCTCTAGAGGTTAAGGTACAGCACACTTTTATTTCTACTCTGAAAGTGTGTGTGTGTGTGTGTTTTGTAAGTACTAAGTTTAGTCTAAAAAGCTTAGATGATTTTATGCTGAATAATTCAACAAACATCCTATAATAAATATAAGTACTTTGAAAAGACTACTGGTCAGTTTCCACTTTTCATTTCAAAGTTAATGAAGCTAATTTTAGTCAATTAATGATAGATGGCAACATTCCTGTAGTTTTGACAATAATTATTACTGACATATTACTACACTTCTTATTTTCTAGACATATATCCCCTTGTTGTTTTAATTAGTGTTTAAATTATGATAATTTAGTATTCATCAACCTCAACACAATTGTTTTTGAGGAAATAAAACAAGAGGAAGAAATTAAAAGTTTTAAAATTTTTAGAGCTAGATTCCCTCAAATTATTACTGGCAGAGCTAGTAGTAGAAATCTGATCACAAGTTTCAGTCAGAAAGAAAGCACAAAGGAAAAAAAATCTAGTTACAGTAGATTTTCATGAGGGGAAAACAGGTACATTTTGGGATCTCAGCTGGTATTTACAGCATATCTCTGCCAAAACTGGAGGATAATACTTGAAGAAAGCCATATTTTCTCAGAAGCAAAACTGCTATCTCGCCTACAGATAAGAGAGGAATAAGCTAAAAATTTTAAGTGGAGGTGCTAAAAAGCTTAATTTTGTTGATATTAATAAAACCATATACCTATAAATGATATATCCTGAAATCTCCTTGCACTACAGTCAAATAATATCATGGTCCTATCTAGCAGAGTGAGCAATATTATAGTAAAGAAGAGAGAAGGGCAACTACCAGACAGTAGCAAAAGGAATTCAAAGATCAATACCACAGCCTTTGAAAGGTACTAAGGTTACTAAGTAGAAATTATAGAAGCCTTGAGCGAGGATGTGGTGGGGATGGGATCCTCCACCTAATTCCTAATACATATGGTAGGGAAGGTTGACGTTTGTTGTTGCCTACTCTTTGCTGCCTGTTGTTAGGCACTCGTTTAATCCTTACAACTACTGTAGATTTTCCTGTAATTTGCTAACACTCACAAACAGAAAATGGCTATTTCTAAAGGTCAAACTTAAAAAAAACCGGTTTATGCTGCCTGCCCATATTTGCATAAAAATATCATTCGTATTTTCCTTTGTGCAATAATATTTCTCTCTCTCTGCCTATCCTTTAAATACTGGTATTACACTGGATTCCTTTTTTGATCTTCTCTCTCTTTACCCGGGAATCTAAAATATCAACTCTTTTTACTAAAAAACTAGGCTCTCATAGGCAACTGTCTGAAACATCTTCACTTGAATGCATACAGGCACCTAAAACTCAATGACAATAATAATAGCTAACATGTATTTAGTGTTTTCTATATACCAAATAATTACTCTAAACTCTTTCCATGTTTTATCTTATTTAATACTCTCAATGATAATATGAGGTAGACATTATTATTTCCATTTTATATATGAAGAATCAGGACAAGGAAAAATTTTGTAATTTTCCTAAGAACAAACTTGATATAAACAACACTGAATTCATGTTCTACTGTCTTCTCCATTCCAGGAAATAGCACAACCCAACTACCCCAGCCAGAAATTTGTAATAACTTTAACTCCCCTCGAATTACTACTTCATTAATCAATTATATCTTCTTCAACTTTGTATTCTTAGTGCCCAACAGAACAAATACTCAGTAAATTCTCATTCAATGAATAAACTTCCTTAATGGATTAAATAAAATATATGGCATACACTTTTGTCAAAAGTTAAAAACATGTAAGATTTAGGGCTAGGGGAAATTATACAAAGGATAACTTTTAGTGGTTTATATATCATTTATTAAGAAGAATAAAAATCTAATGTACTGAGAAGTAGACTAGTTTGTGAGTTAAAGGCATCCATAAAAGTGTTACCATCTTCAGGAAGCGCACTTTATAATGACAATAAGACAGTTGTATAATCATGCCACTTTAAAATAAAAAAGCATTTTAAGAATAGTTTCTCAAGGAAGAAAAATTAAACAGGAAAATATTAGAATTCTGAGGATAGGAAAAATACAAAATAGGACAAACTGCTGTAATAATAATTGAGATTAAAATTACTTCAGATTATAATATTGTAAAAATGCAGACATTATATGAACATATTTATATAAACATGTGGAGAAGGCAAGACCCTTAATGAATAAATGAAAATGATAATTTAATTAGGTAATGCAATTATAGGCAATTCGGTTCTCTTTTTTGCATAATACCTATTTTGTTTTTGTAGTTATGTAGAACTAGAAATATTTGATGTATTACAATTGGTAGAACAAGAAAATAGACCTTTGGCGACTGTCAAAATGGAGATACTCTAAGTCAGATATAAAACTTTAGCTTGCATTAGAACCACTTGGAGACCTTATTAAAACACACATTACCTGGCCCTGACACCAGAGTTAGATTGAGTAGGTCAGCTGCAAAGCTTGAGATTTAGCATTTCTAACCAGCGCCCAGTAAATGCTGATGCCACTGACAGAGGCACACTTTGTTTAGTTAATGTTTGATTGTGTCACAGATTTTACATTGTCAACTGGTTAACTTGATCTCATCAGGGGTCTAGCAAGTTTTCTTTGTTTATTAATATGCACTTGGACACATTTCTTTTAGGGAAATCTAGATGTTTTATTTCTATGTTAAAAACATATGTTTTAAAAGCAGTTTTACTGAAGTATAATTAACATAGAATAAATCATACATGCGTAGAGTATACTATTTTAAAAGTTTGGGGTTTTTTGTTTGTTTTGGGGGGTGGTTATTTGAGACAGGATCTCACCTTGTTGCACAGGCTGGAGTGCTGTGGCACAAACACAGCTCACTGCAGCCTATACCTCCTGGGCTCAGGTGATCCTGCCAGCTCAGCCTCCCTGAGTAGCTGGAACTACAAGTGTGTGCCACCATGCCCAGCCAATTTTTATATTTTTTGTAGAGACAGGGTTTCACCATGTTGCCCAGGTTGATATCAAACTCCTGGGCTCAAGCGATCCACCTGCCTCAGCCTCTCAAAGTGCTGGGATTACAGTTGTGAGCCACCATGCCTGGCCAAAAGTTTTGACACATATATACACCAGTGAAACGGATTTGGCTCTGGGTCCTCACCCAAATCTCATCTCGAGTTGTATACCACATAATCCCCAAGTGTTGAGGGAGGAACCTGGTGTGAGATGACTGGATCATGGGGCCAGTTTCCCCCACACTGTTCTCCTGATAGTGAGTGGGTTCTCACAAGATCTGATGGTTTTATAAGGGGCTCTTCCCTCTTTGCTCCTCACTCTTCTCTTTCCCGCTGCCTTGTGAAGAAGGTGCCCGCTTCCCCTAAGCCTTCTGCCATGACTGTAAGTTTCCTGAGGTCGCACAGCCATGCGGAGCTGTGAGTCAATTAAACTTCCATTGTTTATAAATTACCCAGTCTTGAGTATTTCTTTATAGCAGTGCAAAGATGGACTAATACAGAAATCATCACCACAATCAAAATAATGAGCATAGCCAATCCATTACAAAAGCTTCTTTGTGCCCATATCTTCCTTATGCCTATATCCATCTCCCTACTCCTACCCACCCCAGGCTATTAGAGATCTGCTTTCTGTCACTGTAGATTAATTTGCATTTTCTAGAATTTTATATAAATGGAATTATAAAGAATGTACTCTTTTTGTCTAACTTTTCAGTCAGCATAATTACTTAGAGATTCAAACTTGTTATGGTGAATATCAATAGTTCATTACTTTTTATTGTTGAGTAGTATTCCATTGTAGAGGTATACTGCAATGTGTTGATTCATTTACCTGTTGATGGGAAGTTGAGTTGTTTCCAGTTTCTGGCTATTACAAATAAAGCTACTATGAATTTTCAAGTACAAGTTTTTATAGGCATACGCTTTGATGTCTCATGGGTAAATGCCTAGGAATCAACAGGGTCATTTAATAGGTGTTTAACATTTTATGAAATTGCCAAACTGTGTAGATCATTTTCCACTTATACCAATAATCTATAATTGTTCCAGTTGCTTCCACATTCTCATCTATACTTGCTTTGGCTAAAAGTTTTTATTAGATATTCTAACAGGTTTATGGTGGCATCTCATTGTGGTTTTCTCTTGCATTTCCCTAATTAATAATGTTGAGGATCTTTTCGTGTATCTATTTGCCATCTATATATCTGCTTTTATTTAAGTGTCAAAATATTCTTCCAATTTGTTTATAATTAAATTTTATGTGGAGCTGTATGTTTTATTATTAAATTTTTAGAGTTCTTTATATATTCTGGATACAAGTCTTCTATCAGATATGTAATTTGCAAATATTATTTTTCCTGCACTGTGGATTATCTTTTTATTCTTTTAACAATACTTTTAGAGGAGAACAAGTTATTACTTTTGAGGAAATACAACTTAACAGTATTTTCTTTGGTGGATCGTGTTTTTGATATCAGATCTAGGAAATATCTGCCTAACCCAAAGTCACAAGGATTTTCCCCTTTGTTTCCTCCTTAAAGACTTTAAGGTTTAGATTTTACATCTAGGTCTATGATGCATTTTGAGTTAACTTTTATATAAAGTGTGAGCCATTTTTGTGCATACGCATATGCAACCCTTCCAGGACTATTTATTGAAAAGACTTTCTCCACTACCTTTGCATTTTTGTCAAAAAACAGATTCACTATTTACCTGTGAGTCTCTATTATGTCCCATTCATCTATATGTCTATCATTTGGCTAATAGCACACTATCTTGTTTACTGTGGTTTTATACTAAGTCTTGGAATTGTGTACTGTAAATCCTCCAACATTGTTTTTTATAAAAGCTGTATTTGTATTTCCATCTAACTCTTAGGATCAGCTTGTTAAATTTGTAGCCCCAGAAAACCACAAGAATTTTGATTGGAGTTGCACTGAATCTATAGATAAATTGGGGCCAATTGTCAACTTAACAATATTGAGTCTTCCAATTCATGAATATGATATATATCTCCATTTATTCAGGTCTTCTTTTATTTCTCACCGCAATATTTTTTGTAGTTTTCAGGGTATGAGACTTGCACATTTTTGTCTGATTTATTCCTAAGTATCTCAAATTTTTGTTGTTATTTTAAATGGCACTATTATAATTCCAATTTACTACTTTTCATTGTTAGATTATGGACATATGACTGATTTTTTTTCAAATGTTCATAACAACTTTATTCATAATATTCCCAAATTGGAAAAGAAAAACAAAAGCAGATGTCTTTTAATGGGTGAATGGTTAAACAAACTTTGGTGGATCCATACCATGGAATACTAAGCAATAAAAAGGAAATAACTATTGATACATGCAGCAACTTGGATGCTTCTCAAAGGAATTATGCAGAGTGACAAAAGTCAGTCTTAAAAAGTTACATACTTTATGATTCCATTTGTATAACATTTTTTTTTTACCTACTTTTAGGTTCGGGGGTACAGGTGCAGGTTTGTTACATGGGTAAATTGCATGTCACTGAGGTTTGGAGTACAAAGGATCCCATCACCCAGGTAGTGAGTGTCGTACTGATAGGCAGTTTTTCAACAGTCTCCCCAACATCTTCCCCCACTAGTAGTCCCCAGTGTCTATTGCTGCCATATTTATTTCCATGTGTACTCAATATTTAGCTCCCACTTATTAGTGAGAACATGTGGTATTTGGTTTTCTGTTCCTGTGTTAATTAGCTAAGGATAATGGCTTCCAGTTGCATCCATGCTGCTGCAAAGGACATGATTTCATTCTTTTTTATGGCTGCATAGTATTTCATGGTGTATATGTAGCACATTTTCTTTAGTCCACCACTGATGGGCATCTAGGTTGATTCCATCTTTGCTATTGTGAATAGTGCTGTGATGAACATATGAGTGCACGTGTCTCTTCAGTAGAATGATTGCTTTTACTTTGCGTATACACCTAGTACTGAGATTGCTGGGTTGAATGGGAATTCTGTTTTAAGTTCTTTAAAAAATCTCCAAACTGCTTTCTACAGTGGCTGAACTGATTAAAGAATCTCCAAACTGATTTCTACAGTGGGTGAACTAATTTAAATTTACACCAACAATGTGTAAGAATTCTCTTTTCTCTGCAACCTCACCAACATCTGTTTTTAACTTTTTAATAATAGCCATTCTAACTTTTTAATAATAGCCATTTTAACGGAGACAATGGTATCTCATTATGACTTTAATTTGCATTTCTCTGATGATTAGTGACATTGAGAATTTTTTCACATATTTGTTGCCCATATGTATGTCTTCTTTTGAGGCGTATGTGTTCATGTCCTTTGCCCATTTTTGAATGGGGTTATTTATTTATTTATTTATTTTCTTGCTGAATTGTTTAAGTTCCTTATAGATTCTGGATATTAGATCTTTGTTGGATGCATAGTTTGCAAATATTTTTGCACATTCTGTAGGCTGCTGGTTTACTCTGTTGATAGTTTCTTTTGCTATACAGAAGCTCTTTAGTTTAATTAGGTCACACTTGTCAATTTTTGTTTTTGTTGAAATTGCTTTTGGGAACTTAGTCATAAATTATTTCCCAAGGCCAATGTCTAGAATGGTATTTCCTATGTTTTCTTCTAGGATTTTTATAGTTTGAGGTCTTACACGTAAGTCTTTAATCCATCTTGAGTTAATTTTTGTATATGGTGAAAGGCAGGGGTCTGATTTCATTCTTCTACATATGGCTAGTCAGTTATCACAGCACCATTTATTGAACAGGGAATTATTTCCCCATTGCTCATACAACCGATTTTTATTTACTGATCTTAGTTTGTTGGTTTTGTTTATTCTGTGATCTTTCTAAACTCACTTATAAGTTTTAAGAGTATTTTAGCATATGTCATAACATTTTCTACATTGAAAAATCATGTCATCATCAAAAAAACAAAAAAAATTATTTCTTCCTTTTCAATACGGATACTTTTTCTTTTCTTTTTCTTGTCTTACTGTACTGGCAATGTTGAATAGAAATGGTGAGAGCAGATGTTCCTGAAGTTAGGAGAAAGGAACTCAGTCTTTCTCCATTGAGTACAATTTTAGCTTTAGGGATTTGGCATATGCCCTTTAAGGTTGAGGAAATCTCTTCTACTCCTAGTTTACTAAGAGTAATTTTTATTAGAAATGGATATTGAATGTCATTAAATGCATTCTTTGTTATCGATTAAGATAATTATTGGGGGTTTATATATTTATGCTCTAAATTTTGTTTTGGTCTTTAATATAGTGAGTCACAATTTTTGATTTTCAAATGTTAAACCAAACATGGATTCCTGGCATAGATCCCACTTGGTCACAACCAATCATCCACTTTATATGTTGTTGGATTTGATTTGCTAAAATTTTAATAATTTCTGTATCTATGCTCATGAGGGATACTAGTCTGTCGTTTTCTGTTTCTGTAATTTTGTCGTTGCTTGGTTTTGGTATCAGGGCTTTGCTTGCTTCACAAAATTAATTGGAGGGCATTCAATATCCCTCTATTTTCTGAATAAATTTATGCAAGATTGACACTGTCACTTGCAAAAATGTTTCATAGAATTCATCAGTAAACTCTTCTGGAACAGGAATTCTAAGTTGGAAGGGTTGATAATTCAACTTCCTTAGTATATATAGGGCTAATTTATATTTTGCTTCTTTCTTTCACTCACGCATTTATTTGTTTTTGTTTTTGGTAATGTATGTTTCTTAAGGAATTTGTCCATTTCACCTAAGCTGTCAAATTTATTGTTACAAAGTGATTTATGATAGTCCCTTATTGATCTTTTAATGGCTGTAGGAACATTCCTGATATGGGTAATTTGTGTTTTCTATTTTCTTATCATCTTTTGTGCTATCAATTACCAAATTTTGACTGTGTTTTCTATTTTTTTTGTAGTTAATATATTGTTACTTTTGTCTTTATTATTTCCTTCATTCTCTTAAATTTAATTTGCTTGTCCTTTTCTAGCTTCTAAAGTGAGAAACATAGGTCACCAATGTTAAATCTTTCTTCTTTTCTAACATAGACATTTAAATCTATTTCCCACCTATGCCCTGCTTTAACCCCATTCCAAAATTTTCAGTTTTCAACAATATGTAACTAAAATCATTTTCTAATTTTCCTTGATTTATTCCTTGGTCCAGCAGTTATTTAGAACAGTGCTTTCTAAATTCCAAATAGTAGGAATTTTCTACAAATATTATTATTTATTTCTTACTCATTCCATTGTAATAAGAGAATATACTGATATTTTTAATCTTTTGGTATTTAGAGGGTCTCATTTTGTGACCTATCACATAGTCTACACTGGTGAAAATTCCTTGGCTCTTGAAAAAAATTATATTCTGTAGTTGTTTGATGTTGGGCTCTTTTTATGTCAATAAAGCCTAAGTTGTTAAGAGTGGAACAACTGAAATAGGAGTGTTAGAATCACAACCATGATTGTGGATTTGTCTATTTCTCCCTTTAATTCTCTCAGTTTTGGCTTCATGTATTTTGAATCTCTGTTGTTACACTTGAAACAGTGCTTTCTGTTAAATAAATAGAGGAAAAGAGATATAATCCTCTTATATTTACCCGCATTTACACCATTTCTATTACTTTCCATTCCTTCCTATAAATTCACACATCCATCTAGTGAGATTTCCCCTTAGCCTGAAGAAATTTCTTTATATTTATTTTAATGCAAGCCTCTTCATGAATAATTCCCTATTTTTATTATGAGAAAATGTCTTAAATCTGCCTTTATTTTTGAAGTATATTTTAACTGTATATAATAATTGTGCTTGCAAATTTTTTTTTAGCTCTCTAACGATGTTTTCACATTGCTGTACATTATCCAATCTTTTTGATGAGAAGTCTGTCATCATTCGTATAATTGTTCCACTATACACGGTGTAAATTTTTCTCTAGCTTTTTTCAAGATTTTCTTTCAATCTCTATTTTTTCAGTAGTTTCATTATGATGGGCCTAGGTATAGTTTTCTTCGTTTTTACTTTGCTTGAGGTTTGCTGGACTTCTTATATCTGTAAATTTATACTTTTCACCAAGTGTGGAGAATTCTTGCCATTCTTAGTGCCCCATAATTTATTCTTCTTTTTGCTTCCCTGTTCTTTCTCTCCTGTCCTTAGAGGACTCCATTTATATTTGTATTAGACCATTTGACACTGTCACAGAGGTCACTGGGGTCCTATTCTGTTTTTTCTTTTTTTCATTTTCTCTTCAGTGCTCTTCAGATTCAGTTGTTTCTTCTGATTTATCTTTAAGATTACTGACTATTTCTTCTGACATCTCCATTCTATTGTTAAGCCCATAAGGTCAATTGTTTTTTCTTATATTCTGCTTTTCAAATATAAATTTTCCTTTTTAAAATACAGTTTCCAAAATGGGTGGTTCCAAGATGGCTGAATAGGAACAGCCCCAGTCTACAGCTCCCAGCGTGAGCGATGCAGAAGACAGGTAATTTCTGCATTTCCAACTGAGGTGCCAGGTTCACCTCACTGGGGATTGTCAGACAGTGGGTGCAGGACAATGGGTGCAGCGCACCGAGCGTGAGCCAAAGCAGGGTGAGGCATCGCCTCACCCGGGAAGTGCAAGGGGTCAGGGAATTCCCTTTCCTAGCCAAGGGAAGAGGGGACAAACGGCACCTGGAAAATCGGGTCACTCCCACCCTAATACTGCACTTTTCTGATGGTCTTAGCACATGGTACACCAGGAGATTATATCCCGTGCCTGGCTCGGAGGGTCCTAAACCCACGGAGCCTCGCTCATTGCTAGCACAGCAGTCTGAGATCGAACTGCAAGGTGGCAGCAAGGCTGGGGGAGGGGCGTCTGCCATTGCTGAGGCCTGAGTAGGTAAACAAAGCAGCCTGGAAGCTCAAACTGGGTGGAGCCCACCGCACCTCAAAGAGGCCTGCCTGCCTCTGTAGACTCCACCTCTGGGGGCAGGGCATAGCTGAACAAAAGGCAGCAGAAACCTCTGCAGACTTACATGTCCCTATCTGACAGCTTGGAAGAGATTAGCGGTTCTCCCAGCATGGAGCTTGAGATCTGAGAACGGACAGACTGCCTCCTCAAGTGGGTCCCTGACCCCTGAGTAGCCTAACTGGGACGCAACCCCCAGTAGGGGCAGACTGACACCTCACACGGCCGGGTACCCCTCTGAGATGAAACTTCCAGAGGAACGATCAGGCAGTAACATTTGCTGTTCACCAATATTCACTCTTGTGCAGCCTCTGCTGCTGATACCCATGCAAACAGGGTCTGGAGTGGACCTCCGGCAAACTCCAACAGACCTGCAGCTGAGGGTCCTGACTGTTAGAAGGAAAACTAACAAACAGAAAGGACATCCACACCGAAACCCCATCTGTATGTCACCATCATCAAAGACCAAAGGTAGATAAAACCACAAAGATGGGGAAAAAACAGAGCAGAAAAACTGAAAATTCTAAAAGTCAGAGTGCCTCTCCTCCTCCAAAGGAACGCAGCTCCTCACCAGCAACAGAACAAAGCTGGAAGGAGAATGACTTTGAAGAGTTGAGAGAAGAAGGCTACAGATGATCAAACTTCTTTGAGCTAAAGGAGGAAGTTCGAACCCAATGCAAACAAGTTAAAAACCTTGAAAAAAGATTAGACGAATGGCTAACTAGAATAACCAATGCAGAGAAGTCCTTAAAGGACCTGATGGGGCTGAAAACCATGGCACGAGAACTACGTGATGAATGCACAAGTTTCAGTAGCCAATTCGATCAACTGGAAGAAAGGGTATCAGTGATTGAAGATCAAATGAATGAAATGAAGTGAGAAGAGAAGTTTAGAGAAAAAAGAATAAAAAGAAACGAACAAAGCCTCCAAGAAATATGGGACTATGTGAAAAGACCAAATCTACATCTGATTGGTGTACCTGAAAGTGATGGGGAGAATGGAACCAAGTTGGAAAACACTCTGCAGGATATTATCCAGGAGAACTTCCCCAACCTAGCAAGGCAGGCCAACATTCAAATTCAGGAAATACAGAGAACGCCACAAAGATACTCCTCGAGAAGAGCAACTCCAAGACACATAATTGTCAGATTCACCAAAGTTGAAATGAAGGAAAAAAAGCTAAGGGCAGCCAGAGAGAAAGGTCGGGTTACCCACAAAGGGAAGCCCATCAGACTAACAGTGGATCTCTTGGCAGAAACTCTACAAGCCAGAAGAGAGTGGGGGCCAATATTCAACATTCTTAAAGAAAAGAATTTTCAACCCAGAATTTCATATCCAGCCAAACTAAACTTCATAAGTGAAGAAGAAATAAAATCCTTTACAGACAAGCAAATGCTGAGAGATTTTGTCACCACCAGGCCTGCCTTACAAGAGCTCCTGAAGGAAGCACTAAACATGGAAAGGAACAACCAGTACCAGCCACTGCAAAATCATGCCAAATTGTAAAGACCATTGATGCTAGGAAGAAACTGCATCAACTAACGAGCAAAATAACCAGCTAACATCATAATGACAGGATCAAATTCACACATAACAATATTAACATTGAATGTAAATGGGCTGAATGTTCCAATTAAAAGACCCAGACTGGCAAATTGGATAAAGAGTGAAGACCCACCAGGGTGCTGTATTCAGGAGACCCATCTCATGTGCAGAGACACACATAGGCTCAAAATAATGGGATGGAGGAAGATCTTCCAAGCAAATGGAAAACAAAAAAAGGCAGGGGTTGCAATCCTAGTCTCTGATAAAACACACTTTAAACCAACAAAGATCAAAAGAGACAAAGAAGGCCATTACATAATGGTAAAGGGATCAATTCAACAAGAAGAGCTAACTATCCTAAATATATATGCACCCAATACAGGAGCACCCAGATTCATAAAGCAAGTCCTTAGAGACCTAGAAAGAGACTTAGACTCCCACACAATAATAATGGGAGACTTTAACACCCCACTGTCAACATTAAACAAATCAACAAGACAGAAAGTTAACAAGGATATCCAGGAATTGAACTCAGCTCTGCACCAAGCAGACCTAATAGACATCTACAGAACTCTCCACCCCAAATCAAAAGAATATACATTCTTCTCAGCACCACACCGCACTTACTCCAAAATTGACCACATCATTGGAAGTAAAGCACTCCTCAGCAAATGTAAAAGAACAGAAATTATAACAAACTGTCTCTCAGACCACAGTGCAATCAAACTAGAACTCAGGATTAAGAAACTCACTGAAAACTGCTCAACTACATGAAACTGAACGACCGGCTCCTGAATGCCTACTGGGTACATAAGGAAATGAAGGCAGAAATAAAGATGTTCTTTGAAACCAACGAGAACAAAGACACAACATACCAGAATCTCTGGGACATATTTAAAGCAGTGTATAGAGGGAAACTTACAGCACTAAATGCCCACAAGAGAAAGCAGGAAAGATCTAAAATTGACACCCTAACATCACAATTAAAAGAACTAGAGAAGCAAGAGCAAACACATTCAAAAGCTAGCAGAAGGCAAGAAATAACTAAGATCAGGGCAGAACTGAAAGAGATAGAGACACAAAAATCCTTCAAATAATCAATGAATCCAGGAGCTGGTTTTTTGAAAAGATCAATAAAACTGATAGACTGCTAGCAAGACTAATAAAGAAGAAAAGAGAGAAGAATCAAATAGATGCAATAAAAAATGATAAAGGAGATATCACCACCGATCCCACAGAAATACAAACTACCATCAGAAAATATTGTAAACACCTCTACGCAAATAAACTAGAAAATCTAGAAGAAATGGATAAACTCCTCAACACATACACTCTCCCAAGACTAAACCAGGAAGAAGTTGAATCTCTGAATAGACCAATAACAGGCTCTGAAATTGAGGCAATAATTAATAGCTTACAAACCAAAAAAAGTCCAGGACCAGATGGATTCACAGCCGAATTCTACCAGAGGTACAAGGAGGAGCTGCTACCATTCCTTCTGAAACTATTCCAATCAATAAAAAAAAAAGGGAATCCTCCCTAACTCATTTTATGAGGCCAGCAGCATCCTGATACCAAAGCCTGGCAGAGACACAACAAAAAAGAGAATTTTAGACCAATATCCCTGATGAACATCGATGCAAAAATTCTCAATAAAATACTGGCAAACTGAATCCAAGAGCACATCAAAAACCTTATCCACCACGATCAAGTGGGCTTCATCCCTGGGATGCAAGGCTGGTTCAACATACGCCAATCAATAAATGTAATCCAGCATATAAACAGAACCAAAGACAAAAACCACATGATTATCTCAATAGATGCAGAAAAGGCCTTTGACAA
This sequence comes from Homo sapiens, assembly GCF_000001405.40. Taxonomy (NCBI): domain Eukaryota; kingdom Metazoa; phylum Chordata; class Mammalia; order Primates; family Hominidae; genus Homo; species Homo sapiens. The sequence continues at coordinate 108,544,331 of NC_000023.11, read as the reverse complement.
AATTCAACAGCCCTTCAGGCTAAAAGCTCTTAATAAATTAGGTATTGATGGGACATATCTCAAAATAATAAGAGCTATCTATGACAAACCCACAGCCAACATCATACTGAATGGGCAAAAACTGGAAGCACTCCCTTTGAAAACTGGCACAAGACAGAGATGCCCTCTCTCACCACTCCTATTCAACATAGTGTTGGAAGTTCTGGCCAGGGCAATCAGGCAGGAGAAAGAAATAAAGAGTATTCAATTAGGAAAAAAGGAAGTCAAATTGTCCCTGTTTGCAGATGACATGATTGTATATCTAGAAAACCCCATCGTCTCAGCCTAAAATCTCCTTAAGCTGATAAGCAACTTCAGCAAAGTCTCAGGATGCAAAATCAATGTGCAAAAATCACAAGCCTTCTTATACACCAGTAACAGACAAACAGAGAGCCAAATCATGAGTGAACTCCCATTCACAATTGCTTCAAAGAGAATGAAACACCTAGGAATCCAACTTACAAGGGATGTGAAGGACCTCTTCGAGGAGAATTACAAACCACTGCTCAACGAAATAAAAGAGGATACAAACAAATGCAAGAACATTCCATGCTCATGGATAGGAAGAATCAATATCGTGAAAATGGCCATACTGCCCAAGGTAATTTATAGATTCAATGCCATCCCCATCAAGCTACCAATGACTTTCTTCACAGAATTGGAAAAAACTACTTTAAAGTTCATATGGAACCAAAAAAGAGCCTGCATCGCCAAGTCAGTCCTAAGCCAAAAGAACAAAGCTGGAGGCATCATACTACCTGACTTCAAACTATACTACAAGGCTACAGTCACCAAAACAGCATGGTACTGGTACCAAAACAGAGATATAGACAAATGGAACACAGCAGAGCCCTCAGAAATAATACCACACATCTACAACTTTCTGATCTTTCACAAACCTGAGAAAAACAAGCAATGGGGAAAGGATTCCCTATTTAATAAATGGTGCTAGGAAAACTGCCTAGCCATATGTAGAAAGCTGAAACTGGATCCCTTCCTTACACCTTATACAAAAATTTATTCAAGGCAGATGAAAGACTTAAATGCTAGATCTAAAACCATAAAAACCCTAGAAGAAAACCTAGGCAATACCATTCAGGACATAGGCATGGGCAAGGACTTCATGTCTAAAACACCAAAAGCAATGGCAACAAAAGCCAAAATTGACAAATGGGATCTAATTAAACTAAAGAGCTTCTGCACAGCAAAAGAAACTACTATCAGAGTGAACAGGCAACCTACAAAATGGGAGAAAATTTTTGCAACCTATTATCTGACAAAGGGCTAATATCCAGAATCTACAATGAACTCAAACATATTTACAAGAAAAAAACAAACAACCCCATCAAAAAGTGGGCAAAGGATATGAACAGACACTTCTCAAAAGAAGACATTTATGCAGCCAAAAGACACATGAAAAAATGCTCATCATCACTGGCCATCAGAGAAATGCAAATCAAAACCACAATGAGATACCATCTCACACCAGTTAGAATGGCGATCATTAAAAAGTCAGGAAACAACAGGTGCTGGAGAGGATGTGGAGAAATAGGAACACTTTTACACTGTTGTTGGGACTGTAAACTAGTTCAACCATTGCGGAAGACTGTGTGGCGATTCCTCAAGGATATAGAACTAGAAATACCATTTGACCCAGCCATCCCATTACTGGGTATATACCCAAAGGATTATAAATCATGCTGCTATAAAGACACATGCACATGTATATTTATTGCGGCACTATTCACAATAGCAAAGACTTGGAACCAACCCAAATGTCCAACAATGATAGGCTGGATTAAGAAAATGTGGCACATACGCACCATGGAATACTATGCAGCCATAAAAAAGGATGAGTTCATGTCCTTTGTAGGGACATGGATGAAGCTGGAAACCATCATTCTCAGCAAACTATCACAAGGACAAGAAACCAAACACTGCATGTTCTCATTCATAGGTGGGAATTGAACAATGAGAACACTTGGACACAGGAAGGGGGACATCACACACCAGGGCCTGTTGTGGGGTGGGGGTGGGGGGAAGGATAGCATTAGGAGATATACCTAATGTAAATGACGAGCTAATGGGTGCAGCACACCAACATGGCACATGTATACATATGTAACAAACCTGCACGTTGTGCACATGTACCCTAGAACTTAAAGTATAACAATAAAAAAAAATTAAATAAAATACAGTTTCCATTACTCTGTTGTGATTCCTTATTTGGTCACGCATCATGAGGAGATTTTCCTTTTCTATTTTCTGCTTTAAATCATAGTCTACAAATTCCAACATCTGTGTTAGTTCAGGGTTGGTTTTCATTGATTGGTCTTTTTATTGACTGTAGATCACTTTTACTTGGTAATTTTTAATTGCATACTGGATATTGTAGGTAATATGGAGAGATTCTGGATTCTCTTAACTTCCTCTGAAGAGTATTGATTAAACTTCTATTTTAAGAAATAGTATAGTTAACTCAGCTGAACTTGAACTTAAAACTCCATTCTCCTTTCAACGGACAACGGTTAAATCTATGCTCAGTTATTGCAGACTTCCAGCTGTTCCTTTTTGCTGGGTTGTATGAACCTTCCTCTATAGTTATAAACTTCAGGATTCAAGCAAGAATTTGGATGGAATCTATAAGCAATTTTTTGAGCTCTTTCCAATGTGTTTCCCTACATTCCAGTATATCCCTCTTCACTTTTCAGCCATTCTGGCATCCTCAACTCTGCTGACTCAAGCCAGTAAGACCATGGGTTTTTGTCTGGGTTTTAGCCTTCCTTTGCCATGCAGACTAAGGGCTGTACTCAGGGGAAAAGCCATATAAATGCAAATATGCCCAGTGTATTTCCTTTCTTTCAAGTGCAGATGCCTCTCCTCTTTTTCCTTTGGTTATTCTCTTGTACTATCAAGTAGCTGTTATATTTTGTCCAGAGTATTCCATTCTTATCTCAAAAGTTAATCTGATAAACATCACTCTACTATTATATGAAGTTAATCCCTCTTGGTATTTTCTCCACTACAGAAAGCACCCTTACTGCGAAACTACTCCCATCAAACTAATGTTACTCAAATAAGTGTTCTGCAGAAGACTATCCAATTAATATTAATAGCTGCTCTGTTAAGGGGAAAGTCTATAACATGGTCAAATGGGGCTTGGAAATGTAGCATTACAAAACAAACAAATAGGTTTCTTTGCTCCAGAACTTTTAAGAATGTCTAATATGCTAACGTACCTTCTATACCTCTAAGTAGATTATGCCCTAGACATACTGTCCTAAACTGCTTCATATATAATTAGCAGCATTCACTCATTCATTCAAAAATACTGAGCCCCAAAGAGTGGAGACAAGAGTATGATCCCATCTCCTAGTATAACTCTCTTTAGGCTATAATTTACTATCCCTTTTATATTTGATAATATTAATGTCATTCACTGATAGTGATTAGGCTTATGCTATATAATCTTCACCAATACTTACTTTGTAATCATAATATCTGTACAATAGGAGATGCTGCTGTGGAAAAAGTAAGATAGAAATAAACATTCAGCTGGGCATGGTGGCTCACTCCTGGAATCCCCTGCCAAGGTGGGCAGATCACTTGAGGCCAGGAGTTCGAGACCAGCCTAGCCAACAAGGCGAAACCCCATCTCTACTAAAAATACAAAAATAAGCCAGGCATGGTGGTGCATGCCTACAATCCCAGCTACTTGGCAGGCTGAGGCACGAGAACTGCTTGAACCCAGGAGGCGGAGGTTGCAGTGAGCCTTGATTGTGACACTGCACTCCAGCCTGGGTGACAGAGCAAGACCGTGTCTCAAAAACGAAAAAACAAAAAAAAAGACTTTCATCTATTATTAAACTGCATAGACTAGATAAAAATACATGATATTGCCTGGTATCTGGCAGAGATTAGTAGCTTGATAAATGTTTAGTTTCCTTCTTAAGTGTTTTTCCCCTGTCTTTGCCTATTAAGTAAGTCAGTGCCTTCAACAAGACCAATCAGAGTTTGGCAGATTATAGCTCTCAGGCCAAATGCAGATATTAAAGGACCCCAACACTTACCCAAAGGTAGCCATTAAGCTAGGGTTTCTGCACTATAGTCCCTTCTGTGGTCGCCAGAAATATGTTACGGGAAAGAGGTCCTGATCCAGATCCCAAGAGGCTCATGTTCTATGATCCAAGAGCTAAGAATATTTTTTAGTCACTTTTAAAGTTCTATTTATATAAATAAGAATATGTGACAGAAACTGATGTGTCCCATAAATCCTAAAATGTTTGCTATATGGCCTTTTACAGAAAATCTTTGCTGACCTTAAGATATAATCTAATCCTTATAAGCTCTCTAAAATAAGCAATGCAATAGGATTCATTTCACTTACTTAAGTACTGAGATAGAAGCTCTGTTTTTAAAAAAATATTTATTAAAACCATTAGTTTACTGGCTTTACTAAATTTTCAAATGCCAATCTAAGACCTCACCTTTTCCCCTTTTATGCCACTGCAGTCACACTTTGATCCTGGAGAACACCCATAGCAAGCCTATAAGGAAGAGAAAGAGGGAAAAAATCATTAAATATGAACCCAAAAATCAGACTCTGACTTACAGCTCAACTGAAATCAACAATCCAAACTTGAAAGATAGATACCAGAAAAATATCTGAAAAGATATACGAAATTGCAAATAACAGTTACCTCTCAGGAAGCTTGCACCTTTTATTATATACACTTCTGTCTTAACTTTTCAAAATGAGCAAACATAATTTTTATAATTTTAAAGTGAAAAATATCATTTTACAAGACATTAAAAATGAGATATCTCTCAATAAAGGCTAAAGATGGAAAGCTACACCATCTTCTACTTACAACAACAAAAACCCATGCACATATATTCACATATAAAGTACAGACATACATTTCAAAGTTAATTATTCTTACATTAACAGCCATTTGGGGTTATCACTACCCTTTACCTCTTCATTAATGCATGAGTGTTGACAGTATGCACAATCTAAAATATGTTAAAAATGGAAAAGAAATTCATACAACTTCCCTGTAATATGATTTGCCACATGTCCAAACTCTCAGGAACTCTCCTTTTTTTCTTCTAACATTGCTTGTAAAAAATTACCTCTCACTCTGTATTAGCAATGACCTTGGCAACTAGACAACAATGCCTACCACTTCAAGTCACTTGTTTCTCTCCATTCATGAGCAATCATGGAGCATAAAATATATAACACTATCTTTTACCACCTTTCTTTCTTTTCTTTGCTCCTACTCCTTCATCACTAATAATAGCTCAGTCTCTAACAGCTTTACCATAAATGCTGCTCCCACAGTCTAGATGTTCTAAACAGGCATTCAATCATATTAGGAATTGAGGTCCTCAAGCCAGAAAAATATCCTCCTCCAAAATAGAAAACCTATAGAGGAAAAGAATACAGTATGTGACTTCTGCCATTCAGTACTATCCTTTACTCTTAGAAAATGAACTGCTTAGAAAAACAAGTTAGTTTAATATACATGGATAGCTCAGTGTTTACTTACAAGGAGGTGGCATTCTTTTCATCAGATAGATACCAGACTGAGTTACTGAAACCTTCATGTGACATAAATACCAAATAATGCCCATCAATCTTGAGGGCCTTTGATATAAAATACCTTAGCCTGCTGCTCAACATTCCATGATTTCCTTTACTCTAGTCACTACCAAAGTACCCTCCTCAACCCTTTTGAAAGTACTGACCTTATCCTTCTGGTCAGAACTCCTAACTCACTCAGCTGCAACTAAAAGTCACCTTCATACTGAAACCTCTTTTCCTGATTATAAGAGCAAACTACAATGGCTTGATGTTGCAGTAATCTCTCACTCACACTACAAGAGGCTGCTCCAGTGAAAGCTGTGCTCCTGACACGTCAAACAGAAAGTCTGCTATGCCGCTATTATTTATTATTCATAGATGTTTGGGGGTTATATACTGATTTTAGTATTTTACGCTAACTACACTACAGATTAAATAGGCTTATTCAGACTTACTCATTCATCAAATATGAATTGAATATTACTAGAGGACAGAAAAATTGTTAGGCACTAGACTTCTAAGATGAGTAACACACAGCTCCCTCCAACATGTGTAACTAATTCAAGAAATACTTATTGATCACCTGTTATGTGACAGCCACTATGTTATGTTAGGTGCAAGTAGAAGTACAAAGTACATCATTGCTCTCTAATGGGAAGGATGAACCCATCTACAAAAAATTATATTACAATGTGCAGGAAACAGAGGTTAATTAAAAATATATAATATTTTTCTGCAAACATAAATTTTAAGTTCCAGACTATGGATTTTATAAAATTTAGAAGATACCGTTTCACAAGAAGATACTGATTCACAAGTTCACAAGACAGTAACTGTCAACAGTCGTAGTCCCTGAATTAAATTGTGCATATTGTCAACACTCATGCATTAATGGAGAGGTAAAGAGTAGTGATAACCCCAAATGGCTGTTAATGTAAGAATAATTAACATTTGACACTGAAATGCATGTCTGAACTTTATATGTGAATATATGTGCATGGGTTTTTGTTGTTGCGAGTAGAAGACAGTGTAGCTTTCCATCTTCAGCCTTTATTGAGAGATCTTCTTCTTTTAAATACAAATTAAGCTCCTAAAAATAATGCAAAGCAATAACCTGACAGGATTTCATTGATATGAACAAGTTTCTATGTGACCTTTCTTTATAATTGCATTTTGACTTCTCAGTATCCAACGATAGCCCCTAACTCCTAATATAATTTATAAACAAGCAAAACCTTAAATACTCTCGCATGTCATTTTACAAGTAATTTTGTATAATTTTTTGCAATTTTTTATTAACATGTAGCTTTACTTTAGAGAGAGCACAGATTAAAACAGTTGTGAATTATAGATAAATGTGTTTAAATTCAATTTAAAATTTTAATTTATAGTCTATTTATTCCACCTAGGTTATGAGAATGACTCTGGTACTCATAGGTTAAAACAAAACAGGCAATTGTAATACGCACACCAACCACTAGATGCCACTTTCTATACAGTTATAACAGTGGCGCCCACAAGGAGATAGCCCCAGTTTGACATCTGGTTAATGGAACAATTTGTTTTTTTACCAACATCTATTAATATTGATTAGGTGTCTAATAAACACAAGCACAATAATAGTTCTATGAGTTGTACAAAAGTACATGCAGGTGCTACCTTTAAGGAACTTCCAGTCTAGGTTTTTTGTTTTTTTAAGTAACTAGGTATTTTATTTTTTAAGTAACTGGGTATTTTCAGGACATATGAAAAGAATATCAAAATACAATGGAATAATGATACAGCGGTATATCATAATTTTACTTCAGAAGTTGAAACATTTGACCATGGACAAATCATTTCCATACTCTTTGGCTGTTTTCTCATTTGTAAAATGGCATACATAGACAATATGATCTCCTTAGGTAGCTTCCAGATTTCACTCTCTGTGATTCTGTAGGATTTGCCAGGTAAAAATGAGTGGTATAGTCAATAATTGCTATCAAAGTTAAGAAAAACAGTTCCCTTGAGCCTGAAAGTATTGACAAAGGCTCTGTGGAGAAAGTGAATACCTGGACTTCAACTTGGAAGGATAGACAGAAAGCTACCTAGAGGAAAAATTGCCATGCTAAGCATGATTAAAATACAAAATTGATTGGGGCAAAGAAGTAAAATGAACATTAAGTACCTCAGTCTAAAAGGCTAAGTTCATATGAAAAAAACTAATTTTTCGAAATCACTGAAGATGAAAGAAGCAAGAAAATGATGAAACTACAGTAATATTTTAAATTTTTATTGTGGGAGAAAGTAATAAATGAGTAAGGAAAGTTTTGTATTATCACACAGTAAAACACATCACAACACTACAATAATTAAAATAGTATGGTATTCAGTTAACAAAAATAGGAAGGCCAGAAACAGATTTACACATGCAAGCACGTGCACACACACACACACACACACAACTACTATATGATAAAAGTTGACGTCAAATAGATGTGAAAACAATGAATTTTTCAACATATGGTGCTAGAATAAATATAAAAAATAATAAATTTAGATCTCATGCTGCTACAATTAAAACAGCAGATATTAGACTTAAAAGTACAAATAAAAACAAATTCTGTATGAATTAGGGTCACCTAAAGAACCTCACAAAAATTTACATACCAGCAACCCATCGTAAAGATTCTTCCAGTAAGCTGAAGTTGAATAGCAGAATCTGAAATTTTAATAAACATCTCTAAGTAATTTTGATTCAGGTGTTCCAAGGAGACACATACTACAAAATAATGGCAGAGAGAAATAAGAAATATTCCAATAATGTGGCCAGTTAGGTATCCAGACTGAAATGCTTACTTAAAAAAAAAATGCTTGGAAAAAAGTAAAAACTTCTTCCTAAAAGCATCAAAGGGAAGCACAGTAGGATTTATCAAATCAAAATCTAGGGAAAACCAAAAAATGAACTGATCAATGAAACTACTTTTTCCCGGAGGACATATGCCAAACTTGGATAATTTTTGGGTTTTGTTTTATAATTTCTTTTACTATAAGGGTGTACCACGCATAAATGTACCTCACAATCCCACACCCAGGGAGGTGGAAGAAAAGATCTCTTGGTGCTTAGCAGAGAAGTACAGGAAAAAAAACCCTTAAAAAACTCACCACAAACTGGCCAGATTTGCAATCCAAATTAGCATTACCTGAGTGGACTCTGACTGCATTGACCTTCTAGAGGCTGGGCAAAAATACATACTGACTCTACGTAGAAAAAACATGCCTTCATAGTAAACTTCAAATAATTCTAATGTATCATTTTTTTAAAGGAAGATGAGATTTCCTAATTAAAAACCATTAAGCATACAAGAAAAAAAACCATAAGCAAAAGCCAAAAGAAACATATGACAACAGAAAGTACTCACTAAATATTTCACACATTGGAATTATCAGATAAAAAATATATAGTAACTATCTTTACAATTATAGAAGAATTTTTCTAACTTAAAAATAATAAAGGGAGCCAGCAATTGTATGAAAATGACATAGCTCAATCGAAATAAAATATAAATTCTAGAAGTAAAAGCTATAGTAATTGAAATTTAAAACTCAATGGATGGGCTTCACAACAGACTAGATAGAGCTGAAGAGAGACAGTATAAAGTTAAAAGACTTAGTAAAGCTAAAAAGAAATTATATATAATGTGGCATAGAGATAAAACATGGAAACTGTGAAATAATCATTAAGAGACATGGAAGAAAGAGTGAGGAAGAATAACATAAAGGAAATTGGGATTCTAGAAGAGGTGAGAGAGGGAATAAAGACAATACTAAAGAGACAACGGCTAAGATTTCTCAAGAAAAATCTACAGATATTTGTGATTCAAGAAACCAAACAGATTCAATGGCATAAAAATAAAACCTGAAACTAGGTGCAGCAGAACATAACTGCATAACATAAAAGTAAAGGAAAGGCCTTAAAAGCATCAAAAAAGACAAGACAGACCGCCTTCAAGAGAGTGAAAATTAATTTACAGATTAGTTCTCAGAAGCAATAATCAAAGCCAGAAGACCACGGAATGACATCTTTAATATGCTAAGAACCCAGTTCTCTTCATCCTCCCCCTCCTTGACACTTACCCTTCCCAGTCTCTGTTCTCTGTCTTTCCACTGTCTACCTCCATATGGTCAATTTTTTAGCTCCCACATACAAGTGAGAACATGCAATATTTGTCAATCTGTGGCTGGCTTATTTCACTTAAGAGAATGACATCGAGTTCCATCCATGTTGCTGCAAATGACATGATTTCACTAGTTTTTATGGCTAAGTAGTATTCCATTCTGTATATGTACCACATTTTCTTTATCCATTCACCTGTTGATACACACTTAGGTTAATTGCATATCTTTGTGATTATGAATACTGCTGCAATAAACAGGCAAGTGTAGGTATTTCTTTGATATATTGATTTCTTTACCTTTGGATAGATACCTAGTAGTGGAATTGCTGGGTTGTATGGTGATGCTATGTTTAGTTTCTTTCTTTCTTTCTTTCTCTTTCTCTCTCTCTCTTTCTCTTTCTCTCTTTCTTTTAAATATCCATACAGTTTTCTGGTGGCTGTACTAGATTATGTTCACAACAGCATATAAGAGTTCCCTTATTTTTTTTATCCTTGCCAACATCTGTTGTTTTTTGTCTTTTTATTAATAGCCATTTTGACTGGGATAAGATGATATCTCATTGTGGTTTTCATCTGCATTTCTCTGATGATTAGCGATGTTGAGCATTTTACATATACCATTTGTATGTCTTTTTTATGAGAAATGTCTATTCAGGTCTTTTGCTTACTTTAAACGGGATTAATTGGAGTTTTATTTTGTTTTGTTTGTTTTTTCCTGTTGTTTGAGTTCCTTTTGTATTCTCAATATTAGTCCCCTGTCAGATAAATACTTTGCAAAAATTGTCTCCCATTCAACAAGTTGTTTATTCCCTCTGTTGATTGCTTCGTTTGCTGTTCAGAAGCTTTTTATTTAATATAGCCCCATTTGGCTATTTTTGTTTTTGTTGCCTGTGCTTTTGAGGTCTTAGTCAAATTCTTTGCCTAGACCAATGTCCAGGAGAGTTTTCCCCTGGAATTTCTTCTAGTAGTTTTATATTTTCAGGTCTTATATTTACATAAAATTTTAGCTTGTTGAATTGCTTAAGTTCCTTGTAGATTCTGGATATTAGACCTTTGTTGGATGCACAGTTCACGAATATTTTCTCCCATTCTGTAGGTTGTCTGTTTACTCTGTTGATAGTTTCTTTTCCTGTGCAAAAGAAGATTTAAGTCTTTAATCCATCCTGAGTTAATTTTTGTATATGGTGAGAAATACGGGTCCAGTTTCATTCTTCTACATGTGGCTATCCAATTTTTCCAGCACCATTTAATGAAGAGGATTACCTTTCCCCAGTGTAAGCTCTTGTCAGCTTTGTTGAAGATCAATTGGCTATGAAGATGTGGCTTTATTTCTGGGTTCTCTATTCTGTTCCATTGGTCTATATTTTCATAACAATATAATGCAGTTTGGGTTACTACAGCCTTGTAATATATTTTGAAGTCAGGTAATGTGATGCCTCCAGCTTTGTTTTTAGGTCAGGGTTGCATTGGCTATTCAGGCTCTTTTTTGGTTTCATATACATTTTAGGATTTGTTTTCTAATTCTGTGAAAAAATTGCATTGGCATTTTGATAGCGATTATGTTGAATGTATAGATTCCTTTGGGCAATACGATGACTTTAACAATATTAATTCTTCTGATCCATGAGTATAAAATATTTTTCCATTTGTTTCTATCACCTGCATTTCTTTCAACAGTGTTTTGTAGGTTTCCTTGTAGAATCAATCCTCCTTGGTTAAATTTATTCCTATGTATTTTACTTATTTTACCAAATGTAAATGGAATTGCTTTCTTTCTTTCTTTCCTGGTTAGATCATTATCGGTGTGTAGAAAGGCTACTGATTCTTGTACATTGATTTTGTATCCTGCAACTTCACTGAATTCATTCTTTAAGCTTCTCTAGATAGATATATCGGTAAAGAGGGGCAATTTGACTGCTTCTTTTCCCATTTGGATGCCTTTTTTATTTTTCACTTGCTTGATTGCTCTTAATAGGACCTCCAGTACTATGTTGAATAGGAGTGGTGAAAGTCAACATCCTTGTCTTGTTCCAGTTTTTAGAGGAAAGGATTTCAGCTTTTCTTCATTTAATATGATGTTTGCAGTGGATTTGAAGTATATGGCCTTTATTATGCTACGGTATATTCCTTCTATGCCTAGTTTGTTGAGAGTTTCAATCACGAAGGGATGTTAAATTTTATCAAATGCCTTTTCTGCATCTATTGAGATGGTCATATTGTTTTGTCCTTCAATCTGTTGATGTAATGTATCACATTTATTGATTTGCAAAGGTTGTGCCTTCCTTGCCTTCAATCCCAATGGACCCATGTGTATTATATTTTTGACGTACTGTTGAATTGGATTTGCTAGTATTTTTTAAATTGTTTTTCAATCAATCTTCACCAGGGATATTTGCCAGCAGTTTTCTTTTTTGGTTGAATCCTTGTCTGATTTTCATATCAGGGTGATGCTGTCCTCGAGGAATGAATTAGGGAGAATTTCCTACCCTTGGATTTTCTGGAATAGTTTCAGGAGGATTGGTATTATTTCTGTCTTGTACGATTGTTAGAATTTGGCTGTGTATCCATCTGGTCCTGGGCTTTTCTTCGTAGGGAGAATTTTTATTACTGATTCAATCTCACTACTCATTATTGGTCTGTTCAGGTTTTCTATTTCTTCCTGATTCAATCTTGGTAAGTAGTATGTTTCCAGGAATTTATCCATTTCTTCTAGGATTTCCAGTGTGTCAGTGTATAGTTGTCCATAATAATCTCTGATGATCTTGTGTATTTTTGTGATATCAATTGTAGTGTCTTTTTTTCATTTCTGATTTTATTTGGGTCTTTTCTTGGTTAGACTAGCTAGCAGTTTACAAATTTTGTGTATCTTTTCAAAGAAGCAGTTTTACATTTTGTTGGGCCCTTATGTTTGCTTTTGTAGTCTCTGTTTAGTTCTGCTCTGATCTTTGCTATTTTTTTTCTTCTGCTAACTTTCGATTTGGTTTGTTCTTGCTTTTCTAGTTCCTTGAGGTGCATTGCTAGATTGTTAAATTTTTATTTTTCTACGTTTTTAATGTAGGCATTTATTGCTATAAACTTCTCTCATAGCACTATTTTTGCTGAATATGTATGTTGTGTTTACATTTTCATTTCAATAAATTTTTATTTATTTATTTATTTTATTTTTTATTTATTTATTTCATTATTATTATACTTTAAGTTTTAGGGTACATGTGCACAATGTGCAGGTTAGTTACATATGTGTACATGTGCCATGCTGGTGTGCTGCACCCATTAACTCGTCATTTAGCATTAGGTATATCTCCTAATGCTATCCCTCCCCCCTCCCCCCACCCCACAACAGTCCCCAGAGTGTGATGTTCCCCTTCCTGTGTCCATGTGTTCTCATTGTTCAATTCCCACCTATGAGTGAGAACATGTGGTGCTTGGTTTTTTGTCCTTGAGATAGTTTACTGAGAATGATGATTTCCAATTTCATCCATGTCCCCACAAAGGACATGAGCTCATCATTTTTTATGGCTGCATAGTATTCCATGGTGTATATGTGCCACATTTTCTTAATCCAGTCTATCATTGTTGGACATTTGGGTTGGTTCCAAGTCTTTGCTATTGTGAATAGTGCCACAATAAACATACGTGTGCATGTGTCTTTATAGCAGCATGATTTATAGTCCTTTGGGTATATACCTAGTAATGGGATGATGGCTGGGTCGAATGGTATTTCTAGTTCTAGATCCCTGAGGAATCGCCACACTGACTTCCACAATGGTTGAACTAGTTTACAGTCCCACCAACAGTGTAAAAGTGTTCCTATTTCTCCACATCCTCTCCAGCACCTGTTGTTTCCTGACTTTTTAATGATTGCCATTCTAACTGGTGTGAGATGGTATCTCATTGTGGTTTTGATTTGCATTTCTCTGATGGCCAGTGATGGTGAGCATTTTTTCATGTGTTTTTTGGCTGCATAAATGTCTTCTTTTGAGAAGTGTCTGTTCATGTCCTTCGCCCACTTTTTGATGGGGTTGTTTGTTTTTTTCTTGTAAATTTGTTTGAGTTCATTGTAGATTCTGTATATTAGCCCTTTGTCAGATGAGTAGGTTGCGAAAATTTTCTCCCATTTTGTAGGTTGCCTGTTCACTCTGATGGTAGTTTCTTTTGCTGTGCAGAAGCTCTTTAGTTTAATTAGATCCCATTTGTCAAATAAATTTTTAAATTTCCATCATAATTTCTTCATTGACCCAGTGGCCACTCAGGAGCATGTTATTTAATTTCCATGTATTTTCAGAGTTTCCAATCTTCCTCTTTGTATTGATTTCTAGTTTTATTCCAAAGTGGTCTGAAAAGAAAACTGATATTATTTCAATTTTTAAAATTTGTTGAGACTTATATTGTGACCTAACACATGATCTATCCTGGAGAATGGTCCATGTATAACTGCAGGATGTATAACCTGCAGTTGTTGGGTAGGATGTTTTGTAAATGTCTGTTAGGTTTATTGGGTCTGAAGCCCTATTTATACCCAATGTTTCTTTGTTGATTTTCTGTCTAGATGATGTGTCTAAATGCTGAGAGTGGAGTGTTGAAACCCCCACTTTGATTGTATTGTCATCTATTTCTCTCTTTGGAATATTTGCTTTATGAATCTGGAAGCTACAGTATGGGGTGCATATATATTTGGAGTTGTCGTATCTTCTTGCTGGATTGTTCCATTTATCATTACATAATGACCTTCTCTGCCTTTTTTTTTTAACTGTTCTTGACTTAAACTCTCTTTTATCTGATATAGGTATAGCTATTCCTGCTTACTACTATTTCCCATTTGTATGGAATATCTTTTGCCATCCCTTTACTTTCAGTCTATATGTGTCTTTACTGTTAGGGTGAGTTTCTTATACATGGCATATAGTTGCATCATGTTTTTTTAAAAATTCATTCAGCCATTTAATATATTTTAAGTGGAAAATATAATCCATTTACATTCAAGGTTATTATTAATATGTGAAGCTCTGTTTCTGTAATTTTGTTAATGGTTTTCTGGTTGTTTTATATATTCTTTGTTTATTTCTTTTTCTCTTTTTAATTGTTTTTGAGGTTTGGTAGATTGCTATAGTGTTACCGCTTCAGTCCTTTCTTTTCCTTCTTTGATTGACTGGTTTATCTGTGAGTTTTATACTTTCATGTTCTTTCATGATCTTAAATATTGTCCTTTTGCTTCCAGGTTTAGGACTCACTTGAGCATTTCTTGTAGGGTCAGTCTAGTCATAAAGAATTCCCTCAGCATTTGCTTATCTGTGAAAGATTTTTTATTTCTTCTTCATTGATGAAGGATAATTTTGAGGGATGTAGTATTCTTGGCTGGCAATTTTTTTCTTTCAGCACTTCGAATATATTTATTCCCTTTCTCTTCTGGCCTGTAAGGTTCTGCTGAGCAATCCACTGTTAATTTGATAGGGTTTCATTTAGAAGTGACTAGACACTTTTCTCTTACTGTTTTCAGGATTTGCTCTTTATATTTGACTTTAGACTTTCTGACTATAATGTGTCATGGAGAAGATTTCTTTGCATTATATCTACCTAGGGATCACTGAGCCTCCTGTATCTGATTATGTAAATCTCTCACTAGACTTGGGAAGTTTTCACCTATTCTTTAAATAGGTTTTCTAATCCTTTCTTTGTCTCTTCATCCTTGGGGCTAACAATAATTTTTAAGATTTGATCAATTTATGTTGTCCCAAATGACACAAAGCTTCGCTCATTCTTTTTAAAATTCTTATTTCTTTATTCCTACCTGACTGGTTTATTTAAAAAGAACTGACTTCAAGTTTTGAGGTTCTTTATTCCACCTAATCTATTTGGTTCTTTTTAAAAATACTTATCTCTTTAGTAATATTGTTCATTCTTATCCTTAACTGTGTTTTGATTTCTTTGTATTGTTTTTCGGAATTATCTTATATCTCACCCAGCTTCTTTAAAATCAATATTTTGAATTCTTTCTCTGGAATTTCAAAAGTGTCTTTTTGATTAAGATCTATTGTTGTAGAATTATTGTGTTCCTTTGCAAGTGTCATATTTCCTTGCTTTTTCATATTTCTTGTGTCCTTGTGTTGGTAACTGTGCATCTGGTGTAACAATCATTTCTTCCTATTTTTGAATTTACTTTCATAGGGAAGGATATTTTTCTGAAGATGTATCTAAGATATTGGCTGTGTATGGTACTTTGACTTTGATTCTGTTCATAGTGCTATAGTCTCTGTGTGATTTCTTTGGCTGTAAACAGCATTAGTGGTGTTTATGGTTTCCTTGGTGTGTTAGGGTATGGTTATTAGTGAAGGCTGTGGTGAAGTTGTGCTGGGGACTGGAACAACAGGTGTGCTAGTCTTAAGGCTGCGGTGGTGGCACCAGTGGGCTGAGCATGCATATCTTTGTGCCCTAGAGCATTTTACACTGGCACTGGTGTTGGCTGTTGTCAGTGGGCCTATTCTTAGGCCTCCAGGTGTCTTGCTTGGATGCTGATAATGCCAGCAGTGGACCAGGTGGGTGAGCAGGTTCTTCAGTCCCTGGGCAGCTGGCATGGTGTGGGTGATGGCAGTAGCAGTGGACGGACAATTGTCTGGGTCTTGAGCAGTGTGCACTGACGTTGATAGTAGCTGCAATGGGCTGGGTAGGCCCATGTCCAGGCCCATATGTGGTGCTTGCAGGCAGGTACCAGCTGAAGTGGTAGTGGTTGGGAGTTTAGGCCCAACCTCAGGCCCCCAGGAGGACTGGGGCCCACGGTGGTGGATTGGGTTAGATAATCCCCAGGACCTCAGGCTATGTGTTCTCTCTCAGAGCAGAAGCTCGGCTCTGCGGCTTGTGCTCAGGACCCCAATGGTGAGTGCAAGCACCAGCTCTGTTAGGTGGGGGTAGGGTAATATTCAGTATCCAGGTGGAGTGTTCAGGTGAGGGGTGGTAGCAGCCATGCTGAGACTCTGCCACTGGAAAGAGTGGGGCTGCCTTGGTAGCCTCAGCTTGGGCTGGTGGGTAGGCAACATGCATCTCTTTCATACTGTGGCATTTAAAATATAGAATTGAAAGAAATACACATTGGTAATATGATGTAAGTGAGATAGGGTGAAAGAAGTTAAAGCATTCTTAAGGTCTTTGTAATTGTATAGAAAACTGGTAAGGATATTGATTACTTTGGACTTTGATACATATACAACCTAGAAATTGTCACTTCTAGGGTAAACCTTTAAAAAAGATAAATAGAGTATTAATCCCAAAGTAATTGAGGGGCACAATACTTAATACATCCAAAAGAAGACGAAAGAGAGGCAGACAGAGAAAGTGATACCTTAAAATGCAAGACAAATAAAACAAATATATCAGTAATTACATTAAGTGTAATTAAGTGTAAATCGACACAACATGGGACAAATTTGGAATAAGGTACATTATAAAAAACAACTAGCACGGACTCTTCAAAAAGTCAATGCCAGCTGGGTGTGGTGACTCATTCCTGTAATCCCAGCACTTTGGGAGGCCAAGGTGGGAGGACCACTTGAGCCTGGGAGTTCACATCCAGCCTGGGACACAAGATGAGATCCCTATCTCTACAAAAAAAATTAAACATCAACCAGCCATGGTGACATGCACCTGTAGTCTTAGCTACTCAGGAGACTGAGGAGGGAGGATCACTTGAGCCTATGAGATTAAGGCTGCAGTGAGCCATGATTGTTCCACTGCACTCCAGTATGTGCAACAGAGCAAGACCCTGTCAAAAAAAAAGAAGAAAGGAAAGGAAAAGAAAAGAAAAGAAGAAGAAGGAGGAGGAGGAGGAAGAAAGAAAGAAAGAAAGAAAGAAAGAAAGAAAGAAAGAAAGAAAGAAAGAAAGAGAAAGAAAGAAGAAAGAAAGAAAGAAAGAAAGAAAGAAAGAAAGAAAGAAAGAAAGAAAGAAAGAAAGAAAGAAAGGAGGGAGGGAGGGAGGGAGGGAGGAAAGGAAGGAGGGAGGGAAGGAAGGAAGGGAGAGCGAGAGAAAGAAAGAAAGAAGGAAAGAAGAAAGAAAGAGAAAGAAAGAAAGGAAGAAAGAAAGAGGAAAAGGAAAGGGAAAAAGTCAATGCCATGCCATGGGAGAGATGACTTTGTGAATGGCAGTGTGAGGACCTCTGTGGACCATCTCCCTAGCAAAACAATGATAAGTGGGGAAATTTATGTTTTAAAAACTCAAGTATCTGGATATTGTCCTACGAACATACAGCCAATGAACAAACGTTCAACAATATGTGTTAAATCTTGATATGTACAACAGGTATCTATGGCATTATGACCTGCTCCTTCCTTCTCCACCTCCCTTGCTCAGCTTCACAAAGGCTTCACCCAAGGTAGGTGCATCCATAAACCAGGGCTCCTTCTCCTCCCAGCTCCCAGTTAAGCACTACAGTATCTCACAGGAAGGAACAAGTCATCAGCATTTCTGATCTTCCCCTACCGTGTGTGTCCTGTTATAGAAGCTCTGTTCCAAGTGAGAGTAGCTGAGAGTTCTTAGACTCTTGTCCTCCACACAGCCCTAACTCATAAGGCAAAAGCTCTACTCCAGCCAGGCACAGCAGCCCAGGAGTATTTGATCTGGTTGCCCTCACTCTAACTTGCTCATAGAACAGAAGATGATGCTGAAAGAGGCAAGCCAGGAAGATCAAAGGCTATTCTTCCTGCTTAGTGCCCTGCTAATAAAGCAGGTGTGTTACTCCAAAAGAAGGGGAACAGTGTTCCCGCTCCCAGCTCTGGAACAGTATCAGCAATTTTGCCTAGAGTAAGAGAAGACAGTAAGAATAGAGAACTCTATAAATCTTAAGTAAACTCTAATAGGTTATAATTTACGTGGTAAGCAACCATTAAGAAAAACAAATAAAAATACATTAAATAAAATCATTAAAGAAACTGCAATATTAAACTAGAAAATATTCACTTAATAAAAAAAAAGAAGGCAGTAAAGGAGGAACATAAGAACAACAACAAAAAACCATGAGATACATAGAAAACAAAAAGTGAAATTACGGACAAAAATCCAACTATATCAATAATAACATTGAATGTGCATGGATTAAACAAGCCAAACAAAAATCAGAGATTGGCAGACTTCATAAAAAAATCAAGATCCAATGGCAGCTACAGAACACATTAGATTAAAACATACAAAAAGGTTGAAACTACAAGGATTGAAAAATACAGTCATGCTAACAGCAACCTTAAGGAAGCTAGAGTAGATGTGCTAATAACAGATAAAATATATTCTAAAACAAAAAAAGTCTAGAGATAGAGAGAGGAATTTTATAATGATAAAAGGGTCAATTCTACAGGATGCCATGTCAATTATAAACACAGATACATCTAACAACAGAACACCAAGATACATGAAACAAAAACTGGCTGAATCAAAGTAAGAAATAGACAATTCAAAAATAGTTGGGGACTTCAATACTCCACTTTTAATAATCAGTGGAACAGTGAGAGACAGAAGATCAACAAGGAAATAGAGGACTTGAACAACACTATAAACCAACTGCATTTAAGACACATCTATTCAACACTCTGCCCAATTACAGTAGAATATACCTTTTTCTCAAGAATGCATAGAACATTCTCCAGGATAGATCATATGCTAGGCCATAAAACAAACATCAATAAACTTAAAAGTATTGCAATTACACAAAGCATGTTTTCCAACCACAATGGAATAAAATTAGAAATCAATAACAGAAATAAACAGGATATCAACAAGTATAAAGAAAAGAAATATTTCACTTTTAATTAACCTATAGGTCAAAGAACAAATGACAAGGTTTATTAGAAATATTTTGAGGTGAGTGAAAATAAAACCACACAATACCAAAACATATGGGACTCATTTAAAGCAGTGATTAGAGATAAATTTGCAGCAGTAACTGCCTATATTAAAAAAGATGCCAAATCATAAACTAACATTTCAATGTAAAACATCAGAAAAAGAGAGCGAAGTAACCCCAAAACAAGTAGAAAGAAGGAAATAATAAAGATTTGAGCTGAAATTAATGAAATGAACAATAAAAAATGAATAGGGAAAATCAACAAGATCAAAAGCTGGTTCTCAGAAAAGCTCAAAAAAATTGTCAAACCACCAAGAAAAGAGAAGACTCAAATTAAAATCAGAAATAAAAGAGAGGACATTACTATTAAGATCAGAATAACAGGGAAATTCCTCAACTTGATAAGGGCATCTACAAAAAACCCACAGCTAACGCTATACTTAATGGTAAAAGACTAAATCATTTCCCTATAAGACCAGGAACAAGACAAGAATGTCCACTCTGTCATTTCTTTTCCACATAATCCTACAGGTTCTATGTAGGGCAATTACACAAGGAAATTAACAATCCCTATGCAAATTTTTTCATTTTTAATTTTTTGTGGGTACATAGTAGGTTTATGTATTTATGGGGTATATGAGATGTTTTGATACAGGCATGCAATGTGAAATAATCACATCACAAACCATCCATATCAAAAAGAAGGAAGTAAAGCCCTATCTCTTTGCATAAGACACAGTCTTGTAAACAGAAAATCCTATTAGAGCAAATAAATGAATTTAGCAAGGTCACATGGTACAAGATCACTATATAAAAATCAATTGTATTCCTATAGACTAGCATAAAGTTAAGTGAAAAAATCCATTTACAACTGCATGAAAATGATAAAATTCTTAGGAATAAACTTAAGAAATGAAAAATTTTTACTCTGAAAAACTACAAATCATTGTTGACAGAATTTAGAGAAAACCTAACTAAATAAAAAATTATCCCATGTTCATGGATCAGAAGACTTAATATTGCTAAGATGATAATGCTCCCTACATTTTTCTGCACCTTCAAGGCAATCCTTATAAAAATTCCAACCGCCCTCTTTGCAGAAATGGAAAAGCTGATCATAAAACTGACATGAAATTCATAGGGAATTGCAAGGAACCCCAAAGGCCAAAATAATATTTAAAGAACAAAGCTGAAGGATTTACACTTTCCAATTTCAAAATTTGCTACAAACCTACAATAATCAAACCAGTGTGGTACTGGCAAAAGGACAGACGTGTAGATCAATGGGACAGAATTGAGATTACAAAAATAAACCCATACATCTATGGTGAATAGATTTTTGACAAAGGTGCCAAGGACATTCACTGAGGGAAGGAATAGTATTACAACAAACACTGCTGGAACAACTGGATACCTATATGCAAATGAATAAACTTGGACCTCTTCTACACACTATACATAGAAATTAACTTAAAACAGATCAAAGATTAAACACAAGAACTAAAACTATAAAACTCTTAGAAGAAAACACAGAGCTAAATATTCTTGGGCCGGGGAGGGTGGCTCATGCCTGTAATCCCAGCACTTTGGGAGGCTGAGGAAGGCAGGTCACCTGAGGTCAGGAGTTCAAGACCAGCCTGGCCAACATGGTGAAACCCCATCTCTACTAAAAATACAAAAATTAGGGCATGGTGGCACGCGCACCTGTAATTCCAGCTACTCAGGAGGCTGAGGCAGGAGAATCACTTGAACCCGGGAGGCGGAGGTTGCAGTGAGCCAAGATTGAGCCAGTGAACTCCAGCATGGGTGACAGAGCAAGACTCTGTCTCAAAAAAAAAAAAAAAGTAATTTTTTTTTTACCTTTGTTTAGTCAAAGCCTTCTTAGATATTATAGCAACAGTACAAGTAACAAAAAAAGTTAAAAACAATTTTATCAAAATTGTAAAAGTTTGAGCTTCAAAGGACACTACCAAGAAAGTGAAAAGACAACCTACAGAATGGGAAAATGTATTTGCCAATCATATACCTTACAGGAGAATCATATCAAGAATATATAAAGAATTCTTATAATGTACTAGAAAGCAAATAATACAATTTATAATGGGCAAAAGATTTGAATAGACATTTTTCAAAATATATATATATCTTTTTATGGGCTTATTGTACATAAATATATGCTCAACATCGTTAATAATCAGGGAAATGAAAAGAAAATCAAAACCACAATGAAATACCACTTCACGCACACTAGATAGCTATAATCAAGACAGACAATAACAGGTATTATTGAGGATGTGGAGAAACTGAAACTCTCCTACATTGCTAGTGGGAATGCAAAATGGAGTAACCACTTTATAAAAGTCGGGCAGTTCCTAAACAAAGTAAACGTGATCCAGCAATTCCACTCTTAGGTATAAAACAGAAACATGTCTATGCAAAAATCTGTACATGAATGTTCATAGCATCATTATTTATAAGAGTCAAAAAAGTATAAAACAACCTAAATGTCCATGAAAAAATGAACTGAAAAACAAAATGTAGTATATGCATACAATATAATATTATTTGGCAATAAAGAGGAATGAAGTACCGATTTATGCTACAGCATGGATGAACCTTGAAAACATTATGCTAAGTGAAAGAAGCCAGACAAAAAATACCACACGTTGCATGATTTTACTTCTATGAAATGTTCAGAATAGACAAACCTATAGTGACAAGTAGATTGATGGTTTCCTAGGGCTGGGGGGCTGGGCTGCCATGGAACGTGACAGCTAAGAGACATGAGGTTTCTTTTTGGGTTGATAAAAAATCTAAAATTGATTTTGGTGATGCTTGCCCTACTGTAAATATTCTAAAATTACTGAGAACTTTAAATGGGTAAAATGTATGGTATGTAAATTATATCTCAATGAAGCTGTTAAAAAAAATCAGTGCAATGAAGTAAAAAGTGGGAAGACCATTCTGTCAAGAACCGTGAAGGGACTAAGACTTTTCTATGCTTGAAAGTTAACAAGTTAGCCTTGCCATAGTTTTATAGACACCAGCAAACGCTACAAGACTTCTTAATCAGAGACAACAACTAATTTATTATTTACAGTAATACCCTGGGTTTCCGCGAGCCCCAATTCCCACAAGGTGATGTAAAGCAGACAAGGTGATGCCTTCACATGCAGTGCAATAGGTTATAGAAGAAAAACTGGGTGTTTAGGGAATCCATATATTTTATAGTGGGCAGTAAGCTTGCTTTATCTTTGCCCAGAGATATTTTTAATATCTTTATTGTACTAGAAGGTAGACAAACCTGGCCTTTCCTCCAAAGTGAGATACTATCTCAATTTTCCGAGTTATTCATTATAACAGATCCTTGAAAAGAGAGTTCAGAACAATGACAATGCCTCTCTTCTCAGGATGTACAGAGACATGAAAGATCCACGGAAAATTTTCCTCCAACGCATTCTAGATATTCAAATTTGTAAGAGAATAAATAAATGCAGTACATGAACAGCTATGAAAGACTTTTTAGGACCATTAGGGAAATTTGTTTATGACTTGAATATTAAATAACACTTTAAGATTGCTGTTGATTTTCTTATGTTTGATAATTATGTCATGTTTATGTTTCCTTAGGTGAGGCATGATGCATGCTCAGGTATTTATGCATATAAAGTGTCTGATTTCTGCAACTTACTTTTAAATGGCTTAGCAAAATGTGTATAAACACACATATACTTACATAATCATTAAACACATGCACACACATAGATACCCTGGAAAGCAAGAGACAAACAAATATGGCAAAATACTAACAAGTGTTGAATCTAGATGAATATACAATGGTGTTCATTATATCGTCTTTAAATTTTTTGAAAATCTGGTTACTAAAAAGTTAGGTAAGTACATTGAGAAACATTCTAGAGACAAATACCTTCAGACTGCAAAAACAGGGGCAAATTTCAACATTTGAGCCATTCATCAGAGATATCAAAAACATACAGTTACACAGAAAGGTTGGAATTAAAAATTTTAAAAGTCATACACAAATAATAACCAAAAGAAGCTAGTATAGCTGTATTAATTTCAGTCAAAGTAGATTTTGAGGCACAAGTGTTGCAAAAGCTGAAACAAGGCCACTTCAGAATGATAAAAGGTTTGGTTCCCAAGGAAGATATTAAAATAAATTGAAATAAACAAATTGAAATAAACAAATCCACAATCAGAGTCGGAGATTTTAAACAGACCTCTAATGGCTGATTGAACATGTAAAGAAAATAAACTGTAAAAATGTAGAAAGATTTGAACATGACTAAGAAACGTGTTCTAATGGACATATATAATACAATGCCTCATGAAATGAAAGACACACATTTATATCAGGCACATCCGGGATATTTATAAAAACTAACCATATACTGGACCTTAAGGCTTGTCTAAACAAATCTCGAAGGATGGAATTTGTACAGAACATGATCTCTAACCATAATGTAATTAAGCTAGAACAAAAAGCATTAAACCTAACCAAACTCTTCCAGAAAACAGAAGAGGAGAGATAAACCTAGCATAACCATTATATCAAACCTAAACAGAACTGAGTCTGAAAGAAAAATTACAGGCCAATCTTACCAATGAATACAGATGCAAAAATATTAAATAAAATGTGATAAAGTTGGATTTAACCTAGGGCCTAGCCATTATTGAAAGAAAAGAAAAAGTTTGTTTAAAAAAAAGAAACAAAAATGTTATTCACAGGTGATATGATTGCATACAGAGAAAATTCAAAAGAATCTACAAAGAAATTAGAATTAATGAATTTTAGCAAAGTTGCTGGATATGAAACCAATATGTTAAAGTGAATTCTATTTTTATGTACCATAAACAAAATCAGAAAATAAAAAAAGACCACTGACAATTTGGTTCCCAGTGTAGTCTCTCAGGGAAAAAGTGAGGAAAGTGGATATCATGGAGCATTAAGAAAAACCCAAATAGTATAAGAAATGTATTACAGGAATAAAAGAAATGTAATTAGAAACTATAGGGAAAAGATAAAAAGAAATAGAACCATAGAGTATTACCTGACAATACAATAAGCAACATATTTATAATATGTACATATTCAAAATAATGTAAACATTGCTTATTGATTTAATTAAAAACAGTAACACATTGGGAGGAGATGGTGGAAGAGGGATAAGGGAAGTAGCACAAAGAGTACATCATCTATCATAGCATGAAGTTAATAAAAAATGTTGATAAAGCAAAAATTATTTGCAACTTTTGCCCTGGAAAAACTGATCTAGGAGTCAAAAGGGATGAGGACAGGAACAGATGTTTTTCAGTACTACCTGTACTTTTTAAATTGTATGTAAACAATATAATACTATGCCATATTACCATGCAATGGCCACTCCCATGAGTCTCATAAACTTGTAGAAGATATTCCTTTAACATTTCAAAACAGAAGTTATCTTCGACCTGGCTACCCTTAACACAAAACCCCTATTTTGTTTTTGTGGACTGACCATTCTTTACTAGTCCAAGGATGAAAATTTTAGGTATCTTTGTTATACCCCCTTATTGATATCCTATCACAATCCATAAACAAATCTTGTTATTTCTCCCTAACAAATGCTATCAATAAAAGAATGTTAGTGGAGTTGAAAGAGGTATTAGAAATTAATCTATTTCCATCATTTTATACATGAAGAAATAGAGAGCCAATGACAGAGCCAGAGCTAGAATCGTTTTCTTGACTTTTCCAATATTTGAAACTGATTCCCATTTGCTTTCAAATTTTGAGCAAAAGCCAAGATATTTTGCCAGATTTCCTATGAAGATGAAACGTTTTCTTCTCGCTGTCATAAGTGTCTTTCTTAAAAAATTAAATTAGGGATGAACACGTTAATCAGTTGGAAAGCCTTTTAACCAGAACAGCATCTGCCACTTTCTACAAACTCAGAACTAAAAATATTAGAGAAGACTCATTAAAATATGATGACTACAACATGTAATTCATCGATACTGATGTAGTTAATGATTTTCCTTGATTTAAAAAAATGCATTTTTTAAGATAAACAATAAAATATGCTTACTTAGTTTTTTTGAGATCCCATATGTTTTTTCCCCCTAATGTGAGAGTTAAGAAAGGTTGCAGAAAGGAGGTGAGAGGCCTAAAAAAAGTTACCAGACTTTGAAGTATGCCAGAGTTTAAGGCTTCTCATAAACTCACATTGATAAAAAGTGAGCCCAAAGATTCAAAGACATCAGCTAACAGACAACGGAGCTATTCTGGCATCCAGTCTGAACAAATTACCAATTGCTTCTTTACCAGTAGTTTAACCTTAAAAATCCACAGAAAAGTTCGTGAGATTAGCCTCTATAACTTTATGTTTTGGATGGGGAAGCTATGCCTACAGCTCACTTAGGGTAAATTTTTTATTTACAAGTACTTTTGGATACCATTTGGAAATAGTGAAATGGGACCTTTTAAAAATCGTTACCTTATTAGATAATTTTAATGGTATTTGGGTAAATGAGATTTCTATATTAGAAAATTACTCTAAATCAGAATGACATTTGCTAAGAGTAGATTCTGTGACTGGCAGATAAGAAAGAAACCAAGTGTACGCTATTTTATTCAATAGCAACTTTTCCCCAAGTTTTAGGCACTAATGACAATAAATGAAATTTGATAACTTTATTTTATATAGTGTTGGCTCTGTATAGCTCATGTGGGGTATACGGAGATTGTTAAATATCTCCCCAGAAGAACTTTAAAACCCAATAAGGACAATAAGAGAAATAAACAAGTTAGTATTTATTAGATAGAATGAGATAAATGGTATAAGACAAACATAAAATATTATGAGTATTCAAAAGAGAAAAAAAATGCTTAGAAAACTGATGGTAAGGCAAATAAGATGTATTTTTTCACATGCTACTGAAGTAGATTTTTCCGTAGCATGCATTCCCAAAGTTTTGAAGTGAAACAAGCAATGTTTGAAGGAAATAACTATTTGTATCTGTTAATCATCTAAATTGGAAAATAAACATAAGTAAGGATCACAGCATAGAATTAGCAGTTTTCCAGTCTTCAGCTCTACATGATGTATGATATCCACCTAAAATATTTCTAGCCATCCAGTCACACCTTATTAACACCTCCAATGATGAGGTACTCACAAGGCAGCCAGACCATAGTACTGACATTTAAGACATTTCCCCAATACACATTTAACCTGCTTACGTCCTTGATAAAGAAAATTCAATGATGCAAACTCAAATGAGTAATGGATTAAAATAATCTTAAAGTGAAATCAACTCAAGGAATCATTTAATACTGTTTCTTAAAAGCTATAATAGAAGGAGCAGAGAAACATTTAATTTACCTATTCAAACTGAAAGCAGTTATTTTACTTTGGGAATGGGGAGAGATGGACAGTGCTTATAATTAAATTTCTTCTGCAGTCATGATTGTTATTCATTTATAATATGAAACCTTGGGAAGAAAATCTTAAGATACGTATATTTTCAAAAATAAAATGAAATATACATTCTCAAGTTATATTATTATATCTAACCTGGCACATAAGGAATTATATACATGGGATTGATGTGTTAAGAAGCTTGAGTTAAAAGCATTGCAAACAACAAAAATGATGATGAACATTTGTATATTTCTTTGCAATTTATAAATAATATGACATATACTTATCTGGTCCTCTCAGTAATAATGCTCTGATGTATGCAGGAATATTTACCTATGTTTTCAGATATAGAAACTGAGGTTTAGAAGGCTTAAATGAATATTTAGATTAGAATAGCACCGTAGGCTAACACTTGAACTCCATCTTTTGCTTTCAAATGCCACATTCCTTCCATTACTAACTAATTTCACTGGAAGAAATTATCCAAGACTTCCAACTAAAAATTAGTGGTCGAGAATGGTGAAGTAAAAAACATGAGTAACATAATAAAATCATCAGATTTTAAGCTAGAATTTATTTCTGGATGTTATGAAAATGTCCAGTATCATTTAGAATGATTTACTTCCAGATAAATGAGTTAATCAACAGATATAGCCTTACTGTAAAAAGAAAACTGGGAAATAAGATGAACCTTAATTTTATGGTAAGAATATCTTTATTGATGGCCTATTGACAGTACTGCAGCTTTCCATTCTACCAGGCATGTACAGACGTATCCTGTGTTTCATTATCTTTCTCCAGATTGCAGCAAAGCTGTTCCATAAATGTAAACAGATTAACACAAGTTGAACTTAACTGTAGTTATTTGTTTTAACTTGGCCTTGGAAAAGTACTAACATCACAGATAAAAGAAGCAAACAAAAAGACCACAGTACCATGATAATAAGAATAAAAACTTCAGAGTTGTGCTGAGCATAAATATGTCTGGAATGTCTCCTATGAAGCAGTCAAAACCTGTGTTCGAAGTGCATTTAAGACTCAGTAAGTCTAACTCCAGGGCTCTATGCCAGTGTAAAAATGCACTAACATGCCATAGGCCTCCCTGTTGCCTGCTGACAGGCAGTAAGAAGAAATTGGTTTTTGCCTTTACACCAAGTGGATCAACCATTTCCTGTGCATTTCTAACACAATTACTGGCTGATCATCAAAGCATCTGGAACTCACAATAGAAAGAGCTAATATGATCTTTACTTCACAGGCAGCAAAGAAGAAGCTCTGCTACCATTTTCAGTAAGGCAAGTGTTCTGCATGAAAGTTCCCATGGTATTTTCCAACATGAGCAGAAATCAGGAAAACCATAGTTTAGTAGGATCACAAAAACAAGGAATGCTACAGTTCTGGCTGTTTCATTTGTAACCAACAGAAAAAAAAATGCAGTCTTAATAATGTTTTTTATTATCAAACACTGATTACATAAAATCAGATACCAATGGTGGGAAAAAATGTACCACTGCCACCACAGACCTTCCCAAATTCAAAAGCTCCAGTTCTATGCAACAGGCTAGTGATTAATATTTAGAAAACATATGACTTCCTCAAATATTAAAGCTAGTAGTGTTTTCTCAATACTCGTCACTCAAATATAGCAATTATTTCCAAAGCAGCTTCCATTTATATACTACTCAAAATCTACTGTCACTTTATGCTCTTGTCATGACAAAAAAAAAACTGTCCTTTAATTAGCTCCATCTTACAGAAATCAGTGGAAGCATGGGTGAGAAAGAGATTTAATAAACAGGTCTGGAAGATGGAGGTGCAGAATTCTTTACAGGCAGAAAGAGTCCAGGATATGTCTTATATGCATATCGTCAACCAATGAGCTTTGATCTTAATAAAAATAGCAACAACCTGGCAATTTGCTGCTTCGCCTCTTGTTGACATGAGGTTATACTTGATATTTATCATCAACCTATTTCTTATTAGCATAAATTATTCCTGCCAAGATGGAGGCCTCAGGACTAACCACAACAGTAGAAAACTATTATCCAAGCAACTATTCTCTCTCTTCCTAAGTTAGGAAAAAGTCATAGTTTCTGATTGAGGCAATCATGCTGATAATTAACTTTTTGAGCATCTATTAGTTAACAGAACATGGAAAGAAACTGGAACAAATGGAGAAATAAAAAACTATGTAAGTGTATATATAAAATTGTAGTTTATTCATTACATTTTTAACTAGACACATGTTAGCAACCTCAATATATATAATGTTCTTACATAAATCTATCTTATACACAGGATTCCCAATGGTCGAAATTGATTGGAGATGCTATACCCATGAGACAACTGCTTTAGTGTCAAAAAAGCTCAAAGAATTATAAACACATAGTTTCCACTTTGGCAAAAAAGCACACCACTTTTTTGCCTCCATAATTTATAAATGTCCAAACTGCAATATGCAATGTAACAACCTTACTATATGCTGGATTTCAGCTTTAGGGACTGTGGGTGATAAAAGAGGAGGTGTGAAGGGGATGATCTGCGGTGATCTTATACACATATACTTTAGCCAGAAAGCTCTACTTTTATCTGCTTTACTTTTTTGATACAATTAAAATAAGTGATTGAAACTAACCTTACTAGTCTATCTAAAAGATACCAGACACATGACGACCTACCACGTTATACCACAAATATTTCTTTTATCTCTTTCCTCATCTTTCCACTCTGTTCTAACTTCTTTCCACTCTGTTCTAACTTCTTTCTTGCTTTTATTTACCTTTCTAGCAACTATGCCAGTGTAAATGGTTCCCTGGAGCTGAGCAGTGCAAAACTAGTGCAGTGGTCCTGAAAGCCCAAGTTTGACCAAGAGTTCCAGGAAACATTACCTAATGCTAGGTCTAAATATTCCTAAGGATTATGCTTCAAATTATACAAATTATTAGAGCAATTTTCCCAGGAAATGGTAATGACTTTAAACTGACTTTAAAATGACTTTAATGGTTCAGATAAACAAGCTGAAAATGCTCCAAGTGAATCATTATTCATATTATAAAGATGAAGGCATTGATTATAATTTAGTTAAAAGCTTGCTTTTCTTTATTAGATCTTCTGCATAATCTTGGGATGTGGGTTGGCCACAAACTTGACTTCCAGACTTATTATAAAGGTACAGTAATTAAGACGGTGTGGTATCATCTTAAGAATCAGCAAATAAATCAATGAAACAGAATAGAGATAGTGTACTTGATTTTCAACAAAGGTGCCAAAGCAATCCAATAGGGAAAAAACATATTCCAAAAATGGTACTGGAATACTGGATATCCCTATTGGAAAAAAATGAGCCTGAATCCCTACTTCATTACTAAGTGCAAAAATTATTTGAGAAAGATCATCGATTAAAACATAAAAGGTCATGGATTAGAAACATAAAACATAAAAACCTACAAAACTTTTACAGGAACACAGAGGAAAAAACCTTTATAAACAAACATATAAAAAACAAAACATGACTTGAGATTAAGCAGGATTTTTTGGACAGGGCAAAGACAGGAAAAACCACAAAAAGTGGATAAATAACTCATCAAAATATACAATTATTAATATGAATAAGCAAGCCAGAGACTGAAAGAAGATATTCACAATACATACATCTGACAAAAAACTGGTATCCAAGATATAAAAGGAATTACTACAGCTCAACAATAAAAATACAAACAACCCAATTGACATATAGGCACAAGATTTTAACAGACTCCTCACAAAAGAAAATACACAAATGTCCAATAAGCACATGAAAAGGGCTCGACATCACTAGTCATCAGGGAAATGCAAATTAAAAGCACATTGAGATACTACAATAAAACCACTAGAATGGTTAAAATTTAAAAGACTGACATCAAATATTGGAGTAATTATAGAACAACTGGAACTGTCATACTTGATTGATGGGAATATAAAATGATATAACCATTTTGAGAAAACTGAGGCAATTTTTTTTTTTGAGACAGAGTCTTGCTCTGTCGCCCAGGCTGGAGTGCGGTGGCACGATCTCGGCTCACTGCAAGCTCCGCCTCCTGGGTTCACGCCATTCTCCTGAACTGAGGCAATTTTAAATGAAACTAAGCATACACCTTCCCTATGACTCAACAATTCCACTCCCAGCTATTAATCCAAAAGAAATTAAAACATAGGTTCACACAAAGCCTGCTTAAAAATATTCACTGCACCTTTATTCACAATATACAGAAACTAAACTGAGCCTAAGTATCATTATGATAATAAATCTTCATTGGTGAATGCACCCCTGAGGGTGGGTCTCTAAAATGGCCCCCTTGGGTGTGGCCGTCTTCTATGGTCGAAACTGTAGGGATGAAATAAACCCCAGTCTCCCATAGCGCTCCCAGGCTTATTAGGAAGAGGAAATTCTCGCCTAATAAATTTTGGTCAGACCGGTTGCTCTCAAACCCTGTCTCCTGATAAGATGTTATCAATGACAATGGTGCCCGAAACTTCATTAGCAATTTTAATTTCGCCCGGGTCCTGTGGTCCTGTGATCTTGCTCTGCCTCCATTTGCCTTGTGATATTCTATTACCTTGTGAAGTACGTGATCTCTGTGACCCACACCTATTCGTACACTCCCTCCCCTTTTGAAAGTCCCTAATAAAAACTTGCTGGTTTTGCGGCTTGTGGGGCATCACGGAACCTACTGACATGTGATGTCTCCCCCGGATGCCCAGCTTTAAAACTTCAAAAAATAAAAAAAATTAAAAAAAAATAAATCTTCATTGGTATATTCATACAATGGAATATGACTCAGTCACTAAAGAAATGCAACAATATGGATTAATCTCATTAATAGCATACTGAGTGAAAGTCTTACATAAAAAAGTACCTATTAAATTATGCATTTTATGTAAAATACTAAATCAGGTGGATAATTCCGTGCTGGAAAACAATCAGATCAAAGTATGCCTTAGGTGGTACATAGGAGAAAACTCACTAGAAGGATGACAGGAGGGAACTTCCAACGGTGATGTTAATGTTCTATAACATGATGGGGAATGGATTACACAGATGTATGTATTGTCAAAACTCAGTGAATGTTCACTTAAGATTTCTGCATTTCATCTTATGGAATTTTTATATCAAAACTAAAATGCATAAACCAATATTGAACCCTAGTTATTAATATAAATGTTGAACCATTTAGGAGAAAGTGTATTGGTTTCTGCAATTGTTTTTCTCTAACAGCTTATTGGGCTATGACTTCCGTACAGGTCAATGGTTTTCAGTATATTCACAGAGTTATGCAACCATTACCACAATCAATTTTAGAACATTTTTATCATCCCAAAAAGAAACCCCATACCAATGAGTCACTTCAAATTTTCTTCCAACCACATCCCCCACCCAGTCCTAGGCAACCACCAATCTAGTTTCTGTCTCTATAGATTTGCCTATTTTGTACATTGCATATAAAAAATCCTTTTTGAATTAAATTTGGCATAAGGTAGGTAATATAGGTCCAACTTTATTCTTTTGCACCTGATATTCAGTTTTCCCAGCACCATTTGTTGAAGAATATTTTCTTTCCTCCAACTGTCTTGGCATCCTTGTTGAAAAACAATTGACTATAAAGGTGAGAGTTTTTTTCTGAGCTTTCAACTCTACTCCATTGATTTATGTCTATCCTTATGTCAGCACCAAACAGTCTTGATTACTGTAACTTACTAGTGAATTTTGAAATCTTGGAAGAGTCTTCCAACTTTGTTCTTTTTCAAGACTGTTTTGACTATTCCGGATCTCTTACATTTCCATACGATATGAATTTTAGGTCAGCTTCTCATATTTCTGCAAAGAAACCAGCTGAGACTTTAAGGAAGACTGCACTGAATGCTTAGATCAATTTGGGGAAGTACAGTCATATTAACAATATTAATTTTTCTGATGCATGATCATGAATGTCTTTCTGCAATTTATTTCTGAATGCATCAATATGTATTAATATATAGATAATGGAATGGATAAACTGACACTGATAAAACTATAGCAAAATTTAACAGTAAAATCCAGGCAGCAGCTACAGGAGTGGCCACTGTAAAACTCTTTCAACTTTATGCTTAAAATTTCTCATATTAAAATATTAAGTAGAAAGAAAGAATTATATATTTATAAATGTAGTGACACAATATTAAAAATTGGTGAATCTGGGTGAAAAGTATACAAGGGTTCATTGTACTATTCTTTAAACTTCTTTGTAGTTTTGAACAATAATATATAGTTTCAAATAGCTAGAAGGAAGATATTGTATATTCACCACATGAAGAAATAATAAAGGTATGAGATGATAGATATGCTAGTTACCAAATCTGATCACTACACATAATATGTTTTGAAACATCACTATGCACCCCATGAATATGTGCAATTATTGTCAATTAAAAAATAAAATTTAAAAAATAAACAAAAAGTTGTATGAAAAGTACATAGACAGTAAAAATAGAGGAACTAAAGCAAAACCAAAAACACATGAATGTTTCATAAAACTTTGGGAGACAAGGTATCACAAAGGCAAAATATGAGAATGAGGAAAACTACCAATAGCCACCAAACCTTCAATAGAATGGTATCTATTATTCCTTCCTCCCCTTTTCTCTCTGTTCTAATTCCTTTCCTGCTTTTATTTAATATTCATCCGACTATGGTGGTAGTATTCGTATTGTTATTCTGAGGCTGCTGTATTTCTATTGTGAAATAAGATAAATGAATACTTTCAGGGTATTCTAATTCTGTCATCCCTTCTGGCCTTAAAAAGCACAATTCTTGGTGGGAAAGACAAAGGATGGAACAGGAAAAAAAAAGTTAACCAGAAGTCTATATATATGGCACTGCATTTGAATTGCAAGTATCAGTATAAACTCATAAGGTTTTATGTGTGTTAATTTTTTAAGATTACAAAGTACTTTTTAAATTATTATTATTTTAACTTTTATTTTAGGTGCTGGGGTAAATGTGCAGGCTTGTTATATTGGTAAAGTCTTGTCACGGGGGTTTGTTGTACAGATTATTTCATCACCCAGGTAGTAAGCCTAGTATCCAATATTTATTTTATCTGCTCTTCTCCCTCCTCCCAGCCTCCACCCTCACATAGGCCACAGTGTCTATTATTTCCTTCTGTGTTCATGAGTTCTCATCATTTAGCTCCCACTTACAAGTAAGAACATGCAGCATTTGGTATTCTGTTCTGGCATTAGTTTGCTAAGGATAATAACCTCCAGCTCCATCTCTGTTCCCACAAAATACATGAGATCATTCTTTTTTATGCCTGCATAGTATTCCATGGTGTAAATGTACCACATTTTCTTTATGTAATCTGTCACTGATGGGCATTTAGGTTGATTCCATGTCTTTGCTATTGTGACTAGTGTGACAATGAACATTTGTGTGCATGTTTCTTTATGGCAGAATGCTTTATATTCCTCTGGGTATATACCCAGTAATGGGATTGCTGGGTGCAATGGTAGTTCTGTTTTTAGCTCTTTGAGGAATTGCCATACTGCTTTCCACAATGGTTGAACTACTTTACAGACCCACCAACAGTGTATAAGTGCTCCTTTGCCTCCACATCTTCAACAGCATCTGTTATTTTTGACTTTTAAAAAACAGCCATTCTGACTGGTGTAAGATGGTATCTCACTGTGGTTTTTATTTGCATTTCTCTAATGATCAGTGACATTGAGCATTTTTTCATGTGTGTTGGCCGCATGTTTTGTCTTCTTTGAAAAGTGTCTGTTTATGTCCTTTGGCCACTTATTAATGAGGTTGTTGGTTTTTCTCTTGTAAATTTGTTTTTTAAATTTGTTTTAACTTTTTAGTTCAGGGGTACAAGTTCAGGTTACTTACATAGGTGAACTGTGCCATGGGGGTTTGTTGTACAAATTATTTAATTACGCAGATATTAAGCCTAGTACCCATTAGTTATTTTTCCTGATCCTCTCCCTCTTCCCACCCTCCACTCTCTGAAAGACCCCATTGTGTGTTGTTCCACTCTATGTGTCCATGTGTTCTCATCATTTAGCTCCCACTTATAACTGAGAACATAGATGCTGGATATTAGACCATTGTCAGATGCATAGTCTGCAAGCTATTTTCTCCCATTCTGTAGGTTGTCTTTTTAGTCTGTTGATAGTTTCTTTTGCTCTTTGCTGTGCAGAATCTCTTATGTTTAATTAGATCGCATTGCCAATTTTTGCTTTTGTTGCAATTGCTTTTGGTGTCTTTGTCATGAAATCTTTGCCCATGCCCATGTCCAGATTGGTATTGCCTAGATCGTCTTCTAGGGTTTTTACAGTTTTGAGTTTTACATTTAATTGTTTAATACATTTTGAGTTGATTTTTGTATGTGATGTAAGGAAGGGGTCCAATTTCAATCTTCTGCTTATGGCTAGCTGGTTATCCCAGCACCATTTATTGAATATAAAGTCTTTTCCCCATTGCTTGCTTTTGTCATATTTGTCTAAAATCAGATGGTTGCAGAGTGAAGCCTTATTTATGGGCTATTATGTTCCATTGGTCTATGTGCCTGTTTTTTATACCAGTACCATGCTGTTTTGGTTACTGTAGCCCTGTAGTGTAGTTTGAAGTTGGGTGATGTGATGCCTCCAGCTTTGTTCTTTTTGCTTAGGATTACCTTGGCTATGCAGGCTCTTTCTTGTCTTTTTTTTTTTTTTTTTTTTTTTTGGTCCTACATGAATTTAAAACTAGTTTTTTCTAGTTCTGCGAAGAATGTCACTGGTAGTCTGATAGGAATAGCACTGAATCTGTAAATTGCATTGGGCAGTGTGGCCGTTTTAATGATATTGATTTTTCCTATCCATGAGCATGGAATGTTTTTCCATTTGTTTGTGTCTTCTCTGACTGCTTTGAGAAGTGTTTTGTAATTATCATTGTAGAGATATTTCTCCTCCCTGGTTAGCTGTATTAGCAGGTATTTCATCCTTTTTGTGGCAATTGTGAATGAGACTGCCTTCCTGATTCGGCTCTTGGTGTGGCTGTTGTTGGTGTATGGGAATGGTAGTGATTTTCTGCATTGATTTTGTATCTGGAAACTTTGCCAAAGTTGTTTATCAGCTGAAGGAGCTTCTGGGCCAAGACTCTGGGGTTTTCTAGATATAGAATCATATCGTCTACAAACAGGAATAGTTTGACTTCCTCTCTTCCTGTTTGGATGCCCTTTATTTCTTTCTCTTGCCTGACTGCTCTGGCCAGGACTTCCAGTACTATGTTGAATAGAAGTGGCGAGAGAGAGCATCCTTGCCTTGTGCTGGTTTTCAAGGAGAATGCTTCCAGATTTTGCCCATTCAGTATGAGGTTGGCTGTGGGTTTGTCACAGAGAGCTCTTATTATTTTGAGGCATGTTCCTTCAATACCTAGTTTATTGAAAGTTTTCAACATGAAGGAATGTTGAGTTTTTGGTTATTTGTTTATTTTGAGATGGAGTCTCGCTCTGTCGCCCAGGCTGGAATGCAGTGGTGTGATCTAGGCTCACTGCAAGCTCTACCTCCCAGGTTCACGCCATTCTCCTGCCTCAGCCTCCCCAGCAGCTGGGACTACAGGTGCATGCTGCCATGCCCAGCTAATGTTTTGTATTTTCAGTAGAGACAGGGTTTCACCATGTTAGCCAGGATGGTCTTGATCTCCTGACCTTGTGATCCACCCACCTCTGCCTCCCAAAGTGCTGAGACTACAGGCGTGAGCCACCATGCCCGGCCGGAATGTTGAGTTTTATAAAAAGCCTTTTCTGCATTATCTATTGAGATCATCATGTGGACTTGTCTTTAGTTGTGTTTACATGATGAATCACATTTCTTGATTTGTGTATGTTGAACCAACCTTGCATCCCAGGGATGAAGCCTACTTGATTGCAGTGGATTAGCTTTTTGTTGTGCTGCTAGATTTTGTGTGCAACTATATTGTTGAGGATTTTTGCACTGATGTTCAGGGACATTGGCCTGAAGTTTTCTTTTTTTTTTTTTCTTTTTTTTTTTTTTGTTGTTGTTGTTGTGTTTCTGCCAGGTTTTGGTATCAGGATAATGCTGGCCTCATAGAATGAGTTGGGAAGGAGTCCCTCCTCCTCAAATTTTTGGAATAGTTTCAGTAGGAACAGTGTCATCCCTTCTTTGTACATCTGGTAGAATTCGGCTGTGAATCCACCTGGTCCTGGGCTTTTTTTTGTTGGTAGGCTATTTATTACTGATTCAACTTTGGAGCTTGTTATTGGTTTGTTCAGGGAATCCATTTCTTCCTGGTTCAGTCTTGGGAGGGTGTATGTGAATTTATTTTTATATTTCTTAGCTCTCTCCACTGAAAAGATGTATAAACAATGACCACCAGGTGTGGTGGCTTGCACCTGTAATCCCAGCTACTCAGGAGGCTGAGGCAGGAGGATTGCTTGAGCCCAGGAGATCAAGGCTGCAGTCAGCCATGACTGCCCCAGTGCAGTGTAGCCTAGGCACAGAGTCAGACCTATCTCTTAGGAGTCCCCAACCCCCGGGCCATGGACAGGTACCAGTCTATGGAACCAAATCGTACCATTAGGAACCAGGCCACACAGCAGGAGGTGAGTGGTGGGCGAGCAAATATTACCACCTGAACTCTGTCTCCTGTCAGATCATCATTGACATTAGATTCTCATAGGAGTGCAATGTGAACCCTATTGTGAACTGCACATGGGAGGAATCTAAGTTGCACTCTCCTTATGAGAATCCAATGCATGATGATCTGAGGTGGAACAGTTTCATCCTGGAATCATCCACCTCATCCCCTGAGTATGTGGAAAAATTGTCTTCCACAAAACCTGTCCCTGGTGCCAAAAATGTTGGAGAACACTGTCTTATAGACAGGTAGGTAGATAGATAGATAGATAGATAGATAGATAGATAGATAGATAGATAGATGATAGAATAAAAGGCTAGTGGGAAAAAAAACAATTATCAAAGAAGTAACAATAAGTATCTTTTCCACCAAGACTGTGGTATTGAGATACCATTATGAATTAATAGAAACAAGTGACATATGTAGAATGCCTGATTCTAAATTTGAGGCAAGGAATGTATAAAATGAACCAGAAACATTGTGTCATACTAGGTAATAAGAAAGCTTTTAAAGACTAGAGTCTTGTTAAAGGACTCAGGAGCCAACTTGTGGACACTCCCATTAGTCAACTATGACACAATATGTGCTTCAGTGACAACAATATTTGAAATGGATTGAAACCCATCAAATATGTTTAAGTTCAAGAGTTCATAATGATATTGTAAAGAGAAAAGAATTACTCACTTTAAGAGGATGATGGGGAACCAGTTCATTTTCTTGAAAACTGGTAAGTACATACAGAGAAAGCCTCAAACATTTATAGTCTCTTCAATATAAACAGTATCACTTGATAACCAAATAATGGATGGGGGAAACTATCTCTTTTTAAAAGTATTCCAACTGTATTAGTCAACTCAGCCTACCAAAACAAAATATTGTAGACTGAGTGGCTTAAACAACAGAAAATTATTTCTTTCACTCTTCTCAAGGCTGTGAGATCAAGGTTCTGGCAAGGTGTGATTTCTGGTGAGGGGTCTCTTCCTGGCTTGCAGATGCCTGCTTTCCTGCTGCGTCTTTACATGGCAGGGAGTGAGTGAACTCTCTGGTGTCTCTTTTTATAAGGACACTAATATTGATTAGAGTTCCACCTTTATGACCTCATTTAACCTTAATTACTTTCTTACTCCATATACAGTTACCTTGGGGTTTGAGATTCAACATATGAATTTTGAGGGACACAATTCAGTCCATAACACCAACTAACACATGAAAAAAAATTACATTAGAATATCACTACTTTTCTTTGAGTTTTTTTTTTATTTCAATAGCTTTAGGGGTACAAGTGGTTTTTGGTTACATGGATGAATTGTATAGTGGCAAAGTCTGGGATTTTAGTGTACTCCAACACCCAAATAATGTACACTGTACTGAGTATGTAGTTTTTTTTTTTTATCCCTCACCGACTCCTCACTTCTGAGTGTCCAAAGTCCATTATACAACTCTGTATGCTTTTCTGTACCCATAGCTTAACTCCCACTTACAAGTGGGAATATACAGTATTTTATTTTCCATTCCTGAATTACATCACTTAAAATAATGGCCTCCAGTTTCATCCAAGTTGCTGCAAAAGACATTATTCCATTCCTTTTTTGTGGTTGAGTAGCATTCCATGATGCATATATACCACATTTTCTTTATCTACTCCTTGGTTGATGGGCACTTAGGTTGGTTCCATATCTTTGAATTGTGCTGCAATAAACATATGCATGCACATGTCTTTTTCATACAATAACTTATTTTCCTTTAGACAGATACCCAGTAGTGGGATTGCTGGATTGAATGGTAGGTCTACTTTGAGTTCTTTGAGAAATCTCCCTACTGTTTTCCATAGAGGTTGTACTAATTTATATTCTCACCAGCAGTGTAGAAGTGTTCCCTTTTCACTACATCCATGCCAACATGTATTGTTCTTTGACTTTTTAATACTGGCTATTCTAGCTGGGGTAAGGTGGCACTTCATTGTGGTTTTAATTTGCATTTACATTGATGATTAGTGATATTGAGCATGATTCCATGTTTCTTGGCCATTTGCATGCCTTCTTTTGAAGACAGAAATGTCTATTCATGTCATTTGCCCACATTTTGATGGGATTATTTGATTTTTTCTTGCTGATTTGTTTCAGTTCCTTGTAGATTGTGGCTATTAGTCTTTTATCAGATGCATAGTTTACAAATATTTTCTCCCATTCTGTAGGTTGTCTGTTCACTCTGTTGATTATTTTTTTCCTATGCAGAAGCTTGTAATTTAAATAGGTCCCATTTATTTATTTTTGTTTTTGTTACATTTGCTTTTGGGGTCTGAGTCATAAATTATTTGCCTAGGTCAATGTCCAGAAGAGTTTTTCCTATGTTTTCTTCTAAAATTGTATAGTTTCAGGTCTTAAATTTAAGTCTTTAATCTATCTTGAGTTAATTTTTGTATATGGTGAGACTTAAGGATCCAGTTTCATTCTTCTACATGCAGATATCCAATTTTCCCAGCACCATATATTGAATAGGGAGTCCTTCTCCATTGTATATTTTTGTCTGCTTCATAGAAGATCGGTTGGTTGTATTTGGCTTTATTTCTCAGTTCTCTATTCTTTTCAATTTGTTATGTGCCTACTTTTGTACCAGTCCATACTGTTTGGATTACTGTAGCCTTATAGTATAATTTGAAGTCAGGTAGTGTGATGCCTCCAGATTTGTTCTTTTGGTTTAGGATTGCTTTGGCTATGCAGGCTCCTTTTTGGTTCCATATGAATTTTGGGATTGTTTTTTCTAATTCTGTGAAAACTGACATTGGTATTTTGATAGGTATTGCATTGAATCTGTAGATTGCTTTGGACAGTATGGTCATTTTCACAACATTGACTCTTCCAATCCATGAACCATTGTTTTTGTCATCTATGATTTCTTTCATCAGTGTTTTGTCATTATCCTTGTAGAGATCTTTCACCTCTTTGGTTAAATATATTCCTAGGTGTTTTACTTTTTGTAGCTGTTGTAAAAGGGACTGAGTTCTTGATTTGATTCTCAGCTTCATTGTTGTTGGTGCATAGTGGTGCTACTGATTTGTATACATTGATTTTGTAACCTGAGACTTTACTGAATTCATTTATCAAGCCTAGAAGGCTTTTGGAGGAGCCTTTAGGGTTTTCTAGGTATAAGATTATATCATTGACTAAGAGAGATAGTTTGGCTTCCTCCTTTCCAATTTGGATGCTCTTTATTTCTTTCTCTTGCTTAATTGCTCTGACTAGGACTTCAAGTACTATGTTGAAGACAAGTGGTGAATGTGGTGGGCATCCTTATCTTGTTCAAGTTCTTACGAGGAATGCTTTCAACTTTTCCCCATTCAGTATGATATTGGCCAAGAATATCACTACTTTTCAAACTGAGTTAACTAATATTGTCATTAATCACCAATAGCTACTACTATCACAAAAAGAAAGACGAGTACCCATTATCTTCCCCATATATGACTGTCAGACACCACTTATAATCTTGCCAGAGATCAAAACTAAGTCTGATCAAGCCACTGGATCCAGCTGCCAATATGTAGAAAATATAAATGGCAGAAAAAAATGTTAAACTGCACCTTGAATTTGCAGTCAGAAGAATCCAAAAGGTGAGATGCTCTGTAAGTCAGATGGCATAGGTTCTTCGAAATATTAATTGTAAAGAAAAGTAAGGGATAGAGGGAAAACCCACACATTTAAGAGATATTTAAAAAACATATCAAAGTTTTCTAAATGAACAAGAATAAAACAGTAATACCTAGGAACGCGAATTTGGGTGATAAAACCATAAAAAGTCCAAAGAAAGTCAAGACAATGTTTATTTCTGTGGAGCAACTGGGTTGGGATTAGGATGTGGTCCACAAAAGGAGCTTTTGGGGTGGGTAGCATAGTTCTTATTTCTTGACCTGGGTGTTAGTTACAAAGGTATTTACTTGGTAATAATTTATTAAACCATATATTGTGTGTGTGATTTTCTAAGCCTGTCTTTATTTTTAAATGAAAAAAAATGTTTTAAATTTCAGGCAACGGACTACACAAAAAACTATTACCTTCCAGTAGCCGGGCGCGGTGGCTCATGCCTGTAATCCCAGCACTTTGGGAGGCCGAGGCAGGCAGATCACCTGAGGTCGGGAGTTCGAGAATAGCCTGACTAACATGGAAAAACCCCGTCTCTACTAAAAATACAAAATTAGCCGGGCATGGTGGTGCATGCCCGTAATCCCAGCTACTCAGGAGGCTGAGGCAGGAGAATCACTTGAACCCGGGAGGCAGAGGTTGCAGTGAGCCGAGATTGCGCCATTGCACTGCAGCCTGGGCAACAAGAACGAAACTCCATCTCCAAAAAAACAAAACAAAACAAAACAAAACAAAACAAAACAAAACTATTACCTTCCAGCATACCTGATGTGGAAAAATAGTAACATGAACTCCAATCCCACTGTCAGAACTATAATGTTCACCTGGATCTCTGGATATTGCCTGCTACCAGCTACCCTGGCTCTTGCACTCAACTCACCTATGAATGATAGCTACCACACTCTCAACCATGTTGACTACCCAGATATCTGAGCTAACATACTGCCTACTACTGAGACCTATCTGTTCTATAACCTGGCTGTAGTCTATACTCTTGTCTATGTTTACTGTACATCTGGATTAAAAGAAAAAAAGAAAAGCAGAAGTGATACTTCAATTTGCTCCACCATAAGAGTCCATTTCCTTCTCCCTTGGTTTCCTACCTCTCAAATAGTCTAAGGGAAATAAAGAAACATGAAGAACCCAATGAAACTTGGATGACCAAAAAAAAGAGTCAATAACTGTAGTGCTTTCCATACATTTTCAAACTGCCAAATTCCCACATTACAAAAAGCACTAAGACATGAAATGTTCCCCACAAATTATATAATAGTAATATGTAACTGAAAGGTCATTGACACAACTATATCATGGCTAAAGGTAACTTTATCATGCTGCTTCACTTCCAGCACAATTGTTAGCAGATGGCTTTCTGATTAGGACCAAAATTTTCCAAAGAAAATATCACAATACTTATAGTGTGCCTAATAATGAGCAAAGGAAATGAAATCACAAGGAGATAATAGCTGTTCAGCAATCGGTTGCCTAGGCTCTCTCACAAACTAAGTAACTTGCCCTATACTGCTCTCTGGCCTAAAGGTACATTATTCAATTTAGTACCTT
Source organism: Homo sapiens (assembly GCF_000001405.40). Taxonomy (NCBI): domain Eukaryota; kingdom Metazoa; phylum Chordata; class Mammalia; order Primates; family Hominidae; genus Homo; species Homo sapiens. The sequence goes on along the minus strand of NC_000023.11, from coordinate 108,501,442 downwards.
ATCAAAACAGCAAAAAGGGGGTTATACAAGCAATGTACCTTTAGTTCAGAAGTGAAAATAAGAGTGATAAGGTAAAACATTTTTGAAACACAAGACATCCATTCCAGATGAAAGAAATGATGCACATGTGGTTTAAGGGAAGGATTATGGGGTAAAAAAGGAGCAGCATTATGGATTAGGAAATAATGGGAACAAGTCAGCCTTATACACTAGATAATAGTGATTCTCAAACATCCATGTATTATGAATTATAGCAAATAAGAAGATATTGCTCTTCTCCTTAATTTCTTCATAATTTTCTCATTGCCTCATCGTTTGTCTCTAGTGTCATTTAATCCCTCACAGAATCCCTAAGAATAAATTATTTTGGGTACAGAACCAGATAAGAACACTCTGAAATCATCCAAATTCAGGAATTAGGCAAATTTTTTCACCCTATACCTAATAAATACACCTTTTAATTTTTCTCTAATTATTTTGTTTCTTATCTCTCTCTCCACCTCCCAACATCCTCTCATTCTTCTTCGGTCCTCTGTCCCCACTCCTCCTGCCATACTCATCCCTCACTCGTTGGTCTGAAATGCATGTGTGTATATATATGTATGCACCTTTAAAAAGTCTTCTAGATATTTTCTGTCCTCTCAGTGTTACTTCTAAAATTTATAAACTGTACAAGGCCAAACAAGAAGTTAAAAAGTTTAGCCAGCACCCCTAAGTTGTCACCTATTTAATAATTTAACAAGCACCCAATAAAGTATCCATGCATTTTTTTCCAGTATTTCTTGAGACTTTGAGCAATAGAGGCTATTTCTTAATTGTCCTGAAAAACTGGAGCCATCACAATGGATTACATGTCTAAAATTTTTACTTTATTCTATCATTGCCCACATTAACCAAATGTGACTAGATAATTCTTCAAAGTAATTTTCATCTCCCTTTCCCCTATCAAGCAACTTTAAAAATTCAAGCCAAATTCTTCCAGTGTCACCTGACGTTGCGTAGCCTTCAATGCTCTAAATGAAAGGGAAAATGCATTTTGCTGTGACAATTTTCATTTATTTTAAGACTTTTGAAGAAGAAAAAAATAAAACCTGGACCTCGTCCCAAAAAGCATAAGTGCCCCATTTGGCAATTCTCATGGGAGCCTGAAAGACTGCACCTCCTCCGACATCATTTAATGTTCCGCTCTTGGGTGGTTGGGGATCACAAACATGAACATTGCTATAATTTTAATTACCACGCAGTATTTTGGTAATTTCCCTACCTGCCTGTGCTAGCTTAAGAAATTATCCATTTTTTAATTCTCAAGAATGAAAACAGTTCAGGTATTTACTTTCTAATTATAGAGTAACACTCTTGGTCTGAAAAGAATAGGAATACTGAAAACTGTGAAAGAAAGTAAAAAGTGCCCAAACTCCCAACATCCAAAGTTAAACTCTGTTAATGTACTGATATATCTAATTCTAGAGTCCATCAGTCTGTCTGCCTCTCTTAGTGGGTCTATGTGTGTGGGCATGCATATGTACATTTTTATACATACATGTATTTATTATGTATGTATACTATGTATGCAATATACTATATTATGCATACTTCATATTATATATAAACGTATACATATGTTTGTATACAAATACACACATACACACAGACGTATGTTTGAGAAAAAAAGTAACAGTTATGTAGGGGACTAGTTACATATATTACAGTATATTTATTCAAATGAGTATTATGTAACTGAAAAATCTTGGTTTTGAAAAATATTTAATGAAATAGAAAAGTGCCCATGATAAAACGTTAATTAAATAAACACAATACAAAATTGTACTGTTGCACAAAGAAAAATCTAGGCCAAGACAGCTTCATTAGTTAATTCAATCAAATATTTAAGAGAAAAATACCAATACTACAAATGCATTTTTGGAAAATGAAGGAAGAGGAAGCACATTCAAACTCATTTAGGAGGCCTATATTACACTGATATGAAAACCAGATAAATGAATTACAAGAAAATGTAATTATACACAAATATCTCTCAAGAACACAGATCCAAAAATATTTAATAGAATATTACTAAATAGAATACAACAACATATTAAAAGGATACTACATCTTGCTCAAATAGAATTTAATCCCCAAAATGCAAGATTGGCTTAACAATAAAAATCAACAAATAAAACTTACTCATTAACAAATTAAAGGGGTAAAATTATATGATCATTGAACAAAATTCAATATCCATTCATGATAAAAATTGTCACCAAACTAAAAATAGAGGGAACTTCTTCAATCTGATGATGTGCATGTAAAATACATACATATTGCATAATACTTAATAGTGAAATACTGAAGTTTTTCCTCCTTATGCTTGGGAAACAGACAAAAATATCTTATCTCATCACTTTTATTTAGCATTTGCCATTGAGCTCATCCACCGCAATTAGATAAGGAAAAATGCAAAATAATTGAAAAGGGAAGAGCAAAATCATCTCTTATTTGAAGATAATGTGATTATTAATTGTAGAAACTTCTAAGTAATCTTTAAAAAGCCATAAAATTTAAACAAGTAAATTTTGTATACTCACAGTATAAAAGTGATTATAAAACTGAAGTTAGTAAATCAGTTATCATTATAAAATGAAAAATTTTATACTAATACCATTTACAATGGCATCCAAAGTCATAAATTACTTAGAGATAAAATTAGTGAAAGATGTGCAAAACCTATGCTATGAAAATGATAAAAACATTGCTGAGAAATATTAAATGTAATGTAAAGTAAATATATACCTATCAAGTAAATGGAAATATATGCTAGACTCATATACTGGAGATGAAATATTCTTCAGTTAACAATCTTCCCAAAATTTGCCCATAGATTCACTACAACACCCATCAAAATCATCAGAGATATTGTTGTAAAAATTGACAAAGTGATTATATAATTTATACAGAAATGGAAAGAACATAAACTATCCAAAATAATATTGAAAAGAGGAAGGAAGTTTTAATATTTATATTTAATATTTACTCTACCTTATTTTAACACTCACTATACAATACCAAGACAGTGTGGTATTAATGAATGAACAGGTCAAACAAACAAAATGGAGAGTCCAAAATTAGACACAGACAAATAAAGTCAAATGATCTTTGAAAATGGTAACATAAAAGTTCACTGGGAAAGGAAATCTCTCCAATAAATTTTGATGAAACAACAGTATACCCATATTTTAAAACAGAAACGTCAACCTCTAATTCACACCATTCAAAAAATTACTTCAAGATCAAAGATGTTCTTAAATATAAAATACTTTAAAGTTTCTAGAAAAAACAACAGGAAACAGCTTTGTGACCTTGGCATAGAAAAATATTTGTTAGGCAGCAGAAAGCACAAATAATAAAAGAAAGAATGATAAACTAGATTCATTAAAATGTAAAACACCTGCTCATCAAAAAATCATTAAGAAAAAGAATAAGCCAGCAACAAACTGGAAGAAAACTTTTGTGAAATGTACATATAATAAAGAACTGGTATCCATAATATATAAAAAACAGGTAAACTCATTATTAAATGACATTTTTTAGCTTGAAGATGTAGAGAGCTAGAAAGATGTTACTCCTAAACTTGCAATAAGAAAAAAGTCAAGCAGGTTTCAGAGTAACAATTTTTCTTGGACCTATCAGAGATAATAGAGATCACAGCAAAGAATCAGCCCAAAACCTCCAGAGAGAAATAGGTCCAGAGCATTTCCTTACTTATAAGAAAATTGAATATTGAATGACAATATAGAATGCAATACAGAATACAAGCAGGTAGGAAGATTCAATTAGACATTTCAACTAATTGCTAAAGGCCAGGTGTGGGCTAATAAGATAATGTGAAACTTCTGGGGCCCACAAACATAGAGGAACTCACACTCTCTAACAGCCTTCTCCAGGAACCCCACCAGGCTCTCTGGTGAAAATAGAAAATGATGCAGTCACTTTAGAAAACAGGATGTTAGGTCCCCAAATGTTTACACATAGAGTTACCACATCACGTGGAAATCTACTTCTAGGTATATACCCAAGATTAAAAAAACATATATCTATACAAAAACTTTTACACAAATATTCATAGCAGCATTATTTCTAATAGCCAAATGAGGAAACAACTTGAATGTCCATCAACTTATAAACCGATAACCAAAATGTGGTATATCCATACAATGTAATGTGATTCAGTGATGAAAATGAATCTAATACTGATTCATGTTACAACATGGCTGAACCTTGTAAACATTCTGCTAAGTGAAAGAAACTAATCACAAAATACCACGTAATGTATAATTCAATTTCTACGAAATGTCCAGAATAGGCAAATCTATAGAAACAGAGAGTAGGTTAGTGGTTGCCAAGATTTGGGGGATTACGGGAGAGTTACTGGTAAAGGGTATGGGATTTCTCTATGGAGTGATTAAAATGCTCAAAATTTAGACTGTGAGTATGATTGTACAGCTCTGTGAATATGCTAATAAACATTGATTTATACATTTTAAATTGGTGAATCACAAGTCAATAAAGCTTTTTTCAAAAAGAAACGACTATCAAAAAACAAAGTTGTAATAGTGATATTAATTTTTGACACTATAGAATAAGAAATATAATCCAAGAGAAAGAGGAAACATACATAACAATAAAGGGATCGATTATCCAAGATGACATAATATTTGAATGTGTATACAACTAACAGAGCTTCAAAACATGAGGCAGAACCTGTCAGAAATAAAAGGAAAAAAACGCAAACACACAACTATATTTTGTGACTTCATCAGTTCTCTCTCAGTAATTAACAGAAAAAATATGAAGAAATCAGTAAGGATATGAATAATACTATCAACCAATTTGATATAGAATATTCCATCCAGCCAGAATGCACATTCTTCTCAAATGTATATAGAACACACACCAAGATAGAACATATTCTGGGACATAAAAAAATTATAAATTTAAAAAATAGCAATCATACAAAGTACATTATCTGATCATAATAGAGTTGAACTAGAAATCAAAAAAGAGAATGATATTGAGAAGATCCTCAAATGTTTGCAAATGAAACAAGACACTTCCAAGTATTAACATATGAGTCAAAGTAAAATTATTGAAAAAAACTGTTTTGAGTAAATTAAAATGAAAACGAAAACATAACATGTCAAAAATGAGTGGTGTGTAGCTAAAATGTTCTTAGAGGGAAATTTATTACATTAAATGCATACATTAGAAGAAATGTCTCAATTCAATAATCTAAAGCTACATCCTGAGAAACTGGAGAGGAAAAAACAAAATGAAGCCATTCATGGACAGTTTTGGGAGAAGCACTGCAAAGCAGGGAAGGCAAATCCATATCCCGATTGTCTGTTCCATTAAAGACAAAACGCTGCCTCTTCCATGGTAGAAGGGGTCCGATGTAATCAACCTCCCACCAGAGAGTTGGCTGATCACTCCAGGCAATGTTGCCTCATCTGGTGTTGCTACCAGTGTTGGTCTCTGCTACTGGCAGATTGGACATCCAGCAATGGCTATAGCCAGTTTGGTCTTGGTGAGTGGAAGTCCAGGATGCTGAACCCATGCATAATTTCCATCCCTGCCATCATGGCCATTTTGCTCATGAGCCCATTGGGCACTGACAGGAGTGGTTGGGAAAGAGACTGACTGATATCCATAGAACGGGTCATCCTATCCACTTGGCTATTAAAATCCTCCTCTGCTGAGGTTGCCCTTTGATGAGACACAATTATCTTCATGTTTTTTGCCCATTCAGGGAGGTCTATTCACACATCTCTTCTCCAAATTTCTTTGTCACCAATTTCCCAATAATGTTCCTTCCATGTATATCCTCTTACATGAAATGTATGATCATATCTTTTGTCCATTTTCTAATGGGATTTGGGGGGGTTTTATTGAACTGATCAGTTTTGGGAGTTTTAAAAATATATATTCTAAATAATAATCTTCTACTGGATATGTGTTTTGCAAATATTTTCTCCGTTTATAGCTAGTGTTTTCATTCTCTGTTTAACAAGGACTTTCACAGAATAAACATTTTTAAATTTTGATTATTTCATGAACTAGGCTTTTGGTATTACGTCTAAGAATTCTTCATCTAGCTCTAGGTGATGATTTTATTTTTTTCTAAACGTTTTATTGTTTTCTTTTTATATTTAAACCCATGATCCATTCTGAGTTAACTTTTTTGTAAGGTGTGAGGCTTAGGTCAAGGTTCATATTTTTGTCTATGGATGCTCAATTGTTCCAGAATCATTTGTTGAAAAAAAAAGTTATTCTTCCTCTATTAAATTGCTTTTGCTCCTTTGTCAAAAAATAGCTGGGCATATTGTAAAGGTCTATTTCTTAATTCTCCCTTCTATCATATTGATCTATGTGTCTATTCCTTCTCTACTACTGCAACTGTTTTAATTAACTACAGCTATATAGTAGGTCATAATATCATGTAGAGTGATTCCTCCCACTATATTCTTTTCCAATATTCATGACTCAGTCTTTAAGCATCTTTTTCTAACCCAGAGCCTGAATGCATCAAGTGAAAGTCTAAGTATTCATCCCCAAAGACACAAAATCATGGGGCTGAAGATAATGGGAGGATGAAAAATGCTAAATTTTATGTTAACTGCGCAAAATTTGCACTATTTCTTCAGTATAGAATCTGCCTCTAATATATCTTAAAACATATAGGATTTTAAGAACTTGTGAGTGACTCAGTGTTTGAACATTCACTTAGAAAAACGATCATTTCCACATAAACCTCCCTCTGCGTTATCTAACTTAGAAGTGCACTGAAAAAAAAAAAATCAGGCCTTTAATTTATAAAACCAAAAGTCCTTCTGAAAGTAAATGCTTATGGCATGATGGAATACAAACTAAGAAAATGGTATGACATATGTGTTAAAACTTGAAATATTTTCTTGCATATAAAATATTTGAGGAACTCAAAGTAAAAAAATATAGAAAGAAGAACCAAATTCCTGTTACCTCCTGCCCCTTGTACTAATTGTATTACATCTTTTCTTACGGATATTTTTTCCTCTTTTGCTCTTCCTATCATCCATTTGTCGTTAGGATACTTTTTATAAAATGCTGACCTACAAGAAAATCCATGTGTCAGAGTGGTGCTTTTTTCTAGAATAATCATTACAAACAATTAAATTAGGGGCCACCTGAAAGAAGCATCTTTTATTCAGTCTCAATAATGCTAGATCTGTTTGGACCTGCAAAGAAATTCTTAAGAAATACACAAAGAACTCAGTATTACAATTGTTTAGGTCAAAAAATAGACTTAAAATTGTATTTAAATTTTAATTTATAAAAACAAGGAAAAGTATTGTAGACTTAAATAGTTGCAATCTATTTTCTTATGGAAATTTTTATCATTTTCTGTGCATCAGGCAATATCAAAATAAACAAAGTTACCAAAGCATAGTCAAAATTTAACATTTTATTTTAAGGTCTTTCAGGCATGGCTTTGACCCTTTCCGAGCAAAATAAGATATACAGAACCATTAAGAGTGAAAATTGATTAAATGTCAAAGAACATTTAAAAGATACCATTAGCTACATCCGTTTTTTTTTTTTTTTCTTTTTAGATTTGAGATACAAGGTAAGCCATATAAATGCTGGTTAACTCTCCCATTCATTTGGGGAGCTCCCTCAAGAGAAATATGGTACTACAGTTGATGGCTATGTAGATCCAAGAATTAGGTCCCTGTAACCCCTGTATAAGTGAGAAGCTACATTATCCATTAATTTATTATTTTTTTGAAAAAACAGAACTGAAGTTAAATAGCAGCATATCTATTCCCTTATGATTTCTACTAACACATGATTCACCAACATGAGATATGTAAATAAAAACCATTATAAAAAAGAAGCATCTTACTCACTAAACTTAACTTCTTCAAAGAAGGCTTAATTAAGAAAAAAGTTAACTTACCTTTAGGCTGTCCCAGTATATTTCCTAAATGACAACTACCTGAGTTGGCAACTTATGAAGTAAAATTATTACTTTTCTCTTTGACATCATTCATTTTTCCTTTGAACTTATTCTACTGAAGTCGCTTCATATGCATGGACCATACTTAGTTAATAAAATTGAGAGTCTTTCCCCATGGTGTTCTCTATTTTCTAATGAATGAAATCTCTAAAACAGATGCACAATGCCAGACTCACTTATTGAATTCCTCTCTATACTTGCTTATAAATATATCATTTTAAAAACTCTTTGGCCCTTTGCTAAGTCTTTATAACCACTAAGGGTCTATAGTTAAAACAGTATAAAAACTACTCATTTTTTAATATAGCTATACAATGATTTCCTTATAAAGATGAAAATGATAGTCAACTGTACTTAACATAATATTCAGCAAATAAAAATATCCAGCACAAGACACAAGTGAGACAGCCAGGCATTGAGAATTAGGCTATCTGCTTGGTAGAAAGAGAAACATAGCAGATCCAGGTACTATTTGGGAAAGAGTTCATACATACCATTTTATCTAAAGTCAGAGACCAAAAAATCCTATAAAAGACTCAATGATTTTCTGCAGTTGAGCAAAACTCATCAATTCATTTGCTCATAGGAAATGAGTTAGCTTCCATATATCATATATCACAAGATAAAATGAAAACTAAAATTTAACTTAAGGTTATAATGCAATAAAAATGGCCAGACATTTTTGGAACAGCTATCCATCTCTATAAAAGCATGTTTTACTAGTAAATGGGGATCCTCTAGTAGTGCTCAATATTCGATTTGTCCATTTTACTTGTTCAATTAGCTAAATAGCAGATTAATGACTCTCCCATACTACAGCCAGGGGATTCTTTGGGGAATTATAGTAATTTCTTCTTTCCTATGTGTAATACTTTCTTTTTAATTTGCATGGTTCATATTTTTATGAAGATAGGACATTTTGAATATTATGATGCAGCAAATCTGAAAATCAGATTCTCTTCCCTCTCCAGGGTTTGTTATTGATGCTTATTATAGTAGTTGTTTGTTTGTTTAGTGACTTTTTCTAAACTAATTTTGTAAAGTCTGTATTCTTTGTTGTGTGGCCACTGAAATCTGTTTCATTATCGTAGTGAGCATCTAGTGATTTGAAACAGAAATTTCCTAAAACGCCTGGAACAACAACAACAATAAATTCCCAGTCTTTGCAGATGTGCACACCTTCAACACTCAGCCAGGAAGTTTACTATTCTGCATTAGCCTTAAATTCCTGCTAGTTGAGACCCTGAAGATAAGCCAGAGGTGAAAGCTTAGGGCGTTCTCAGGTCTTTTCTGAGCATCCACATAGCCTTGGGGGCACATGGCCTTCGAAATTACCAGGAATATGTTGAAGCTTTTCAAAGCTCTAATTCTCCAAAGCATCTCATTTCCCAGACTTTTTTCCCAAGCTTTTTAGCTAGTTTACTGTTTGACCAACCTTTATCCCTACCCCTAGGAAGTAGCAGCTAATACATTTGCCTGTAAATGTTTTCACAAATCTCTCCTCCACCCCCATAGCTGCCTCAACCTTGGAAAAGTTCTGAGTTAGGCAAAATAAAGGCAAGCCTTCTGAACTGGTCCCTCAGATCCACAACACAGATCAAAACCAACAAACACACTTATTTAAGAATAAGGTTACTTCTACTCCCTCAGGTACTAAGAACCTGTACTCAGTGGACTAGTACAGTGAAATGTAGACTGTTGTCTTCAGAGCCACTGCCAAGCTAGAGAGCAGGGGGTGGGACAAGGGTAAGCTAAAATGCCACAAATCTCTCCTACTGAGATTCAACTTTTTTTATTATTAAGCATTTGTCTGGTTGCTGTAAACTTTTGATTAGTTTCCATAATGCCAGTAAAGTTGATTCTGAGAGTATTTGCCAGTTTATTTAGTGCAATTGTAAAAAAAGATAAATTTTGAGGGTTCCCTACTCTGCCATATTTGCTGGCATCAAGCTTGATGACATCTTAAGACTTATTTTCAAGCCAAAAAAATTAAAATAGCATTTAGTAGTTAAATCATAGCAAACAATTAATAAATGAAGCGTCACACTTTGACATGGACAAGAGATGCTCTCCAATGTAGCAGACCCCACTCTAGCCATTCCTCAGCTGCTGTCAGTTTCAGAGAGGAAGAGTCTGTGGGGCAAAAGGGAAAGAACCACTGAAAGCCTGTGTTTCCCCTTCCATATCATAATTTGAGTACCCAAGATCCTAAAATTCCTTGTCCAAATAGCTCCAAGACACTTTCATGAGTATTCTACCATAAAGACATGTGCACACATGAATGTTCACTGCAGCACTGTTCACAATAGCAAAGACATGAAATCAACCTAAATCCCCATCCGTGACAGACTGGATAAAGAAAATGTGGTACATATATACCATGTAATATTATGCAGCCATAATAAAGAACAAGATCATGTCTTTTGTGAGAACACAGATGGAGCTGGAAGCTATCATCCTTAGCAAACTAATGCAGGAACAGAAAACCAAATACTGTATGTTCTCACTTATAAGTGGGAGCTAAATTATAAGAACTTACGAACACCAAGAAGGAATCAACAGACACTGGGGTCTACTTGAGAACAGAGGGTGGAAGGATGAAGAGGAGCAGAAAAGATAACTATTGGGTACTAAGCTTAATTCATGGGTGATGTAATAATATGTAAAACAAACCCCCATGACACGTGTTTACCTGTGTAACAAACCTTCACATGTACCCCCAAACCTAAAATAAGATAAATTTTTAAATATTTACATAAAAATACTCATTAAAAAGTATAGCACATACAATTATGCAAAGTACATAATACTTGATAATGATAAAAAAGGCTAATCATAAAAGGTTATACTACATTATTCTAAATAAATAACATTTTTAAATGACAAAATTTAGAAGTGGAGAACAGATTAGTGGCTGCAATGATTTAGGATGATAGGGGTCAGGGGGTGGTTATAAAAGGGCAATGTTTGATAACGCAATGTGTTGGTGAGGGTTAGGAAAACAAACACAGTTATACATTGCTGGTAGGAGTGTAAATCTGATAGAACTTCGATAGAGGACATTCTGGCAATATCTATCAAAATGACAAAGGTACAAACATCCAACCCAACAGCTCCATTTGTAGAAATTCACCCTACAGATAGCATACTTCTGAATATATGCGATGTTGGAACTGTTTAGTATTTTAACTGTGGTGGTGGAAACATGAACATATATAGGTAATAAAATTGTACAGAACACACATACACATGAACACAAGTAAAACTGGTGAAATCTGAATATAGAGTGGCAGATTATATTACTATTAGTATCCTGGTTATGATAGTAGGCAACTGTTCTGCAAGATGTTACCACTGGGGAGAAATGCATAAAGTGTATAAGGGATCTCTCTATATTATTTCTTAGAGCTACATATGAATCCACAAATATCTCAATAAAAATTTAAATTAAAAAACACCACTATCATTTGTAAAGCTGTTTACTCTGCTATAGAACCTTCTAAATTCCTTAATATTAGCAATGACCAGAACTTTAATTGCACATTTCAAATGGCCTATATAAATTGGGAATCTTAGTGAGATGAAACAAATAACATCCCGCACTAAAGTGTCTAATATTCCCACTTTGCTCACTAAATATTTAGAATTGCCTGAGGCTAAAATTAAAGCAGGACTCTGATGGTTAAAACTATGAACAGCTAGGAAATATGCACAATAAAAATCTGCCTCTTCACTGATATTATTACAGGAGTATTTTGAATAATTATTCTCAATACAAATTCAATAATATTAGCAGAAAGCAAACTTGGGCGGTATTAAAATAAGACTTTACATTTAAAAAAGCAAACAATACGTGGAAAAACGTTTTTTAAAAGGCAACCTCAGAACCTCTATATAAATGTGATTCAATTCAGTTCAACAAACATTTTATAAGTCTGAAATATATGCAAAGCTCCAGACCAGTGCTAGAGGGGAATACAAATTGTATCCTCTAGAAGTTCATAATCTAGTGACAAAAGCAGACACATAAATAAATAATGACAATACATGACAGACTTTGATAGCTGCTATAATAGAGGTGATCTACAGTGCCATAGACAAAGATCTGACAAAAATTTGTTGTGTGATGCAAAAGAGTCCGGGGCCATTTATGAATCAGTCAACACATTTAAATATACACTGAACTTCTCACCTTCCTGCAATGTGGCTTAGGTATTAAGGAAGAAAATTTCAAATACATATTGCAAATGTAAACAGACCATAATTTAAGATAACTCCGTGCAAATTCTAACACACTGGTAACTTCCTAAATAAAGGATAATTCTATTTTTCTTGGAATATGAAAAAATTATAAAGTATGGTGTATATTAAGAAGTAACAAAACCACTGAGTTAAATTTCTTGAGTAATTTAAATCATTTAAAGTTACTAGGGGATGTTGGTTCATTTGTTTGTCAACTATAATATGTTAGTTGTATAATGAGTGAATTATAAAATGCTACCGAAATTTTAAAACACAAAGTGTTCCTGGATTATTTATTTAACCTAAATATGCTCTTTGGAATCACTCTCATACTGCTGTGTAAAAGAATATACCTGCAGGTATAAGTTAAGGAGAAAAGACATTGTGCCTATCAATCCTGCAGCATTCCAGCCATTATAAAAAAGGAAATTATTTTTATAAATATCACAGGATCTTAAATATATGAAAAGGTGCTCAACCTTATTCAGAACAGAAATGCATATTAAAAACATAGTATTTTTTACATATCATATTCATAAAGATATAATGTTTGATAATACAATGTGTTGGTGAGGGTTAGGAAAACACAGTTATACATTGCTGGTAGGAGTGTAAATTGGGCACAACTTCTATAGAGGACATTCTGGCAATATCTACCAAAATGACAAGGGTCCATACTATCCAACCCAACAGCTCCATTTCTAGAAATTCACCCTACAGATAGCACACATCTGAAATGATGTATTACAAGATTACTTACTGCAGAAATGCAATAGCAAAAGACAGGCAACAAATTAAACATCCCTCAATAGGGGACTTGTTAAATAAATTATGTCATCTCTATACAAACAAATAATACCATGTAGCCATAGCTCCTTATGCACTGATATGAAATGCTCTAAAGCATAGTACAGAAAAATGTGTAAAAACAACTGGGGGGAAGAATGTGTGCACATGTTTGCAAGTGCCTGTGCTTGTGTATGCATAAAATATTTATAAAAGTAAAAACACTGGTTGCCTCTGGGAAGAACTGTGGGGGTGGGCACAAAGAATGTGAGACCTTTAATTGTACACTCTATTGTAAATTTCAAATTCTGAACCACATGAATGTGTTACCTAATCAAAAATAAATGTAAGAGGAAAAAATACAAAGAAGTAAAAAGAAAAATAATCAAAAGTAGCATAACTCACCTTTCAGAGGAAATTATTACACCTAATTTCCCCTGTCTAAAAAACACCTTGGGGCAGGGTAAGAACGAAAGGTACCATTTTATTTCAGTCACAAAATCAGTAGCTAATCAGGCTGATGCTTAGTTCATGGTATTATAAGTTTCCCCACTGAAACTTCTTGATTAGCTATAAGAGCTTTCCCTTTTGGAGATCCTCCAGCTCCAAAAGACAATATTTGGTCAGAGAAACAACATTCTGGCATAAATAAATCAACATTTTGGACACATGGGCGGTGGAATTATATTACTACTTTGTAAGTCATTATTTTTGAATTCGTTTAAGTGGAATAAACAATCTCATTTAATTATTTTGCCTTTGAAAACATATCAGTTGGCAAATGGCCAACAAACATATGAAAAAATGATAAACATCACTAATGATCAGGGAAATGTAAATCAAAACCACCATGTGATACCATCTCACTCCCCAAGAATGGCCATAATTAAAAAAAAATAAAAAAATAATAGATGTTGGTGTGAATGTGCTGAAAAGGGAACACTTCTTCTTTTCTTCTTTTTTTTTTTTTTTTTGAGACAGAGTTTCGCTTTTATTGCCCAGGTTGAAGTGGAACGGCACAATCTCGGCTCACCGCAACCTCCATCTCCCGGGTTCAAGTGATTCTCTTGCCTCAGCCTCCTGAGTAGTTGGGATTACAGGCATGCACCACCACGCCCAGCTAATTTTGTATTTTTAGTAGAGATGGGGTTTCTCCATGTTGGTCAGGCTGGTCTCCAACTCCTGACCTCCGGTGATCACCTGCCTCAGCCTCCCAAAGTGCTGGGATTACAGGCGTGAGCCACCACACCCAGCTGAAAAGGGAACACTTCTACACTACTGGGGGGAATGTAAACTGGTACAACCACTATGGAAAACACTGTGGAGATTTCTTAAAGAACTAAAAGTAGATCTACCATTCTTTCCAGCAATCCCACTACTGGTTATCTACCCAGAGGAAAAGAAGTCATTATACAAAAAACAAACAAACAAACAAGCAAAAACAAACAGAAAAAACAAAACAAAACCTTGCACACTTGTGTTTACAGCAGCACAATTCACAATTGCAAAAATATGGAAACCAGCCCAAATACCCATCAATCAATGAATCAATGGGTGGATAAAGAAAATATGGTATATAAATAGCATGGAATACTACTCAGTCATAAAAAGGAATGAAATAATGGCTTTGGCAGCAACCTGGATGGAGTTGGAGACCATTATTCTAAGTGAAGTAACTCAGGAATGGAAAATCAAACATTGTATGCTCTCACTCATAAGTGGGAGCTAAGCTATGAGGACGCAAAGGCATAAGAATGATACAATGGACTTTGGGGACTCATGGGAAAGGGTGGGAGGGGTGTAAGGGATAAAAGACTGCACATTGAGTACAGTGTACACTGCTCGGGTGATGGGTGCACCAAAATCTCAGAAATTACCACTAAAGAACTTATTCATATAACCAAACACCACCTGTTCCGCAAAAATCTATTTGAATAAATAAATAAATTGAAACTTAATCAATTGGGGGTGGAGCAAGATAGTAGAATAAAAGGCCGCATTGATCATCCCCGCCCTGAACACCAAATTTAACAATTATCTACACAAAAAACCATCTTCATAAAAAAAACCTAAAAATTAGGTGAGCACTCACAGTACCTGATTTTAACTTCATATCACTGAAGGAGGCACTGGAGAGGGTAGAAAAGAGTCTTGAATCACTGACACCACCCCTTCCCCACCCATTGGCAGCAGCCATGTGGACTGAGAGAGAATACATGTGCTTAGGAGAAGGAGGCTGCAGTGATAGTGAGATGTTGCATTGAATTCAATGCTGCCCTGTCACAGCAGAAAGCAAAACAAGGCTGAACACAGCTGACACCCGCCTACAGTGGGAGCATTCAAACCAGCCCTAGTCAGAGGAAATCACCCATCCCTGTGACTAGAACTTGAGTTCCAGCAAGGCTCACCACTGCAGGCTAAATTGCTCTGGGACATTAAATAAACTTGAAAGAAAATCTAGGCCACAAAGTCTGCAAGTCCCAGTGCTGAGCTGGGCTTGGAGACAGTGGATTTGGGGGTGGGGAGGCACACGACTTACTGAGACACCAGTTGGTGCAGCTAAGGGAATGCTTGTGTCACCGCTCCCTCAACCCCAGGCTGCAAAGATCACTCGTCCACCACAGATCCCTTCCTTCCACTTGAGGAGACGAGAGGGAAGAGTAAAGAGGAGTTTTGCCTGTGTCTGGGGTACTAGCTCAGACACAGTAGGATAGGGCTCCAGTCAGAGTCATGAGGACTCCATTACATGTCCTAATCCCCAGGTGACATTTCCAGACACACCCCAGGCCAGAAAGGAACTGGCTGTTTTGAAGAGAAGGGCCAAGTCCTGGCAGGATCCATCACCTGCAGACTAAATAACCAGTAGCCCTAAATAACCAGTAGCAATACCCAGCTACCCAGGTAGTACACCATGGGCCTTGGGTAAGACTGAGATACACTAGCTTCAGGTAAGACTCAATATATTCCCAGCTGTGGTGGCTATTGGGAAAGTCTCCTTCTGCTTAAGAAAAGGAGAGGGAAAAGTAAAGGGGACTTCGGCTTGCACTTTAGGTACCAACTCTGCCACAGTGGGGTACAACAACAAGAGGGCTCTTGGGGTCCTCAATTCCAGGCCTTGGCTTTTGCACAGCATTTTGGGACCTGCCCTGGGACAATGGGGAGCCCACTGCCCTGAAACATGAGGCCCAGGCCTGGCAGCATTCACCACAAGTTGAATGAAGAGCTCTTGGGCCTTAAGTGAACATAGATGGTAGCCTGGCAGTAGTCCCCGTGGGCCTGTGGTGGTGGTGACCATGAGGTGAGGCTCCTCTGCCTGTGATAAGGGCAGAGAAGAGTGGGAAAGACTATGCCTCATGGATTGAGGGTCAAATCTGCTAGAGTAAAATAGAACACACCAGGTAGAGTGCAAAGATTTTTAATTCCAGTCCCTAGCTCCCTGACAGTATCTCTGGACTTGCTTGGGGCCTGGGGGAACCCGCTGCCCTGAAGGGAAGGACACAAGCCTGGATTCGCCACCTGCTAACTATAGAGCCCTAGGGCCTTGCACAAACATAGGTGGTAGCCAAGAAGTCGTTGCATTGAGCCTTGGATGAGACACAGTGCTGTCCTAGCTTCAGGTCTGACCCAGCACAATCCCAGGGGTGGTGGCCACAGGGGTGCTTGTGTCAACACATCTCCAGCCCCAGGTGGCTCACCACAGAGAGATTCCCTTTGTTTGTGAGCAAATAAGGGAAGAGAACAAGAATCTCTGCCTGGTAATCCAGAGAATTCTTCTGGATCTTATGCAACACCGCCAAGGTGGTACCTCTGCGAGTCTGCAAGAACCACAGCACTATTGGGCTTGGGATGTTCCCTAATGCAGATACGGCTTAAATCACAACAGCCAGGTGCTTTTGAATACCTGGAAAGCCTTCCCAAGAAGTACAGGTACAAACAAGCCCAAACTGTGAACAATAACTACCTAACTATTCAATGCCCAGACACAGATGAACATCTACAAGCACCATGACTATCCAGGAAAACATCACCAAACTAAATAAAGCACCAGAGACCAATCCCAGAAAAATGGAGATATGTGACCATTCAGACAGAGAATTCAAAATAGATGTGATGAGGAATCTCAAAAAATTCAAACACAGAGAAGGAATTCATAATTCTATCAGATAAATTTAACATAGAGATTGAAATAATTTAAAAGAATCAAGCAGAAATTCTAGAGTTGAAAATGCAATTGACATATTGAAATTAAAAAGCTTCTGCACAGCAAAAAACAAAAAAACTATCAGCAAAGTGAATAGAAAACCCAAAGACTGAAAGAAATAACTGCAAATTACCCATCTGACAAGAGATTAATAACCAGAATATATAAGGAGCTCAAACAGCTGAACAAGATAAAGTCTAATAATCTGAATAAAAAATAGGCAAAAGATCTAAATAGACATTTCCCAAAAGAAGACATACAAATGGCAAACAGATATATGAAAAAGTGCTAAACATTGTTCATCAGAGAAATGCAAATGAAACCTACAATAATATATCACCTTACCCCAGTTAATGGCTTTTATCAAGAAGACAGGCAATAACAAATTCTGGAAAGGATGTGGAGAAAAGGGAACACTTGTACATTGTCAGTGGGAATGTAAATTAGTACAACCACTATGGAAAACAGTTTGGAGGATCCTCAAAAAACAAGATAGAGCAACCATATAATCTAGCAATTCCACTCCTAGGTAGACATCTTTGATGGTTAATACTGAGTGTCAACTTGATTGGATTGAAGGATACAAAGCATTGATCCTGGGTGTGTCTGTGAGGGTATTGCCAAAAGAGATTAACATTTGAGTCAGTGGTAGATCCACCCTTAATCTGGTGGGCACAATCTAATCAGCTGCCAGCGAATATAAAGCAGGCAGAAAAACCTGAAAAGGAGAGATTGGCCTAGCTTCCCAGTCTACACCTTTCTCCTATCCTGGATGCTTCCTGCCCTTGAAAATCAGACTCCAAATTCTTCAGTTTTGGGATTCAGACTGGTTCTCCTCGCTCCTCAGGTTGCAGACAGCATATTGTGGGACCTTGTGATCATGTACGTTAATACGTAATAAACTCCCCTTTACATACACACACACACACACACACACACATACACACACACACACACACATATCCTATTAGTTCTGTCCCTTTAAGAGAATCCTGACTAATACAGATTCTGGTACGAGGAGTGGTTCTAGAGGAACAGAATATTAAGGATGGAGTTCTTTTGGAGGTTTCTGGAGTTGGCTGCTTAATATGATTAGACCCCAAAATGCTAAGGACTCTACTTCAAATAGTATGGAGAACAATGATAGTCTTTGGCATGAACTATTTAGAGAATTATGCAAAATAAATGCATTTGACACTCTTGATTCACCACTCATGAGTGGCAAAGAATTTAGTGACTCTATGCATAATACATTTGACCTTATGTGGAGAACCAAGGAACATAATGAAGCCAGTTGGTTGCTCCTAAGTTCAGAGGACAAAGTGATGAAAGAAAATAAGGAACTCAGGGATTCTGCCTCCTGGCTTCAGAAGGAGATACTGAGCCTCAAATCTGCTAAGATTGTCCTGAGTGAGAGTCTTCGCCCTTGTAGAGAAAGAGCTAAAATTGTGGAAAAACATACACAAGCTCTTATGTGAGTGACTGGCCTGCAATGAAAGATGCATGCACAGCCTCTCCAGGTGGCTACTGTTAAAGTGAGGGCATTGATTGGAAAATAATGGGACCCTGCAACTTGGAATGGGGATGTGTGGGGAGACCCTGATAAAGCTGGGGACACTGAGTTTGTAAACTCTGATGAACCTTTTTTGCCAGAAGGAATAGCTTCCCCATCCCCAGTAGTGGCAACATCCCCTCCCTGACCCATGCTGCCATCAGCCTTTCCACCTTTGTCTAAGGAGATAAACACTGCCTGAAGCAACAGTGATGGCCTCCCCTGAGGCAATTGCCAGGCAAGATAATGTTGATTCTCTTCAGAAGCTACCCCCAACACCTCCATTTGCTTCTAGACCTATAATTAGATTAAAGTCCCAGCGGCCACTAGAGGTGAGTTTGAGAGTGTGACCCATGAGGAGGTGCACTACACTAGAAAAGAACTGTTTTAGTTCTGTGATTTATATAAGAACAGCAATCTGGAGAACAGGCATGAGAATGGATATTAAGGGTATGGGATAATGGTGGAAGGAACACAGAGTTGGATCAGGCTGAATTTGTTGATTTGGGCCCACTGCTTAGGGACTCTGCATTCAGTGTTTCAGCTCGGGGAGTTAAAAATGGTTCTAACAGTTTATATGCTTGGTTAGCTGAAATATGGATTAAAAGATGGCCCACTGTGAGCAAGATGGAAATGCCTGATCTCCCTTGGTTTTATGTAGAGGAAGGGATCTAAAGGCTTAGGGAGATTGGGATGGTGGAGTGGATTAGTCATTTTAGACCTACTCATCCCAGCTGGGAGGGTCCAGAAGATATACCCTTGACCAATGCCTTGTGAAATAGATTTGTGAGGGCAGAACATGCATCTTCAAAGAGCCCTGTAATTGCTCATCTCTGTATGTCAGATCTAATGGTGGGAACTGCAGTCACTCAACTACAAAATTTAAATTCGATGGGAATAATTGGATCCTGAGGTGGCAGCGGCCAAGTGGTGGTACTCAACCGCCAAAGGCAAGGTGGGTGTACCTACCGTAATGGACAGCAAAAGCGAAGCAGCAATCAGCATAGTCTGACTCATGTAGAGTTCTGGCATTGGCTAATCAATCACAGTGTTCCTAGAAGCGAAACTGATAGGAAGCCTACTTCATTCCTACTTAAATTATACAGAGAAAACTTCTAGGTTGAATAGACAAAAGCCTAATTTGAATTATAAAAACAGAGAATCGCAACCCCTCCATCAATTTCCAGACTTGAGCCAGTTTACAGACTCAGAACCCCTTGAATGAAGGGGAGGCTGGGTCCCCTTGAGGAAGCACCCCACTACATTACCAACAATTTATGCAGTGAATCTTTTTCCCATCCTTCCCCAAGGAGACCTCTGACCTTTTACCATGGTAACTATGCATTGGGGAGAGGGAAATGGTCAGATATTTCGGGGACTACTGGACACTGGCTCTGAGCTGATGTTGATTCCAGGGGACCCAAAATGTCATTGTGGTCCTCCAGTTAAAGTAGGGGCTTATGAAAGTCAGGTAATTAATGGAGTTTTAGCTCAGGTCCAACTTACTGTGGTTCCAGAGGGTCCCCAGACTCATCCTGTGGTCATTTCCCCAGTTCTGGAATGCATAATTGGCATAGACATACTTGGCAGCTGGCAGAACCCCCACGTTGGATCCCTGACTGGTAAGGTGAGGGCTACTATGGTGGAAAAGGCCAAATGGAAGCCATTAGAGCAGCCTCTACCTAGAAAAATAGTAAGTCAACAACAATATCGTATCCGTGGAGAGATTGCAGAGATTAGTGCCAAGATCAAGGACTTGAAATATGCAGGGGTGGTGATTCCTACCACATCCCCTTTCAAGTCTCCCATTTGGCCTGTGCAGAAGACAGACGGATCTTGGAGAATGACAGTGGATTATGGTAAGCTTAACCAAGTGGTTACTCCAATTGCATCTGCTGTACCAGGTGTGTTTCATTGCTTGAGCAAATTAACACATCTCCTGGTACCTAGTATGCAGCCATTGACTTGGCAAATGCCTTTTTCTCCATTCCTGTGCATGAGGCCCACCCGAAGCAATTTGCCTTCAGCTGGCAAAGCCAGCAATATAGCTTTACTGTCCTACCTCAGGGGTATATCAACTCTCTGGCTTTGTGTCATAATCTTATTCAGAGAGACCTTGATTGCTTTTCACTTCTGCAAGATATTGCATTGGTCCATTATGTTGATGACATTATGCTGATTGGATCAGTGAGCAAGAAACAGCAAACACATTGGACTTATTGGTGAGACATTTGCATGCCAGAGGATAGGAAATAAATCCGACTAAAATTCCAGGAACTTCTACCTCAGTAAAATTTCTAGGGGTCCAGTAGTGTGGGACCTGTCAAGATATTCCTTCCAAGGTGAAGGATAAGTTGCTGCATTTGGCCCCTCCTACAATCAAGAAAGAGGCACAACGCCTAGTGGGCCTATTTGGATTTTGGAGCCAACACATTCCTCATTTGGGTGAGTTACTCAGGCCCATTTATCGAGTGACCCGAAAGGCTGCCAGTTTTGAGTGGGGTCCGGAACACGAGAAGGCTCTGCAACAGGTCCAGGCTGCCCTGCAAGCTGCTCTACCACTTGGGCCATATGATCCAGCAGATCCAATTGTGCTTGAGCTATCAGTGGCAGATAGGGATGCTGTTTGGACCCTTTGGCAGGCCCCCATAGGTGAGTAACGGCAGAGGCCTCTAGGATTTTGGACCAAGACCCTGCCATCCTCTGCAAAAAACTACTCTCCTTTTGAGAGACAGCTCTTGGCCTGTTACTGGGCTTTGGCGGAAACTGAACATTTGACTATGGGTCATCAAGCCACTGTGCAACTTAAACTGCCTGTCATAAACTGGGTGCTTTTCTGACCCATCTAGCCATAAAGTGGTCATGCACAGCAGCAATCCATCATCAAATGGAAGTGGTATATACGTGATTGGGCTCGAGCAGGTCCTGAAGGTACAAGTAAGTTACGTGAGGAAGTGGGTCAAATGACCATGGTCTTCACTCCTGCCACCCTGTCTTCTCTTCCCCAGCATGCAATGATGGTGTCATGGGGAGTTTCCTATGATCAGTTGACAGAGGAAGAGAAGACCAGGGCCTGGCTCACAGATCGTTCTGCACGATATGCAGGCACCACCCGAAAGTGGACAGCTGCAACACTACGGTCCCTTTCTAGGACATCCCTGAAGGACACCAGTGAAGGGAAATCTTCCAAGTGGGCAGAACTTTGAGCAGTGCATCTGGATGTGCACTTTGCATGGAAGGAGAAATGGCCAGATGTGCGATTGTATACTGATTCACGGGCTGTAGCCAATGCTTTGGCTGGATGGTCAGGGACTTGGAAAAAGCATGACTGGGAAATTGGTGACAAAGAAATTTGGGAAAGAGGTATGTGGATGGACCTCTCTGAGTGGTCAAAAACTGTGAGGATATTTGTATCCCATGTGATTGCTCACCAACAGGTGACCTCAACAGAGGAGGATTTTAATAATCAAATGGATAGAATGACCCATTCTGTGGACACCACTCAGTCTCTTTCCCCAGCCACCCCTGTCATCACCAATGGGCCCTGGCCATGGTGGCAGGGGTGGAGGTTATGCATGGGCTCAGCAACATGGGCTTGCACTCATCAATGCTGACCTGGCTACAGCCTCTGCTGAGTGCCCAATTTGCCAGCAGCAGAGACCAAAAATGAGCACTCGATATGGCACCATTCCTCGGGGTGACCAGCCAGCTACCTGGTGGCAGGTTGATTATATTGGACCTCTTCCATATGGAAAAGGCAGAGGTTTGTCCTCACTGGAAACAGACACTTACTCCAGATATGGGTTTTCCTATCCTGCACGCAATGCTTCTGCCAAGACTACGATCCTTGGACTCACGAAATGCCTTATCCACCATCATGGTATTCCACACAGCATTGCCCCTGACCAAGGCACTAACTTTTTGGCTAAAGCAGTGTGGCAGTGGGCTCATGGTCATGGAATTCACTGGTCTTTCCATGTTCCCCATCATCCTGAAGCAGCTGGATTGATAGAACGGTGGAATGGCCTTTTGAAGTCACAAATACAATGCCAACTAGGTGACAATACATTGCAGAGCTGAGGCAAAGTTCTCCAGAAGGCTGTGTGTGATCTGAATCAGCATCCAATATATGGTACTCTTTCTCCATAGCCAGGATTCACAGGTCCAGGAATCAAGGGGTGGAAGTGGAAGTGGCAGCACTCACCATCACCCCTAGTGATCCACTAGCAAAATTTTTGCTTCCTGTTCCCACAACATTACGTTCTACTGGCCTAGAGGTCTTAGTTCCAGAGGGAGGAAAGCTGCCACCAGGAGACACAACAACAATTCCATTAAACCGTAAGTCAAGATTGCCACCTGGACACTTTGGGCCCCTCCTACCTTTAAGTCAACAAGCTAAGAAGGGAGTTACAGTGTTGGCTGGGGTGACTGACCCATACTATCAAGATGAATTCAGTGTACTACTCCATAACGGAGGTAAGAAAGAGTATGCATGGAATACAGGAGATCCATTAGGGTATTACCATCTCTGTGATTAAGGTCAATGGGAAACTACAACAATGCAATCCAGATAGGACTACAAATGGCCCAGACCCTTCAGGAAGGAAGGTTTGGGTCACTCCACCAGGAAAAAAAACCACGACCTGCTAAGCTGCTTGCTGAAGGCAAAGGGAATACAGAATAGGTAGTAGAACAAGGTAATCATCAATATTAGCTACAACCATGTGACCAGCTACAGAAATGGGGACTAATTGTCATGAGTATTTCTCCTTCTTCTTTTTTTTTTTTTTTTTTTTGAGACAAAGTCTCTCTCTGTTGCCCAGGCTGGAGTGCAGTGGCGCGATCTCAGCTCACTGCAACCTCTGCCTCCCAGGTTCAAGCCATTCTCCTGCCTCAGCTTTCCAAATAGCTGGGGTTACAGGCATGCACCACCACACCCGGCTCATTTTTATATTTTTAGTAGAGACAGGGTTTTTCTCCACGTTGGCCAGGCTGGTCTCGAACTCCCGACCTCAGGTGATCCACCCACCTCGGCCTCCCAAAGTGCTGGGATTACAGGCATGAGCCACCGCGCCCGGCCTTTCCTCTTTCTTTTGTTAAAAACATGTTTGTGCATGTACACACTTGTACTAATATCTTCATTTTATTTCCTTTCTCCTTTATCATGTGATGTACGATTTATTGACTTCATATCAGCATTTAAGTATGTTAACTTTATGTAATAGTATTTGGGTTGGGGATTGTTGTGTTTCTGGTTGTATGAAGGATAGCTGTATTATGTTAGGCGTAATTATGACCTTATTATTGTCTTTATTTGAAGATTATGTATGATCCCAGGAGATGTGTATGGGTTCAAGTTGACAAGGGGTGGACTTGTGATGGTTAAAACTGAGTTGTCAACTTGATTCGACTGAAGGATACAAAGCATTGCTCCTAGGCGTGTCTCTGAGGGTGTCACCAAAAGAGATTAACATTTGAGTCAGTGGGCTGGGGAAGGCAGATCCACCCTTAATCTGGTGGGCACAATCTAATTAGCTGCCAGCGAATATAAAGCAGGCAGAAAAACATGAAAATGAGAGATGGGCCTAGCCTCCCAGCCTACATCTTTCTCCCATGCTGTATGCTTCCTGTCCTATTCGTTCTGTCCCTCTAAGAGAACCCCAACTAATGCAATATACAAAATAAAGGAAATAAGTAGATCAAAGAGATATCTTCACTCCCATGTTGGTTGTAGCGCTATTCACAAGAGCCAAGATTTGGAAGCAACCATGTGTCCATCAACAGATGAATAGATAAAGAAAATGTGGTATATATACACAATGGAGTACTATTCAGCCATAAAAGGAATGAGATCTTGTCATTTGCAACAAGGTGGATGGAACTAGAAGTCATTATGTTAAGTGAAATAAGTCAGGCACAGAAAGACAAACTGCATGTTCTCACTTATTTTGGGGACCTAAAAATCAAAACAATTGAACTCATGGAGATAGAGAGTAGAAGGATGGTTACCAGAGGCTGGGAAGGGTAGTGAGGTTGTGGTAGGGAGGAGGTGGGGATGGTTAATAGGTAAAAAAAAAAAAAAAAAAAAAAAAGAACAGTTAGAAAATGCCTAGTATTTGATACCACAACAGGATGACTATAGTCAATAATAATTTAATTGTACATATAAAATAACTAAGAGAGTATAACTGGATTGTTTGTAACACAAAGAATAAATGCTTGAGGGGACGGATACCCCATTTTACATGATGTCATTATTACGCATTGTGTGTCTGTATCAAAACATCTCACATATCCCATAAATATACCTACTATGTACCCATAAAAATTAAAATCAAAAACTTTTTTAATTAAAAATTTAAAATAAATAAATCAAGGTATTTTTTATATTCATAGAATACATGAGTATAAAGGCGTATACAATTAGAAGAAAAACCATCTGACATAAATTTCATAGCCATTTCTGATGAAAACTCTTAGCAGACTAAGAGATAGCTTCTTCAATCTGGTAAAGGATATCCCTTAAAACCTACAGGTAGTACATAGTTTCTCCACAGCAACACTATGGACGTTTTGGGCTAGATGATTTCTTGTTGCAGAGTCTGGGTGAGTGGGTGTCCTGTGAATTGTAGGATGTTTGGCAGCATCTCTATAGACCCTTAAATGAAATCCTGAAATCCTTATGTCTATATACTGTTTGAAAATCAGAATTTAGAGAGGTTTATATACTGTACAAGTTACATAACATTTTGTAATTGAACAAATTAATATTTAGCAGTAAAACTTATGAATATCCTAAGGTTGGATCAAGACTATAAGTAGTTTCATATACGTTCCCATCAGTTTTTGCGATCAATTGAGTTTTGGTGCCAGAGTTAGTAAAACATGAAGGGGCTCTAGGCCTGGAAGAGGGGCTCTGGTGAGCTTCTACTCATTAAAAAACCAATAACAGCCCCCAGTTGTGACAACAAAGAATGTCTCCAGACATTGCCAACTGTCCTCTGGTGGGTGAAGATCCCCCACTCATTGAGAACCACTGAGATAATATCACATTTAATGGTAACAGACTGAATGCCTTCCCACTAATAATAGAAGCAAGTTGAGGATGTCTGATCTCACTGCTTTGCTCTCACTGCTTCTTTTGAATATTATATTGGAGGTCCTAGCTAGTTTAACAAGGCACGGAAAACAAATAACAAGCATATAGGGAAGAAAGGGAGAAGTAAGACTGTCTCTTTTCAAAGACACCATAATTGTGCATATTAAAAATCTTGAAAAATCTACAAAAAGCTACGAATACTACTACTAATACTACTACTACTACAAGAAATAATAAAACAGGTACACTGAAATGTATAAAACATTGCTAAAATAAGTTCTTAAAGGCCTAAAAAACTAAATATACCATAAACATGTATACAAAGACTCAAAGCGATCCACAGATTCAATGCCATCCCTATCAAAATTAAAATGCTATTCTTCACAGAAATACAAAAAACAATAATAAAATTAATATAAAACCACAAAAGACCCCAAATAGTCAAAACGATCTTGACCAAAAGGAGCAAAGCAGGAGGTGTCACACTACCAGATGTCAATATATATAACAAAGCTACAGTAATCAAAACAACATGGTACTGGAATAAAAACAGACATATCAACCAATGGAATAAGATAGAGAGCCCAGAAATAAACCCATACATCTACAGTCAGTTGATTTTTGACAAAGGCACCAAAAACACAAATTGGAGAAAGGACAGTCTCTTTAATAAATGACGTTGAGAAAACTGGATATCCACATAAAGAAGAAAGAAAATGAACTCTTATCTCATCCCTTATAGAAAAATCAACCCCAAATGGATTAAATGTAAGATCTGAAACTATAAAATTACTAGAATAAAACATAGGGGGAAAGCTCCATGACATTGTTCTGGGCAGCAATTTCTTGTATATGACCCCAAAAGCACAAGCAATAAAAGGAAAAATAAACAAATGGTATTGCATCAAACTAAAAATCTACAAAGCAAAGGAAACAATTACAGTCATGCATCACTTAATAATGGGGATATGTTCTGAGAAATGCATTGTTAGGCAATTTCATCATTGTGCAAACATCATAGAGTGTACCTGCACAAACCTAAATGGTATAGTCTACTATATTCCTACGCTACATAGTATAATCTATTGCTTCTAGGCTATAAATCTGTACAGCATGTTACTGTACTAAATATTGTAGGCAACTGTAACACAATGGTAAGTATGTATCTAGAAATATCTAAATATAGAAAAGGTACAGTAAAATATGATATGAAATATAAAATATGATATAAAAGATTTTAAAAATGATATAAAAGATTAAAAATGGTACACCTGTATAGGGCACTTACCATGAATGGACATTGCAAGGCTTGAAGTTGTTCTGGTTGAACCAGTTGAGTGGGTAGTATGTGAACATGAAGAACTAGGATATTGCTGCATATTACTATAGACTCTGTAAACCCTGTACACTTAGGCTACATTAAATTCATAAAAAATTTCTTCCTTCAATAATAAATTAACCTTAGCTTACTTTGACTGTCTTTATAAACTTTTTAGAATTGTTTTAGCTTTCTGATACTTTTGTAATAACACTTAGCTGAAAACACAGATATATTGTACAGCTGTACAAAAATATTTTATTGGCAGCGCACAGTGGCTCACACCTGTAATCCCAGCACTTTGGGAGGCAGAGGCAGGCAGATCACTTGAGGTCAGGAGTTTGAGACCAGCCTGGCCAACATGGTAAAATCCCATCTCTACTAAAAATACAAAAATTACCCAGGCGTGATGGCAGGTGCCTGTGATCCCAGCTACTTGGGAGGCTGAGGCAGGAGAATCGCTTGAACTTGGGAGGCAGAGGTTGCAGTGAACCGAGATTGCACCACTGCACTCCAGCCTGGGCTACTGGAGAGCAAGACTTCATCTCAAAAAAAAAAAAATATATATATATATATATATACATATATATATATATATAAAACTTTATATCCTTATTCTATAACCTTTTTTCTATTGTTAAAATACTGTATTTATTGTTTAACTTTTAAAACTTTTTGTTAAAAACTAAGACACAAGCACACGTATTAGTCTAGGCGTACACAGGGTCAGAATCATCAATATCACTGTCTTCTACCTCCACATCTTGTCCCACTGGAAGGTCTTTGGGGGCAATAACATGCATGGAGCTGTCACCTCCTATGATAACAATACTTTCCTCTCAAATACCTTCTGAAGTACCTGACTGAGGCTATTTTACAGTTAACTTTTTTGTGTTATGAGAAGAAGGAATACACTCCTTCTACTTATGAAGTAGTGATAACAAAATAATGGTAAGAGTGTAGTATGGTAAACACATAAACCAGTAACATAGTGACTTATTATATTACATACTATAAATAATTGTATGTACTATACTTTTATATGACTAGCACTGCAATTGGTTTAAACCAGCATCACCACAAACATGTGAGGAATGTATGTTCTAAAGACTTGAATAGACATTTAGCAAAAGAAGACATACAAATGGTCAACAGATACACAAAAAAATGTCCAACATCTTTAATCACCAGAGAAATGCAAATCAAAACCACAATAACACCCCACACCTGTTAGACTGGCTGTTATCAAAAAGCTAAAAGATGAATGTTAGCGAGGATGTGGAGAAAAGGGAGCCCTTATATACTGTTGGTGGTACTGCAAATTAGTACAGCCATTTTGGAAAACAGTATGGCGGTTCCTCAAAAAACTAAAAGTGTTATTACCATAAGATCTGGCAATCCCACTACTAGGTATATTCCCAAAGGAAATGAAATTAGCATTCTGAAGGGATTCTTTCAACAAGAGGTTCACCTTAGATTCAAAGATGCAAATGGGCTGAAATTTCAAGAAAGAAAAAAAGATATCCCAGGAAAATAATGACCAAAAGAGAGCTGGGGTGGCTGATTATAATAATATCCAACAAATTAGGCTTTAAGTCACCCCTGTTACAAAAGACAACAATATTATTTATTGAAAAGTGTAAATTCGTCAACATATAACAATTATAAACATATACACACCAAGTAACTGAGCCTCTAAATATAGGAAGCAAATCTTGACAGAATTTAAAAAAGAAATAGACAGTTCTATAATGATTGTTGGATACTTCGAAAATCAATTTTCAATAATGGATTGAACATCTACACAGAAGACCAATAAGGAAACAGAAGTCTTGAACAACATCATAAGCCTATTTCTAGACATATATAGAATACACAACAGTAAAATACACATTCCTCCCAAGTGCATATGTAACATTCTCTAAGACACAACATATGTACGGCCACAAAATAAGTCTGAAAAAATATCAAAAACTGAAGTCATACAAAATGTAATCTCCAATCACAATGGAATTAAACTACAAATCAATAAAAAGAAGAAAGCTGGAAATTTCACAAATATGTACAAATTAAATAATGTAGCCCTTAAACAACCAATAGGTCAAAGAAGAAATTACAAAACTAATTAGAAAATACTTAAGAGAAGAATGAAAATAAAAATACAACATACTAAAAATTATGGGATGTAGTGAAGGAAATTGTAACGAGGAAAATTTATAGTAGTCGATGCTTACATTAAAAGATGAGAAAGAGCTCAAATAAATGACCTATATTTATACCTTCTGAAACTAGAAAAGGAAGAGCAAACTAAACCCAAAGCTAGCAAAAGAAAGGAAATTATGAAAGATTAGAGTGGAGATAAGCAATATAGAAAATATAAAAACAATCGAGACAATCAATGAAACCAAAAGTTGGTTCTTTAACCCCCATCCAAGTTCATACCGCAAGGGCAAAAGCTGAAAGTATTCTACTTAAGAACCAGAGCAAGATAAAAATGCCCATTCTCACCACTCCTTTTCGACATAGTACTGAAGTCCTAGGCAGAGCAATCAGGCAGCACAAACAAATAAAAGGCATCCAAATTGTAAAAGAAGTCAAATTATCTCCCTTCACTGATGCTATGATTCTTTACTTAGAAAACCCTATTGACTCCACCAAAAGGCTCCTAGAGCTGACAAACGAGTTCAGTAAAGTTTCAGGTTACAAAATCATGGTACAAAAATGATTGCCACTTCTATATACTGGTAAGGTTCAAGCTGAGAGCCAAATCAAGAAAGCAATCTCATTATCAATAGTCACCAAAAAATATGTAGGAATATACCTAACCAAGGAGGTGAAATATCTCTACAAGAAGAACTACAAAACATTGCAGAAGTAAATCATAGATGATAGAAACAAATGGAAAAACATTCCAGGCTTACAGATGAGAAGAATCAATATCGTTAAAATGGCCATACTGCCCAAAACAATCTACAGATTCAAAACTATTCCTATCAAACTATCAATGTCATTTTTCACAGAATTAGAAAAAGACTATTTATACATTCATATGGAACCAAAAAAGAGCCCAAATAGCCAAAGCAATCCTAAGCCAAAAGAACAAAGCTGGAGGCCTCACGTTACCTGACTTCAAACTACACTACAAGGATACAGCAACCAAAACAGCATGGTACTGGTACAAAAACAGACACATAGATTAATGGAACAGGGTAAAG
The DNA here is from genome assembly GCF_000001405.40 of Homo sapiens. Taxonomy (NCBI): domain Eukaryota; kingdom Metazoa; phylum Chordata; class Mammalia; order Primates; family Hominidae; genus Homo; species Homo sapiens. The sequence continues at coordinate 108,470,979 of NC_000023.11, read as the reverse complement.
AACCCAGAAATAAAGCCTTTCACCTACAGCCATCTGATCTTCGACAAACTCAGCAATAACAAGTAATGGGAAAATGACTCTCTATTCAATAAATGGTGCTGTGATAACTGACTAGCCATATGAAGAAAAATGAAACTCAATCCCTACCTCTCACCATATATGAAAATTAACTCAAGATGGATTAAAGACTTAAATGTAGCACATCAAACTATAAGAATCCTAGAAGAAAACCTAGGAACCACCATCCTGGACATTAGCCTTGGGAAATAATTTATGACTAAATCCCCAAACGCAATGGCAACAAAAACAAAAATTGACAAGTGGGACCTCATTAAACTAAAGAGCTTCTGCACAGCAAAAGAAACTATCAACACAGTAAACAAACAACCTACAAAATGGGAGAAAATATTAACAGACTATGCATCTAACAAAAGTATAGTATCCAGAATCTACAAATAACTTAATTCAACAAGCAAAAGACAAATAACTCCATTTAAAAATGGGCAAAGGACATGAACAGACACTTCTCAAAAGATGTCATACATGCAAGCAACAAATATATGAAAAAATGCTCAACATCACTAATCATTAGAGAAATACAAATCAAAACCACAATGATATACCATCTTAGACCAGTCAGAATGGCTATTATTAAAAAGCAAAACAAAACAAAAAACAGATGCTGGTGAGACTGCAGAGAAAAGGGAATGCTTGTACACCGTTGGTGTAAATGTATGTTAGTTCAGCCACTGTGAAAAGCAGTTTGGAGATTTCTCAAAGAACTTAAAACATGACTACCACTTGGCCCAGCAATCCCATTACTGGGTATATACCCCCCAAAAAAGAAATCATTATACCAAAAACATGCACTTTCATATATGTCTTTGTTCACTGCAGTACCATTCACAATAGCAAAGACATGGAATCAACCTAGATTCCCATCGATGGTGAATTGGATAGAGAATATGTGGTACATATACACCATGGAACACTACACAGCCATAAAAATGAGTGAAATCGAGTCTTTTGCAGCAATATGGATGCAGCTGGAGGCCATTATCCTAAGTGAAATAATGCAGGAAGAGAAAACCGGATACCACGTGTTCTCACTTATAAGTGGGAGCTAAACAATGAGTACACACAGACACAAAGAGAGGGGCAATAAACACTGGGGACTACTAGAGGAGGTAGCCTGGGTAATGGGATCATTCATACATCAAACCTCAGTTACACACAATTTACCCATGTAACAAACCTGCACATGTGCCCTTTGAAATGAAAATAAAATTTGAAAATGAGCCTGAATATATGTGCAAATTATGTTGTTTACTATTATAGCTTTAAAGCAAAAAGAAAACTTGAAAATAAAATAAAATAACAAAGGTTAGTGCTCTGAAAAGACCAAGAAAATTGACAAATCTTTAGCTAAACTAAAAAATAAAGGGAGAAGATACAAATAACTGAAATAAAAAATGAAAATGAAGACATTACTACTAACCTTACAGATATAAAAAGAATTATAAGAAAATACTATGAGCCAGGCATGATGACTCATCCCTGTAATCCCAGCACTTTGGAAGACCGAGGCAGGAGGATCACTTGAGCCCAGGAGTTTGAGACCAGCCTGGGCAACAAAGCAAGACCCCATCTCTGCAAAAAATAAAAATTAAAAAATTAGCCAGGCACAGTGACAGGTGCCTGTAGTCCCAGCTACTCGGGAGACTGAGGAAGGAGGATCCTTTGAGCTCAGGAGTTTGAGACTAGCCTAGGTGACAGAGCAAGATCCCGTTTCAAAAAAAAAAAAAAAAAAGAGAGAGAGAGAGAAAATACTATGAAAAATCATACACCAGTAAATTAGGCAACCTAGATGAAATGGGCAAATTTCTAGAAACATACAAATTACCTAAACTAACTCAAGAAAAAATAGAAAATCTGAAAAGATTCATAACAAGTAAAGACATTGACTCAATAATCAAAAACCTAACAACGAAGTAAAGTCCATAGCTAGATAGCTTCACTAGTGAATTCTACCAAAAATTTAAAGAAAACAACACCAATTACTCTCGCACTCTTCCAAAAAGCAGAATAGCACTACCTAACTCATTCTATAAATATAGTTTTATTCTGATATGAAAGCCAAAGATGCTAAAGAAAATAAAATTATAGATTAATAGTCCCTGTAAAAATAGAGGCAAAAAAAAAACCCTCAACAGATGCTAGCAAACCACATCCAACAGCATGCTAAAAGAATTATAAACCATGACCAAATGAGAATTATCCCAGGAATGCAATGTGGTTCAATACAAGAAAACCCACTGATGCAATATGCCACATTAATAGAACCAATAGGAAAAAACATTTGGATCATCTCAATGATAAAAAAAAAAATCTGACAAAATCCAACACCCTTTCCTAATAAATACACTCAAATCCAGGAATGTAAAGGAGCAGTCTCAGCATGATAAAAAAAAAAAAAAACACTTACGAAAAACCCACATCTAACTGAATGCTCAAAGGTGAAAAACTGTTTTCCTATAAGATCAGGAACAAACTAAGGATGCTTGGTTTCACCAATTCCATTCAACATAGTACTGGAAGTTTTAGCTAAGTAATTAGGCTAGAAAAAGACATAAAAGACAACCAAATTGGAAAGGAAGAAACAAAGCTATCTCTCTTTGCAGATATATTTTTTTCATACAGGTTGAGCATTCCTAACCTGAAAATCCAAAATCCAAAATGCTCCAAAATTCAAGTCATTATGAGTGCCGCCAACAAGATGCCACAAGTGGGAAATTCCACACCTGATTTCATGTGATGGGTCACAGTAAAAACGCAGTCTAAACTTTGGTTCATGCATAAAATTATTTAAAATATAGTATAAAATTACCTTGAGGCTATGTGTATAAGATGTATATAAAACATAAACGAATTTCATATTGAAACCTGGGTCCCATCCCCAAGATATCTCATTATGTATATGCAAACATTCCAAAACCTGAAAAACTCCAAAATCTGAAACACTTTTGGTCCTAGGCATTTCAGATAAGAGATACTCAACCTGTATACAGAAAGCCTTAAAGAATCCACAAATAAACTACTAAAGCTAATAAATTCAGCAAAGTTCTAGGGTACAAAATCAAAACACAAAATTAGTTTTATTTCTATAGAGCCCAAATGAACAATCTACAAAGGAAATTAAGAAAATAATTCCATTTACAATAACATCCAAAAGAATAAAACACACCTAGGAATAAATTTGGCCAAGGAGGTAAAAAACATGTACACAGAAAACTAGAAAACAATGAGGAAAGAAATTAAAGAAAACCTAAATGAATGAATGGCATCTTGTGTTCCTGGATTGGAAGACTTAATATTATTAAGATGGCAATACTACCCAAAGCAATCTACAGATTCAATGAAATCCCTATTGAACAGCCTTTTATGCAGAAAGAGTAATAGTAAAGTCAATCTTCAAATTCATATGGAATTGCAAGGGGCCCTAAGAACCAAAACAATCTGGAAAAAGTAAAAGAAAGCTGGAAGACACACACTTTCTGATTTCAAACCTTACTACATAGCTGCAGTAAGCAAAACAGTGTGGTACTGGCATAAAGATAAACATAGCCATTGAGATAGAACGGAGAGTCTAGAAATAAGCCCATACATCAATGGTAAATTGATTTTTGATAAGGGTGCCTAGACTAGTCAATGAGAAAATAACAGCTGGGACAACTGTATATCCACATTTAAAAGAATAAAGTTGGACCTCTATGCCATTTACAAAAACTATTTCAAAATGAATCAACAACCTAAACATAAGAGCTAAAACCACACAACTTGTATAATAAAACATAGAGATAACTCTTCATGGCTTTGGATTTGGCAATGGATTCTTAGATATGACGCCAAAAGCATAAGCAAGAAAGGAAAAAAAACAAATTGGATTTCATGAAATTTTAAAATGTTTCTGCATTAAAGCACATTATCACAAAAGTGAAAAAAACAACCTACAGAATAGGAGAAAATACTTGCAAATTATGTATTTGTCTAGTATTCAGAATGTATAAATAACTCTTACAATTCAACAACAAAAAGATAAACGGCCCAACTTGAAAATAGGGCTGGAATCCCAGCTGCTTGGGAGGCAGAGGCAAGAAAGACCAACCTGGGCAACATAGCAAGACCCCATTTCTAAAAGAAAAAAAAAAAGCCACCTTGGCCATGTGGTGCCACCTGCCTGCAGGCCCAGCTACTCAGGAGGCTGAGATGGGAAGATCACTTGAGCCCAGGAGTTAAAGGCTGCAGTGAGGCATGATTACACCACTGCACTCCAGCCTGGGCAACAGAGCAAGACCTTAAGTCTAAAAAAAAAAATACTGATGGTCAAAGGACTTGAATAGATATTTCTCCAAAGAAGATATACAAATTGCCAACAAGCACTTGAAAAATGCTTAGTATCATCAGGCATTCGGAAAATGCAAATCAAAACCACAATGAAGAACCACTCCATAACAAACTAGGATGGCCATAATTAAAAAATTAAAACTTAAAATAAACAAAACAAAAATAACAAGTGTTGATAAGATTGTGGAGAACTTGAAATGCTGATACCTTGCTGGTGGCGAAGTAAAATGTTTAAACCGCCAAGGAAAATAGTCTGGTGGTTCCTTAAAACGTAAATATAGAATTACCATATGGCCCATAATACCACACCTAAGGATACACCCTTAAATATTAAAAACAAGTACTCAAACAAATACATATATATATACATGTTCATAGCAGCACTCATCACAATAGATAAAAAGTGGTAATAGCCCAGATGTCCAACAATGGATGAACGAATAAGCAAAATGTGGTATATCCATACAATGCAAAATTATTCAGCCATAAAAAGGGATGATGTACAATGAAGTTGAACTTTGAAAATACTAAGTGAAATAAGTCAAACACAAAATGTCACATAATGTATTATTTCATTTATATGAAATATCCAGAATAGGTAAATCCACAGAGACAGAATGCAGATTGATGGTTTCCAGGGACAAGGTGGAGTGAGAGAAACCAAATTTTTAGTACTAGGTAGAAGTGGTCACATAACATGATGAATATACGAAATGTCACTAAATTGTTCACTTTTAAATGACTAATTTTATGTTATGTAAATTTCACCTTGATAATTTTTTTAAAAATTAAACCAGGACCCTTAACTCACACTGCACACCAAAATAACACTAAGTTTATCAAAAGTTAAAAGCACCAAATATCTAGAAGAAAGCAGGCAAAATTTAAAACTTTAGTGTATTAATAGTTAAAGGATTCTTCCTTATAATGCAAAGGGCAATAAAGATCAAAGAAAAAAATGATAAGCTGCGCTTCATAAAATTTTTGAATTCTGCTAATTAAAATATACCATTAAGAAAAAGAAAATACGACCCACAGAATGGGAAAAATACTAGGTGTGTGTATAATATACGTGTGTGTATATTTATGTAAACATGACAAATAAAGAACTCTTACAATTATAAGAAGGCAAGTAATCCAACTTTTGAAAAAAATGGGCAAAGATTTGAGAATATGCATCACAAAAGAAGATATTTGAATGGCCAATAACCACATGAAAATATGCTCAACATCAGAAAAAGCAAATTAAAACAACAAGATACCACTTCATACCCACCAGGATAGCTATAATTAAAAAAGTCTTATAAACTGCTGGTGAGAATGTAAAATATTCCTATTATTTTGCAAACATATTTGTTTCTTGTAAGGTTCAATACATTACATATTTATGCAGCCCAGCAATTCTATTCCTTTGCACTCACCCAAGAGAAATGAAAATTATGTGTACAAAATGACTTGTACACAAATATTCATAGTGACAGCAGGTCAGTGGCTTTCAGGGTACAGGGATAGGGAAAGATTTACTGGGAAGAAAAACAAACGGAACTTTTTGGGGTGATGAAACTGCTCAATATTGAAAATGTTGTGGGTGTGCACATTTGTCAATCATTAAATTGTACACTTAAAACTAGTACATTTTATTGTATGTAAACTATACCTCAATAAAGTTGATATTTTAGAAAGTAGAAGGGAAAGGAGCCTGAATTGGGACCTAGACTTCTTCAGTAAGATTTCCCCAGGCAACTCCCATGAGGAACGCTTCACTGAGGTCCCTGTTTGCGCCAAGGAATGCGGAGGCAAAACATTGTTGGCATAGCTAAGTTATTCACTTGTTCCCTTAAATTTGCTAAATGGCATGCTGTATTTACAGAAATATCCAAAGTATTTATTTAAATTTCTTTTGGGTGAGAAGGAATCCCAAAATTAGTTAAAGTATAAGAAACTTAGGTGTATTTAACATATATGCATACAGACAGACATATCTATATACTGCATTTATCTAAATATTTAATTCAACCCAATAAATAGTTTAATAACTTAATTTAAAATCTTAAGAAGCCTCCTAAGAAATAAAAATGTGCAAGGTAATTTGAACAGTTCTTCCCTATAGTTGCAGATAAACCTGCTTTCTTGTTTACACATTGGTTTACATTTCTCTTTACTACTACTCCCACTTCCCTATTTTCCTGTCCTCTTTTGAGACCATTTTATCTCTAATCAGACAATGCTATTCTAGGGATTATATTTGTTTTTAATATATAAAATATTGGTATATGCATATAACTGACATGAAGTCTAGCCAATACCTCTAGAAATAAACTAAAAAAGTGTTTCTAAGACATCTTTCCCTCCTATGGTAAAATGCTAGAGATGAAGAAAGGGGATCAGGAAGGAAAACAAACTATTAGGCTTAAGATTGAACTAAATTATATTGGAAGAGGACACTATAGATCCTGTGGAAAATTATTTATTGAACACTTACTCTACGCCAGGCATTAAGACACTTTAGACTAATAATGTTAGCCCAATTGGTAGGTGGAAGAGTCTCGATACAAGTCGAGTCTGACATCCATGCCCATACTCTAAACTAAACCATTACACTATAGTGCCATAGTAACGTTAGAGCTAGCTATTAAAGGGATTTTGTACTGCAATAAAAAGAGGGGAATCTGCCCTATCTATTGCAAAATAACACAAAAATGATAAAGCAGTCCATCTTTCCAATTGCTCATCCTCTGGTGTCCAGGATAAGCTCTCTTGAGCATTCTCTCTCTACCCAAGCAATAAAATCTAGTCTAACTTCCAAATCCTGCTCTTTCCAATAATTTGCTGGATAGAGTACTACACTAAGCTAACAATGTGGAGAAGTGGAATATATCTCCCATGTTACACCTTTGTTACCTGACAAAGGAAAAACTAAGAGATATGCAGAATCCTAAAAGGGGATGGGCACGACAGGCCTAATGGGATGCCACTGTCATTTCTCCCAGCAGCATCCACCTATATCATCTTCAAAACAGAATCAGAAAATCTACATCCTTTCTTCAGTAAAACCCTAAAAGCGTTATCTCCCTCCCACAACACCCTGTCTTCCAGCTTAGCTATGGAGTCAACTGTCAAATAATCACTGAGGTTTACTCAATTTTCCTCCTCAGGAAAGTTACAAGCTGGGCTGGGGATTGGGGCAGTAATAGGTAATATGACTCAATATTTTCAATGAACATTGAGAAAAGCATAAACTAATAGAAATTTGATTTTATTAAGGCTTTAGAATAAATTATAGTACTCATAATTAATTAAATACTGAGATACTTTCTTGAAGTATTTATTAGAGAGTTACCACATATATAACAAAGCTTTAATATTCTGAATTCAACTAGAAACAATTAAAACATAAAGTTTTAAAATTCTTCCTTTTTTTTACTAAGAAGGAATTTGTATCTTAAAGCAACTCCGTGTCAATTTATCTAAAGAGTTTTGGTGCTTTCACGAGACCTTAAATTAAAATTAAAGGTTTCATACATAAATTACACATTTCATTCCAAATATAAGTGGAAAAAGGTGGATCCAGCATTCTTAAAATCACTCTTTTTAATGTTGGTAAAGTGAAAGAGAAAAGCTGTTTGTAACCCACTTGGAGGGAAGGACAAGAAGAATATGTGTTACACTTGATATAAAAAAGAGTGCATACAAATTAAGATGACTCCTCTCCATTATGTTCAATGACAGAATTATTACTGGCATTAGGCTTCTTCTGGCAGTCTCTGGAATTTTTTACTGGAAAAAAGCAACTGAAGTTCTCCTTTAAGAAAGCCAAGTAAAAGAAAACTTTAAAAACTACCTAAAACATTTATTACAAGAGAGGGAGGATAGGAAGGGACGCAATGGCTCAGGCCTGTAATCCCAGCACTTTGGGAGGCCAAGGCCAGTGGATCACTTAAGCCCAGTAGTAGAGACCAGCCTGGGAAACATAGTGAGACCCTGTCTCTGCAAAAATTAGCGGGGCATGGGGTCGTGCACTTGTAATCCCAGCTACATAGGAGGCTGAAGTGGAAGGATTGATTCAGCCCTGAAGGTTAAGGCTGCAGTGAGCCATGATCATACCACTGCACTCCAGCCTGGGTGATAGAGTGAGATCCTGTCTGAAAAAAGAAACAAACAAAAATAAAATAAAATAACCCTATGACTGTAAAATATGTTGTTAAATTATTTAAATCAAAAAACTGTTGAAATATATGTTAAACTAATATTAAATATTTTAAAATCATTTTATTGTAATAGTAATAGGCATTTACTATTACTATTTCTCTGTAGGTAACAGAAAATACATATAAGAAAAAATGACTCATAATCTCAGCACTAGTATTTAATATTAGTATGTATCTTACTCTAAATCTTTTTTCCTCCTTCAATTTTGAATAAACATTTATTATAGAGAAGTTTTATGTTAATATAAACAAATTCATGTTTAAGCTAATGTTGCATTTTTAAGGACAGTGGTATGAAAAGGAGATGAAACTTTAGGCTCCAGAATATTCTACCCAAAAAGAGCATAATTAATTTTGCTATGAGTATACATTTCCATTAATTGTGATTTAATGAGAACCTATGTCTATATTCTTGCCTTTTATAATACTTTTTCATTCTATTAATGTTTAAACGCACTACAAATCTTTATAGAGGCTGGGTGTGGTGGCCCACTCCTGTAATCCCAGCACTTTTGGAGGCCAAGGCAGGCGGATCACCTGAGTTCAGGAGTTCGAGACCAGCCTAGCCAACATGGTGAAAACCTGTCTCTACTAAAGATACAAAAAATTAGCCGGGGGTAGTGGCGCATGCCTGTAATCCCAGCTACTTGGGAGGCTGAGGCAGGAGAACGGCTTGAACCCGGGAGGTGAGGTTCCAGTGAGCCGAGATCATGCCATCCAGCCTGGATGACAAGAGCGAAACTCCAACTCAAAAAAAAACAAAAAACTTTATAGAATGTTTAAGTACCATAAAGTAAAACAACAGATGAAGAAGTAGACATGTAGGGAAAACTAAGAAAAATATAATAATCTGAAATAATTTAATCACTGTTACCTCTAAACATTTTCAGTTTTTTCCAACTTAAATTGGAACCTGATTTTAAAACAAATCCTAAGTAATATAATATTTACAATGCCTCATGGAAATCAGAAAGATCTGATTTTGAACCTACCTTTGTTTATTAGCATATTACCAATTTCAAATTATAACATTAACCATCTGAGGGGAAAAAAAATGCCTCCTTTTCCATATCTGCATATCATGGAGTAGAGAAAACTGAGAATATGGATTTGGAAATCTACTAGGATACAGATAAATATTTTTAGTATAAAGGTTGTCAATCTGCAAATTCAAAAGTGGCAGTAAAATTAGTCAGAAAAACAAATCCAGGCCCCAGAAAATGAATCTCTTTTTCAGCCTCTAAGAAAGGTGACCTTTTTCAGTTTGATCTCACTTGTTAATTTACAACATTAGTCTTTTTTTTCCCATTATATAGTATACACAAATGAAGGCATGAAGGCTGTGATAAGGTCTAATAAGCTTGCGCTATAACAGAAAGAAGTCTTTACTGCAACTGTGGAGAAAAATGATATGTCTAAATAGGCTGTAAAAGATAAGCAAGCAAATAGAATTGAGAGAGGCTGGTGCTAAGAATGAATTTATTCACTATTAACCAAATTCCTATAACTTGAGTATACTATGAATAAAAATATTTTAAAACATTTAAACCCTAGGAACTCAGCCAAACGTGGTGGCTCACTCCTATAATCCCAGCACTTTGGGAGGCCGAGGCAGGCGGATTACTTGAGGTCAGGAGTTCGAGACCAGCCTGGCCAACATGGTGAAATCGCATCTCTACTAAAAAAAAAAAAAAAAAAAAAAAAAAAAAAATTTGCCAGGCGTGGTGGCAGGCATCTGTAATCCCATCTACTCAGGAGGCTGAGGCAGGAGAATTGCTTGAATCCGGGAGGCAGAGGTTGCAGTGTGCCAAGACCGCACCATTTCACTCCAGCCTGGGCAACAAGAGCGAAACTCTGTCTCAAAACAAACAAACAAACAAAAACCCTAGGAACTCACCTGACCATAAGAACTGGAAGAAAAAAGCTATTATTTCTCTCCTTCCAACATATTATCAAGTATCTTTAGGGGGTGGAGGGAGTTGGGGGCAAGGAAATCCACGGCCTAGGGTGATTAATTTTGCCAGACATTGAAAAGCTTTAACATACCCACATCTAAGAAAAATGTATAGCTTAATTTTTTAAATCAAAATGTAACGGGAATTGGCCCTTTTATTTTGAAACAAAGTAATGAAAATTAACATAAACTTAGAGCTAGGGCAAATTGGCCTGTTTATAGCTAGCTAGCAAAACTATTCAGAAGGAATACTAAAGCTTGAATAAATGCTTCCTATTTCAGAAGCCTTCCTGAAACTAAATTAACTCAAATGAACTCAAAATGTGTAAGGCCACGTCCTACAGGGTCATTGCTCAAACAACATCCTACAAAGTTAACACAAAATGTAGGAAAGTTAGGAAAAATGTCTTCCCTTTCTCAAAATAAACCAAATTATATTTTTTTAAAAAAAATTTTTAACAGTGGCCAAAGTTAAGACCTACATATTTCTTGTTTCCTACAACATTATCAAAGAGAAATAAGACAGTTAAAATGAAGCAAAATAAAGTAATAGTAAATTAAAACTATGGTAATGATCACAGTCTTTTTAGACTTCACAGGCAAGATTAGAAATATCTCTATGCTATAGTTAAATAGATACTCTGGGTATGAGAAAATTAATCATAAAGATTTTACTTTCCATTAATCCAATGAAAGGCTGTCTGCTAGATGATGCAAGGTATATAAATTTGAAATATAGTCACTGCTCTTGAGGTAGCTCTTATACTGTAGGTTTAAATATGCAGGCAGAGAGATAGATACAGATATATGTATATAGATTACAATATATAGTTTTAGAACTCTGTTCAAAGGAAATAATCTGAAGTGCAAATACGTTCAAAAATGTTCACATCATTGTTATTTATAAATATCAAAAAACTGAAAGCAGATTTTGTTGGAATGATTGCTACTAGACTTGCCCTCTTGCTACAAACAACTAGGAAACTGTACAAAATGTGTGAAGCATATGTTTTCAAACATTGGGAAAAGGCAGCAAAGAACTGGGGTCTTAATACTTACATTAAACGTTATCCTACAGGCCCTAATTAGTACAATAAGGGGAAAAAAAGGAGTGTGAAGACTAGAAAGAAAGAAGCAAATCTATCTTAATTCACAGAAGACATAATCATGTATGTAGTTAATTATAAATAATCCATGAAAGAGCTACTAAAAATAATCAATTTAGCAAGACCACAGTGTACAGGTCAATAGAAAAAAAAATCAGTTGTATTTCTATATACCAACAACAAACAATTGAAAGAAAATAAAACACGATACCATTTATAGTACAATTCAAATACATGAATACTTAGGGGATGAGTTCAATAAAGTACATATAAGACCTGCACACTGAAAACATTGCTGAGAGAAATTAAAGATGATTTTTTTTTTTTTTTGAGACGGAGTCTCGCTGTCACCCAGGCTGGAGTGCAGTGGCGCGATCTGGGCTCACTGCAAGCTCCGCCTCCCGGGTTCACGCCATTCTCCTGCCTCAGCCTCCCCAGTAGCTGGGACTACAGGCGCCCGCCACCACGCCCAACTAATTTTTTGTATTTTTAGTAGAGGTGGGGTTTCACCGTGTTAGCCAGGATGGTCTCTATCTCCTGACCTCGTGATCCACCCGCCTCGGCCTCTCAAAGTGCTCGGATTACAGGCGTGAGCCACCGCACCCGGCCAAAGATGATCTTAATAAACGGAAAGATACACCATGTTCACTTATCAGAACACTGAATACTGTTAAGACATCATTTTTCCCAAAAATGACCTATAGATTAAATACAATCCCATTCAAAACTCCAGGAGTTTTACTTGTACAAATTGCCAAGGTAACTGTAAAATTTATATAGAAATTCAAAGAAGGAGGCGGGGGCGAAGAGGAGACCCCAAAATATGAAAAGAACAAATTTGGAGAACTTACATTACCTGATTTCAGACCTTATCATAAAAGTACAGTAGTGAAGACATTGTGGTATTGGCATAAGGATAGACATAGAGATTGGTGAAACAGACTAGAATACAAAACAGACCTACAAAACAAAAGTATCAAGGTAATTTAATGGGGAAGGGATAGTCTGTTCAACAAATGGTGCTGGAACTAAACACATGGGATAAAAACTGAACCAGAACTCTTACCAAACACCACACAAAAATAAGTAAATGGATCAAAAGCAAAAACTATAAAATCATTTAGAAGCAAATATGAAAGAAAATCTTGGTGACCTTGGGGAAGTCAAAGATTTCTTATAAAGGGGACAGAAAGCTATAACCATAAAAAGGTGATAAAATGGACTATATCAAAATTCAACTTTTATTCTCTGAAAATTATAGGTAAGAAAACAAAAACGCAAGCCACCAAATGGCAGAGCATATCCGCATGGCATGTATGTATGAAATGAATATATTATATGCAGAATGCACAAAAAGCTCTTCCTACTCAATTATAAGAAAACAAATAAAAAAGAAATGGACTACTGATGCATATAACATGGATGGATCTCAAATGTATTATGCTAAGAGGAAAAAGCTAGACTCAAAATTTTACATACTGGATGAGTCAATCTATAAGACATTTATAAAAAAGGTAAAATTATAGGAACAGAAAATAGATGAGTGATTGCCAGAAACTGTGGGTAAGTAGAGAGGTTAATTACATAGCAATATGAGGAAACATTTTGAGGTTATGGAAGTATTCTGAGTCTTGATTACGGCAGTAGTTAAAGGTTGTATGCTTTTATCAAAACTCATAGAGCAGTACACCAAAGATAGCGAATTTTACTCAATATAAACAAAAGGTGACTATAAGAAAATGACAAGAACATACCAATACTAAGATATCAAAATGACTAAAATTAAAAAGAGTGACAATATCAAATGCAGGTAAAAATTTTATTTTTAATTACTTGCTAAGATGTAGAGATGTGATTCATTTATATATTGATCTGTTTATCCAAAGATAAAATGCTAATTATTTTTCTTACGGTATGATTAACATACTGTAAAATTCACCCATTTTATGCACAGTTCTGACGAGGAACAACTACAACTTTCATACTTCAGTGGAAAGTACAATGGTACAACCACTTAGGAAAACAATTTGGCAGTTTCTTGTAAAGCTAAAAATAGACTAATGCTACAACCCAGCAATTCCATTCCTTGATATTTATCCAAGGAAAATGAAAGCATTTGTCTACCCAAAGACTTGTTTACAAATATTCACAGCAGAGGAAGTGGGAGCAAACGTTGAAGACACTTCTTTCCACTCTGACTCAGTACTAGGTATTTTTCCACACCTAGCCTTTTCCTTCTTCCTCCCCCAAACCCCTGGGTCCCTAACACTGCCAGAGCCTTTTGTTTGGGGCTCCCTTGTCAGTGAGAAAACACAGACCCCCGAAGCCTGTGCTGGTCCAATCTACCATGGGGAAAAATGTAACTGGGAAGTGAGGACAGTCCTCAGCACTTTCTCCGGTTTAGCTTCTTGTTTATATAATCACACTAAGTGATTAAAGGCTTGACTATTATTTTGATTTTGGCTTGGTGTCTGACACCTAGCAGCTCGGCTGAGCTCCTGACAATATGATTGTTTAAAGAGATACAAATTATTTTTTGATGAAATTTAACATTCATTACTTTAAAAAAGATTTTCAGCAAATAGAAATGAAAAAGGACCACCTCGATCTGTAAAGTTTATGGAAAACCTACAGCTGATATAATAGCAAAATATTGAGTATCTTCCTTAAAAGACAGCAAAAAAAAAGTCATTCTTTACTACTTCCATTATATTTGTACTGGAGGTCCTAGCCAGTGCAATAAGATAGCCAGGACAAAAAGACATAGGTAATGGAAAGGAAAAACTATGACCCTCTTTATTTTCAGATGATATGATTGTATACATACAAAATCCAAAGAAATGGACACGACTACTAGAACTAATGAATAAATTTAGAAATGCTGTTCTATATCTTGATTAGAGACTATATTTATATTACTGTATACATCTGTCAAAAATAATAGAACTGTGCATAAAGTGGGTGAATTTTACAGTATGTAAATCATACCATAAGAAAATTAATTAGCATTTTATCTTTGGATAAACAGATCAATATATAAATGAATCACATCTCTACATCTTAGCAACAAGTAACTAAAAATAAAATTTTAAAAATGATACCATTTAGAATAGAATTATTCATATAGGAAGAAATTTAACAAATGATGTGCATGACCTCTATGATGAAGCTAATTAAAGAATACCTAAATTAATGGAGAGGTATATGGTGTTCATGGATTGAAAAAAATAATAATTTTAAGATTTCAGTTGTTCCTAAATTGATCTACACAATTGTTACAATTCCTATCAAAACCTCAAAAGGTTTTTAAGCAAAATTTGGCAAGATTAATGTAAAATTTATATGGAATAAATAGCCAACACAAAAGCTAACACAATCCTGAATAAGAAGAAATGTAAAGGACTTATGCTACCAAAGTAATGCCACAGTAATCAATACAGTGTGATACTGGCATAAGGATGCACAAACAGGTGAATAGAACAGACTAGTGAGTTTCAACCTACACCTGCATATACACATTCCATTGATTTTCAATAAAGTCCTCAAGGTAATTCAATGAAAAAAAAAGGAATTTTTCTTTTAAATACACAATACTGGAACAACTGGGTATCTATATAAGAAAAATGGACATAAATACAAAATCTGAAGCTATACAGATTATGGAAGAAAACATGTATCTTCACAACCTTGTGGCTTATTCAGACAAGACACAAAAGACATTGAAATGGGACGGGCATGAGGGACCTTTCCAAGGTAATGGAAACGTTCTACATCTTCACTTGGTTGGTAGTTACCAAAGTATATATGATTGGTATACACTTTGTTAAGTTATAATTGAGTTAAGTAATAATTGAGCTGTTCACCTAAGATCACTGTGTATCACTTTATGGAAATTATAGCTCAATTTAGTACTTTTAAAGTGCAAGAAAATGCCCATAGCAACTTTAATAGCCACAAACAAAAAACAACCCAAATGTCCATCAACAGTGTGGTGTATCAATACAATGGAATTCTACTGTGCAATAAAATAATAAACTATGGACACACACCATGACATGGATGAATCTCAAAATAATTATGCTAAGTGAAATAAGTCAGAGCAAAGAATGTATACATATCATATAATTGCATTTATATAAAAATCTAGAAAATGAAACTTTCTACTGTACAGAAAGCAGATCAGTGGTTATTTGGGGATGGAGGATGGGGGTAGGAAGGGAGGGATTACAAAGAGGAATAAAAATCTTTTGGAGCAATTTACATGTTCATTATCTTGAATGTTGTGATGGTTTCGCAGGTGTATACATATGTCACAACTCAAATTGTACACTTCAAATATATGCATTTTATTGTATGTCAATTATACCTAAAATTTGCTTTAAAATCATAGAAGTAGGCCAGGCGTGGTGGCTCACACCTGTAATCTCAGCACTTTGGGAGGCTGAGGTTGGAGGATCCCTTGAGTCCAGGAGTTTGAGACCAGCCTAGGCAGCAGGAGACCTTGTCTCGATAAAATCATAGAAGTAGACTTGAGCTCAGTAAGAAAGTATTTTCCTTCTAATTACCAGAAAAAACAGAATCTTAGAGTCCAAAGGGACCTCATGGGTATGTTGGCAGACAGAGCAGCATCCACCTTCTATTTGAGCATTTTTAGTAAAGGAACATTCCTATTACTAATGAGACATTTCCATTACTAAGTAGCAAATAATTAACTGTTAGAAAATTATTGCTGGCTGGGCATGGTGGCTCACGACTGTAATCCCAGCACTTTGGGAGGCCGAGGAGGGTGGATCACCTGAGGTCAGGAGTTTGAGACCAGCCTGGCCAACGTGGTGAAACACTGCCTCTACTAAAAATAAAAAATTAGCTGGGTGTGGTGGCGGGCGCCTGTAATCCCAGCTACTCAGGAGGCTGAGGCAGGAGAATCACTTGAACTTGGGAGGGGGAGGTTGCAGTGAGCTGAGATCATGCCATTGCACTCCAGCCTGGGCGACAAGAGCAAGATTCCTTCAAAACAAAAAACAAAACAAAAACAAAACAAACCAACAAACAAAAAACAGAAAAGAAAAGAAAAAAGAAAATTATTGCTATCCAGGGTTCCTGTAACTTAACCCATTGATTCTAAGTTTTGCCTCTTAGTGTTATCCGGATAAATCTACTCCTTCCCCAAATTCAACATTCATTCAACAACTATTTCCTGAGAGATAACTATATAGAAGAAACCAGTCCATGCACTGTGGTGAATACAAAGATATGTAAGATAAGAACTCTGGTTTCA
Organism: Homo sapiens; assembly: GCF_000001405.40. Taxonomy (NCBI): domain Eukaryota; kingdom Metazoa; phylum Chordata; class Mammalia; order Primates; family Hominidae; genus Homo; species Homo sapiens. The sequence goes on along the minus strand of NC_000023.11, from coordinate 108,454,029 downwards.
TGAATTTTCCAATTTAGTACCTAAAAGTAACTGCAACTTTAGCTATTTTTTGTGTGTGTCTCTTCTGCTGTGGTTTGTGTAGCAAGAATGTTTCTGACTTGGCAATTGGATTGAAAATGGTAGGCAAGACGAGTACAATCTAGTATCTACATTTTCTGTTTGGTATTTTAACTGTATCTACCACGATGAACAAAATTACCACATCATATTATCAATTTACCAATCCCTAAACCAATGTAGTATACTGGAGAGAGGACGAGAATAAGATTCAGAAAATACAGCTTCCATCTCTGCCTCTGCAACTAAATAACTAGTTATCATCTTTCATTAATCACTTTCATGTAAAAGATGGAGTTGGCCTCGGTATAGCAGTAGTTTTCAAACTTCTTGTTTTCAAGACCTTTTTACTCTCTTAAAAAGTATTGAAGACCCCATCATCTGGATTACATCTATCAACATATACCATATAAAAATTAAAACTGAGTAATATTTAAAATTATTTATTCATTTTCAAGTGGCAATAAACCCATTAAATGTTAACATATATTATGAATTTTTATGAAAATTACTTATATTTTCCAAAACAAAAAAAAATAGTGGGAAGAGAGATTATTTTACTTTTTTTGTAGATTTCTTTGCTTTGACAAAAGCTGAATCCTCCTATCTGCTTCTGCATTTCTTCTGTTGGAATACATTGCTTTACTTAAAATATATGAAGAAAATCTGGTTTCCAATAGTTATATAGCTGGAAAAGTGTGCATTCTAATAGCCTTTTAAGATAAGGTTAGTTGTAATGTAGAATCTGAAACTTTATCAACTAGCTTTTTTTAAGCTTATCCACCATGATCAAGTGGGTTTCATCCCTGGGATGCAGGGCTGGTTCAATATACGCAAATCAATAAATGTAATCCAGCATACAAACAGAACCAATGACAAAAACCACATAATTACCTCAATAGATGCAGAAAAGGCCTTTGACAAAATTCAACAACCCTTCAGGCTAAAAACTCTCAATAAATTAGGTATTGATGGGATGTATCTCAAAATAATAAGAGCTATCTATGACAAACCCACAGCCAATATCATACTGAATGGGCAAAAACTGGAAGCATTCCCTTTGAAAACTGGCACAAGACAGGGATGCCCTCTCTCACCACTCCTATTCAACATAGTGTTGGAAGTTCTGGCCAGGGCAATTAGGCAGGAGAAGGAAATAAAGGGTATTCAGTTACGAAAAGACGAAGTCAAACTGTCCATGTTTGCAGATGACATGATTGTATATCTAGAAAACCCCATCATCTCAGCCCAAAATCTCCTTAAGCTGATAAGCAACTTCAGCAAAGTCTCAGGATACAAAATCAATGTACAAAAATCATAAGCATTCTTATGCACCAATAACAGACAAACAGAGAGCCAAATCATGAGGGAACTCCCATTCACAATTGCTTCAAAGAGAATAAAATACCTGGGAATCCAACTTACAAGGGATGTGAAGGACCTCTTCAAGGAGAACTACAAACCACTGCTCAATGAAATAAAAGAGGATACAAACAAATGGAAGAACATGTCATGCTCATGGGTAGGAAGAATCAATATCGTGAAAATGGCCATACTGCCCAAGGCAATTTATAGATTCAATGCCATCCCCATCAAGCTACCAATGACTTTCTTCACAGAATTGGAAAAAACTACTTTAAAGTTCATATGGAACCAAAAAAGAGCCAGCATCGCCAAGTCAATCCTAAGCCAAAAGAACAAAGCTGGAGGCATCATGCTACCTGACTTCAAACTATACTACAAGGCTACAGTCACCAAAACAGCATGGTACTGGTACCAAAACAGAGATATAGATCAATGGAACACAACAGAGCCCTCAGAAATAACGCCACAAATCTACAACTATCTGATCTTTCACAAACCTGAGAAAAACAAGCAATGGGGAAAGCATTCCCTATTTAATAAATGGTGCTGGGAAAACTGGCTGGCTATATGTAGAAAGCTGAAACTGGATCCCTTCCTTACACCTTATACAAAAATTAATTCAAGATGGATTAAAGACTTAAATGTTAGACCTAAAACCATAAAAACCCTAGAAGAAAACCTAGGCATTGGCAAGGACTTCATGTCTAAAACACCAAAAGCAATGGCAACAAAAGCCAAAATTGACAAATGGGATCTAATTAAACTAAAGAGTTTCTGCACGGCAAAAGAAACTACCATCAGAGTGAACAGGCAACCTACAAAATGGGAGAAAATTTTCGCAACCTACTCATCTGACAAAGGGCTAATATCCAGAATCTACAATGAACTCAAACAAATTTACAAGAAAAAAACAAACAACCCCATCAAAAAGTGGGTGAAGGACATGAACAGACACTTCTCAAAAGAAGACATTTATGCAGCCAAAAAACACATGAAAAAATGCTCATCATCACTGGCCATCAGAGAAATGCAAATCAAAACCACAATGAGATACCATCTCACACCAGTTAGAATGGCAATCATTAAAAAGTCAGAAAACAGCAGGTGCTGGAGAGGATGTGGAGAAATACGAACACTTTTACACTGTTGGTGGGACTGTAAACTAGTTCAACCATTGTAGAAGACAGTGTGGCGATTCCTCAGGGTTCTAGAACTAGAAATACCATTTGACTCAGCCATCCCATTACTGGGTATATACCCAAAGGACTATAAATCATGCTGCTATAAAGACACATGCACACGTATGTTTATTGCAGCACTATTCACAATAGCAAAGACTTGGAACCAACCCAAATGTCCAACAATGATAGACTGGATTAAGAAAATGTGGCACATATACACCATGGAATACTATGCAGCCATAAAAAAGGATGAGTTCCTGTCCTTTGTAGGGACATGGATGAAATTGGAAATCATCATTCTCAGTAAACTATCGCAAAGACAAAAAATCAAACACCGCATGTTCTCACTCATAGGTGGGAATTGAACAATGAGAACACATGGACACAGGAAGGGGAACATCACACTCTGGGGACTGTTGAGGGGTGGGGGGAGTGGGGAGGGATAGCATTAGGAGATATACCTAATGCTAAATGATGAGTTAATGGGTGCAGCACACCAGCATGGCACATGTATGTAACTAACCTGCACATTGTGCACATGTACCCTAAAACTTAAAGTATAATAATAATAAAATAAAAATAAAAAATAAAAATAAAAAAACTAGCTTTTTTTATTCAATTACATTAAACTCGATCTATCTTGCCCTTTGAAGGGATCTTTTCCCTATGCATGATTTTGTAACACTGTGTATTAGTCATTTGGAAAACATTAGTTCACTGACCTATGCAGAGCTTCCAAATGTTAACACAATTTATTGTACAATATAAAAAATACACATTAATATAATTACCAGCTTCATTAGAAAAGTCTAAGATTTGGGAAGCTGTCACACTCTTGGTGTCAGGTTCAAGTTTTCCAAAATTCTCATTCTTACTTGAAAAGCTCAAATTTTTCATTGGCCACAAATACTGCCAGTAGTTTTCCCTGAAGTGGTAGGCTAATTCTACTCATTTTCAAGAAAATGCCCGCCAAATACCCAAGTATAAATAACCACAGTTTGTCTCAGTTGTTTTTCAAGTAAAAATGAATTTTGGCTGGGCTTGGTGGCTCATGCCTGTAATCCCAGCTCTTTGGGGGGCTGAAGCAGGAGGACCTCTTGAGGCCAGGAGTTCAAGACCAGCTGGGGCAACACAGCAAGACCCTGTATCTAAAACAAACAAAAAAGCGTTCCATGCAAAAATCAACTGGTTCAGCTCGTAACTCAAACAATTGCACAAGTGCTTTTCCTAGAAACAACTATCTTACTTCAGCGTACATAAGTGCTTTGTGTATACTTCCAATTTTGTCATATGTAATATTAAAAAGACATACACTCAAGGGTCAAAATTCAATTAATATAAATTAATGCTACATTGAGGACCCTCTGAGGTAAAACTGGCTTTCTCCCCCCTGAGAGTATGACGAATACAACTACTAAGAAAATGTGGTACACTGCACCAGTAATTTTACTCACCATCAGTGCAAATGTCAACATAGTGAGAAAAGTAAACATTCTTCGTATTTGCTATGATACATGTTTATGTCCCCTCCAAAAAAATTCATATGTTTTAAAATTATAATCTTCAAGGTGATGGCATTAGGAGGTGGGGCCTTTGGGAGATGATTATGTCACGGGGAGAAGCCCTCATGAATGAGATTAGTGCCCTTGTAAAAGACGCTCCAGAGAAAAAAACGCCTTTCCCCTTTCACCATGTGAGGTCACAGAGAGACCATAACATCTGTGAACCAGAAAGAGGGCCCTCACCAGACACTGAATCTTAGGTTTGATCTGCCTTGATCTTAGGCTTCTCAGCTTTCAGAACAATGAGATATAATTTGTTGTTTATATGCCACCCAGCCTGAGGTATTTTGTTATGGCAGCCCAAACAGACTAAGATAATATTACTGTTAAAATATTCCTCATGTTCTCTAATAGGATTTCAGGAACCGTAGGGGTCCACAGACCACAGTTTGAGAACTACTGACCTAAAAGATCACTAATGTCCCTCCAGCTCTAAAATGCCTATGAACAGTCAACAACTTTCATTTGTAGAACTATACAAAACATTCGTTTCCCTAGATAAGTAATATATCACATTTAACAAATACACCAGTTTCTTACAAATCTTTTGTATCAACTGATCCTGAGGACAAACTCATGAGGTTGTGAAATAGAAACTGTTTCTTCCTTCCCCCCAAAACATCATGAGTTTATTTACATATTTTCCACCCTCCAACTTTTCTAGGTAGCAATGTGTTTTGGCCAGACGCAGGGCAGGGAGAGGTGGTTGTGTGAGTGACTGGACTAACTCTACGTTTATGTCCGTATACCACTTGCCAATGTACTGGTGTAGGCATATACATATAACACGATTTCAACCAATGATAAATAAGAGGTGTTTTCAGGGTGGTGCTGTGGGACTCCTTAGAAAGTTTCCATTGCTAGTAAAAAGAGATACACATGAATAGTTCATACTCTCTTTCTAGTGGGCATTGCAGTGTCTGCATGTGATTCCTGGAACTGCAGCAGCCATCTTGAGAGTATGAGGGGCACTAATATTAGAGGGCAAGTTGATAGGCAGAGTATGGCAGTACAGAAAAATGGAACAAACTCTGGCCCTTACTAGTGTCATTATTTGGCTGAATTAATTAACTTTGGAGATAATCAACCTCCAAACTTCTTGTTATGTGAGCTAAAAATTGTTTTTATTGTTTAAGACAGATAGTGTTTTTTAGCACTTGCAAGAAAAACAACCTATCTAATATAAACAGACACCACCATGACTATCTTCCACATACAGAAACATTTTACTACATCAATTAAATTGTGAGAATATGGACAGAGAAGGACCAGTCCTCCTTTAGCAAGCTTTTGGAGGGCTTGTAAACACAGAATATACTAAATAATTCATCAGTCATGTCCCACTCCTAATACCACTGCCCCTCTCAAAGTTCCATATCTCTTTCAGTACTCAATTAATGTCATATACACTGTAAGAAATTTTGAAAGCAAACCAGCCAGTTCTCCTATATACAGGAAAAATATTATTTGATTGAATTATAGCATGATACAAATTCCTTAACAGAATTTCTTGAAGTCTTATTTTATTACTGTCAAAAACACAATTCCATTAACCAGAATAGAACTTGCTTGTAAATGGTACTTACATTCTCTACAAGTTAGTAAGCATCTGACATTTATAACAGATTCATTAAAATAAAAAAGTTAAAAATTAAATTTAGCAAAAGCCTGTTTCTTTTATAACATTTGCCTTTGACTGTCTTTAATTAATGAAAAGCAAGGGATTTAAGGTTCCCATTTCAACAGGGTAGCAAGTACCATCATAGACTGCCCTTTTGGTTAAAGGCCAGCAGAAGCTGCTAAAGGCACAAAGTGTGGGTGGACCTGGACAGACTATGGAGGTAAATAAGTTCAAGTTGCATAAAATGAGAATCTGGTTTGTTAAAATGAAAGAAGCCTATGTGTCACATATCACACTGAAGGTGTTTCTCTAAAATCCTCAAGAATTACTGCTATTTAAAAACAAATCTTTATAATAAAGATTTAGCTAAGTGTCTGGGTGGTTCATTTATAATGTTAATTAGAAAGAATACATTTTCAAAAATTACTTCTGTTCCGTAGCTGCTATCATCACAAGGGGATGAGATGATGGAATGATTACATTTGTAAAAGAAAATCATTAGAGACTAAGACCAAATCAGCCAACCAACTGGCAATCAATTGAGCATCAATTCCATAGTCACTGTAGTAGATAGGAAAGAAAAATTAAGTCTGTCTCACAGGCACTCTTATACACTACTGATAGGAGTATAATTGGTAAAACCATTCTGGAAAGTAATTTGGCAAGAGCAGATCCCTATCACTCAGGAGCTTAAAGTTCAGCTATTCAAATGCCACCTGGAAAAACCACAATGCATAACAGTTTGTGACTTTGCAGAGAAATAAATTTCAATTGCGCAAGCTATAGGGCTGGCAAACAGGCAATGATGTCATTTGGCTACTGAGGAAATGTGAGGAGAAGGTAAAGTGAGTATGTTACAAATTGGGAGTGGTACAAAATGGATGGGGGACCTCACATTCCGTATGTACTAACCAGTTTAATTTTCTAAAAAGAGGGAATTGAGGCTGTGATATTATCTCCCCAAAGTGGAAAAAAAAGATTAAGAATTAATGAAGGGAAGTTTCTGAGTATCACTAAGGGAGAGATGAAAGCTAGGGACAATACTAGGTAAAGACACAGCCATTTAAGTGTAAGCCTGAAAGACAGCTACAGTGCAGGGGCTGGTGAGAGGGGTGGGGAAAGTGGTCAGAAGGGGCTCTCATTTCAGATGCATATGCACAAAACTCTTCTGGGGGAGGGAGAATGTCAATGAATTTGAGTATGTTATACCACTGTTATAGCTGGGAAGAGATCAGTAGGAGAGGTATTTGTGGAGGGCAAGCTCCACCTTCTGCCCAGGGGAGAAAAGTAGGAGGATATATTGTGCACAAAATTAAAATTTAAGCCCTTAAGGATGAACGGCCTAGGCAGTTATGGTAAAGACTTATTAAAAGATGAGCCAATGGAGAGTCTTTCTTCAGAATCATCTTAAGTGACCAGTCACAGAAGGGTTTACAGAAAGGGCAATGAGAATTATTCAACTTTTCATCATGACTTTACTTTTCTCTATTATCTACCATGTATGAAATAGGGATTGAGGAGAATCTCATGAGCAGGTTCTAGAGCCTTGGTTTAAATCTTGGCCCAATCATGTATCAACTGCACGACCTTTGGCAAGTTATTTAACCAATGTGGGCTTCTGATTCCTTGTATATAAAAGTGGAAATAACATTAGCTACCTAACAGGATATAACATAGTAACCACTAAAAAAGTTACCATAATTTCTCTGTTGATATAGCCTTTTTAAATATCAGGGTCTACTGTATGTATCAAAGACTTGAAAAATACTTATAGCGTTTAACCCACTAATTCCCCATGAAGGCGGCTGTAGCAATAAAATAATAAAAATATGGAATAAGAAATGTTCATGGCAGCACTTCTTACGATGGCTAACAAATCTTGACATTTTAAAATATACTCTACAAAAGTGAACAGGTAAATAAATTGGAGTGTGTATAAATACAAGTTGTATGTAATCATTTTAAAATAACGTTTTAAAACTAAGAATGTTAACATGGGAAACTGCTTGATAAGTGATCAAACAGTAAGAAATAAAACTATATGTAGAATAAGCCCAACTTACTTTTTTATTTTAACCAACTTTTTTTTTAGTTATTAGCTAGTGTTTATTTAATCAGGTTTTTTAGTATTTTAAAAATTCAGTATCTTCATGAAATGAAAACTTTACCATAGCAATTGAAACATGAATTGTGCTTAGAGTTTCGTGATTCACATCCAAACCTTAACATATCATTTACAATTCAAAAATTGTACTCTTACAAGTCATTGTTCTATGCCAAATTTATTTTTAAAAACATATTATATATATAGGAAAGAAAATAGTAAAAACAACAATAATCAAAACACACACCATTATTCTGTGCTCAGCCAGCACAGTTCTGGCCTGCTGGTAGAACTGTGGACATATTTTTATTTTCTTTATGTTTTTCAAGTTTCCAACATTGAGCAGCTGTTACTTTTGTTACCATATAAAATCAACATATGAATTGGTTGAATGAACAAATATATAGTTATTGCTTCAAAAGGGACTTTAATCAAATAAAAAGAACAGATAAAATGTCATAAAACAAAATGCCTATAAGACCAAATACATGCAGATACGAAACTGGGAGAGGCTAAATATTACAAATGTTCAAAGAAAGGTACAATCAGTATTTGATACTATAATAAGGGAAAGTTTCACAGGACTATTTAGCTATTCTCACCAGTATGTAAACACCATGAAGGGAAGAACCTTGTCTTTATTTGGTTTTAGCCATAGTGTCTAGCACAAAATGATTTTGTAGGCAGTACACCTCCATGAATAGAAATAGAACAGCATAAATAGAATTTTTGAGTACTTAGAAGTTGCTGAATAAATATCTGCTGAATAAATGTAAACATTTGCTGGAATTGAGCAAAGACTTGAATCCACAAAATTCTAATCAAGATGGAGGGCCAAAATGTGTATGCAGTGCTCACGGGATTGTAGGAAAGCTTACCTAGGCTAGACTGGAGGGAGTATATTATAAACTGTAATGAAAAATAAGGTTGGATAAGGGAAAAGATCATGATAGGCCTTGAAAATCAGACAGGAGATTTGAGAGTTGATGTAGTAAGAAATGGTAAGTCAATAAATATAATGACAATAATGAAATCTAAAATTGATTTAACATTTACTATGGTGTCAAATACTATATGTTTTACATAACTTTTCTCATTTCATCCTAAAAAAAAAAATATGTGAGATAGGTGCTACGGCCTTCCTTTTGCCAATGAGGAAATTAAGTCTCAAAGATTACTATTTTGCTGAAAGTTACACATCTACCAGTCAGATTCCATGTCTGACTTCAGAGGCCAACCTCTTGAAGACTCTGTATAAGACCTCTACAAAGTCCACAAAACGTGTGAAGAGAAATACCAGAAGAGAATGAGATCATGTATATTTATTCTAGGGTCTTGGACTGGAATCAGATGTATCATTATGAATCCATGATTTTGACATATATAAAGAGGGACTTCAAGAAATCGATATAGAAACAGGTATGTGTGCATATATACATATATTTCCTAGTTCTGCCTGCTGAGAGGGCCTAGAGGCAATGACACCTCAGTAGCAATAAGCATGCCAAGCACCCAGATCTTGGCTTCTACATACCATTCTCCAATAAAAAGAATCAGAGCTCCTTGGAGAAAAGATTCTGATTCCAGAGTTGGGGCAAGGAAATTAAAAAATGAGTCTGGAGGCCAGGTGCGGTGGCTCACGCCTGTAATCCCAGCACTTTGGGAGGCCAAGGCGGGTGGATCACGAGGTCAGGAGTTCGAGACCATCCTGGCTAACATGGTGAAACCCCGTCTCTACTAAAAATGCAAAAAATTAGCCCGGCATGGTGGCTGGCACCTGTAGTCCCAGCTACTTGGGAGGCTGAGGCAGGAGAATGGTGTGAACCCGGGAGGCAGAGCTTGCAGTGAGCCGAGATCATCGCGCCACTGCACTCTAGCCTGGGTGACAGAGCAAGACTCCATCTCAAAAAAAAAAAGAAAAAAAAAAGAGTCTGGAACATCTGTGGTGCCAGAAAGTAAGAGGGTGCTTAAAAAATGATGGAGACATGTTGAAAGGACACAGGAGCCAATTTGAAGGGGCTCCTGTTGGCCAAATCTGGGTTTCAGCAAAAACAAAAAGTAGTAAGAGCATAATTCATTATAACCTATAGAATAAAACAAATATTCATTAAGTCCATACTGCTATAAACAGCTGAATAAATATATACATTAAGCGTAAAGAGAAAGTTTTTTATTACAGTATAATTCAATCAATTAATAAATGTAAAAATGTTGAAAATTGAAATCAATGTCTGGCAAATGTCACAACAATAATTTATTCAAGCCAGAATCATCAACATATGCTAAAATTAGTGGGCAAATATATGATGAGAAACAGGATATTTACATTGTCTCACAATATTGCCCTGCATAGTCTCACTTTGTAATTACAAAAGAAAAAATAGTGACTTTATAGTGAATAAACCTAGCAGACACCATCTTAACCAAGCTTTCAGGGATGTAAAGAGTCTCATGTCTTACATGTATAGACATCAAAAGGTAAATAAAAACACATGAAAAAATACAAACTCTTACACTGCCATGGGACAGATACATATATAGATATATGCATAAGACTAAAGATATATATCTATATAGTTTGTGAATAAAATTGGATATGATAGGTAGGCAAATTAGTACAAAAAAAGAACAAAACTAAATTAAGCATGTTAAGTAAAGTGTGTTACCATACACACATACCCGGTTGTTTCACAATAGACATGCTCCTGAAAAGTTTGGTGGACTTAAAATTAATGCAGTAACTGAGTAATTAAATAATCATAAGGCAAATCTTCCTTCAAAACAAATCATCTGTCACAAATTATAGTAGTTATATAAGTTGAAATGTTTACATATTGTGATTACATAAAATCATAAAACCTTCAACAGCATTTGCTTTTAGATTGCTTTTAAATAATCTCACTCTAGATACAGATACAGAGGTCAAACTCTGATCTTTTTATTCTAGGCCCAAAGCTATTTCCATTACACCATGCTGCTTCTCCTAACATCAGCAGGAAGACATGTAACCCCCATTATCATTTCCATTTCACCTCCTGTGTCCAAAAAAAGTGGCAGAGATCCAAATACTTTACACACCAGTAAATCTCTATAGACCACATACAAAGTAGGCAGTATAGGACAGTCATTAAGGGCAAAGATTCTAGAGTCAAACTGCCTGGATTCAAATTTTCCAGCTTCACAAGTTACTGCCTACATGACTGGATTTCTGGGAATGTATTCAACGTCTGTAATTTGTAGTTTTCTCATCTGTAAAGTGAGGATAATAACGGTATATGTCTCATAAGTCTGTTCTGAAGATTAAATATGATAATATGTATTATCATATTAGCACAGTGCCTGGCACATAGTAAACACTCATTATGTTATCTACATTAATAATGATGACAATGATGACAAGTTTTTCCTATGGAGCAATATACTTCATAGAGGATGAAGTGTTTCATGGCTACAAACAACACTCCTACCCTTGATAAATTCGTGCCGCTGGTCACAAGGAAGATAGTACGTTTAAAGTAGACAAAAATATCCAATCTACTGCACAGAAAACAACTTACTAACTATGTAAAATAAAACTAACATAATTTTACATACTACCCACATCCACAAATCTAAGTGCATATCCCACTGACAGTGAATCAGTACAGGTATAATTACCTTCACATAAAAATGTTATTTCCATCACTAAAAATTATATTTCCAACTTAAAACTGTCTTCTCTTATTACTAACCTTTTGGCATAGAGGTTACTTTATTCCACCTAATGAATGCTCTACCTAAAAAAAAGATCTTCCACATATTTGTGATGTACCAATTTGGCATGATTTCAGAGATAAAGAAATCATTTACCTATAAAAGAGTAAAGCACTTTAAATAGCAACACTTTTTTGATATAAAAACCCCAATACTAAACTACTCCAGTCAAAGACTAGCCCTACCACCAACCAGTTTTACTCTAGAAATGGTCACCGATATCTCCAGCACAAGTATGCAGAGCCGATATCATTCATATTTTTGAGCCTATTAAAATATTTATGTATGAACCAGGAAAAACAAACCCTTGGTTTTAATAGAGGCACAATATCCTAATGATAGGAAAAGGGGATATAAAATGTTCTTTAAAAATTATATAGGAGGAAAAGGGAAAGAGCTGTAATGACTTCATGAATACTCATTAGTTTAAGAATCCAAGAAAACAAGCTTGCTCTCAAGTTTTGTCAATAAAAAGAAACCTCATTGTTAACATAAATTGATTTAATATTAATTGATGTGTAGTGTTGCTATACATACCTGTATAGTTGTCATCTGGTGCAAATTTGTTAAAAGTAACATCAAAAAACATATATATATTTAATCAAACATCTACAAAATCTTTGTCCCTGGGCCAAATGCCAGAAACAGAGGGCACCAAGAAGATGTTTTTAAAATGAACTATTTTCAACAGCACAATTGCAGTTTTATCCAAGTCTGTAGCCCTATTGACTGGCTAAACCTTACCCCCATTAAGATGCTCTGCATCAAAAAAGCATTTTTAAATCATTTGTCTACTTTGATGGAAGAAAATTATGGCATGCATAGTAAAAATATTTGATATGCATGGTTTTTCAGCAAATTTGCTATTATAATTATGTTGTGCTCAGAGTAATATGAAAGTTAGTTTTCATACACCGGGTACACACCTTCAGAAGGATAGAAAGAGGACATGTGATTTGAGGCATGCTAAGTGCTATAGGGAAGCTAGACAGCTAACTTAAAAGTGGACCCAGATGAGCTGTAACATAGCAGCTGCTTACAAAGAATTGACGGTCACTCAACCATGTGAAGGCCTAAGCCATGATCTCATATTAAACAGTTTTTAAAACTATCCATAATGATCACTCAAATAAATTTAAATAATTTGTCACACACTTATTCTTCAGAGGTTATATGAAATTAAAGATGATGGGCTTCAGGCTGGAGAACATTTTCTCTCACAAAGCCATTCATTTTTTTAACATCTGGCCCTCATCCCCAATAGGACAGTGGGTGGGACTACCCAGATACCCTTCTAAGAGATATACTGAGGTTTGAATTCTACATTCCTAAAACTGAATGGAGCTTTTTGCTGCTATTTCACATGTACCTCCTCCCCCACTTTCCTTTAAACTGGAACACTGATTCTCCTTTGAAAAAGGAGTATTTTCCTTTGAATAGGTGATGGGCAAATTCTCAATTTGTTCAGATGCCTTGGTAGGTTTAAAAAAAAGTAAACAAACAAAAAAACCCATAATTTAGAAAAAACAACAACAACAAAAAGACGCAAAAGACCTGAAGCCTGAGACTTTACCTCACTCTTCTTGGTATGTTGCCTTAGCATTTCATTTGTAACAAGGATGTCAAAAGGGAAAAGGAGGTCAGTGGCTTGAATGACCTGAGGTGGGGGTAGGTTCCTGTTGCTTAAGGAAAGAGCAAAGGGGACGAACTTCACTGAGGCGCTAAAAACACTTTGATGGAAGCTGGATTTTCGAAGAGCCAAAATATTAAACTACAGACAAAATTCAAAGAGTGGGCTGGGTACAAGTAGTGAAAAGGTTAGTCGCCAGGCAGGGAAACACCCGACGGTGGAGGGAGGGGAGGAAAAGTTTTAAATACCCACCACAGCCTAGTGAGCCTTTAATTAGCGTCCCCCACTTCTGACTTTGCTCTTGCCCCCGGAGGAGCTAGCTGCAGGGAAGCAAGCAGCCCTATTTTTAAGCACTTAAACCTCTCCGTTGGACTTCAGAAGGCTTGAGTTACCGGTGTTGCAAATAACGTTTCTTCCTAAACATGAGAAAGCAAATTTGAATTCCCTAGTCAACGCCAAAAGGAAGATAAAGGGACCCCCCCCCCAAAAAAAAGGTAATTTCAGCGTGAAAGAGCGGTGATGGGCGCGGGGGAGGGGAGGAAGGACTTACCGCAGCCTCTGCAGGCTGCCCCCAAAGACTCAGGGCCAGTAAGAACAAGCCGGCAGCCAGGCTGACTCCACGCAGTTTCATTCTTCTCCGGCTCCCGCAGCTCCTTCAGCACCCGCACGAAATTCCCGGCTGGCTCTAACCAATTGACATAATCTTGAGGGTTTATATGGAGAGAGCTAGAGCCGGAGAGGGACAGTGAGGCTTGGGTGAAGAGAAAGAAGCTTTTTAAGAGTGGAAGAAAAAAAAAAGAAGAAGAAGAAGGAGCTACTCTTCCTTCCCCCCTCCCCTCCCCAAAGCCGGTCTCTCAGGAGAACTTTTCCCTTCTGTCCAGACTTGCAAACTTTTTCTTCACTCAATTCCTACAGATCTACTTTCCTCCCTCTCTTCCCCGTGCAAGGCCCCCCTCCTCACCAGCACAAGGGAATTTGAGTATCACTCCGCCACAGTTTTAGACTGCACCGGCAACCTGCGAGGGAGTGACGCTCAGTTATTTGGGGGAGGGAAACTTCCAGACTAGTTGACTGAGCACCATGAGTCCAACCGGGAAGCTTTTCTATTCGTTCATTTGCACCTTCCGTTGATACTACTTTTCTAGGCTCAGTTCCAATCTCATTGGTGTGCGTACCAAAGCCAATTACAAATAGATCTAAACTGGGACTATTTTTTTAGCGGATGGATCTCAGAGGGGCCGTGCTTTTTATTGTTACTCATTAGAAACAAATTTTGGTCGGTGCTCCCTGGGCTGCTGGTCTTCTTTACCTTCCAGCTGCTCACAGAACAGAGAGTTTCTACATACAAGCAGAAGATGTGAAAATATTGGGAATAAATAAAGTATATGCTTATAAACAAGTAAGAAAATAAGTATATGTGCGTGAATACTTTATGTGTGTTATATACGTATAAGATCTGGGAGCATTCAGCAGGTATTGGTAATTATTCTATGGTATTATGTTATTATAATACAGCTATATCTCTGTTTAGCTGCATTGAATCCTATAATTAATGCCTCCTATATTGAGCTAATGTAAAAGGTATTGACTCTCATTGTAGTTGTGTTTCAGAAAGATTTAGGGCAGGGAATTAAATAAATTTAGTGCAGTGTTTCTTAGAATTAATATAAACACTTAATTGGAAATATTTAAATAGAGTTGATGGCAGCTGAATCGATATCTCCCATATAAAGACTTGAATGTTCCTTTGATAATTCTGATATATAGATTTTTTTTAAAGTAACAAAAGAACTAGAAAATACTTTCTGCGGACTCCTTGGAGAATCTTCAAGAATTTGATGAAGAATTCTTCACAACATTTCTATCTTCCTAGAATTAACCACTTTAGAGTCTTTCAAGGTTTTGGATCTATTTCACGAGGGCCCACTCATCCTTAGGTTCTGCTTAGCTCAGAGTGGATTTACAACTCCAGAAACTGTCTCCCCTTCCCAATAGCCTAGTGTACTATCAATTTGAATCAGTGTTGTATGCATTTGGGCATGTGTGCAAGGGCACTTTCGGGCCCATCTGTCTTATGTGGGAATAGTATGCCTATGTCTCTTTATGTGTAACCTAACAGTAAAGTTGAAAGTATATGATGCACAGTTGCTTAGGTCTTAGCGTATAGGTCTCTAAGGGGCTGTGTGTGAAGCTGTGGAGATACTTAGGGCTGTTGTGTGGAAAGGTGCCTGAAAGTGAGAAAGACTACCGGCTGCCCAAGGTAGGGGGGATGATTGACAGCAGACAGCCCCGCCCCTTTCCCCTCCATTCTTTCCTCTCCTGCTGCATGGAACTATCTCCTGAGTGCTGCAAGTTGTAACGGGCACCGCTGAGCCTGTTTCCCTTTGGAGCACTTCTTATCTAGAAGCAGTGTTTAGTTTCTTCCAAACTGGGCCACTTCGTCCACCTACTCTGTTCTGAGTAAGGAAACAGCCTCCAAGCATCAGCAGAGCCCAGATGAGCACGGGCCGCGGAGCCGCTTAGCAGTCTCCCGGGACCCAGCTCCGGAGGAGCCGCAAGCATGCACCCTGGGTGAGCTGTTGCTGCCCCGAGCTCCCCTCCTCTTTCTTACTTCGGGTTACTTTGCCAGGCCGGGACTATACTGGTACTTCTGTCACTGCAGAGAAATTGGGAGCAGGCATCCAAAAGGGTTCGGGGGGCGACAGGCAGACGCACGACCCCGAAGCCTAGAGAGCCCATTACTCACCCTCCCTCCCATTTCAGGTTGTGGCTGCTCCTGGTTACGTTGTGCCTGACCGAGGAACTGGCAGCAGCGGTGAGTCTCTTCTCACGACCCTTTTCCGTCCCCCTCCTTTGACCCTCTAACCATCCCCATCTCTAGTATTTATGTTAGGGGGTTGCAGAGAGTTTCACCACGAGACGGAGTCCACACCACTCCCCTTTCTAATGGGAGTTAATGAGATTCTTGAGAGGAATAGCACAGTGTCAAGTCAGTGTTTTTGGGACCAAGATATCTTCCAAAACTTCGTAACGGGTTGGGAAAATAAAAGTGGAAGACACAAGATGCACACATTTCTGAGCCTCTTCCCCAGACGACTTAAGATGACTAGCATCAATCTCCACGGCAGAAGAAACATAATTTTCCCTGGTCTTCAAGAACTTGAATTGGCACACTAGTTTGAGAGTGGGAGGAGAGCACAAGGAGTGGAACTTCAAAGTGCCGCAGATGCTATGGAAATGAAACTTAAGTACATGCTTAGAGTCGTTTGACAGTACCAGGTGACAACATCTGGATTCTTTAACTACCTGAATTGAACTGATACCACTAGGTGATGTTCAATTTCTGTCTGATGTGTCGTGTTACTCGTTTCTGCATCACCAGAAAGTTAAAAGATAAAGCTGTTATAATAGAAAAAAAAATCAAAGTTAACATTTCATAGGCTGTTTAGATGTCATCTATCAAATCAACTAGGGACTGCAGGTAAAGAAATTTCTGAAGACTTTTGGTCAAGAAAAGTTTAATGGGTCCCAGAAAGTATTGAAATCTCCAGTGGAATTACTAGGATAATTTCACAAAGATGGAGTGACCCAAATAATCAAAGATGCTGCAGTTTTCCAGTTTCACTAGCTACTTAAGCTGGCAGAAATAAAAACTGTTGAGTTTGAATACGAAGTTGTTCAATTGTTGAGTACTATTTCACTGCTGTATTTTTTTTAAAAATTCTTAATGATACCCAAAGCCATTCCCTATATAGATGAGAGATGAATATATATTCCAAATATTTATCTTGTGGGTTTTGATCATTTTAACTGATTGGCTCTGCTTTTTAATATTTTAAATATTTTTAAATACTATTATAGGGCCATACGTAATTCAACCTAATAAATCACCCAATGTGTTTATGAAAAAATGGATTATTTTATCTTGGCATATGATGTCTTTAAGAAAATACCAGAGTGAAGCTATTTTTCTTGTAAAGAGAGGAAGATGCCAGAAAACTTGAATACCAACATCTTGTGACCCCTTAACTCAATATCAGTTCCTATGTAAGTAAATTCTGGACTTCGTAAGCAAAGATATTGATCTAAGACTCTGTGTACTTCTCCATCTTATTCCTTCAATATACAAGTTTAGTTATGTATTACCTTGAGGCTCAATAACTACATTAATTGAAAATGCCAAGATTTGATTAGTTAACAATTCATCCAGGAATCTTGCCACTTGTAAAAGTGTCATGCATGGGCAGAATACCCTC
This sequence comes from Homo sapiens, assembly GCF_000001405.40. NCBI lineage: Eukaryota > Metazoa > Chordata > Mammalia > Primates > Hominidae > Homo > Homo sapiens. The sequence goes on along the minus strand of NC_000023.11, from coordinate 108,436,500 downwards.
AAGCAAAACTTTTATTTTTAGACTCTGGCTGATTTTATTCAGTGTACTTTTGGGAAAAACACTACAGATCATTCCAGATAGCTGAAGACTTCACAAACACTGCATCCTGTCACTTAATACCTTTAAAAACCACTTTAATGCTTGCAATTCTTTCAAGTATTGAAATGAGTCTCCAAAATTAAGCACTGCTTTGGTGTATGAGTTTTAGACTCTGTCTCATTGTTTTATGTCACCTGCTATGTCAGTATGATTGACCATGGTAAGTCTAAAATTGACCTTGAGTTCCACAGATAATACTTTATTTTTTGACTTATTTAAGTACACAGCCACTTCCTTCACTTGTTGTTTACTTATGCAAAATATCTTTGACATTGTAAAGCTACTTTTTTTCAGTTTTGGGGAAAATGACAAATATAAAGACAGTCACAGAATAAGTTATCAGAAGATGACTTTTCTGAAGGGTTGTTTTGTTTTTCTTTTACACTCTTTGCACGGGATTCTTATCTATACGGGCTGGTTCTCGTATTCTACACTCAATTCCAGTTTATCCTCATGAGTTTGTGTGTTTTTCACCCTTTGGATTGTTTTAAACATTTAAATTCTCTGTGCCATGTTTGACTAATATTAACGAAAATAGCTATTAAAAATAGATTGGCAGGAACTATGTTGTGTTTTGCTATGAGAAAGTCTCTTTACTGTGAGAATTAAGCTGCCAATAATATTGGCAAGCATTTAAAGATTGGGTCATTTAGGGGCTTTTGGGCTCTTTCTTTTCCTGAGTTTACAAAGCACATCTATATAAAGTAAAGGAAAACTAAATGTTAAAATCCATGTTAAAGAATGAGCTTCCATTAAATTTACTTTAAAGGAGTAATGATCTTCATTCAGGTGAAATATTTGCACAATTTATCTGCATAAAATAGAATCTAGGATCTCAGAACATCCATGTCTTTGGCTGTTAGGCGCCTAACTATCTAAGGGGCTGTGCTAGGCCACGCACAGCATGCAAAGATTTATTTAAACATAGTTCCTAACTCTCTAGGAATTTGCTTTCTCAGACAATGGTGGTCATTATGTTCCTTAGAAGATAGGATGCTTAATGATAAGTTATTATCTACATGTACTTGCATCGTGTTAGCGAAATGTCTAGAAAGATACAAATCTCACCATCAGCCAATATATCTAGGAAAAAACATATATCCCGAAGTAGTCAGATCCTTATGTTTTCTTCACACTTTGCCCCCTCCAAATGAGCTTTCAGGAAAAGGTCTAATACAATCAAGCATACTTAAAGTCAAAAGCCTAGGGGGATACTTATTTGGGTTGGGAGGAGGGTAAGGAGAGAAAACATTTCTATTGTTCCTTCTGCAGAGAGCATAGGTAAAATGCCTTTAGCTGCACTCAAATCAAGGTCTGATTGAAATATCAACTTCTTTCTTTAAAGTTGTAACATGCCCAGGTTGGTCCTTTCTGCTGTGATTTTCAGTCGTATAGTAGTCATCAATATATGAATATTATGTTAAGGGAGTTCAGCGATGGAGACGATCTCTTCCAGTTCTAAAGACCAAGAGGAATATTTGCATTATCTGGGGCTGTGTCTCTATAAATCCTTAAAGTACTCTTCTACTTTACCTGCTAGCAAATATCCTATATCAGCTAGCTATGAAAAATCACAACATATAATATACGTGTGTGTATGTGTGTATATAAATATATAATATATATATATATATATCTTGGGATGACTAAGGATACTGATAGAAATGTATGAGTACACTATTAAGTAAATCATCAAATGACTGTAAATAGATAATCCATAGATGATAATATATTTACATTATTTATAGGTGAAATTCAAATATATTTTAAGATAGAGGAGGGGATAATAGATGTTATTATCTAAAGTGTTACTAAAGAAGCAAATATATAACCATTTCAAAAATTGTTTTATTATACATTTTAATGATTGTATTTCAGTGTAATCAGTTTCCATTGTAATCCTATGTATTTTATTGTATACTTCTAAAACTAGCAGGGTGCTGTGGTGTGTGCCTGTAGTCCCAGCTACTTAGGAGGAGGCTGAGGCAGGAGGATTGCTTGAGAACAGAAGTTTGAGGCTGTGACGCACCATCATCGTGCCTGTGAATAGCCACTGTACTCCACCCTGGGCAGCAGAGTGAAACCCTGTCTCAAAAGGAAAAAAAAAATAGTATTCTAAAAAGGAGTCCATAGGCTTCACTAGACTGCCAAACTATGGCATGAAAAAAGTACCCCTAGTTTAAGAAAATTGGTTTTACAAAAACAGTCATTTTCTAATGTTTGTTCAGGCATGAGGGGAATTGTGTTGACTCTAAGTGCCAACAATCTTTTAATTTTTAAGCATAGTTTGGAGTCTTCAATAAATATGCTCCTATATTCTGTAAGCTCATAATCAAGCCATATGACTGGAGTAAAGTATACTGTTTCCCTTATTATCTCATTAATAGAAAAAACTGATTGACCTCAATTATTAATATTGGTTTTTATTTGCCTGAATTATATGGATTATTTCATAATTTTACCACAGGTGCAATTATGGTACACCACAGCCTCAAGCAATCCACCTGCCTCAGCCTCCTGAGTAGCTGGGACTATAGGCACACACCACAGCTCCCTGTTAGAATAATCTTAAAAGTATGGCTGGGTGCAGTGGCTCATGCCTGTAATCCCAGCAGTTTGGGAGGCCGAGGTAGGTGGATTGCTTGAGCTCATGAGTTCAAGACCAGCCTAGGCAACATAGTGAAACTCCGTCTCTACAAAAAATACAAAAATTAGCTGGGCATGGTGGTGCACGCCTATAGTCCTATCTACTGGGAGGCTGAGGTGGGAGGATGGCTTGAGCCCAGGAGTTGGAGGTTGCAGGTGAGCTGAGATCATGCCACTGCACTACAGCCTGAGCAATAGAGCTAGACCTTGTCAAAAAAAAAAAGAGAAAAAGAAAAGAAAAAGAAAGAAAAAACAGTATACAGTAATATACTTGGAGTATAGACTTGTCTTATACTGTGTAGGTGACAAGACATACACATAGAAAAAGAACATCGTGGGATAACATCAGGCTATATTAAACTATCAAGTCCTTTATAGCTGCCTGAATGTCCCAGTGAGGCAGATCATAGGGCTTTTACTTGGTTTAAAGTCTAATTAAATGTAAATAGAAGACCTGATAAGCATGCTCAAGGGAAAATAGTAATGGGAAAATTAGCTAAGAGCAATTATCAACTCTCTTTCTTTAATCTATCCCTTTCCTAGGGTTTCTATTTTTCTTCTATAAACAATATTGAATTCTCCTCCGTTATAACAATGAATTTAAACAAAATCACTTCATTTACTTTAATAACTCTAACCTCTTCAATTGCATTACCCCCAAGTTCCTGGGTATTGTCTAGTCTTCATCACCAACCACTTACCCTTCAACCTATTATAGTCTCAACTGAGTCTACTCCAGGCAAACAGCCCTCTTTCAAGCTACTAATGGCTGCCTAATTACCAAACCCAATGGCTTATTTGCAGTCCCCATTCTATCTGACTTCACTGTGTTATCTGACATTTCCCAGTTACTCTGATACTTCTTTATCCCCTTGTTTTTTTTTAATTTTGTTTTGTTTTGTTTTTTTGTTTTTTTGTTTGAGACAGAGTCTCACTATGTCACCCAGGCTGGAGTGCAGTGGCACAGTCTTGGCTCACTGCAACCTCCACCTCCCAGGTTCAAGTGATTCTCCTGCCTCAGCCTCCCGAGTAGCTGGGACTACAGGTGCCCGCCATCACACCCGGCTAATTTTTGTATTTTGAGTAGAGACGGGGTTTCACCATGTTAGCCAGTCTGGTCTTGAACTCCTGACCTCAGGTGATCCACCCGCCTCGGCCTCCCAAAGTGCTGGGATTACAGGCGTGAGCCACCGCACCCGGCCTCCTCTTGTTTTTTAAGACATTATACCTCACTAGGGAGCTGGTAATAATCCTGAAATAAATAATCCTGAATCCCATAATTCTAAATGTTGAAATCCTGAAAGATCAAAATCCCAAAAATATTCTGGAAAAAGTAATTTTAAAAATTATTTAAAAGATATTTACTTACATTTTTAAAAGGATAGTTGTTTGAGAAACATAAAACACAACAGAACATTCCAAAGGTCACTTTACATAATAAAATAGACAATAATAACATACATAGTTTTGTAAGGATAAACACTTAGTATATACTAGTGACAGTCACACTTGTATGACAGTTATAAGTAGTTGAACTGTATTCACAAAGAAATAGGTCAAAAGGAAAATGTATAAAGACATATCACTATGGTTGGTAATTGTGTGCATCCAGCTTTATAACTGTAGTCATCTGAAATACCTTGATGAACAACAAAAGTCTTTTGACAAGATAGATAAAAAACCACCATAGGTGACCACCGTATATGCAGTCATCCAAAGAGCCAAGATCTTGAGAAATTTTATCTTTCACAAATGCGGGTGTACAAAAAGACATCTCTTCATTCACTGAGGAGGTTTTCACATTTTTACATACACACACAATGCTTACACAGAAAGTCAACATTGTGATAATACACGTTCATGGAATCAAATTTCTGATGTCCAACGCAACAGAAGAAAAGTCTGCCCCAGCTCTCAGAGAGAGACCAATTTGCATTCTCTGTTTGTTCTCTCCCAGCCTCTAGCCTATGGGATGGTGCCAGCCCACATTGAGGGCAGATCTTCCCTAGCTTATCCACTGGGACTCATACATGAATCTCCTTTGGAAACACCCTCACAGACACACCTAAAATAATACATTACCGGGTTTCTAGGTATTCCTTAATCCAGTCCAATTGAACCTAAAATTAAGTCCGCAAGTCCACCCCTTGTCAACTTGGCACCCGTTATGCATCTTCTTAAACCATACTTAATTTCTAAATAAAGACAATAACAAGGAAATAGTTCCACTTCACATGATGCAACTAACATGGCACAACCATCCCATCTGCGACCAAAAACACACTTCCCCAGAATTCAGTTTTCAGGATTTCAACATTCGGGATTTTAATCTTTCAGTATTGTGATTTTCAGGATTTTAGATGTTAAAGATTTTAGACTCTAGGGATTTAGACTTTAGGGATTTTGATCTTTGGGATTTCAACATTTGGGATTATAGCATTCAGGATTGTGTCTTTTGGGATTATGACACAAACTTGCCTCACTAGTTCTCCTTATACTTCTCTGATCTTTTTATTTATGCTATTAATTCAACAAATATTTATTGAGCAACAGCTATATTCCAGATAGTATGCCAGGCCCTAGTGACACAGTGGTGAACAAGTTAGCCATGAACTTTGCTCTTATGGAATTTATAATCTTTATCAGTCTCTTGTCCTAAAATGGTGGATTTTTTCCAAAACTTAATTCTTTACTGTCTTCTTGCCTCAATGGTTTTAACTATGCCTCCTATATAGTGATGATTATCAAATTTATATCCCCAGCCAAGACATCTCTTTTGAGCTCTAAATCTATGTTTCCATTTGCCTACTAACCCCTTGTACCTGTCTCTCAATTAGTTGATATATACAAAACACTTAAAACAGTGCCTGGAGTTTAGTATAGGCACTCAGCCAAAGCCAGCTATTATTATTTTTATTGCCCCAAATACAGTATAGTTAAAGGTGAAATTGTTTTCTTCTCCTTCCCATGACACTCCAACCAGCTGTGATCTTTTTTATTTTTGTTAAATGTCATCACCATCCACCAAGTTTCAGCAAGAAGCTACAGAAGCAGCCATCAGCTTTCATTATTTCCAAAATTCTCACCAAATTTTGATAATTTTACCAAAAATCTGTAGAATCTGGCTTTTCCATTCATATTCTGTTGGTTTCAAACTTCATACATCAGTAGCCTCCTGACTGGTTTTTCTACCTCCTGACTCCATCCTTATCTCTACATTGCCACTAGAGTTATTTTACTAACAACAAACCCAATTATGGTATCTTCTGATTTAATGCCTTTATTGGTTTCTTCTTTCTTCCAGGATAAAATGCATACTACTTGGTTTGGCACATTTAAGGGCTTTCATTTTCTGACCCAACTGCTTTTCTAGCCTCATGTCTGTGTGTTTCTTCCTACCAGTCCTTCTTTCCAAACTCATGGTGTATATTACACTTCATTCAGACTGAACTTCTCACCATTCCCAAACCACTTTATATTCTTTCACATCTCTTTGCCCCTGGATATGCAGTCCCTCTCTCTGGAATATCCTTCTGTATTGTTTCTACCTTCTTTTCTATCTAATGAACTCCTACTCAATCCTTAATACCCAGACCAAATATAATTTTTTCTATGAAACAGTTCCAGACCTCTTCAGAATGAATTTATTCTTCCTTCTCCTGTGCTTCCAAGGAGCTTTGGGCCTCTTTGGTAGCACATCCATGTGGTGGTAAGATTCCTATGCTTATATGACTACGTTACATTCTTCAACCTTGTACTTAGGATGTCCAGGATACTGCCAGGCTGAGCATAGGTGATCAAGAGATGACTTTCAAATGAGTAAACATCTCCTAATGGCTCGCAACAAACTGCCTTCTCCCTGTCTATCTTAAAAATTACTAATGTTAACTCCAATAACAATTGAATTGATGGAAAAATATCAACCCTGTTCAATAGTATAATGTTTAAGAGAAAGCACTCTAGAATCAGACTTTTGTCTAAATGTTGCCTCTGCCCTCTGACACTTCCTAGCTGTGTGACTTAGAGTAACTCGTTTTACCTTTCTGAGATTTAATTTTCTTTTTTCTTTTTGAGTGTTCAATGAAATTTTTATTGAGATAATTGTAGATTCACATGCAGTTGTAAAAAATAGTACAGAGAGATCCTATGTACGCTTATCCAGTTTTCCCCTAGTTGTAATACTATAATATAATATCACAACCCAGATACTGACATTGATAACATTCACTGATCTTATTTCATTTTCCTCGTACTTATTTGTATGTGTATTTTGTTCTATACAATGTCCTCACAGGTGTAGGTTGGGATTTCCATTGCCACAGTCAAGATACCAAAGTCAACAAGGATCCCTCATGCTGTCCTTTTATAACCACATCCATATTCCTCCTCCAACAACATATATTAAGTTTTTACAAATGTATACAGTTTTATAACTGTCTCCACAATTGTAATAAAAACACTTATTTCCCAGAAAGTTCCCTTACACTTTTTGCAGTCAATTCCCTCCTCCTCATTCTGCACGCTAGGCAACCACTGATCTGCTTCCTATTATTGTAGTTTTGCCTTTTCTAGAATTTCATGTAAATGTAATCAGCATAGCACTTTTGAGATTTATCCATGTTGTTATAAGTATCAGTAGTTCATTCCTTTTATTGCTGAGTAATAAAAGGAATGGATATATCACATGTTAATTCTCTCTTCATCAGTCCATAGACTTTTAAGTTGTTTACAGTTCTTAATTATCATGAGCAAAGCTATGAATATTCAAGTCCTCATGTGAACATGTTTTCATTTCTCTTGGGTAGGTATCCAGGAGTATGATTGCTATATGGTAAGCACATATTTCATTTTGGATAGTTTCTAAGTCTATAGCTTCATATTCACTGATTTTTCCTTCTTCAGAGTCTAATCTGATATTAACACCACCTGTGTGTTTTTTTTCATTTCAGATATTATATTTTTCTTTTCTAGAAATTCCTTTTGGATTTTAAATTTTACAAACTTCCATTCTTCTCCTCATCCTGGTCACATTTTCCTCTACCTTCCTGAACCCATGAATCTTTTTTTTTAAAGTTTTATTTTAGGTTCGGGGGTCATATGTGCAGATTTGTTACATAGGTAAACTCGTGTCACAGGAGTTTGTTGTACAGATTATTTCATCACCCCAGTACTAAGCCTAGTACCCAATAATTATTTTTTTCTGACCCTCTTCCTCCAGGGTTTAATTTTCTCATCAGCAGAAAAGGGATGATGATATTATACTTTGTTCTTGAGGTATTATTGTGGATGCTGTATGTGAACATGCCATGCACCAGGTAGGTGCTAAATTCCTCTCCCATCTTTTCCCCCCAGTATCCTCAGAGACTTAAAAATCATTTCCCAATTTTGGCAATTGATGTTTGATAAGATGAGAGAAAGGGAGATATCAGAGAAGGCTCTCTCATTTGTAGATTTTATGTCTAGAACAAACTTGTCCAACTTGTGCCCCAAGGGCCGCATATGGCCCAGGACGGCTTTGAATGCGGCCTAACACAAATTGGTAAACTTTCTTAAAACATTACGAGATATATTTGCTTTTTTTTTTTAGCTCATTAGCTATTGTTAGTATTACTGTATTTTATTTGTGGCCCAAGACAATGCTTTTTCTTCCAATGTGGCCCAGGAAAGCCAAAAGATTGGACATCCCTGGGGACAATGGCCATATTTCTCAGTTGTCCCCCTCATCTCTTTATCCCAATTTCACCACCATAATAGTAACATATGTTTTCAAGTCTTTCAAGTTTACAAAGCACTTTATCATATATTATTTTGTTAGCTGCTCAAGACAACCCTGTGAGGGACAAATATTCTCATCCCAGAGAGATTAACTGATTTATCTAAGGTCACAAACCCAACAAATGGCAGAGTTAAAGCCCACTCTACTGTGCTATCTCTTTAATTTAAGTTTTTTATCATCTCTTATCCGGACTCCCTACAGCAGACCTAACTGTTCCAGTTTCAGACTTTCACTGCCTCCTCATTGGCTTTCCTGATATCCATCCTCTCTGAAAGCAAAGAGCTTATTCTAAAACACAAATTGATCATGCCACTCTAACATTTGTGGAAGCTCCCTACACCCATGGAGTATCTGATCTGGCCCTGCCTACCCATCCAATTCCATCTCCTGTCTTGTCCTCATGTAGCTGATGTTTAGGTCACAGTTATACTTGTGATGTTGGCTTAACAGGACGTGCATATTCACTCCTTCTGCTTCTCCTGTTTTTTTCATCCTCTGTCTTGCCTTCCTCCTGTCTCTACAGATGGACATATTGTTCTTCTCTTAGGAAGTTAAGTTAGTATTTTTCTGAAGTCTCCTCTTCTTTTGTCTTTCTGTTTCTCACTGTTTTTTCGTCCCTTCAACTAATATTTATTTAGTGACTACTATGTGCCAGGCATTGTTGTCAACCCCATTGTGGGAAGGACTATGTCAAGCACTAAGCCACTGTAGCCAGAGCACAGGGAAGGGGAAGAGGAAAGAGAGAGGTAGAACTTTGTGAGATGTGGATGGAGGATAGGAAAGAGACCTGCTCTGCACTCTTACTTGCTCCGTAACTCCTCAGAGCATTTACCTAACACCTGTACTACCGTATATCTCTCTATGTGGGGTGTAATTGACATTATAGTTATTGCCGGCCACTTATTTTGCGTCCAGTTCTCTAACAAACCCTTTATACGTGGAGGACTCACTCCTGCAGCATATATCTGGTCCTTCCACATTTATCAAATGTAGGCAAGCCATGAGGCATGTGTCTATTCTCAAGCCTTTTGGGGGTTCCGTATTTAATTCTGGATGTCCATTTCCTGATTTTTTCTCCTTCTATTTCTTTATGAAGTGGTTAAAAAATTAAAAGCTGTAACTTTAAAGCCAAATATCCCCAGGTTCAAACACAAACTCCACTATTAACTACGGCCTTAGGACAAATCATTAAATATATTATTAACTGTAAAATTATTACTATTGCAGTTATTATTTTCCCCTCATTCATTGTGATTGCCTCTCTGCTAGAAATGGGTAGTGAGGCCACTTGGGTGACAATTTAGGAAAAAAAAGTTGTTTAATTATTTGTTGAATTTGTTTTTCAAGTGTCCTAGGGGAAAAAGAGTTAGAATTGTTATTTTACTTGTTCCAGTTTCCCCAAAGCCACTTCTACCTCTGCTGCCCTACCTTTGTGATTTCCTGTAGAGACCTGCTTCCCAACTAAAGATTATGCCCAAAGACACCGCCCCAGGCATCTTTGAAGTCCCAGTTCCCCTTTGTCTAACAACAATAAGGCTAGTTTGCCATTATCTTTCAGTCTGGTTTGCTTGTATTGAGGGGGAGTTGGTGTTATTCAGTGGAAAATTTCCTGGTCATAAAGCTCTACAACATTTACCTCAGAGAGACCAAGCTTTCCCAGAATTGTCTGGCACCTCTGGCTCTGAGGCTGAATTGGTCTTTTGGGAGACAGATTTTTCTCTTGCGGAGGGAATTAATGTTAGTTATATTTTTCCTTGCTCTGTACAACTTTGAGTGACCATTTTTCCGTACCCAAGGGAAGAGGATTGGCAAAGAAAATTTAAAATGCCTAGATTTCTAAACTCTGTGAGTGTAGCAGATCCCTTAAGGACTGGAACAAACCTTAGATGTATGAGATTTATATTGTCTTTTAGATATGATTAAGTTGCATAAATACCGTCTAGCACCTAGCATGCAACTAAATATCCAGAACATGCTCATAGATACTGATGTTGAGGTTGCTGTTGATAATGAAGAAAAATGGGACACTCTATTAGAACATTTTTCAAAATTTACGACAGTAGACCCCTTTTCCCCCAAACTAAATCTCATATGCCCTCCCCAGAAATATCAATGTATTTATTAACAATTCAAATTTTTAACAGTAATTTATAAAGTCAGTAAGAAGGAAGAGCTTGAAATGAACATAAACATCTGAAATTGAGAGCTACAGAGGTGTGTGTGTGTGTGTGTGTGTGTGTGTGTGTTTGTGTGTGTGTTGTGCTGTCGCCCAGGCTGGAGTGCAGTGGTGCGATCTCGGCTCACTGCAACCTCTGCCTCTCGGGTTCAAGCTCTTCTCCTGCCTCAGCCTCCCGAGTAGCTGGTACTACAGGCACCCGTCACCATGCCCGGCTAATTTTTTGTATTTTTAGTAGAGACAGGGTTTCACCTTGTTAGCCAGGATGGTCTCGATCTCCTGACCTCGTGATCCATCCCCCCTTAGCCTCCCAAAGTGCAGAGATTACAGGCATGAGCCACCACGCCTGGCCTGAGAGCTATAGAAGTCTTAATCTCCAGTTTATTTCTGTTTATTTTATAGAATGTTGAGAAAATCCTGATGTAATAGTGAACATCATGGGGTGAGGGCTTTTTTATCTTGCTATCTCAGGATGCTCTGCAGTTAAACAGAAATAGCAAGAAAACCTATATTTCCAGGTCTGCACACATAATTCACGCTCTCTTTGTCTCTCTCCTCTCTCTCCTCTCTGTCTCTCTGTCTCTCTGTCTCTCTCTCTCTCACACACACACACACACACACACACACACACACACATACAGTTAACTGGGCAGCACCCATTAATACAATCAGTGTTGGTTTCCAGTGTGTTAATGTTTGGTATGTAACCCATTTGAATGGTGCATACTTTGTTTTATAACAGTTTTTAAATATGTTATTTATTTATTTATTTATTTTACTTATGGGTTTTTTGAGACAGGGTCTCACTCTGTCACCCAGGCTGGAGTGCAGTGGTGTGATCACCACTCATTGTAACCTCAACCTCCCCAGCTCAAGCGATCCTCCTGCCTCAGCCCCCAGAGTGGCTGGGACTACAGGTGTGGTCCCCCATGCCCAGCTAATTTTTGTATGTTTTGTAGAGATGGGGTTTTCACTTTGTAGGCTCGTCTCAAACTCTGGGCAGAAGCGATCTGCCCACCTTGGCCTCCTAAAGTTCTGGGATTACAGGCGTGAGCCACCCCGTATGGCCTAAAATATGTTTTTTTAAATGAAATTAAAATCTGATATTGTGGAACTGCCAAAATTTCAAACAGCACAATTTCAGTTACTTCCACAGTTTCAATACACTATATCATATGGTAATCAGTCATTAAACTCCATAAGACAGAATAAAATGCTACAGAAGGTGTAAGAAGGGAGAGGTCAATATGGATTGTAGTTAGGGAAGGCGTCACAGAAGTATGATTCTTGCTGGGTCTTAAAGAAATAGTAGAAAATGAGTAATTAATATCTATATTATATATTCTAGATTTTCCAGGACATCCTTGATTTTATGATTTCTTCTAAAGAAAACTTCTAGAAAAACAAGTAAATACACAAATATATTTGTATTTATCTGGATTGATGACTTATCTTTGCTTTCAAAATGCAGTCCTATTAAATATTGGAGGGACGGGCTGATCAGAAAGCATAAATTAAAACATGTAGGAGGAATCAGAGTGCTGCCACCCCATACAGAATCTTTGAGGATATTAGAAAAAGGCACTCCTTCCTCTAGGCAGTCATAGTTCTGTGCCATGCCACACTCATTGGTAAGCAATGAGCAGGCTGGACTTCTGCCCCCATTTGCCCCATCAATCGGGTTTTCTTTTGCAGTGAACCCTATGAAGAATCATACACTACAGTTCTAGCAGGGATGAACATGGTTGAGTGGAGGGCAGTGAGAAGAGCTAGAGCACAGGATGATTATTATGGAGTAAAGGGAAACGACTGTGGACAGTTGGAACAGGGTCAGGCTATGGAGACCTTAACCTCAAGGCAGAGGGAAGAATTGGCTTTGATTGGGGATGTGGGTGTTGTTACAACTTCTTGAACAGGGGAAAGATAAAAGTGGTTAAGAGGGAAGAAACTAAAAGTAAAGACTGTGTTTAAAGGAAAGCCTTTATTATAAAAAGATAGATTGTAGACTCTTGGTAAGTATATCTATGTTAGATATATAGGATACAGGGAGTTATATGTACAAAAAATTATCCTGCATTAAGAACAATGAGCAAAAGACCTTTGATCATGTCAATATTTCCCCCAAATAGCAATCAGTGCTTTGTAGGTGTCAGAAGTCAGAGGTGTGTGCATTTAATAATCATGTTATTAATAATGAGAGCTTCTATTTGGAGAGATGTTACTGTAAGTGAGGTGCTGGAACCAGAATGTTAGATCGAGGTTTAAAACTGTTCTTTCTTTGCCATTCCTAGCTGTTTCTACTTGAGGAAGTCATCTTAACTTTTTTGTGTTCCACTGTTACATTTGTGAAATAATGGGATTTACTTCATAGAGTTATTGAGATGCTTAAAAGAGATAATGCACATAACACTCTTAGCATTACTCTTGGCACTCAGCAAGTGTTAATTAAATCTTATTTGCTATTATTATTGTTGATGTTAGGGTTATTGTTAAGAACTTGATGCCAACCATTTGATTTCTGTCCATTGGAAGCATGTTTCTCACATTTAACTGGTCAATTGCCAAATCTAGTTCTCACAGTACACCACATCACATAACGTTTTGCCTTGTAAATTTTCTATGTGTTTATTGCCATTTGTTTAAGCATTCTTCCCTCAAAGGAAACTTAGAAGACAAGATTTGAAACTGACATAGTGGGCATCAAATTTAGTAAGATTTTCAGTTTTGTTGTCTGAAGAATTAAAGAAATCGCAAACTAAAGGCAAAAACATCATTTTCTCAGTTTTATATCTTAGTGAAGTGATGAGACTCTTCCAACAGTATATTCTGTGTCAGGGAGTTTGCAGCTGCAATCCTTAAACTTCCAAATTCTTCTGTTTTTCTGTCCTGCCAAATCCCTCTACTGCACCCCAACCTAGGACTACTGGAAGAATGGAAGGCACAATGGTCATGTTAGAAGAGACCTGTAGCTTTCCCTGTTTTGATGTCCAGCACCTGTTTTGAGCCCTCAGCCTAAACTTTCCAGTCCTTGAAACCATGAAAGTAGGTTGAGGCTCCCATTCAACCTAACGGCTAGGATAGCCAAAGGTGCTGAGATTGCTCCTTCTTTGTCCATGGACTTTTAGTTTTCAGAGTATAAGTCAGCAGGGAGAAGATTTTTGACCTAAAACATTGCGTTTTAGAGTCAGATTGGTGGCAGTTCCTTTCTGTATTTCAAAGGATCTCTCTATACATTTCTATGTGTATATTCCTCTGGAAGTTTGGTTGTGCCCTCCTGAATTCCTTCGAGAGTATGTGTTCATTTATGGATTTTTGTTTGTCAATTTGTTTTCCTTTTAGTGCTGTCTCTTACTGTCTTTGTAACATTTTGAAACAGTTTCAAAATTACAGAATAGTTTCAAGTATAGTACAAATTTTTATTTCCTTTTTCTTTCTTTTTAGACAGAGTCCTGCTCTATTGCCCAGGCTGGAGTGAAGTGGCATAATCATAGCTCATTGCAGCCTGGAACTCCTGGGCTCAAGCGATCCATTCACCTCAGCCTCCCATATGGCTGGGACTACAGGCATGCACCACCATGTCCAGCTAATTTTTTAAAAATTTTTTGTAGAAACAAGGTCTGCCCAAGCTGGGAACTCCTGGGCTCAAGTGATCCTCCCATCTCAGCCTTCCTAAGTGCTGGGATTACAGGCATGAGTCACAGCACCAGGCCCGTTTTGTTTTTTATAACTATTGGAGAATAAGTTGCCAATATGATGCCACATTACCCTCAAATACTTTAATGTGCATTCTTCAAACAAAGATGTTATGCTATGTAGCCATTTTTCTATTTTAAAAATTAGTATGAAATATTTTAGGCAACAAAAAGCTATAATATCATTTATATGAATATGACATAAAGTAACATAATGAACACATATATGACCATCACCCAGCTTAAGAAGTAAAACACTGCCAATGCAAATGAAACCACTTATGTACCACTTCCATGGCCCCGCCTCCACCATCATAAATTTGGTGTATATCGTTCATTTCTAACCTGGGGTTCTTAAGTTAGTTTCAGGTAGGTCTATGAGCACCCTCAAATTGTATGTAGAATTTGATGTGTGTCTGGACTTTTCTGGGGAAAAGGTCCATAGCTTTAATGAGATTTACATGGATAAATCTCTGGCAAAGTACCAGATTTCGTGCAAAAATTGTCTACAGCTAGTGCATATACTTTTCTGCCACTCATTTATTGCTTAGCTTTTTGTATTCTAGCTTTCTATCTAACCAGTTCATTGAGATTAATTTCTTAAAGTTCACTTCCTCATCACTAAATCCAATGGCTTCTTTTCATCCTTATCCTCATTGAACTACCTGCAGATTCTTACTCTTGGCTCACTTGTCCTTCTAGATTATTTCCCTTCCCTTAGCTTCTGCACTCTCTTGATATTCCCCAGTCTCCTCATTTAGAAAATATAATGCCTAACTCATGTGGTTGTGAGAATTAGCTGTAATGTTCCCAAAGCACCTGATTGTTGTATGCGCTCAATAAATTTAGCTGTTATTAGCAATTAATCCTCATACCACTGTGTTGCATCTCATCATCTTCCAGCTCTGTATTCAAGATGTTGCTAATGGACAGAGATCATGGCAAAAAGACAGCCAGCAAATACTGCCTCAATGTCCTGCACTGCTGTTCATTAGCTTACTAGCAGCCTTATAACTACTAGTAGTTCCGGTTAGACAGTATCAGTAATCTGTAGAGTCTTCAGGAGAAAATCATTTAGGTAAAGACTAGTTAGCGTTAAATTATATAGAGATATAAATTTAATTTCATCTCCTAAAGCTTGTAACACTATTGTTGGCCCGGTCACTTTTAAGGACCTCAGAAAGTAAAAATGTAGTTCTCCCCTGCTTGTTTATTCAGCTTTTTGCTCATTCTGCTACTAAATAGACTGACAAATGAAAGCGTCAACACTATTATGAAGGACACCTGCTTGTCTCAAGCTGGGCTGGGGCCAGTTATTCTGGATGGACCATTGAAGAGCCATATGACTTTTAATCACTATTTACTTGGAGCAGAATGAGAAGAAGCATTTATACCAGTCCCCTGAGGCTGCCCTGTCCTGAATTGTGCCTTTATCTTTTCATGTCCACTATTAGATGCCAGTAACAGTGACATACTTTTGTTCATATTCATAATAGAATCCTACAGTATTTTAAGGCACAATCCTCTGAGAAGCACTAAGGCCCCTACTGAGGCTCAACTGCCTGGAGGAAAACAGCCAAGCTATCTTTGCCTCTGTTGGGTAGAGTGCTTGAACTCCTAACTGCCATCCATTCTTTCAGGATAGGGTAGGTTATGCTGTCATAGCAAACAACTCCCCAAATCTCAGTAGCTTAAAATAACCTAAGTTTCTTCTTGTTTATGCTACGTGTCCATAATGAGTCACCTGGGGGACATTACAGAGTCCTCCCTCTAGGACCTAGATGGACCAGCCACCATCTGGAACACTGCTTATTATCATGGCAGAAGGAAAGAGAGTTCTGGAGGTCTCACACTGCATCACCAATTAAATATGATTCCTGGAAAGGATATGACACTTTTTTCTCATACACCATTGGTCAGCTTTGATTGGGGCTAGTTAAGGGACATCAAGTATTATCCTACCATGTGCCCTGAAGGTGGAGAGCTGAAAATGTTCAGTGAGCAGCCCTAATGACCCCCTTGCACACTTAATGCACCCTGTAGAAAGACATCTCTGGTCTCTCTAGCCCTGTCCCTTTCCCTCAAACATCTTACTAAGTCATGTCCCTTCGATTTCACTCATTCTTGTTCCATTGCTCCTGCAGAAACCAAGGAACTTGTCAATTTGTTAATTTTTGTGCATATTGCAGTCTGTATTGTTTAATGCAAGACCATGGTCTTTTTTTGCTCAGTTTGAATTTTTTCTACCCCTTTGGTGTTCTCGCAGTTGTATGCTGTAGCGATGGACAAAGATATTAGCTTAGAACAATTTTGTTTCAATAAAATTATCTATTTTTGACTTTTCCTGCCATCTTGTGCTATTTAGTGTTATGGTAATAGAATAGCTATAATTCTGTGACCCTTTGACCATAACAATGAGATTAAATGATTTGCTTAAGGGTATGTAACAAGGTAGTATTAAAGGAGCCTGAACTAGAACTCAGGTTTTCTGACTTATAGACTGTTTTATATTTATTATGCCACGTCCTATTATTTAAAAGGTTGTATAACTGACAGCAGTGTAATTTACTTCCAGAGACAATTGGTAACAAAAGAATCTGGTCTTTAATCTTGAATAGAAGGAATTTCCCATTTAAATGCCTCCTTTTGAATATTTTGATGAATTCCATGTAGTAAAATCAGATTCCTGGGATTCCTATGCCAACAAGTGTGTATTCTTGCCTGAAGCAAACAAGTAACTGGCCCTGAATGGATCAATAATATAATCCTATCTATAAGACTCAAATAAATAAGAACTTTCACCACCCCTGCTGCACCTCAATCTAAAATAAGGCATTGTATATATTGTATTATTGCAGGTTTGTTTCTTACTAGTATTTAGAATGTCAGGCAATGTTCCAGGATTAAAATTAAAAATGAAATCAATAGCCTGGTGACAGCATTATGTTTATGCTATGTCAACCTGCCTCAGTTTGGAGTTACTTTTTATATGATATGCTGTGGATTCTTCTCATATATAGTTTACTATAAAGCTCTACAATAATTCCTCTTGTCTTAAGCAAATTTTCTACTAGTAAGGGCTTAAGAGAAGGCACTAGCCAATGAGATTATCACTAAAAATCACAAATGATAAAGGCAGCATCTTGTATACAAACAAATCTTAATACGTAGGCACAGAGTTATTGTCAAGATATCAACCAAATGTCACACGGGTGGTCCAGGGTATCTGCAGGTACCACCAACCTTTGCCCAAGATGCAGTGGAAGGATACATCATTGGGTTTTTATATGGATTCAATAATTTAAATTTGTAGATTAAGAAAAAGAAGACTTGTCAAAGAATGCCACACAGAAATTATTAGAATAATGCTCTGAATTGTGTTAATAGTTTGTCCTCTGGCATCAGGTGATCTTTATTACTCTTCTGACACTAAAATCTGGGAATATTATTTTATGTAGAAGCACAAAGCTACATATCTGAGGACAATGGCCATTAGTGCAAAGTCAAAGCCAGTTTTACTTATGGTATATCTGCCATGATAGAGACATTTTCCATAACATTTTCTTACAGAGTTATTTCTTGTAGTTATGTAGCTATCAGGTTGATTTTTTTTTCTCGTGGAAAATTTTGTGCAAAATGAAGCAGAGTAAACAGTGTTCCTATCACTGAGCTTCAACAGTTATCAACTTGTGGCCAATCTGCTATGAGACCTTTATGAAGATTATCATAATCGTTTGCATTTCATGTCTGTGAACTGTTTTTTAATTATTTTTCACTTTCCAGGGCAACCACAGGTATAAGTGTTAGGATTTTACATAAGGAAAGAGAATTTATTCAAACCACTTGAAAATAATATCCAAAGTATTCATGCCATTAGCATAGCTCAGCCACAGATATCAACCAATTTCCTAAGATATTCTTAGAGGCAGTCAGACAGCATCCTTCTATTAACACCTATTCGTTATGTCAAATCACTTAGAAGCTAGAAAAGCACCATTGCTTCTCAACTATGGTCTGCAACATTTGGGTGTCTGCAAATATGTTCTTGGTGATCTAACACTTCTTAAGTTTAAGAAACATTGTTTTAATATCAAAATGGTAACACTCCTTTTGAGTGTTCACTCTTACTCAGGTTGAATTATTTTACCAGTACTTGTTTTTTAAAATGGCAATGCATCACCAAAACACATTTCCATAATATGATTTAACTTTCTTATGTCAGTGTTTCTCAAATAGGTTCATGAATCCATTCTAGAGTTCCTTAGAGTTCTCTGAAGGATGAGAAATACCACTCTAAGGGAAGAATGTAGAATATTTGATAATTTTATGAAACAAAATACATGTATGGTATAGAAGCCTGTTTCCCAATCTAGGTAGGATGCTGTATCGGGTTTTCATACTATGTAAGTAAAACAATATTCTCTATATATTTGTCTTAATTAATAAACATTGAAATTTACAACAGTTTATTTTTCTCATGCAGAGCTGAACATTAAAAATTATACCTATATTACAAAGAACAATAATTTGGTAGAAAGAAGGCTCCAGACTACTGATACACAGGTTATTCAGTGGCAGTAAGAGGCTTCTAAACTGACTTCAGAATAGAAACTTACTAATGCTTTCAGTTTCTTTCAGAACTGTGAAAGAACAAGAACATAGTTTAGGCCATTCTATGTACATTAATTACTGCTACTACTAATACTACTACTACTAATATGATAACAGTGGCAAAAGGATGATGATAATACTATATGCCAGTTATTGTACTAAGAACCTTATTTACATTTTTTACTTCATCCTCACCACCACCCAAACGCAGTAGGGTGGTAGGTTTCTTCTTCATGTGTGCTTGTGGTGCTGCTGATATCAGGCAGAGTCCTTTGGTGGAAGCTCCTGGAGTCCATCTGCTTCCAGTTCATATGGGCAGTTTCTCCTTTCCCATCTTGCAGTAGGTTGCTACTGCTATAACATTCATTCCCATATTGCAGTATCAATACTTCATCAGCATCTAATATTTGTACACAGTTAACACAGTCTCTTTTACACATGTGATCTCATTTGATCCTGTCAGGAACACAATGAAATAAGAAAGGAAAATAGAGTATTAAGTGAACTTTAGATGAGGAAATGGAGGCTCAAATATTTCTTAATTCATCAAGGTATAAGTCTTCTTCATATTACCTTCTACTATTGTTATATTGAATCTTGACTCTTCTCTAAGTGTGAAAAGTACAGTCATCTTTGTTTACCAGTTAATAGGGAGATAGATCTTAATCCTCATTGATTGTGCCCTTCTACACCCAACAAGGTATCAGGCACACCATAGGCACTTAAAAAATGCAGTAACTTGGCTTGTTAGATTTTGTACTTAAATGGATAAAGAGCTAAAAGAATACAATAAATTTCAGGTACGTCTTGCAGCAGGTTAGTATGTGGTTATTCATTAAGCTGTGTAATTTCTATCTAAATCTTAGGAACTCCCTAATACAGAAGGGCCCCAAATATTTTCCTACCAATGATCACACACTGTCTAAAAGTAAACTATTGTAGAAACATTCCTTTGGCCACTGATACTCCTAGACATTATCCTAAATTCCATACATGTCTAGGAAGTACAAGTAATTTCCACATTAGTGAAAAATAGATTTTTAAAAACATTTTTGCTGAGGATTTCACTCAGGCTGTTTTTAAAAAGATAAAAGATAGTTTTGGAGCAGGGAACATGATTGGGGTGAGTTTACAAGGAGTGCTGTAACAAATTGTTTATTTTCTACTCTAATAATTATAACTGGTGCTTTTTCAGCATACACTGCTTGCCAGACTTTATGCTATAAATAATATTATTATTCCATTTTGCAAATGAGAAACCTGAGACTCAAAAGTTAAATAGTTTGTGGAGGGTCAAAGGCTAGCAAGTGGCAGAACTGGGATTTAAACCAATGTCTGACTAAGCCCAAATCTCCTGTTTTTAACAATAAACCTTCACTGCTTTGTCAGTGGGAGTAAGAAGAAGCAGCGAGGATGAATGGGAAAGAATATACAAATGGTTGCTAGGAAGATACCCATGCCAAACATTTACTTAAGTCACAGTGGAGACTACAAGTCTGTGGACTCAAGTCCTATGGCAGATATTTTGGCTTAAATCCTCCTGGAGGTAACCACTTCCCTTTCATTCAGCGTCACCAGCTACTTTATTTTTCCTGTGCTTATTTGGTTACCCTCTTTGGTCTTCAGTGTTGTTGTTTGCCAGGTGAAGCCTGAACAATATAGTCAGATCTCCTTTGCATAAACCTTATCTTCAGTATGCAGCTCAAAATGTGTTATTTATAAATTCTCATCATTTAAGGCTACTAGCAGCAATGAATAATTCATAGTAAGAGTTGCTTTTTGCAACTAGTAAATTGAAAGGTTGATCATTCTTCCAGAGTGAACTTTAAGAAACTCATTCTCACAGGCTGGAATGATGAATGATAAGGATATTTCCTTTAAACTTGTGTTTAGAGTATTTATATATATTATCTGAATTGAACTACTTACCAGTTATATCAGATAGGTAGGGATTATATACCCATTTTGTAGATGGAAGTGACTGAGGCTTAATGATATTAAGTTATTAACTTGCTAACAGATAAAATAACCATTTACAAAGCCACAAGTTGAATCAGTTGGTCTTCCCATAATTCTGCATTTCCTGTTCTTCTTGCCCATCCTGTGACCTAGTACATTCCTCTTCCTCTAATACAAGCTTCCTGTGTGAACCAAATAAATAATATAGGCATTACATTTTACAGTAGTCAGTTGGGGTGATTGAAGGGAGAGCCCATTTGGGACCAGGGTAAACAGGAAAGTTTTTTCGGAGGAAGTGAAATTTGAGTTGCCACATGAAACAATGGCTTACTGATCTCCCTCATTCTTTCATAAATCCTGTAGGTAGGAAAGAGATATGCTTTCCTGATTCCAAATTAATTCAGCTATGTGTAGATATTTGCTAATAGAGAATGGTGGGTATGGAGAGGATGATATTTGTAGACCTTTTAAAAGTATGTTTACATTAAAGGAATTAGTTGGAGAGAAGAGAAATCCTACTTTTCTGCCAAGGTACCTTCAAATTGCACTACCTCCACAAATTGTACTATGACTGCTCTGGCCTCCATTAATCTTACATTTATCTGAAATCCTCTAATAACTATAGTGTAGACTAGCTGTTACAAACTGGTGATCCATGATCCTAATATGGTTCAAAGACATGTTTTGTTTTCACCAGTGCTGCTGTAGGCTAGGGGTTGGATTATTTTTTCTTTTATTCTTTTTGTTTTTGAGACAGGATCTCACTCTGTTGCCCAGGCTGGAGTGCAGTGGCACAACCATGGTTCACTGCAGCCTCAACTTCCCAGGCTCAAGTGATCCTTCCACCTCAGCCTCCTGAGTGGCTAGGTCTACAGGTGTGCACCCCCATGCTCAGCTTCTTCTTCTTTTTTTTTTTTTTTTTGAGAGAGAGGCAGGGTCTCGCTATGTTGCCAGGGCTGGTCTTAAACTCCTGGACTCAAGCAATCCTCCCACCTTGACCTCCCAAAGTGCTGAGATTACAGGCATGAGCCACTGTGTCCAGCCAGGGGTAGGATTTTATTTATTTTCTTGGAGAGAAGAGCAGGATTTTGAACCCACAGACTTGCCATAACCTCTCAACAAGGCTCTCCAGATGTTTTGGTATGGTGAAATACAACCATATTGGGAGATTTAGGTTTCAACAGTTCATAGCCAAGGACATGTGTGGTCCATTGAGCAAAATGACCCTCTTCTTCCTCAACACTTATGTAGAATACACTTAGGAATGGTCTCAGCATTCGCATCTTCCTAACTGGAGACAGAAAGTACAAAATGGCATCAAGCTTTCTGAGAGATTAGATCACTGCCCTATTATGTTTCTTTCTGCCTCAGAGCATTTTCCTCTGAAATTGATTAAAGTCTTTTAGTTAACAGGCAGATTGAATATAATCTTTTCCTCTTCAACCTATTAGTCACTGACTACTGAGCATAACTCAGAGGTTTGATTAGAGAGTTCCATTAAAAATCATCATACACTGCATTTTCCATGTCTCTATGAATTTCGCTTTGCTCTGTGCAGTGGCCATAGACTTAACCCTCAACCTGCATTTTGTAACAAATGACATGAGGAGAGAATGAAACCTTTAATTAGTGTCTCTTGAGGATGTTATGGTTCTGAAAAGCTCTGCACCGATGAGAACCACCAGATATTATCCACACTGTGTCTGAAAACCAGTAGTAATAGATGTTTAACTCCTACATTGCCTTCAGTCTTTGTGACTCTCCAGAGTACCAGGGACCAAGGCTGGGAAACCAGTTCTAACTGGACTGTCTAGAAGCCAGGTAAGGCCAGCACATCCTGTTTCCATCAAAGCAGTGGAAACTGACTGAATACTGCTAACACGGTGAAACCCCGTCTCTACTAAAAATACAAAGAATTAGCCGGCTGTGGTGGCAGGTGTCTGTAGTCCCAGCTACTCAGGAGGCTGAGGCAGGAGAATGGCGTGAACCTGGGAGGCAGAGCTTGCAGTGAGCCGAGATCGCGCCACTGCACTCCAGCCTGGGCGACAGAGCGAGACTCTGTCAGAAAAAATAATAATAATAAAGAAAAGAAAAGAAAAAAGAAATGCTTCTGATGACCTGTCAGGTTATCTTTTCCTTTTGGATCCTAAAGAACATGCTGAATCAGCTCACATGGACTGGAATGACACTAGACGCCAGTGTTATGATTAACTCTGTAAGCCAGACAATCCATTGGCTAAATTCTATCCAACAGATTCTTTTCATTCTTTTAAAATATGTTAAGATTAAATCTATCATCTTCTTACACCTGAATTTTGGCATCAGTAATCTCATTTGGAGATTCACACTTTTGTACCCTAATTTTGTGTGGGACTGTGATGCTAACTCTCTAGCACCAAATAAAGCCTTTTTACTTCATATTACTTTAACTAGTGTAGCAATCCTGCTGTGTGCCTTTAAGAATACTAAACATTAAGGGTCTATAACCTACTCTTCCAAATTCCACAGCAAGGTATTACCTTCAGCTTTCTTCAAACAAGAGCAAATGAGTCAAATGATATAGACTGTAGAGCAATGACCAACAAGACCTTTTGAAAGAAACTCACTTCCTCACCTTTGATTCTTTGGCATGCATACCCCAAATCAATTACATGGGACTCCAGGCTGTGTTGATTTTTTTATTTGTGCCAAAATTTTGTTGAATTAGCTGGAATATGAAATTAAATGTGTTTTCACCTGGGTCAGGGAAATGCCTTTGTTATGCAGTGGTTGTTCAGCTGGCAGGTGTGTACCTGCTTGGTTCATTATACACTGGCTGTCAGAATCCTACCTTTCCCATGTTAACTAGGCTCCCTTTTAATTCAGTGAAGTTGGTGCCTGAGGTGGTTGGGTACCGGAAGGCAACAGAAGAGACAAAGACATTCAGTTATTTTGTCAAATTGGTGGGAACATCAGTAGAGTGGAGTGCTAGCTTTACAGATCTCCTACAAACAGAAAATGGCCCCTGAAATGGCATGTGATGACAGCGATGCATCCTTACCTCTCACCTATGCTTCTTCCTTCTTTATGAATTCATGGCAGTCTTGGATTTAGTAGAATGCGTCTTTGCACAATAAGTTTAGACTTGTTAAGCGTGAGAGACTATATGTTCAAATTTCCAGTGAGAGGGATATAGGAACTCCAGCCAGTGAACTATACTGATGTATCTAATATTTCTGAGAGAATATAAATTTTGGTTTGTCCTATGTTGTGCCATATTCTCTAAGTAATGTAATTACAAAGAATAGGAATAAACCAGTATTTACATATAATACTTGTTTTTGGAAAGCTAGATAAGCCTATAAATCTTATGACACTATCTTTTACTCCTTTTATTGAGCAGGCATTTTGGATGGGTCCCAGAACACATTTCATGCTTTTCTATTAAAACAAACACAATGTTATTCCTGTGTGTCTTTTCTTTTTCTCTGATAAGGCTTATCTCGTGCTTCTCTTCAGTAAGATCTAGGTGTGCTTTTGTGAAAATCCCTATTTTAGTCTGTGAAATGCAGCCTCCAGCAAAACAGGCACCCCATGGCCTCCCTTGCATAGTTTCCATAAACCTTTCTTTCTTCTTCCCTCTGATCCCACCCCTATCCTCAACACCGAGCAACCCCTCCCTTCAAACAGCACCAGAGGAAAAAAATATGAAACTAAAGAGATGCACTTGAAATGCCTCCAGGTTTTGCAATAAAGCTTAATGTTCTAAGCATCAACTTTGGCATGCACAAGCACCCGGGATTTACAAGTCTCAGATAATTACAGTTCTAAGCAGTTGAAGTATATCTCACTCTCTGTTTTTCCTGCCATATAATATAATATCCTCAATACATTAAATTAATAAATGACCTAGTACCCTCATCTAACCCTCTGTTTTAAGGGGACAAAAGTAATGGAAACTCACTGGATACCAACTAGGGGGGAACTTCTGGCCCTGCCACTGTGGCCTTAGGGAATTCACTTCAACTCTTCTTGAGTTGCTTCATTTGTAAAGTGGAGATAACAGTGTCTGTCCTGTTCACCTCACATGGTTCTAGCCAATTTCCCACATACTAGTGTATATGTACACAGGCCCCACACACCTTGAAAATCATCTTATTTCAGACTCCCTCCTTCCCTATCACAGACAAGACAAAATTGCATACCTCTTTCTATAAACTGGCATCTAGAAGAAATTAAAGGGTAAACTTACTATCATAATCATCAATCTTATCTGTCTTTTCCTTATATTTTTAAGGTATTGTCCACTTGCCAAGTGAAAAGTAGCTCTTACAAAAGACATGATTTCTGTATGTAATTATGATTTACTGGCAAGATTTTTAAAAGAAGACATTAACTAGTGCCTGCCTTGGCCTACCTCTGATCCTATCTTTTTTATGCATTAATTACCATATTGAAATGCAATTTATTCATTTTTCATTTACCTTTGCTGTGCCCAAATTCTTCATCTTTGAGATGTTGATTGTTTTACCCTTTGACAGGCATTTCTGCCTTCTTCCTATGAGTTGATGTCTAGACAGATAACAGTTATTAAAAGCTTGGGAAATGATTGTTATCCTAGGTAGGCTGGTGCAGGGTTTGTTAAGAAGTAAACATTCTCTGTTTAAGCTTGCTTTGAAAAATATAACTCATTTGTCACTCATTTAAGATGGAAATTGAGTTCTTGGTGAAAATGTCACTCGAGAAAATGGAAGTATGGGGTACCTAAGTGTCATGAATGGCTGGAGTCTTGCTGGGGAAGGGATAAAGCAAGTCTTTGGGTACTCTAAAATGTTGATAATCAGTTGTCAAAGAAATATTAATTGATTGATGATATTAATGATGTTCTTACGGCCATAACATTGGTGGGAAAGGGGGGTAAATTATTTTTAAACTGATATACCCAATCCTACTTGCAAAGAAATTGACTAGAGACAGGCTTAAAGTTTGAGATTTCTCAATTATGTCATGTTTTATCCAGAAACCACTATTGCCAAACAGCAAATGTTATTAATATGTGCTTATTTAATTTAGAAAAGTGTACATCAATCTAACCTGGAAAACATGGTAAAGGCCATCCTTTACCATGTCATCTAGGATATTATCTATCTGTTTTATATGTCTGCCTTCTTATCTATATGAAAAAAACTCTTGAGTGCCTGAATTATTTTAACATGCCCTTACCTATGCACCCACTAAACTACTTCTACTCAGAGTAGGTGTTCAATAAATGTGAAAGTGATTAATCAGGTAATTCAAGAAAACAGAGTGGTGCAAAATCATGGAGGCTAAGGAGTGATAAAAGGGTCCTTGACTTAGTGGCCATGCAATCATGTTTTCCTCTGGCTTCTTCATTGTTAGGCCTCCTAGACCATGTTTGGAGAGAATTTCACTGACTCCAGGACTTTTGGCACTACTCTGGAGATAAGAACGTTCAGGAAACATACTGATCACTTTCCAAACACCCTCAGACCTGCTGCTTAATAGCCACCTGAAAAATTCTTTAATTTTAATTTCTCACCTTCCCGGGGATCTCTTTCCTGGATGATAGGAGGAGGATTCCGGGGAAGACTTCAAGAGACAAGCCTGGAATGAGCTGCTTGAGAGAAACAGAAGGGTTGATCCTGCCCAGCTTAGGGAAGACATTGTTGGAGAAGATTTCACTACTCAGTCATTCAATGAAAAAATGAAGACCATCCCCAACCCTTGATCATCTAATACCACTTTTGTCCTACAGAGGGGCATAGCTTTCAGCAAGACATTCGTCATCCAACCCATTCTCTGCCTGATGCCTTCCCATTCTTTCTTATTACTTTTGAGGGGCTTAAATTTAAAAGGGTAGCATAATGGAGCTTTTACATAGCTGACTTGTAGGGTGGTTGCTCTTGGCCATAGTTGTTAGGAGCACAGCAGGTAATGTTAGACTGACCTGGGTTCTATTCCAGCTTTTCCACTTCCTAGCAGTGAGACTTTGCACAAGTGACTTTACCTGTTCGAACTTATCCAAGCCTGAATTTTTGTACTGGTAAAATAATAGTACTCACCTCTCAGGATTGTTTAGAGGAAAAAGTGAGATAACAGTTTTAAATCACTTAGCATAGTAGTCACTTGATTGTTGCTACTAATTGTTCCCAACATCACAGTTTCATTATGATAATTATTATTCGAAATAATAAATAACTTCCTATCTTTGTGGCCTTTATGAAAGGTCTCTGGGAACCTCTATTGGCTACAGCTTAGGGTGAACAGTTTGCTAGATTCATCTCCTCACATACTCAGGCTAAGTTACTTCTATCCAAGGTAATTGTCTTCTACAAATACAACCTGCTTAAAAGTTAGGCATTACAACCACAAAGTTATCAGCTATGGAGGTCAAAGATACTGAACATTTCACTTAGGCTGCATCTCTTTTCACTTCTGAATCTACTCCTTCAATTATCTAGACCGGTGGTTTTCAAAACTTTTGAACAGCAACATACCCCTTTTGTATCCAAGTGAAGTCATATACAGAACCACAACACATAAAGTATATGAAAGTAATATTTTATTTATTTATTTTTTTGAGACAGAGTGTCGCTCTTGTTGTCCAGGCTGGAGTGCAATGGCGCAATCTCAGCTCACCACAACCTCTGCCTCCCGGGTTCAAGCAATTCTTCTGCCTCAGCCTCCTGAGTAGCCGGGATTATAGGCATGTGCCACCACACCTGGCTAATTTTGTATTTTTAGTAGGGACGGGGTTTCTCCTTGTTGGTCAGGTTGGTCTCGAACTCCCAACTTCAGGTGATCCACCCATCTCAGCCTCCCAAAGTGCTGGGATTACAGGCGTGAGCCACCGTGCCTGGCCATATTTTATTAACATGAGTTTTTTCATAGGTTCATATGCATGATATTTATATATTATTTTCAGTACAAAAAAATGAAACTAGGTACTAAGATTGACAGTCGTAGTCTTTTGTTGGTGTATAATTCAACTTGATCCTGCATTTTTTTTCTACACAGTATTGAAAAATAAAATTCACATCTCTGTAGTAAGTGCAAATGGCTGCAGATTTTTTGTCGTTTTAATAAGTGATCCATAAGCTTAAAAGAATAGTAACAGAAAAAAAATTGTGTGGACTGGTAAAAGCTACTTAGCTTGCTTTCTTTCTTTCTTTCGTTCTTTCTTTCTTTCTTTCTTTCTTTCTTTCTCTCTTTCTTTTCTGAAACAAGGTCTTGCTTTGTCACCCAGGCTGAAGTGCAGTGGCCTTGTCTCCACTCATTGCAAACAGCAACCTCTGCCTCCCAGGCCCAAGCAATCCACCCACCTCAGCCTCCCTCCCGAGTAGCCGGGACTATAGGCCATGTGCCACCACACTTGGCTAATTTTTAAATTTTTTATAGAGATGAATTCTCAATATATTGCCAAGGCTGGTCTTGAACTCCTGGACTCAAGCAATCCTCCCACTTCAGCCTTCCCAAGTGCCATGATTACAGGCATGAGCCACCCCACCCGGCCTACTTAGCTTCTCTGAGCCTTGGTTTTCCTGTTTGTAAAATAGCAATCACAATAGTACCTGTCTCAGGGGGGTTTGAGGGTTAAGTAAGACATTGTATGTAAAGTCTCTAAGGAATTTGGCAGACTTTTCAGAATGCTTGGCACATAAGCAATCAGTAAATACTAACTGGTACTAACGCGATCACCACCACCATCAGCAGCAGAATCCATTTGAATTCCGTAAATCATACAGCAGGAAAATTGGTAAGTAGATTCCTTAGCTCATTTCATCTTCATTGTTTGGTGGGAAACACTTTTTCAAATCAATCTTACAATATTGTAAAATGCTTAACCTTAAATGCCCATCTCTATCAGATACTAACTCTAGGTCCTGTAGTACATAATTTGGAAACCACTGGTGTAGAAGTCTGACCAAGTTTCTGCAAAGATTGCCTGGTAGATTATGAGCTCTTTGAGAGCAGGGGCTATTTTATTTATCTGTGTATTCTTTCTGTTGCCTGAGACAGCAGATGCTCAAAAAATATTTCTTAGATTATATTCAGGTTCATGTCTATAGATTTTAAAGAAGCTTACTATTACCCCTAATTACCTTTCCATTTAAAATCAAATTTTCTTTTTTGTCTTCCTCTACATTTTCTCCAACATTACTGTAAATTTTAAAAATTATCCCCTGAATCAAGAGTCCCAACCTTTTGGTGGTAAAGAGTTCCTCAGTTCCTCAGTTGGAACTTCCAGGTTATGAAGGCCTTAATATCCTCTGAAGAAGGAAAGCAATTTAGCATTAATCTCTCAAGGGAGAGGCAACAAACATTTGATTTTAGACTTGACAGTTTCTGGTTATAAAAGTTGCTTTTAGCAACCATATAAAAGTCATTAGCAGTCATAACAAAGCCGTTCTATTACATATAATTCGCTCCCAGAGTTGAGATTTCTGGTAGTAAAATCACAGACGCCATAAAACTGTGGCAGTTGGCTGTTAATACAACCTGTCCTTATGTTCTAGAAGGCAAATTTAGATTGCCATTGCTTAAAGAATTACAGAACTTCTAACTTCTTGCCTCCCTTTCTTCCTTTCTTTCTTCCTTCCTTCCACAATCATTATATCACCATCACCCATATTAGTTCTTGCCCTCAAGTAGTTAAAATTCTAGCAAGGAAGACAGACACACACAAAAAAATGCCTTCACATTTATTGCATGGCAGTCTAATTGAAATATACAAAGTATATTATAAAAGCACAGAGCAGTGAAGCACCAAAAGCAGCATTAGTGGGATATCCTAAAGGATAGATTGGAGTTATCCAGGAAAAGGGGTGAGGATGGAAAGAAAGACTATTTCAGGCATAGGTTGCGGCATTGAGGATAAAGCCAGGACAAGATACACCTACTATGTACCCACAAAAATTAAAAAGTAAAAAGTAAACAGGGCAAGAACCAGCATGGTGTGTGTGGAAAACTCCAAGTAGTTCATTGTTAGAGAGGCATGAAGTGCCAGGTAGAAACTGATGAAAAACAAGCCTAGAATAGGCAGGTACCAGATCAAGGAGGACCTTGGATAACAGATAACATAAAAAGCCTGAAATGTATCATGTAAGTGATAGTGATCTACTAGAAGATTCTAGTATAATGGTGGATACCGGAAGGTTAGTAGAAATGTTGGGTGACAATTTTCCTAAGAAGTCTGGTAAGTAAAGGGTTAAGATAAGGTCAGGAGGAAGGGCGAGGATTGTAGAAATGGAGTGGAAAAAACAGATTCATGGGCTTGGTGCGCTGGCTCACACCTATAATCCCAGCACTTTGGGAGTCCAAGTTGGGAAGATGGTGTGGGTCCAGGAGTTTGACACCAGCCTAGGCAACATAGTGAGACCTCTTCTCTACAAAAAGTTAAAATAAAATTAGCCAGGCATTGTGGCATGTGCCTGTAGTACTAGCTACTCAAGAGTCTGAGGTGGGAAGATCACTTGAGCCCAGGACGTCAAGGCTGCAGTGATCCAAGATCACCCCTCTGTGCTCCAGCCTGGGCAACACAGCAAGACCCTGTCTCCACAAAAAAAGAGATAAATAGGAGGTAAAATTGGCAGGATTTCATAATTTAGTGCACATAGGGTAAGGGAAAGAAGAATTATTAAGAAATGTCTATCTTAGGTTTCCTGCTTAGTGATATCAATGACAGTGGAAGATGGAGAAATTTAGGAGGAGTTAGACTTGACATCAGCTTTGGATGTAAGTTTGAGAAGCCTGCTCTCCCTTGGTCCATGCAAGAGGAATTAATTATAAGGCAATTGGAAATACTAGTTCTTGGTAGAGGTTTGGCCCAGATATAGATATGGGAATGATGGGCATATTGATGATAGTTGAAACTAACTATAGGAATGGATGGGTTTACTCAAGGAGAAAATGTAGCATGAAAAGAACAGAGATCTGATAATGGAGTCCAGGCATAACATCAACATTTAATAAATATTTCTTGAGTGCTTACACCAAATATAGGAAAGCCCTGACCTAAAGGACTTCACAACCTAGTTAACAATGATACTGAATTTCTGGCCGGGCACAGTGGCTCATGCCTGTAATACCAGCACTTTGGGAGGCTGAGGCGGGCGGATCACTTGAGGTCAGGAATTCAAGACCAGCCTGGCCAACACGGTGAAAACCCATCTCTACTAAAAATACAAAAATCAGCCAGGCCTGTAATCCCAGCTACTGGGGAGGCTGAGGTACGGGAATCACTTGAACCCGGGAGGCAGAGGTTGCAGTGAGCCGAGATCATGCCACTGCATTCCAGCCTGGGGGAAAGAGGGAGAACTCCGCTTCAAGAAAAAAAAAAACAAAAACAAAAACAAAACAAAACAAAAAAAACCCATGATACTAAATTTCAAACTGCTTCTCAAAGTGCCAGGTTTCTGAGGAGGTGCAGAGGATAAGGAATAGACTGAGCAGTCTTTCACTCATGCTTTAATTAGAAGAGCTTCACTTCTACGTGTGTGTGTGTGTTTGTGTTTGTGTGTTTCTTTTTCCATTGTATGTTTGTTTTGTGTGGGGGGTAGATGAGGTTGCTGTTGTTAAAAAAGAGAAGTTTGACAACCATTGTGCTAAAAATCTGATTTAAATATAGTAAACAAAATATTCAAGATGAATACCTGGCTCAAACTCTACTTTTGGTGAAAAGAAAGGGATTAAATCAATTTCAAAAATTGGCAATGATATATGGCTGGTGTTCAGTTCTATTTCACTCACTTCAGCATCATTCAATCATCATACATTACTAAGTATGAAAGAATAGAGGAGAAATTGGAATACATATTTGTTAGGAGATGCATGCCAGATGAGGTATTGAGTACATGAAGCAGGTAAGGTAGATTTTTAAATATTTTGCTACTGACTTTGGATATGATGAGATGAACAGTTAGAAGCCATTGTTCTCCAATAGACTTTTGCCTTAATGTATGTTTTAGAATAAATTTAACCATATCACTGATCACATATAACACATGAGGTGAATTGAAAATTAGCATTCCTAAAGGATGAAATTTCTACAAATCAAAACTTCCGCAGGGATGTTGGTCAATGCTTCTTTTAAAACCGAGGATATAGATAATTTGTATATGGGAGTGATATCCTCTGTCTCCCCTCCATGCCACTCTAATAACTAAGCAACAAGATTTATATCATGTTTAGAATTTATCAGTAGAATAAATAAGTCCCTGGAAGTCAAACATATAAGGATAATCAATGTTATCATCATCTGACAGGAGAGATTAATAGGATTTGTATATTTTAAAAGTGAAAAGTAGTCATTTTTATTTACTAAAATAATATGTCTTAGTCTGTGTTGCACTACTATAACAGAACACCACAGACTGAGTAATCTACAAAAGGCAACAATTTATTTCTCACAGTATTGGAGGCTGGGAAGTTCAAGATCAAGGTGCAGAAATATGGGAGTTGCACTGAGGGGAAAAGCCTATAGCAGTTCTGCTTTCAATTGTTAAGACTTGGAATAGCAGCAAGGTTGAGGGGCACAAAGAAGGAGCCTCTGAATCTAAGACCCCCTTATTAAATCAGGACACGTAAAGAGAGCAAATGGTCCCAGATCGATAGTGTTCTTCCCTTCCAGTACAAGCAGACAAGAATATTATTTTAAAATCCCCAATTTAGATATACAGTTTTACAGCAGATTATGAAGCAGATCTTTGATTCACAAATATCAAAGATCACCAAGTACTGAGGAAGTAAGTCACCATAAACAGGAATCAGCAAAAACAATAATGAGCAGATTTATATCCCTAAACGCTTTATTTAGAATATTTATGTATGATGTGTTGAAAAAACTAGGGATATATTCCAAAGATGAGCTATCAAACAAAAAGAGACAAATATGAGTTACTAGGGAAATCTGCAAAATAACTAAATGGAACTTCTAGAATTGAACAACGCATTTATTAAAATAAGAAATGCAGTGAATGGTTAAAAACAAAAATAAAGAGCAAATTGGGGAACTAGAAGAAAAATCTAGAATTATCTACAATGGGGATAGAAAAACAAGAGTAGCAATATTAAAAAAATAAGAGATGTGGAGCACAGAATGCAAATACTTAACTCATATTGAATTAGAGCGCCAGAAGGAGATAATAGAGGGAATTGAGGAGAGGTATTATTTGTATACATAATTATGAAGAATATTTCAGAATTTATTAAACATATGAATCCTCAAATTCAGGAAATACAACACATACCAAAACAAGATGAGAGAGAGAGAGAGAGAGAGAGAGAGAGAGAGAGAGAGAGAGAGAGAGCTAATCTTTGCATAGATACATTGTGGTGAAACTTTAGGACACCATCAAGAAAAAGATCTTAACAGCAGAGGGACAGATCACATAGAGAAGAACAACAATTACACTGAAAGCAGATCACTTACCGATCGAAATGGAATGCAAAATTTAATGCAATGCAAGAAGAAAATAACAAATCTGCTATCTTAGAGGAAGATTTTTAAACACCTCATTCAATTATGAATACTTCAAGCAGATAAAAAATTAGCAAAGATATAGAATATTTGAACAACCTAAGTACAAGCTTGATATAGTAAATGTTTATAGAACACTATATCCAACAGTTAGAGAATACATATTCTTCTCTAGCAGACATGGAACATACATAAAAATTGAGCATGTATTCGGCCCTAAAGCAAATTACAACAGAATTTAAAGAAATCCATACGTCTAGAACATGTTTTCTAACCATATGACGTCAACAACAAAAAGATAATTTTCAAAATCCCTATGCATTTAGACATTGAAAACACACATAATATTATAATAAAAATTAAATTTTAGAATTGAATGATAACAAAAATACTATATATCAAAACTTGTAGCATGTAATGAGATTTATACATGGAAAAATGTATGTTATTCAATTCTTATAATAAGAAAATGAAGACTAAAAATTAATGATATAGATATTCAACTTCAGAAGTTAGAAAAAGAAAAACAGAACAAATCCTAAAAAGTTGAAGAAAAAGTTAGGAGGAGAAATTAATTAAATAGAAAACAAACATGCAGCGGAGAGGATCATTAAAGTCAAAGTTGGTTTTCTGAAAAGAATAATAAAACTGAAAAACCTCTGGCAAGGAAAAAATGTCGCAAATAATATCAGCTATTAAAAAGAAGATATAACTATATATGCTCTGGATATTGAAAATATGATAAGAGGATGTTGCAAACAACTTTATGCCATTAAATTTTGCTTAAAATAAAATAGACAAATTCTTAGAAGAATAACGATTAAAGAAATGCATTCTGTAGTTAAAGTTATACTAATCTTTTATGAAACAGATTATCTCAGTCTTTATACAGATTTTCCAGAGAATAGAAAAAGCAGGAGTACCCCACCAACTTATTCCATGAGATCAGTATAACTTTAAGGGGAAAAAAAGATAATGGCAAAAAGAGAAAGGAAAATTACTGGCCAGTTTCTTTTATGAACATAAATGTAACAATCCTAAACAAAATACTAGGAAAGTAAATCCAGTAGGATATAAAAAGGAAAATCTATCATGACATGTTGGGTTAATCTCAGGAATGTAGCAGTGGTTTTAACATTAAGACATGCATAAATTCAAATTACAATATCAATAGATTGAAGGAGGAAAAATATACCCATCTCAGTAGAGAGATTTCCCCACAATAGTACATGGATAACTCCCTGGCAATTCACTTGACCTCCATAGTGGATGAAACATTTTAAAAGCAATAAGCTGTGAGTTTTAGGTCTTGGTTTTCAGTTTGGTTACTCCCTGTTAACATGTAAATGCTGCAAATTTTTATTTTAGTTAAAAATAAAACTTATGTTGCCTGATTACAAAATAATATACCTGCATTGTAGAAAAATGGAAAAATGCAGAAAAGAATAAGGAAGAAAAGTAAGAGTACCCACCCATAATTCCACAATTTTTAACTTTTTCAGTTCATATCCTTCCAATAGATTTTATGTATGTGTATATATTTGTATTGTAAAGGAATGTGACCATACTGTACATATTATGCTATCGTAACCTATTTTCATTTATCAGTATCATGAATATATTTAATATAATCTCCCTAACAGCCTTATACATCACCTATTAATGACCACATTTTATCATATTAAATAGATATTATATTTTACTCCCATATTGTTACACATTTTAGGTTGTTTTCAACCTAAGTTCTTGAAAATAATACTGTGATTAACACTTTTATAGCTGAGGCTTTATACTTACTTATTTTCCTTAGGGAACATAACTACACATAAAATTACTATGTCAAAGGATGTGCACATTTTTAAGGACTCAAGAAATGACTATTTTCAGACACATATCTAAATATATATATGAACTTAATAAATAGTGAAGGTAGCACCTCAAATCAGCTTTTTTGGAGATAGTTGACAGTAATTTTGAAAAAGTGAAATCTGTATTGCATACAAGACACCACAATATACATCGGGTATAATAAAATCTTAAATGTGAGAGACAAAACCTTGAAAAATTCTACAAGAGAACATAGAGAAATATTCTCATATAAGTGTGGAATAGGGAATGACTTTCTAAATTCTAAGGATGTTATAAAGCCTGAAAGGCTAAAGAAAATTCTTGATACCTTTGAACACTTTCTAAATTTTTTGTGTCAAAAATAGTTCATGGAAAAAATAGTAGGCAAATGCCACATTTGGGCAAATATTTACAACGTGAGTAAAAGAAAGGCTTAATTCATTACTATATAAAGAAATGAAGGCTATCTTTTATCTGTGCATTTATATTTAAACACACATACACATTCATACACATACACACACACACACACATACATACATACATGGGCCTTTTTCAAAAAACAGAAGATAAGACTTTTTCTTTTGTCCTTTTTCACAGTGGGAGCTGGAAAAGAGATTTTCTGAAACCAGATTGTAAATTGCAAAAGGCATTTTTCTCTGGGGTTCAGGTGAGATGAGGCAGCAGTTTCACCCTGCTGTATTTGGACCCTAGATAGAAAGCATATTCCTTTTGTCATTGCTCTGAGATGCAGCTCTAGCCTTGAGCTAAGAGCAAAAATAAGTGAGCTATGAAAATCTGGGTGTGACTACTAAAATGCTGATAATTTAATCTATTACAAGCAAAAATGAGTAATGAGATAGTACCATCTTTATGTGATTTATGGCCAAAGTTTTTAACATTGTAGTAAAGAAGTCTCTTATTTTAAGAGACTCTGAAAGAGCGAGGAGAGAGGGAAGGAAAGGAGGGAGAAAGCGGAATTAAATGACAAACCTAGAGACTTCTATTTCCTGGGGGTAGTAACAGCAAAATATTTGCCCAGCAGTAAAGAGGGCAAAGAAATCACTTCTTAGAGAATTGTCTAAAGACATTTTTTCCTAGCAAATAATAATCTCTACAAACCTTCACCTCATAATAAAGGAGGCTCAGTACTGGCCTTCGGAAAAGAAAAGTTTTATTGGCAGCCATGTAGTCTGAATACAGAGTCTGATAGAAATCATAAAGCATGTCTTGACTGGTAGTCATGATGACAGCAATAGAATGGCTTTCAGGCACTAAAAGGAACACAGTAAACTCCCTGAAATTAGCCATCTCCACTGTCTTTTTCAATGTGAGACTGACAATACTTAGTTTACAATTCAGTGTGATCTCCATGTTAAACAAGTAGGAAAATCAGAGTAGGCTGGGAATTTTGGAAGCTTCTGCATTATCTGGGTTTATGTTCTTAGATGGGCTTTTCTATAGTCCCTTTGCATTATCAAACTTTCAAAATGGTTAATAATGAAATATACTAGGATGAATCATTGGATTATTCAATGGTGATTAAAATCTGCTGCTTTCCCTGGGTGTCTCATCTTCCTTCCAGCCCTAGCATTTTGTGTGTTGAAAAGAACATTGCCTGAAGGGAAAACACTTGCACAAACAGTACACTTGGAAACAATCCAACTAAAAACTTGGAGGCATGTTCCTGACCCAAATAGGAACATATCCTATTGTCTTTTTGCCCCAGTTTTCCCTGATTTGTAGTATTTAAAGAGTTGCTGTTTTGAAGAAATTACAGTATAATTTATACCAATCTAGAATGTAAATGTAATTGGACAATTTACAAATTAGATAGGTCTAGTACTAATGAAAGGCACAAAATAAAAAATCTTAGAGTCTATTTGAGACCATTAACCAGGGCAGAATCTAACATAGTACATTGAACTTAGTGGGCATTTCATACGTGTTTGTTAAATTAAACTGAATGAGTTCGTAAAACAGCATTCTCTCTATTACTGCCTTGCTAAAAATTCTTGCATGGTTTTTCATTTATGAGAAATCCAAGTTCAACTCCTCCTCCCCTTCTGTACCCAGCAGTAGTCAGCAGCTTTATTTCATACTACCTACTTATGTGCCTCCTTCACCATGGCCAGCAAAATAGATATAATGCCTCCCAAGACTTTGACTGGCCATACTACAAAAAGGATGCTCTCCCTTCAATTTATCCAAACACTTCACAGCCTTCTACTTACAGCATGGATTCCACATCCTTCTGCTTATTCTGCCCTGACACTCTAGCGCCAAAGTATTTATTGCCACTTTTCTCTTTTGTCTTTCCCTCTTGTTTGACTCTTACCAAGTATACTTATTGGTTTCTCCAAATTCGCAATTTTCCAGTCTTTTTTTCTCAGATTGTCAACTCTTAGAAGTGAGAAGTTCCTAGCATATATCTCTCTGTACACCCTACCTCTTTTTTCTGGGTTCTTAATCTAGGGTCTTAATCAAGGAAGGCGATCCCTTAACGGTCTGTGGATAGAACTATATTTCAATGTAACCTACTTTTTTGGTAATCCTATAGGTCCTATTTTAGTTTTGAATTTTTTCATTGAAGTAGAACATCCATCTAGAAAAGTGCACGAATCATAAGTGAATTTTTGCATGATGAATAGAACTGTATAACTACCACCCAGAACAAGGAACAAGAATGTTACCACCACTACAGAATATAGAACCTAACACATCCTGACTTCTGACACCATAGATCAGTTCTGTATGTTCTTGAACTTTAATTAGTAGGAATCACTGTTATGTGTTTAGTTTATGCATTTAAGGAATTGTTCTGAGAAGATGTCCAAAACACACAGACACACATAAATTTTAAAAGGTACAGAACCATGGACAACCTTTTAGGCTTTCCCAGATCTAAGATTTCTGAGTTTGATTCTTTACATAAAATGAGGGGGAATTTGCAGAAGTAATTGCAAAAGTAAAGTGACTCAGAATCAGAATCTGATAATGCCTAAAATAGATGGGCAGTGCCAAGGATTTGCGAAGATTGATTCATCATTAGTCAGTTCTTGCCGTGAGGGTAGGGTGGGGCGAGTACTTTTTGACCTACCAAATGAGCTTTAACTATTTTAACATATATTGCTCACGGCTTTGTGTTTTACTCTTTAACAATAATTTTAAGAATAGTCAGCTGTTTTGTGGACTAAACTCTCACATCGTCTAACACGGGGTCTTGAGTGTAAAAAGAACTCAGTAAGTATCTGCTTAACCATTTTGTGCTTCAGTATCTGCTTGGCCATTTTGAACCACAATGTCAGCTAATTAGCCTTTTCAAAAAGGTACATTTTTGTCTAATTGGTAGTTTCTACCAGACTTCAATGGAATTCCTTTGCTTGGTATCAGCTATAGAAAGATGTGTTTGCACTGAGGGTGGACAACACTACAGCAAGGACCTACATGTGTAGGCAGAGACTGATCTAACTAATCAGTAAAAACTGCAAATGAGCATCAGTTCCATACAATGTCTTTGTGATATGATTACATCAGTATACCTACTTCTCCATATGTGTTTTTTTTTTTTTCAGGGAGTTAGATGGCTCCTCTCTGCTTGTTCTTTTTGCCTAATATTTTTGTTGTCCTGAATATCTTCCATTAATTGAATGTCATGTTTTTATTGCTTACTTGAATGCATACAGCATTCAAGGGCTGTGGCAGATGAAAAAGAAATAGAATGTGCTGGTCTAAATCACCTAGTAATTTAATGACTAGTTTGAGAAACAAGACATAAAAAGAGATAAACAAAAGTGCACGCCTGACTATATTTAAGCAATAAATGATAAAGACATTAACAATTGTTGATTGTTAAGTGAGTAACCCACTTTTGGAGAGGATGAGGAAGGCCTCAAAGAACAGATCATCACCATCATAGCTAATTCATAATTTCTATGTAGAATAGGCTTAGGGTATAGCAATCTGAGTAGAAGGAAGGGTTGAGGGACTTGTCCTGAAACTGCATTTACATTAACAAACATACTGTTCTTATGTAGATTATATGCTTATTTATAATGGATCTTGAAGAATACTTAGGGCCTGGCTTAGTGAAGGAGAGAAAATCTTCTTGGTTGAAGAGTCCCAATCTACTGTGTGTATAACTGAATTTGTGGAAGATACGATGTGTAAGACAAGGTTTCTGTTCTCAATAATGTTGTAACCTGCATGGAGAGGCACCATATACATGAATAGAAAGTCATTACAAATAGAAATAATTTTGAGATAAATGTCATTTGCAAGTGCTAAGTGATCAAAGGAGAAAGAGAGGTCAGCATTTGCCTTGGTGGTCAGGGAAGCCTTCCTGGGTCAGGTGAAACTTTGAGCTAGGCCTTGAAAGAGACATAGAAATCGAACAGGCAGAGAAAGGGAGCTCATGTCAAATTACATTGATTGTCTTCCCTGACTTCACAGTCAGCACTGAATGAACTCTCTTCCTGTGACTCACCTTCTGAATGACATCATTTTATAAATCTTAGGTGCATCATGACTTGCGTTACTTTTGAATTGGAAGTGTTATCTCCCCAACAGCCTGTGGAATGATTATTTAGCACTGGCAGGTAGTGCTGCATCATACCTTTCTGTTCTGAAAGAGTTAACAGAGCTTCTATAGGTATCCAACCAGAAGTTCAGGCACTGGACCTAGACTTTAGATAACAGAAATGCCTTTGTGCTGGAGTACACTTAATGAGAGAGAGCACCTCTGTCCCGACACATTTGATGAATTCACTCAATTTGGGAAAACCCAGACCAGCGCACAGACACTAAGATGAGAAAAGAAAAGGTTTCGTTCACCTTCTTCATTCCAAGGTTGTGAATTCATTCTTGGGAGGCCTTGAAAAGGGAGGGTGGAAAGAGTAGGAGGAGGAGTGGAGGTGGGGGATACGGAGTTTCTGACCTGAATTCCACAACAGAGGAATGTGTGAACAGCAAGAGACACAGGTACAGGCTAGTGCTCTCACATACCTGAGGAAAACAGATTTTACCCAACTTCCACTCTGTCCACTCTGCAGACAGTTGACAGTGTGGTAAAGAGAATTAATAATTCTATATAATTATTTTATTTAATAACTTATTTTTATTTACTAATTTTATTTGTTATTATTTATTAATATGTTTTATTTCCCAGAGTTTAGGGAGGGTACCGTGAAAAAGGAGAGAGAATTAACATTTTAAAACACTTAAACACAAAAAAGAAATTGGCTGTAGAATGTCCAAAGTGAACAGTTTAATGCTGTTTAAAGCGGTCCTGGATCAGCCATGTTTAAATGAGGTATATGAAGAACAAAAATCATGCTTGTTCTGATTCGTCATAAAACTACAAGGTGGTTAACTGGGAGAGAAAATGACGTCAGCCCCTCTTATTATGAAGCCCTTTGGGAAAGCTAGTTAGATGTATTTTTTACTATCTTTGTGAGAGACCCTTGGGACAGAAGTTAGTTTCAGAAAATGCAAAACATCCACAGGGACAATCATAGTACATTTGTTCACATTGCCATGCAAACTGTAAAGGCAAATATAAACTATAATTCAGG
Organism: Homo sapiens; assembly: GCF_000001405.40. NCBI lineage: Eukaryota > Metazoa > Chordata > Mammalia > Primates > Hominidae > Homo > Homo sapiens. Next base: position 108,395,642 of record NC_000023.11, on the reverse strand, counting down.
GCACATAGAAAAGTTAAGGAAACATGGGAAGTTGATTCTCCTGCTTAATAAGACTGACAGGATAAACCAAAGTCAAATCATTTATATTTTATAAGCTGTAATGTTTTCTAGATATTGGGTTAAGGAAAAACATGAGATACCTGCAGTTATTGCATCAACTCATTGTAATTTTTGCTTATAGTTCTTTTCTTTTGAGATTGATAAATATTATCTGTGGAGATTTTTCTTCTCACCTAAAGAAAGTTCCTTTGGCTGATGGGGCACATTTCACGGTATACACAGGATCTGCTGTCATAGAGAATAGCCCTATAAACCCTCAAACTGATAAGTTATTTCAACTTTCAACTGTGAGTCAGAATCTGATGCTCCAGAGGTAGCATGTGGAAGATCACACAGTAACACATGTTTAGCTTTTGATGAAGAGCTTTATAAACTTTGCTAGGAAAAGGTACTCTTGCCCTTGATCTTTCAGTAGTGCATTGAGTGACAAAGACAAGCAATAGTAAATTGGTTGGGGTGGAGTGGAATGGTGATGACATTAATATAAAAACAAACTTCACTGAATACTATGTAAGTATACCATCCTAGAGAAAGTGGTATATGGCAACATAGAATCTCAGAACCTGTATTCATATGGATTATTTTTATTATTAATTTTTATTGAGTAATAATATACATTCAATGAAATATAAAAAAAAAACTTAACTCTTCTGCTTAATATATAAAACCACCTAGATCAAGATATAGAACATTTCCAGAATTGCACCAGACTTGCTTCTAACTTCTATCACCATAGATTACTTTTTGACTCTTCTTGAATTCATAAAAATGGAATTACATGGTGTAAATTCTTTTATGTCTAGCTTTTTGTTATCATCTGTAAGATTGTTGCTAGTAGCATTTACAATTACTTTTAATGCAAATTGATCAGTGAACAATTCAGTGATTCCACAAGTAGACGATAAATGCCTTCTACATGCCAGACATTGTGCTAGGTGCTAGGAATTCATAACCCAGTTATATATGGTTCCTGCCTTCAAGGAACTAACAGCTTTAGTGGAAAAGATGAACAGGCTAAAAATAAGAATATAGCCACACCAGCTTTTTTTGTGATTAGTATTTACAAAAGATACCCCTCCCATCTTTTTATTAGGTTTGGTGCAAAAGTAATTGAAGTTTTCGCCATTACTTTTTTTTTCTTTTTCTTTTTCTTTTATTATTATACTTTAAGTTCTGGGGTACATGTGCAGAATGTGCAGGTTTATTACATAGGTATACATGTGCCATGGTGGTTTGCTGCACCCATCAACCCCTCATCTGCATTAGGTATTTCTCCTAATGCTATCCCTCCCCTAGACCCCTACACCCCGACAGGCCCCAGTGTGTGATGTTCCCCTCCCTGTGTCCATGCACTCTCATCGTTCAACTCCCGCTTATCAGCGAGAACATGCAGTCTTTGGTTTTCTGTTCTTGTGTTAGTTTGCTGAGAATGATGGTTTCCAGCTTCATCCATGTCCCTGCAAAGGATATGAACTCATCCTTTTTTATGGCTGCATAGTATTCCATGGTGTATATGTGCCACATTTTCTTTATCCAGTCTATCATTGATGGACATTTGGGTTGGTTCTAAGTCTTTGCTATTGTGAACAGTGCCGCCATAAACATACGTGTGCATGTGTCTTTATAGTAGAATGATTTATAATCCTTTGGGTACATACCCAATAATGGGATTGCTGTATCAAATGGTATTTCTAGTTCTAGATCCTTGAGGAATTGCCACACTGTCTTCCACAATGGTTGAACTAATTTACACTCCCACCAACAGTGTAAAAGCGTTCCTTTTTCTCCACATCCTCTCCAGTATCTGTTGTTTACTTTTAAAGTTACTTTTTATTACTTTTAAAGGTGAAAATCACAATTACTTTTGCACCAACCTAATAATTTCAACCATGCTATGACTTTATAGTTATTTGGTGACAGCTTTATTGAGATGTAATTCACATACTGTACCACTGAATTCACTTATTTAAAGTGTATAGTTCAATGGTTTTTAGTATATTCATTGGTGTTTATAACTATCACCACAGTCAAGTTTGGAACATTTTCACCAGCTCAAAAAGAAATCCCATAGCTGTGGGCAATGATCCCTCTATAACTTTATCTCCCCAAACCCCAAGCAACCACTAATCTGCTTTCTGTCTCTATAGATTTGCCTATTCTGAGCATTTCATATAAATGAAACCATACAGTATGTAGTCTTTTGTAAATGGATTCTTTCACTTAGTATAATGTTCTTAGTGTTCATTAATTGGTAGCATGCATCAGTACTTTATTCCTTTTTATGGTTGAATAATATTCCAATGTATAAATATACCACATTTTGTTTATCCATTCATCGGTTGAAGGACATTATGATTCTTTTTTCACTTTTTGGCTATTATGAATAATGTTGCTATGAATATTCATGTACAAATTATTGTGTGGTCATTTTTTTCCTCTTGAGTATATACCTAGATGTGAAATTGATAGGTCAAATCACAATTCTACATAAACTTTTTAAAGAGCTACCAGGCTATTTTTCAAAATGGCTGCACCATTATACATTCCCATCAGCAATATACTAAGGTTTCAGTTTCTCATATCTTTGTCAGCACTTGTTATCTCTTTTATTATAGCCATTGTCTTAGTCTGTTTGGGTTGCTGTAACAAAATACCATAAACTGGGTGGTATATAAACAACAGAAACTTATTTTACACAGTTCTATAGGCTACAAAATTCAAGATTAAGGCATCAACAGATTCAGTGTGTGATGAGGGCCCACTTTCTGTTTCATGGACAGTGTTCTCACTGTGTTCTCATGTGGTGGAAGCAATGAACAAGCTTTCTTGGGCCCCTTTTATAAGGGCACTAATACCATTTATGAGGTTTCCACTCTCATGACCTAATCACCTCCTGAAGGCCCTAATTCCTAATATCCTTACCTTGGGGGTTAGAATTTTAGCATGCTAATTTTGGGGAGACTCAAAGATCCAAGTCATACACAACATCCATTCTCATGAGTGTGAAGTGGTATCTCATTGTAGTTTTTATTTGCACTTCCCTGATGGCTAATGATATTGAGCATCTTCTCATGTGCTTATCAGTCACTTAAATATTTTCTTTGGAGAACAGTTTTTTTTTTTTTCAGATCATTTGTCCATTTTTAATTGGGTTAATTGTCTTTTTGATGTCCAGTTGTGAGAGTTCTTTATCTGTTCTAGATTACACGCTCCTTATCAGATAGATGATTTGCAAATATTTTTTCCCATTGTGTGGGTTATCTTTTCAATTTCTTGATAGTGTCTTTTGAGGTATGAAAATGTTTAATTATAATAAAATCCACTCTATTCTTTTTCTTGTTGTTCATGCTTTTGGAGTCATATACAAGAATCCATTGCCAAATTTGAGGTCCTAAATATTTATATGTTTTCTTCTAAAAGTTTTATAGTTTTAGCGCTTACATTTAGGGCTTTGATCCATTTTCAGTTAATTATTACATATTGTGTGATGTAGCAGTCCGAGTTCATTCTCTTGCATGTGGATATCCAGTTGTTCCACGCCATTTGTTGAAAAGACTTCCTTCCTCATTGAATGGTCTTGGCACCTTTGTTAAAAATCAACTGAGGCGGGAGAGCTGGCAAGATGGCCGAACAGGAACAGCTCTGGTCTGTAACTCCTAGCAAGATTGATGCAGAAGGCGAGTGATTTCTGCATTTCCAACTGAGGTACCCGGTTCATCTCATTGGGACTGGTTGGACAGTGGGTGCAGCCCATGAAGGGCGAGCCAAAGCAGGGTGGGGCAGCGCCTCACACAGGAAGCACAAGGGGTCGGGGGATTTCCCTTTCTTAGCCACAGTAAGCCATGAGAGACTGTACTGGGAAAAACAGTACACCCTGGCCCAGATGCAGCACTTTTCCCACAGTCTTTGCAACCAGCAGACCAGGAGATTCCCTCTGGTGCCTGGCTCGGGGGGTCCCAACCCCACAGAGCCCAACAAGCTAAGATCCACTGGCTTGAAATTCTTGCTGCTAGCACAGCAGTCTGAGGTCGACTGGGAGCTTGGTGGGGGGAGGGGCTTCTGCCATTGCCGAGGCTTGAATAGGTGATTTTACCCTCACAGTGTAAACAAAGCCACCAGGAAGTTAAAACTGGGTAGAGCCCACCACAGCTCAGCAAGGCCTCCTGCCTCTCTAGATTCCTCCTCTCTGGGCAGGGTGTCTCTGAAAAAAAGGCAGCAGCCCCAGTCAGGGACTTATAGATAAAACCCCCATCTCCCTGGGACAGAGCACCTGGGGGAAGGGGCAGCTGTGGGTGCAGCTTCAGCAGACTTAAACGTTCCTGCCTGTCATCTCTGAAGAGAGCAGCGGTTCTCCCAGCACAGCGTTTGTGCTCTGATAAGGGACTGACTGCCTGCTCAAGTGGGCCCTTCACCCTTGTTTATCCTGACTGGGAGACACCTACCAGTAGGGGCAGACAGACAGCTCATACAGGAAAGCGCTGGATGGCATTTGGCTGGTGCCCCTCTGTGACGAAGCTTCCAGAGGAAGGAACACCATCTCCACTGGTGATACCCGGGAAAACAGGGTCTGGAGTGGACCTCCAGCAAACTCCAGCAGACCTGCAGCAGAGGGGCCTGACTATTAGAAGGAAAACTAACAAACAGAAAGGAATAGTATCAACATCAACAAAAAGGACGTCCACTCAGAGACCCCATCCAAAGGTCACCAACATCAAATCCACGAAGATGGAGAGAAACCAGCACAAAAAGGCTGAAAATTCCAAAAACCAGAGTGCCTCTTCTCTTCCAAAGGATCACAATGCCTCGCCAGCAAGGAAACAAAACTGGATGGAGAATGAGTTTGATGAACTGACAGAAGTAGGCTTCAGAAGGTGGGTAATAACAAACTCCTCCGAGCTAAAGATGCATGTTCTAAACCAATGCAAGGAAGCTAAGAACCTTGAAAAAAGGTTAGACAAATTGCTAACTAGAATAACCAGTTTAGAGAAGACATAAATGACCCAATGGAGCTGAAAAACACAACATGAGAACTTTGTGAAGCATACACAAGTATCAACAGCCAGAATGATCAAGCAGAAGAAAGGATATCAGAGATTGAAGATCAACTCAATGAAATAAAGCGAGAAGAAAAGATTAGAGAAAAAAGGATGAAAAGAAACGAATGAAGCCTCCAAGAAATATGGAACTTTGTGAAAAGACCAAATCTATGTTTGATTGGTGTACCTGAAAATGATGGGGAGAATGAAACCAAGTTGGAAAACACTCTTCAGGATATTATCCAGGAGAACTTCCCCAACTTAGCAAGGCAGGCCAACATTCAAATTCAGGAAATACAGAGAACACCACAAAAATACTCCTCCAGAAGAGCAACCTCAAGATATATAATTGTCAGATTCACCAAGGTTAAAATGAAGGAAAAAATGTTAAGGGCACCCAGAGAGAAAGGTTGGGTTATCCACAAAGGGAACCCCTTCAGACTAAAAGTGGGTATCTCTGCAGAAACCCTACAAGCCAGAAGAAAGTGAAGGCCAATATTCAACATTCTTAAAGAAAAGAATTTTCAACCCAGAATTTCATATGCAGCCAAACTAAGCTTCATAAGTGAAGGAGAAATAAAATCCTTTACAGACAAGCAAATGCTGAGAGATTTTGTCACCACCGGGCCTGCCTTACAAGAGCTCCTGAAGGAAGCAGTAAACATGGAAAGGAACAACTGGTACCAGCCACTGGAAAAACATACCAAATTGTAAAGACCATCGACGCTGTGAAGAAACTGCATCAACTAATGGGCAAAACAACCAGCTAGCATCATAACGACAGGATCAAATTCACGTATAATGATATTAACCTTAAATGTGAACTAGCTAAATGCCCCAATTAAAAGACACAGACTGACAAATTGGATAAAGAGTCAAGACCTATCAGGGTGCTATATTCAGGAGACCCATCACACATGCAAAGACACACATAGGCTCAAAATAAAGGGATGGAAGAATATTTACCAAGCAAATGGAAAGCAAAAAAAAACAAAAACAAAAAGCAGGGGTTGCAATCCTAGTCTCTGATAAAACAGACTTTAAACCAACAAAGATCAAAAGAGAGAAAGAAGGTCATTATATAATGGTAAAGGGATCAATGCAAAAGAAGAGGTAACTATCCTAAATATATATGCACCCAATACGGGAGCATCCAGATTCATAAAGCAAGTTCTTTGACACCTGCAAAGAGACTTAGACTCACACACAATAATAGTGGGAGACTTTAACACCCCACTGTCAATATTAGACAGATCAACAAGACAGAAAATTAACAAGGATATCCAGGACTTGAACTCAGCTCTGGGTCAAGTGGACCTAATAGACATCTACAGAACTCTCCACCCCAAATCAACAGAATATGTGTTCTTCTCAGCACCACATCTCACTTATTCTAAAATTGACTACATAATTGGAAGTAAAACACTCCTTAGCAAATGCAAGAGAACGGAAATCATAACAAAACAGTCTGTCAGACCACAATGCAATCAAATTAGAACTCAGGATTAAGAAACCCACTCAAAACCACACAATTACCTGGAAACTGAACAACCTGCTCCTGAATGACTACTGGGTAAACAACGAAATGAAGGCAGAAATCAAGATGTTCTTTGGAACCAATGAGAACAAAGACACAACATACCAGAATCACTGGGACACATTAAAGCAGTGTGTAGAGGGAAATGTATAGCACTAAATGCCCACAAGAGAAAGCAGGAAAGATCTAAAATCGACACACTAACATCACAATTAAAAGAACTAGAGAAGCAAAAGCAAACAAATTCAAAAGCTAGCAGAAGACAAGAAATAACTAAGATTAGAGCAGAACTGAAGGAGATAGAGACACGAAAAACCCTTCAAAAAATCAATGAATCCAGGAGCCAGTTTTTTGAAAAGATCAACAAAATAAATAGACTGATAGCCAGACTAATAAAGAAGAGAAGAGAGAAGAATCAAATAGACGCAATAAAAAATGATAAAGGGGATATCACCAACAATCCCACAGAAATGCAAAGTACCGTCAGAGAATACTATAAACACTTCTACACAAATAAACTAGAAAATCTAGAAGAAATGGATAAATTCCTGGACACATACACCCTCCCAAGACTAAACCAGGAAGAAGTCAAATCCCTGAATAAACGAATAACAAGTTCTGAAATTAAGGCAGTAATTAATAGCCTACCAACCAAAAAAGTCCAGGACCAGACGGATTCACAGCCGAATTCTACCAGAGGTACAAAGAGGAGCTGGTACCATTCCTTTTGAAACTATTCCAAAGAATAGAAAAAGAGGGAATCCTCCCTAACTCATTTTATGAGCCCAACATTGTCCTGATACCAAAACCTGGCGGAGACACAACAAAAAAAGAAAATTTTAGGGCAATATCCCTGATGAACTTTGATGCAGAAATCCTCAATAAGATACTGGCAAACCGAATACAGCAGCACATCAAAAAGCTTATCCACCACGATCAAGTTGGCTTCATCCTGGGGATGCAAGGCTGGTTCAACATACACAAATCAATAAATGTAATCCATCACATAAACAGAACCAATGACAAAAACCACATGATTATCTCAATAGATGCAGAAAAGGCCTTCAACAAAATTCAACAGCCCTTCACGCTAAAAACTCTCAATGAACTAAGTATTGATGGAAACTATCTCAAAATAGTAAGAGCTATTTATGACAAACCCATAGCCAATATCATACTGAATGGGCAAAAACTGGAAGCATTGCCTTTTAAAACCAGCACAAGGCAAGGATGTCCTATCTCACCAGCCCTAATCAACATAGTATTGGAAGTTCTGGCCAGGGTAATCAGGCAAGAGAAAGAAATAAAAGATATTCAATTAGGAAAAGAGGAAGTCAAATTGTCTCTGTTTGTAGATGACATGATTGTATATTTAGAAAACCCCATAATCTCAGACCAAAATCCCCTTAAGCTGATAAGCAACTTCAGCAAAGTCTCAGGATACAAAATCAATGTGCAAAAATCACAAGCATTCCTGTACACCAATAACAGACAAACAGAGAGCCAAATCATGAGTGAACTCTCATTCACAATTACTACAAACAGAATAAAATACCTAGGAATCCAACTTAAAAGGGATATGAAGGACCTCTTCAAGGAGAACTACAAACCACTGCTCAAGGAAATAAGAGAGGACACAAAGAAATGGAAAAACATTCCATGTTCATGGATAGGAAGAATCAATATTGTGAAAATGGCCATACTGCCCAAAGTAATTTATAGATTCAGTGCTATCCCCATCAAGCTACCATTGACTTTCTTCACGGAATTGGAAAAAACTACTTCAAATTTCATATGGAAACAGAAAAGAGTCCACATAGCCAAGAAAATCCTAAGCAAAAAGAACAAAGCTTGGAGGCCTCATGCTGCCTGACTTCAAACTATACTACAAGGCTACAGTAACAAAAACAGCATGGTAATGGTACCAAAATATATATAGACCAATGGAACAGAACAGAGGCCTCAGAAATAACACCACATATCTACAAGCATCTGATCTTTGACAAACCAGACAAAAGCAAGCAATGGGGAAAGGATTCCTTATTTAATAAATGGTGTTGGGAGAGCTGTCTAGCCATATGCAGAGAGCAGAAACTGGATCCCTTCCTTACACCTTATACAAAAATTAACTCAAGATGGATTAATGACTTAAGCATAAGACCTAAAACCATAAAAACCCTAGAAGAAAGCCTAAGCAATACCATTCAGAGCATAGGCATGGGCAAACACTTCATGACTAAAACACCAAAAGCAATGGCAACAAAAGCCAAAATAGACAAATGGGATCTAATTAAACTAAAGAGCTTCTGCACAGCAAAAGAAACTATCATCACAGTTACCAGGCAACCTACAGAATGGGAGAAAATTTTTGTGATCTATCCATCTGACAAAGGGCTAATATCCAGAATCTACAAAGAACGTAAACAATTTTACAAGAAAAAAAAACCCATCAAAACGTGGGCGAACGATATGAACATTCACTTCTCAAAAGAAGACGTTTATGCAGCCAACAAATGTATGGAAAAATTGCTCATCATCACTGGTCATTAGAGAAAGGCAAATCAAAACCACAATGAGGTACCATCTCACGCCAGTTAGAATGGTGATCATTAAAAAGTCAGGAAACAACAAATGCTGGAAAGGATGTGGAGAACTAGGAATGCTTTTACACTGTTGGTGGGAGTGTAAATTAGTTCAACCATTGTGGAAGACAGTGTGGCTATTCCTCAGGGATCTAGAACTAGAAATACCATTTGACCCAGGAATCCCATTGCTGGGTATATACACAAAGGATTATAAATCATTCTACTATAAAGAGACATGCACATGTATGTTTATTGTGGCACTGTTCACAATAGCAAAGACTTGGAACCAACCCAAATGCCCATCAATGATAGACTGGATAAAGAAAATGTGGCACATATACCCCATGGAATACTATGCAGCCATAAAAAAAGCATGAGTTCATGTCCTTTGCAGGGACATGGATGAAGCTGGAAACCATCATTCTGAGGAAACTATCACAAGGACAGAAAACCAAACACTGCATGTTCTCACTCATAAGTGGGAGTTGAACAATAAGAACACATGGACACAGGGAGGGGAACATCACACACTGGGGCCTTTTGGGGGGGTAGGGGTCTAGGGGAGAGATAGCATTAGGAGAAATACCTAATGTAGATGAGGGGTTGATGGGTGCAGCAAACCACCATGGCACATGTGTACCTATGTAACAAACCTGCATGTTCTGCACATGTATCCCAGAACTTAAAGTATAATTTAAAAAAAGAAACAAAAATAAAATCAATTGACCAAGATGTATGGGTTTATGTCTTAAGTCTCAATTCTATTTCATTGATCTATATCTCTGTCCTTACAGTGGTACCATACTGTCCTGATTATTGTTGCTTTGAAGTAAGTTTTGAAAGGAGGAAATGTGAATCCTCCAGTTTTATTCTTATTTTTCAAAATTGATTTGGTTAATCTGGAAACCAACCAATTCCATGGAATTTGAATCAGCTGATCAATTTCTACAAAGAAGCCATCTGGGATTCTAATAGGGATTTTATTGAATCTATAAATCAGTTTGAGGGAGTATTGCCATCTTAAAGATTTTGCCTTCTGATCTATGAACATAGTCGTGTTTTTTATTTAGATTTTCTTTAATATCTTTTTAAAAATGTTTTGTAGTTTTCCAACTAAGTTTTGCCTTTTTTGTCAAAGTAATTCCTATATATTTAATTCTTTTTGATAGTACTGTAAATGTAATTACTTTTCGTAATTTCATTTTTAAATTGTTCATTACCAGTGTACAGAAGTACTATCAAAAAGGCAAAACTTAGTTGGAAAACTACAAAACATTTTTCCCATTCTATACACATACTATATTTCCCATTCATATAGTATATATGACTAGGAAAAAAAATAGTATATATAAGAATTGGTACTATCTGAGGTTTCAGGCATCCAACTGGGGTCTTGGAAAATACCACCCATCCCCCACAGATAAGGCGGTCTACTGCATACAAAGTGATGGCATGCTAACTGTGACATTTGATCCTTCCAAAAATACACTGAGTAATTGGGATCATTGCCACTTTTACAGCCAGCAAAGTTAAGTCAAGCAGGGGAGCAAAGTCTTGGTGTAAGTTTTGAAAACATTCTGAAGTCCAATATTTTTTCCCTTTAGATTCCCCATGTGACCTTAGACAAGTTATTTGACTCTCCAAATCTTATTTCCTCATCTTAAAATGAGAGCAGTTGAGAGTCGACATTTACGTTTCCTTTATTCTCTAATATTCCATTATTTTTGAATTATCCTCTTTTGAGGTGTCCTTCTTTCTTTCCATATTTCAAAAACAATTATGTTCTCTCTCATGCCTACCAAGTAGGATTCTATTCCCTCAGAATGGAAAAGCTTGCCACTATGAGCCAGATCCCCAACACAGTGTGTATCCCTCTCATGCAATAGTCTCCAAACAAACCAGTTTACATTAGTAACTGCACGTAAACTGGAATTAACTCAGAGATTTCCCCTACGTGCTTCCCAGGTGTTTTCCTCATTGTTTGAGATAAAACAGTCATTCATATTTGCCTGTTTCTTGAATCTGTGCCTACATTCATTGCCTTGCCCCTGCCAAGTTGAATTTTGCCTAAGGAAAATGATGTTTGGTTTTTCACAGTAAATCAGATGGATGGATGGAGAGTTAAGATGAATAGCTGGAAAGATGAATGGATGGATGAGAAGATCAAAGAATGGCTGGAGGGCCAGAAGAATGAGGAGATAGATGTCTGGGTGGATGGGTAGAGGAATAAGTGAATGGGTAAGTGGCTAAGTGGTTAAAAGTATAGAGGATAAAAAGGATAGAGAAATGGATAAATGGGTAGAGAAATGGATAAATGGGTAGATGAATGGATGAGTAGGTGGGTAGGTGGGTAACTGGATGAATGAATGCATAGACAGGTAAATCAATATGTAAATATAAGTAACCAAACTTAGATGCAATAAAAAATACATACTCAGTCCCATCTTCACCACTTTGCACTGTGATTTGGGAAGCCCCCAGTTTGGGCCAGAATAGATTTATCACATGGTTGTTCCAGAGGAACTTAACTTTCTGTATTTTTCCAACATTGAGATCCACATCAATATCATGCATGTGACTTGCATCTGGTTTGAGGGATCCTTTGAAAATCTCATATTGTTTTGAGTTTCCATTACTTCCATACAAAGCAATCCTGATGTACCCACTCACTTTCTTTTTTCCAGACAGTGTGACTGATACCTTATATCTCCAACTAGTAAAGTTACCACTCTCTCCTGTGTTGAGGAAAAATATTTGTTCAACGGCACTGGTTTTCCCCTTAAATTGGTCAGCATAGTGCCCCATTTTGGGGCATCCTTCAGCTGGACAAGGGAAACAGCTATTCGCCTCGCATTCGTTGCAGAGTTACATCTCTTTGTTCTGTTCTAAGCCACAGGAATGCAAAAACACCCAAAACAGGGCCACCAACATCTTCCTCAGGCTTCTGGGGTAACCTACCTCCCAAAACTCATTGTAGGAGGCACAGGGATAGCCCAGGAAGCCATCAGGGTTGAGGATGCTGCTTGAGTCAGGGTTTTACTTCTTATAGCTTGGTGCTCTGTTGCTAGATGCATATATGTGTGTAATTGTTATGTCTTTCTGATGGGTTGACCCTTTCATCATGATAAAATGTCCCTATTTTTCTCTAGCAACATATTTTGTTTTAAAGTCAATTATGTCTGATTTTATTTTTATTTAAAGTGTGACTCTTTATACTTAAATTATAACTCTGTAGTTGGGTCAGATGGGTCTTGCTTTTTATTCATTCTGACAGTCTCTGCATTTAAATTGCAGTGATTAATCAATTTACATTAAATGTAATGGTTCTTATCGTTTAAGTGTACTAACTTGCTATTTCTTTTATATTTCTCTTTGTTCCTTTGTTCTTTTTTCTTGCCTTTTTGGAATTAATCAAAAGGGTTTATTATTATTATTATTATTATTATTATTATTATTATTATTTTTGGCGGGGGAATGGAGACAGGGTCTCACTCTGTCGCCCAGACTGGAGTACAGTGGCATGATCTCCGCTCACCGCAACCTCTGCCTCCTGGGTTCAAGCGATTCTCCTGCCTCAGCCTCCCGAGTAGCTGGGATTTCAGGCACGCACCACTACCGCCCAGCTAATTTTTGTATTTTTAGTAGAGGCGGGGTTTCACCATGTTGGCCAGGCTGGTCTTGAATTCCTGACCTCAAATGATCCACCCACCTCTGCCTGCCAAAGTGCTGGGTTTACAAGCGTGAGCCACCGTGCCTGGCCTAGTTTTTCATTTTATCTCATTTCAATTTTGGATTTTTAGCTATGTGTCTTGGTTGTTGTTTGGGGATTGGAGGGAGGTTTTTTGTAGTGATTGTTCTAGGGATTACAATTAATTTATCACAGTATACACATTCATGGCTATGGAGGTGTGGAATAATCTGACATATTTGGAAAGTGAGATGTTCTTTGTGCCTGGATCTTAGAGATTAATGTAGGGGTTAATGTAACCATTAATCAGACTAGAGTGATGATAATATTTTCATTTATTAAGTACTTATTATGTGCCAGGCACTGTGGTAAGTGTTTTATACATATTCAATTAAATCATTTCATCTTCACAACTACCCAGTGGGTAGATACGAGAAAACTAAGGCTTGGTAACTTTCCAAAGGTCACATAGCAAGTAAGAGACAAATCCAGGATGAAAATCCTAGCAGACATAATGAAGGTGAAAAGAAAATGGTATATTTGTATTGGGGTGCATTTGAAAATTTCTGAGGAAAGACAAGATGTGAGCAGACTTATATTTTAACACAACTCTGCCTGCTGAATTGGAAATAATTAGAGGGCACCAAAACTTGGACTGAGATACCAGTGAAGATACTGCTGTTAGAGTCTAGGTGAGAAATAATGAGTGCCTAAAATAGGAAAATAAAAAAGAGGGTAAAAAAGAAAATTAAAATTCAAGAGAAAAATCAATATGAGCTGAGATGTTAGTCATAAAGAGAGAGAGATAGGAAGAAAATAGAGAATGAAAAGTCCTTATTTTGTGCTAAGCTTAGGAAGAAAGAGTAGATTCAAATATCGGTTATTACTAATACCAATATCATCAGTTGCATATGATTTTATTTGTTAGACTGTATACTAATGCTATTGGCATTAATAACATTATTGTTGTTGTTGTTAATGAAACTTTCATTACCAATAACTTTTTAAATTATTATTATAATGATTAACATTTACCAAGTGTTACCTATGTGCTAGGTACTATTCTAATTGCTTTGTTTATATGTATTACCTCATTTAATTCCCATAATAGCCTTGTGAGTTAGGTACTAATATTCCATTTTGCAATTGTGGAAGCTGAGGTCCAAGGAGGTTAAGTAACTGCCCAAAGGCACATAGCTAATAAATAGTACAGCCAAATCTAGTCTGAAAGTATTGATATAATTATTTGGCCTGTACAATGCTTCTTTTTTTAAAAAAATGTTAACTTGTTTTCAACATGTAGACATCAACATAACTTAAATTTTTTAAAGATACATATTTCTCAGCTTCTTTTAAAGCAGTATGCTAGAATCTGGCTATACTGGGTCTGCTTTCCCATATGGCAGTGTTCAGCTGGACTTAATGAGCTGCCCCTTTAGACAGATCATAAGCTCTCAAGTAGAACTCAGTGCCCATCCATCCTGCTTACCTTATTTATGTTACCTGACTATCCCTTTTGGGATGAGTTACAAACCTTAAGGCACAAGAATACCTGCAGTTCTCAGGAATTGGGGGCTAAGACAAACAAATAGAAGATAATAAATAAGATAACCTATAATTTAATAATACAGTCATGGTTGAGGGCACAATATTTTAAAGGGACAGTGACGAACTGGGAATTTTTATAGAAGATGGCTTACATTGAAGAGTAGATGCAAATAGAACCATGAAGGTGGGCTTGATCCACTTTATAGGTAATAATACTCTAATAATAATAATGCTCACTATGTCTCAGGCATTGTAACAAATGCTTTACATGCATATATCTCTTTGAATCCTTTCAACAACCCTATGGAGTATATTATTATCCTCTTTTTACAGATGAGGAAAATGAGGCCCATATCACTTTGGTAATTTGTGCAAGAATACACAGCTACTTTTTGATTCAATGACTCTGGGCTTCTGATTCTGGCTCAGAGCCCTTTATAGTGTAGTTTCAGAAAGTGCTGAAAATCTTCATAGTTTCCATATTCTCTAAGAAGAATTTGTAAACTGAGTAAGTAACAGTGTTGCAGAGAACTTACAAGTATGATTTGCCTCAGGTGTTCCATAGTTGCCTCTAAATTTCTTTCAGGGAACTGTTGAATAAAAGATGAGACAGATCAGTAGTGGTGAAAAAGATCCCAAAAGTTAATCAATACCACAGGTTGTTCTGGATTGAAAAGGATGTCACTGCCTTATGGAAAAGCTCCTAGGTTCAATGTGTATCCAGTTTCCTGTCTATTTTAAAGCTCAGTAAACAACGCGTAGGCCAATGGAGACTTCACTGTTCACTCTGGCCAGTGCATGACCTATTCCTCCAGCCCTGAAGAAATCCAGTTTCCAAAAAGTGATTCAGTTAAACTTTTTTTTCTTAAATGGCAATTCAGCTATTTATGAACTAGTTTACTGAGATAATCCCCTTAAGCTGTAGAGGACAATTTATTTAGGAAAGACTGTCAACATTCTTGATTCACAAAAGTAAAAAATAGGCTTCTTAAATTTAGTTTGTGTTAATTAAATATACTATCTCCATTAGCTTGTGTTTTTAAAATAGTAGATTGACAGCATTACCTGGTTGAATGAGTATAAAGCAAAAACTCTCCTGCTGAAGAATCTCAGTAAATGCATAAACCCAGGAGCTTCTATGCTGACTCTTTAGCATGTTGGATTATTTAGCAGATTCTTGGAATTATTATCAAATATTGGCGGCAGAGAGATTTGTAGGACAGACCACCAGGTCCAGCCTGATCATTGGCAATAATGAAGAGAGAAGACACAAACAGGGTCAGGGGCAGGGCAAAGAGAAGACTTGGGGTCTCCAACTGCTGGAGGGATATTCTTCTCTCTGTACCATCCAGCCTTGAGAGCTTTTTAAAAATATTAACTTATTTTAAATGTGAGATTGAGACAAATCTAGTATGTTTCACCTGTATTTGTCATAATACTACTAGTATGTCTCCATCAGCTGTGAAGTATACTGCAATTAACATATTAATAATAAAATAGTAACATTTGTGGATTTTTTGATATAAATAAAGCAGAGTCAAGATTATCCCTTAAATCAGTCAGAGTCTCAGCAGGAAGTGGATAGTACACTAAAAAGACTAATTTAGAAGAGTTTAGGTAAGGTAGTTCACACCTGTAATCCCAGCACTTTGGCAGGCAAAGGAAGGAAGACTGTTTGAAGTCCAGGAGCTTGGGACTAGCCCTGGCAACATAGCAAGCCCCTTCTCTACAAAAAAAAAAAAAAAAAAAAAAAGTTTTTTAATTAGTTGAGAGTGGTGGTGTACAACTGTAGTCCCATGTAGTCCCAGCTACTCAAGAGACTGAGGTGGGAGGATAGCTTGATCCCAGGAGGTTGCGGCTGCAGTGAGCTATGATTGCGCCACTGCACTCCAGTGTGGGCAACAGAGCGAGGTCCTGTCTCAAAAATAAAAATAAAGGAATTTAACGAAGTGACTATTCACAAAAGTGTGGGCATTCTCCCTGGACATAAAACAGGGTGAAAAAAGGTGGAGCATTGAGATCAAACGGGCAAACATAATACCTAACACATCCTTTAACAATATGTTAGGCCAATTGCAGTAATTTTTTAAAATCCAAAATATTGGGAGTTTAATATAATAAAGATCCAATGTGGGTCCATGGAGGAAATAGGTGACTGTGTCCCATGCAGTCATTCAGAAACCCAAGCTCTTTCCATGAACTTTCTGCCATGGCCTAAGGCAGGAGTCAGCAAACTTTTCTGTAAAGGGCCAAGTAGTAAATACTTTGGCTTTGTGCGTCTGCCTCTGTCACAACTACTTATCTCTGTTGTTGAGCACAAAAACAGCCATAGACAATACTTAAAGGAACAGGTATAACTGTGTTCCAATAAAATTTTATTTACAAAAATAGGTAGCATCAAGATTTGGCCCAGGGGGCCATAGTTTGCCAATCCAGGCCTAAGGCATCATAATCTTCCATGGAATCCTTTACATCTGAGGGCAGATAAGAAAAAAGAGAGTATGTGGAAGATTACATGAATAGTTTTTATGGATCATACCTGGAAGTGGCATACAAGAATCCTACCCGTATTTCATTGTCCAGAACTGAGTCATGTGGCTGCATCTAACGTCAAGTGAAGCTGGCGAATATAATCTATGTGCCCAGAAAGATGAAAAAACTCTGGCAAACATCTGGCCAGCTTCTATAGCTTAAAATTTCCTCTAATTTCCTTGCTGTAAGCCAACTTTTCCTAAAGGGTATCTCATATATACAATACATGTACTGGAGACTTTTTAGGGAAAAAATGGGTTCTGAGACCATATATGATTAGAAATAATATTTATAGGTTCTTTCTTCATATTGAGATTCACAGTGCGTATTAACATATCAAAGGTTCTGAAAAGTCTTATAGTGTGAAACAAAGAAACAAACAAAAAGCTCCCTAAAATGTTGGTGAACACTATTTTATAATAAAGTTACTGATGCTCACTTGCATTTGGAGTGGGAGATGAAGGGAGTAGAGTCCAGGCAGTGCTGGGGAAATTATTTATGATCCCATATATTTGCATTGGAATTTCTTGTGCATAAAAACTTTTTAAAATATAAAGCCACTACATGAAAACATTTTTTTTTTAAATTTCTTCACATCCTTACCTACCACCTACACAAATGGACTGCCTACTTTAATTTCTGAATATTGTTCATATGCCTATTTCTGACTAGAAAGTTGAGTTAGAGCTTTTTTTTTTTTTTTTTTTTTTTTTTTGAGACGGAGTCTTGCTCTGTCGCCCAGGCTGGAGTGCAGTGGCGTGATCTCGGCTCACTGCAAGCTCCGCCTCCCGGGTTCACACCATTCTCCTGCCTCAGCCTCGCTAGTAGCTAGGACTACAGGTGTGCATCACCAGGCACACCACCATGCCCATCTAATTTTTTGGTTTTTTTAGTAGAGACGGGGTTTCACCATGTTAGCCAGGATGGTCTCGATCTCCTGACCTCGTGATTCGCCTGCCTCGGCCTCCCAAATGCTGGGATTACAGGCGTGAGCCACCGCGCCCGGCCGAGTTACAGCTTTTTAAATTCTCCTCCTCCCCTTAACTATTATTAAGAAACACCCAAGAATGATCAATAAATACTTAAAAAAAAAAAAAAAAGAAATTTTTTTTCTGTACAGAGAAAGTTGAAACATCCATTTCCATGTTTGGGATGAGAGAAGATTATTTATGTTATTGGAGAACAGAAGATTATAGACTGTCAATAAACTTTTACTTTTAAATGAATAAATAATACATGACAATTCTTTTCACATAAAAAAAAAAAAGAAAGAGGAAGACCTCTTTGCAGTTGAGATAAGAGGAAGGCATCTGTCTCCTGCTCATCCGTGGGCAATGGAATGTCTCAGTGTAAAGCCCAATTGTATATTCCATCTACTGAGATAGGGGAAAACCGCCTTAGGGCTGGAGGTGGGACATGCTGGCAGCAATACTGCTCTTTAATGCATTGAGATGTTTATGTATATGCACATCAAAATCACAGCACTTTTTTCTTTACCTTGTTTATGATGCAGAGACCTTTGTTCACGCGTTTTCTTACTGACCTTCTCTCCACTATTACCCTATTGTCTTGCCACATCCCCCTCTCCGGGAAACGCCCGATAATGATCAACAAATACTAAGGGAACTCAGAGGCCGCGGCCGGCGCGGGTCCCCCTTATGCTGAACGCTGGTCCCCTGGGCCCATTTTTCTTTCTCTACACTTTTTCTCTGTGTCTGTTTCTTTTCCAAGTCTCTCATTCCACCTAAGGAGAAACACCCACAGGTGTGGAGGGGCAACCCAGCCCTTCAAATTTACATAGAGTTAAATATACACATATTACTCTGAAGATAAACCTTAGGTGTAAGAAAAGTATTAAGTGAGAGTGTTTGTGTGAGTATGAGTTTGTACATATTTTCAGAAAAAAAGAGCAATAATTGCAACAAAACAAATAAATAAGCTGACTAATAGAAAACTAAACACCTCAAAAATGCTGAAAGCAAATCTATACTTTTTGTTTTGTCTTGAATTCCTTTATTCATTTTATTTTATTTTATTTTATTTTATTTTTTTGAGACAGAGTTTCACTCCTGTTGCCCAGGCTGGAGTGCAATGGCACGATCTTGGCTCACTGCAACCTCCACCTTTTGGGTTCAAGTGATTCTCCTGCCTCAGCCTCCCAGTAGCTGGGACTACAGGCAGGTGCCACCATGCCCAGTTAAATTTTTTTTTTTTTTGTATTTTTGGTGGAGACTGGGTTTTACCATGTTGGCCAGGCTGGTCTTGCATTCCTGATCTCAAATGATCCATCCACCTCGGCCTCCCAAAGTGATGGGATTACAGGTGTGACCTGCCACATTCAGCGTGTCTTGAATTTATTACTGTAAAATGTTATGGCTTATGGTTCAGATTCTCCCTAGAATCTGCCTATTAAAGCACAGGCATCTTTGTCTTCAGAAATAACACTCTTGAGTAGAACAATAAAAGCCCTCTTCAAACAGAAAAAAATAATCATTTTTAACACTTATTTTAATGAAAATTTAACCAACATTGAGTAATTGGATATATTTTTATTGTTTTATGTGTGTGTGAATGTATAAAATGGTACATACAGGAAAAATAATTTAAGCCAGAAAAAAGATGTAAGTTAATATTTGTAATGAATGAAACTGGAGAGTAGTTAATTATTAGTTGCAGATAATATCTTTGTTTATGTAGATAACAAAAGGAGCAGAAAGACTATTTTAAAAGTTTATTTAGGTGGGTAGGCAACATTTTAAGATAATACCCTGGATTACCAGTCTGTTGCACACCTGCTGTGTCATACTTTCCTCTTCAGTGAAAAAAAAATGTGTGACTGTGTTGGGAAATCACTCATGAAATTAGGTTACTCATCTGTTGACTTTGTGTTTATCAAAACGGAGATTATTCTGATTGTGCTAAACTTAATCACAGGTGCTTCTAAGAGAAAGAGACACATAGAAAAAAAAAAAAAAAAAGATTTAGCCTAGGGTTTGGAGTATGGTTGAGGCTGCAGCTGGGAGGCAAATGGCTCCAGACGTGAGAACTGCAAATGTTAGAAATCAGGTAGAGAGCTGACCTACATATTAAGATTCCAGGAGAAAAGGTAGTTTGGAATAGATAAGGACACCTCTTTTATTCAGAATCCAAAAAGAGTATTAAAAACAAGAGGTTGGTAGCATTTTCCAAGAATCCCAGCATCATGTTTCCAAACTCTCATTGATTCTGATTATAGAAGGGTTTTCCCCAGGTAACTCAGAAAAAAATATTTTAGGATAATACTCTTTCTTTCATCTTAAGTCAAATAAGTAAAAATTCCTGAGACCAGCAATTTGCATGAGGTAGGTTGATTGTTATACAGACCCACACAGGCCAGTGTCTTTCATTATATACTACATTTGGAAAAAATAACCTTAATTCCTGAGATAAGCACCATCAAAATGATTGAAAAATCTACAGTCCAAATCATTCATTTCTTAATCCCAAGAGATGCTCTTCCCCTTCAACCTAGCTGAGTGAAGAAGGCACTTCCCTGGAGATGGCAATTAGATTAGAAAGCCTGGAGCCTTCCCCTTGATTACTTAAAATGATCCTAAGTCCTTGAGCTAGCTTAGATGGATGTTAATGGTTTCCAGGGGACAGACAACTTAGAAAAGACAACTTCATTGCACTTCTCTTTTCCGTTTACTTACTTAACGCCTTGAAAATACTTTTCTAAATTTTATTAAAGAGACTGCAAGCCCTTAAAAATGAATCAGAGCGCTCTCTCCTGATTTCAAATAGCTGAATGAAATTCTGCCAAGTGCCGATAACAACAATCCTTCTGTGTCATGGATGGTCAACCCTGACTCCCACACCCTTAAAGCAAGTGTGAAGTCTAATCAGTATAATGACAAAGTAGTTATTAACATTTTGAAAAACCACCCTAAATTGCTGTACTTCTATGAGTTATATTGGTAGATTCTAACTCTTTTTCTTTGGCCAGATTGCTTGTCTAGGGACTTTGTGATTAAAAAGGCAGGAGATTATTTACGAAATGAACAAATGAGGTGGTTGTTTACTTTACCAAAGAATTTACTCACTCCTGAGAACCTTCTCTGTGCATTGAAAATAGGACGTGATTGACAGCCCCTTTTAAATTACCTTTGAATACTAAAATGTCAGCCAAACCTGTATTTTAGGTTCAATTCTGTTAGTGGTTTATGAGCATTAAAAAATGTGTTAAATATTTCTTCCGTGGTTATTATATTCCTTGGACAGCTTTAGGCCCCCACATGTCTCTTAGCCTGCCTTAGTTTCCCCATTGTTCAAGTGGGATAATAATACTTTTTTTACCCCAAAGAGGTGATTTGAAAATTAAGTGGTGAATGAGCTGCTTTGAA
Source organism: Homo sapiens (assembly GCF_000001405.40). Classification (NCBI taxonomy): domain Eukaryota; kingdom Metazoa; phylum Chordata; class Mammalia; order Primates; family Hominidae; genus Homo; species Homo sapiens. The sequence continues at coordinate 108,374,274 of NC_000023.11, read as the reverse complement.
GATGAACTGCCATGTTTTCCTGGTTCCTTTGCTTCTAGATTGGCTCATTTTGCTACGGCAAAAATGTTGTAAATATGCCATGCTCAGTTTTCACGTTAGCATACACTCTTGAAAACAAAATTTGCTTAAAATATTTTCCCACTTCTCTGCCTTTGGTTTGTGGGGCTTTGGGTTAATTAGCATCCTCCAGCTCTTATCTAAGCCTTTGCTAAGGGCTAATTAACCAGTGTATACTTTGTCAAATTCTAATGAGAACTGATAAGGAGTCTTTTTAGCCTGTTTTATTTTCTTTTGGGGGAGGATATATTCTTTTAGCAAACATTTGTGTTTTTTGCAAGGAGACAATGTTTGTTAATTTAACCAATGTTTACTAAGCATCTTTAAGGCCTTTTGGGGGACACAAATGAATATAAAAGGAAAACAATTTTAAAGGAGCAAAGGATCTGAGGAAGTTAAGCTAGTTATAGAAATCTGTAAGCCACAAACATTATGCATATGTGTGAAGAGACTCTAGAGTAAATGAGCACTGAAGTGGGCTTAAGGTGACAGGCTTGACTGATGTAGAGGCCCTGCTTTGGATAGTAATGAACAAGATGAAGTGTGTAGGATGGACTGGGGGCTGGGGAGATATAACAGGCTTAATCAAGGAAGGAGAGAGACATAATCAGGGATGGGGGTGGAGTAACAGGGACAGGGAGACTGGAGGGAAAATAGTATTGCACTGGGATTCAGGAGACCTGGGTTTAGTCCTGATGCAAACTTCACCATTCTGTAGCTCTTTGACCTTTGGCTTGTCAGTTCCCCTCTTCAAACTTTAGGTCACGCCCTCCACAATTCAGGGTCAGCACTATGCAAAAGATTTCCAAGGAAGGCATTCTGGGATTTGAAAACTTCCTCAAGAGAAGTGAGCTTTAAATTTTAAATTCAGTCAAGCTCTCAAGTTTTCAGTAGACCTCACGGCTGAAAAGAAAGAGATTACAGAAGAGAGGGATGGACCTTATGAAGGCCCCTTTATTTGTCTTTTTTCCCTTTGTGTGAAGAATCGGGTCTTGCTATGTTGCCCAAGCTGGTCTTGAACTACTGGGCTCAAGCGATCCTCCTGCCTATGCCTCCCTAAGAGCTGAGATTACAGGCATGAGCCACCGTGCCTGGCTGAAGGCCCATTTATTAAGGCCCAGAACCAGCATAAGGAAAAGCCATATGAAGAAAAAAATATATGAGACAGAAAATTTTGTATCAAATGCATTAGATAGATATGTGGAAAAGAGTTATCATGTAGTAGAAAAAAACACAAGCTTTGGGGTTGAATAGACCTGTCTAAGGTATGAATCCACTTACCCACTTAGTTGTGATTGTGATTTCAAGCAAGTTCCTTAACCTCTCTGAACAAGAATTTTCTAATTATTAAAGTGGAATAATAATACTACATACTAAATAGGGTTGATTTGAAGACAAAATGAATTAATCTGAGCAAAGCACATGTGGCTTACCATAGCACTCAATAAATGGTAGTCATTCATAGCTTCCAATTACTGTAGCCCTCGTTTGCCTGGACTGTTTTGCTAGACAAATTAGCCTACACAAAGGGGACTCTTTAGCTCCTCCTTAGAGACTGAGCTTTTATCATCTTGAAATCGAGGTCTTCCATGTCAGTTTACACAACAGCAACCCCCTCCCTCTGACACTCTTAGACTTCCTCAACATCCCTCCCAGAAAACTGGTTTTGAGGCATCTCTGCTATTTTCAATTTGTCAGTATCTGAATCTGCCTGGTCCCAATCAGTCTAGATGTGGAGAGTTGGACTGCATTCTTATTTTCCAAGTGCCTTTGATTTTATTCTTGTGAATGTAGAGTTTTCACAGAGCACTGAGGAAGGCAAACAGCCCAATCACCCTTTTCTTCATTCACAGGGGCTTATTGGGGGCCTCTGCTAGGGTAAAGATTTCAGTTCTGTTACTCAGATATGTTAGGCAAAGATCTGTTTGGTGATTAGTTTTGATTAGATAGGAGTTTCACACAAAAGGGGGCTTGTGCATTTATTGTAGTTACTGAGATTAAGGGAGCTAGGTACTGCTGTGGGAAGCTGCCCCATTGAAAAGAGGGGCCATTCTTTGATGTTGAGAGGCCCGGCCTTCCCCAGTGAGAAAAATGACTGTTAGTCTCCCTGATTTTGCAAAGCACTTGAAAAGCGCTTTAACCAACTCCTTAGCTTTCATAATGCTTGTTTACAGGTAGGGGTTTAAGTCTGTGCAGGGGAAGCAAAATGGAGATTTCATTTTTCTTGTTTCCCATGATCTCAGCGGCAGCTCAACTTTTTTCTTCCTGCTTTTATTCTTTCTCTTTTTTCCATCTTTTACACTTAATCACACACTCTTCTTTCCCAGGTCCTATTCAGGTCTTTTTTTTTTTTTTTTTTTTCCTTCATATTGGACCTCTGTCATGCTACATTGATCCAACCCATACCTCTCCAGAGCACTCACACACTTTATTTATGTATTTGTTTGTTTGTTTGTTTATTGAGAAAGGGTCTTGCTCTGTCACCCAAGCTGGAGTGCAGTGGCACAATCATGGGTCACTGCCACCTCGACCTCCTGGGCCCAAGCAATCCTCCCACCTCAGCCTTCCAAGTAGCTGGAACTACAGGCATGCACAACCACACTGGCTAATATTTAAAAGAGTTTTTTTTTTTTTTTTTTTTTTATAGAGACAGAGTATTTCCATGTTACCCAGGCTGATCTCAAACTCCTGGTCTCACTCAAGTGAAAATTAAAGTATATACAGTTGTGTTTAGAATTTTTTTAATGTTTTAATAAGCTACAATACATATATAAGTTCTAATATATATGTGCAAATGTTTGCTGGTGGAATATGCAAGAAACTGGTTATCAAAGGTTTCTTCTGGGCTGTCAGCTAGTGGGAGACTTTTAATTTTTGTTTTGTACTTTTTTGTACAGTTTGAATTTTCTTACCATGTTCATATATTGCTTTTTTAAAGGCCAAAGGGGGTTTCTGGAAGATGAATTATCATTCTTTTTTTTCTTTTTGATGCTTTTCTATATTAAAAAAAACACAATAGATGTTATTTTAAAAAGGAAATCAATAAGACAGACCCTGTCTCAGTAGAGTTCGTAGTGAATGTGATAAACCAGAGAACAGATGCTTTACTAGATCCAAGAATAGAGGTTTGAACAAAGTTCTGAGGAAAGCATGGAGGAGAAACTGGTTCCATTTCTCCAAAGGTATCAGGAAAATGTCACAGAAGAGGTGACATTTGAGCTAAGTCTTGGTAGAGCACAGGACATTGGTGGGCAACATTCCAGGAAGAATGGATGGACCATACAAAGGCACAGTGGTGTGGAAGGCCATCGTTTATTCAAAGAGTGTTTATTGAGGTTGAAGACACATTAATATGTGTCTGCAGGTGATTATGTAAGGGAGATTGGTAAGTAATAACAACACATACTATGTGCTGGACGCTGGGCTAGGAGCTTTAATTTCTCCACCTCTAATCCTTAGAAGGGTGTTCAGGAATCTCTGGCCTTAAGAACAGCAGCAGTAGTAGAGACAGCAGCAGCCCAGAGTTTGGATGTGGACCAAATCGGGTTGCAATTATAGCAATTTGGTCTATCTAATCCTTCCTTAAAGCACTGTGTTGAGGTTTTAGAGAAGCTATATATAATGTCCTTGATGTATAGTCAGACCTCAAAAAAGTTAGCTGTTATCTCATCATTACCATTCCTTTTCTCCAAACTCCAGCTTAGTGCTGCATATACAGTAGCAAATCCCTACGACTGAATGATTGATGAGAGAGTTGATTAAGGTATATGGTAGGACATGATATGACAGGGATCTCACCTCCTATTTCTCCATCCGGTCCTTAGTACCAAGAAGTCAGAACATTTTGCCTAAGAGAACCTAGTACATACCATCTCTGAATTTGTGAGGAGGCAGAGCTCCAGGTACTTGAAGAAAATAAAGGGAGTTGTATATTCTCTCTGTGAAGATGATCACCCCCAAGGTTTTTAGACTACATGGATGACAGAATAAAAAGTAAAAATGAAAAACCATCAACACAAACCAAATTTAAGATAATGTCTCTTAGCTTCAATAAACAAGGCAGGATAATGCTAACACCAACACTGAAGCAGGAAGACCCTGAAACATGGCTGCTTTGTAGTGTCATGAAAATTAAAATGGGAGTTGGAAGTTCCCACTTTCATCTTTTAGCTGTGTGATCTTCAACAATGTTATTTCCCCCTTCTGGGGAAATGGTCCCTCTTTGTTATGGGAGTTAAGATTGGATTAGAGTTAGAGTCAGCAAACTGCAGCCAAATCCAGTCGGCCACCTGTTTTTATAAATAAAGTTTTATTGGAACACAGCCACTCTATTCATTTAACTAATATCTGTGGTTGCTTTCCCCCTGCAACAGCAGAGTTGAGAAGTTGTGACAAAGACTATATTGCCTGCAAAGACAAAAACATTTACTGTTTGGCCCTTTACAGAAATAGTTTGCTAACCTCTGATTGATGTGTAAGGTCCCTTCCTCCTCTGACAATCTGTGATATGCGTACTGCTAAAGACTTAATGTGTCAGACCATTTGCAATCCTTAGGTTCACCTGGAAACCTTTCATGAAATTTGGAAATACTCCAGAGGTCCCACCTGTATGTTTATTATTTTGTTTTTGTTTATTATTAATCCAAAAACGTTTTAAGGATTTGCTGTTTGCTAGGTACAGTGATAGTTCTGGGTTGCAATGGGGAGCAAACCAGACATGATCCTAGCAGTCATGGAGCTTAGAGTCTTCTGGAGGAGACAGTTTTTAACAGAACCTCCTCATATCTTTCACTTTGGAAAGCAAAGCCAACAAATTATTTCATGGTAGGTTGAACTGTCCAGGTTTACATTTGGGTTTATGAACACCTTTATTCATTCATTTATTAGTTTATTCTTTCATTCATTCAATATATACAGTCATGCACTACATAATGACATTTTGGTCAACAGTGAACCACATGTACGATGGTAGTCCTATAAGATTATAATGGAGCTGAAAATTTCCTGTTGCCTAGTGACATTATACCCATTGTAACATCATAGCAGAACACATTCTTTATGTGTTGGTCATGATGTTGGTGTAAACAAAGCTATTGCACTGCCAGTTGTATAAAAGTATAACACATATAATTATGTACAGCCATGATACTTGGTAATAATTATAAACTACTATTACTGGTTTTCGTATTTACTATACTATTATCATTATTGTAAAGTGTACTCCATCTACTTCTGAAACAAAAAAGTTTACTGTAAAACAGCCTCTGACAGGTCCTTCAGAAAGTGTTCTAGGAGAAGGCATTGTTATCATAGGAGGTGATAGCTCCATGTGTGTTATTGCCCCCAAACACCCACTAGGATGAGATGTGGAGGTGGAAGAAAGTGATGTTGATGATCCTGACCCTGTGTAAGCCTAGGCTAATGTGTGTGTTTGTGCCTGTGTTTTTAACAGAAAATTTTAAAAATTAACAAAATAAAATATTTTAGCAATAAAAAAACTTATAGAATAATATAAAGAAAAACATATTTTTGTACAGCTGTACAGTGTGTGTTTTAAGCTAAGTGTTACTATAAAATATTCAAAAGTCTAAAATATTAGAATTATATAAAGTAAAATAGAGTAAGATAAAGTTAACTTATTATTGAAGAAAGAAAATTATTTTATACAGTTAGAGTAGCCTAAGTGTACAGTTATAGCCATTGTAACATCATAGCAGTGGTGTAGTGTTTATGAAGCCTACAGTAGTGTACTGTAATACCCTAGGCCCTCACATTCACTCACCACTCACTTACCCACTCACCCAGAACAACTTCTAGTCCTGCAAGCTCCATTCATGGTAAGTGCCCTAGACAGGGATATAATTTTTTAAATCTTTTATACCATATTTTTACAGTGCCTTTTCTAGGTTTTGATATGTTTGGATAACAAATACTTACATTGTTTTATAATTGCCTGCAGAATTCACTTACTGCTATATGGGTTTGTAGCCTAGGAGTAATAGGCTATATCATATAGCCTAGGTATATAGATAGTAAGCTATACCATTTAGGTTTGTATAAACCTAAATGAAATTGCCTAACAACACATTTCTCAGAAGGCACCATGGTGGTTAAGAGACATATGACTATATATATAAAGTACTTATGTGCTAGGTGCTGGGCTGGGCTAGATGGAAAAATATACTAATGAAAAAAAAAAACAAAGTTTCTGTTCTCATGGACCTTAGATACATATTAAATTTTAAAATGACAAATAAGTATATAATTATCAACTGTTATAAATGCTCTGAAGAAAAGGAGCATGGTCACATGGCAACAAATAACAAGGGAATAAGATCTAGACTGATGACATCAGGGAGAAGCATTCCAGCTAATATCCGAAGGATGTGTAGGACCAGTAAATCGAGATAGTAGTACTGATAATTGTTTCCTTTCTTGGTTGATGAAAATGGAGCTTGGAAACATGTAAATTAGTATTTTTTCAATCTGAAGGTTGAAACCCATTTTGAAAAAATCAATTATATGGATCCTGACCAACATTTGTTTCCTATGCAATAGAATGGAATGGACAAGATTGAAATAGAATAGAATGAAAATTTCCAGTTGTTTTCTGGAAATAATTGTTTTGTAAAACTATGTAAAATGCATTTCCTCTCATCGTGGGCCTCAGTCCAGAAAGATCACTGACCCAAAAGATCTGCTTTGGCTCTATATAATTACAATTTGTCACATAGATAACAGCTTCTCCAGGTTCCTGTCTTTAAGACACGAGGGTATGTTCTGCAGGTACTTCCAAGCTTACCTTTGTGCTCTTTTCAGAGTAAGTGTAAGAGTGAGTGAGAGAACACCAGCCACCATTTACTGAGCACCTACTCTGGGACCAGACAGTGCACAAAGTACCTTTTGTACATTATACCATTTAATCCTCACAGTAATCCTATGAAATAGGCACAATTCATCATCTCATTATCAGATAATGATATTTGAGGTTCAGAGAAGTTAAGGCACTAGCCCAAGGCCACACAGCCAGTATATTTTTTTGCCTACATAATTAGTAATGAAATAAACACAAACTCAATTTGATATTCTCTGAACTTTCATCAGATTTGATAGAAATTAATCAGGTTTGAAACACTGGTTGAGAACCTGCTAGATTTCTAACACTTGTTTCATGATCTGAGTTCCGTAGAGCTTCAAATTAAGTCTATCCCTCTTCTCCTTTCTAGAAAAAGTATTTTCTAATTCCTGAGCTGCTTTGATGGAATTTTAACCCACTTAATTCCAATGTGGCCAAACACATTGTTTGCAACTGAAAAGAAAGAATGACACTGATGTCATACACTATTAGTCCCATAGCCCTGCAGATCTCCAAAAAAGAATCTGTAAAGAAGGGAATTTGGGGAACAATAGACTCCTATAGGGTCACAATAGGCAATATCAGAGTGATCAGCTCTCCAGGCTGGGAGATATAAATAAAAGGTGCATGGCAAGTGAAACTACAATAGCAAGGCCTCAGGGAGCAGAGTTTGATGCTATCATTTAGAGATTGGAACTGGTTCCATTTAATTTTCCTAAATGAAATATATTAGCAGGTGCCACCCCACATTTTTACTCCAGTAATTTCATTCTTCTTTAACATACAGTGAGAATGGTAGGGGGCAGGGAGAAACCCCTCAATGACTAAATAGAAAGAAATTAATAGCCTTTTGGGTCAGAGAATTATAATTCTGAAAGCAGATTTTCCTTAACCAGATAATGAGCTGCAGTTAAAGAGAAGATTGGAATAATGTGAAGATAATTTCATAAGTGCCCCTTTTCAGGACCCTCTGGTTTAAAGGGGCAATCTCAACATGATGTGATGCAAAATCACTTTGCAGTGGTAGTGATAAAAATTGGTTTTGGTACCGCCTCTAATCCAAATTTGGATAACCTTGAGAAAAGTAAATTCACTTCTGTGGAGCCTCAGTTTCCTCATCGTGTAAAATGGGGATGAAAACAAAACACCTGGCCCAACTCAGAGGGTTGTTGGGAGGATCAGGTGGCAAATACATAGGAAAAATATGTCTCATGAACTGGACATTTCTATACCAATATAAGGTATGAGAATGATACATCAAGTTCTTGCTTAAGAATGTACAATATAAAGTCCAAACTCCTCAGAAGACTTTTTGATGCAGCTAATAATCTGATCCCACCTAACCTCTCTAGAATTATCACTAATTATGCCTTTATTAGACCCCTCTGCTCCATTTCTGTGGTTTTCTTACTCTCCTGGAGATACTCTTTTTCCTGCTTTTGTTACTTTACTTATGCTCTTCTTCTTGCTTAGGTTGTCCTTTCCATCTAACTAAAGCAACTTGGAAGTGCACCTAGCTTAAGAAGTGCCCCCTCCAAGAAGGCTTTCTACACCTTCATCACTACTCAAAATATGATCCTCACACCTGACTATTAGAAATGCAGATCTTCAGGTCTTGCCCAGACTTACTGAATCAGCTTCTGCATTTTAACAAATTCCCCAAATGATTTCTTGGCACATAGAGTTTGAGAAGTGCTTTCCAGCCCACATTCGCTTCTCCCTTCTCTGGACTTTTAGGGCATTTAGCAGTGTCTGTCTTGCTACTGAAAACTATTGTTTTCAACTTTGAGATTGTAGGCACTTGGGAGGCAGCTATATATTTACTGATTTTGTGTTTAAGAAATTTTTTTACCTACTTTCAATACCACAGAGGTTTATTATGGGTCTTCTGTGTTTAAGCCACTGTGGGTACAAAAAAATGAGTAAGATGTAGTGCCTACCCTAAAGGGACTCAAGGTCTAAGAAATGGAGAAATTGCTTTCTTGCTTATTTCATTGCTTCCTTCCTTTCATCTATCCTTCAATATTTTATAAACATTACTCTTATTTCAGACACAGCACTAGTTGTTGGGAATTTGAGGATAGCTGAGACAAAACCTCTTATTTTGGGTCTAGTAAAAATACATATGACCATAAGCAAGTAAATTTACATTTGTTAATGCTGTAATAGTATTGCCTTGGGAGTGCAGTTGAGTGATTGATTTGGGAAATGAAGAAGTAGAAAAGGTTACAGAAAGAAATTAGAGTTGAATTTGGAAGTTGAGTACGAACCCTCAGGTAGACAGGGGTCTCCCATACAGAGGGAAGAGCATGCGCACATACACACTAAATACATACTATGTTTTATGTTTAGGGAATGTTGAGTCATTAGGTGTGGTGACATCATGGAATATGTGTGTGTTCTGGGGCAGGGGAAGTCTGGGTGGCTAGAAATAAGGCTCAAAATTAGGCTGGGATATTCCAGCACTATTCACCATAGCCAAGATATGGAATCAACCTAAGCGTCCATTAGCAGATGATTAGATGAAGAAAATGTGGTAATTAATGGAATACTATTCAACCAGAAAAAAGTGGTATACAATGGAATACTATTCAACCATAAAAATAATGCAATAATGTCTTTTGTAGCAACATGAATGGAACTGGAGGCCATTATCCCGAGTGAAACAACTCAGGAAGTCAAGTACCACACGTTCTCATTTATAAGTGAGAGCTGAAAAATGTGTACACATGAACCTAGAGTGTGGAATGATAGACATTTGAGACTCAGAAAGGTGGGAGGGGAGTGGGTGATGTAAAACTATTTAATGGGTACAATGCACATTGTTCGTGTGATGAATACACTAAAAGCCCAGACTTCACCACTCTGCAATATATCCATGTAACAAAACTGCACTTGTACCCCTTAAATTTATACAAATAAAAATTAAAAATTAAAAAAAATTAAGCCAAAAGTCACATTAAACATGTCCTATGTAACACTTACCACAATAAGGAACTTAGGTTGGTTTTTTTCCTTTCATTAGACAATGGGGAGTTCTCGGTGATTTTCAGATCTATTATCTCATAGCAGGTGCTCAATAAAACTTTCTTGAATAGATTGTGGAAGGAGATAAAAGGTTCTTCTCAAGGTTGTAGGCAAAGTGTTCTTTAATTTACTCTGAAATGAAGCTTGTTAAGAGGCTACTGTGGGCCAGTCGTGGTGGCTCACACCTGTAATCCCAGCACTTTGGGAGCCCTGGATGAGCAGATCACTTGAGGACAGGAGTTCAAGATCAGCCTGGCCAATGTGGCGAAACCCCATCTCTACAAATAATACAAAAAAAATTAGGGTGTGGTGGCACACACCTGTAATCCCAGCCACTCAGAAGGCTGAGGTGTGAGAATCGTTTGAACCCAGAAGGCAGAGGTTTGCAATGAGCCAAGATCGCACCACTGCACTCCAGCCTGGGTGACAGAGCAAGACGCCCTCTCAAGAAAAAAAAAGGTGGGGGGCTACTGTGATGAGAGAGGGAAATATGCCTAACTATGCATAACTTAATTAAGAGACTTCCCTATCAGAATGGCAAAATCAAAGCACAACTGCAAAGCCTCAGAACAAATTGATCTGAATAAAATGCAGGTTATTACGTCATCCAAACCCAGACAGAATGTCTGATATAAGTGAAGAATCTTTGAAATCCCCCTTTACAGGTAGCAGGCCTGTGAGTTTCTGGAAAGTGAAGGCAGAAGTACATGCACATGGTTTTGTTATAAACTTGCAGCTGTGAAGAAAAACAATTGTGCTTAGGGGTCTGGACAACCAACTTCCAAGCCATGCTCTTCTACTTACTAGTGGTGTAATTTGGGGACAAGTTATACCTGTGTTTGGGGGCTGAAAATACGCCCCTGCTACTTTTTATTTTTATAACCTGCTTTCCTATTTGAGGAATCTTGTATGAAACCACCAGGGCAAATGTGGTATTATATTACTAAATGCCCACTAGATTCTTTGCAGGAATTTACTGACTCAACTTTTGAGGAAGCTCTGAAGAGGTCCACATATAGAGATTTATGAGCAATTGTAGAATGCCAATTGATTCATAGAATCATGGAATTTCAAGGCTCAAAGGAAATGTGGAAGTAGTATCGCTTTTACCTCACCAAACCTCCTCTATAATATTCCTACCAGATAATAATCTTGCTTTGTGTTTGCCCCTTCCAGTACGACACACATCACCTCCAGCTACATACAGTCCACTCTCTCGTGTGCTAGTGCAATTCTCCTCAGCCACTCTGAGTTTTAGCAGTTCCATCCTTGTTTTGAGCTACTGTAATCTCACATTGCATAAATAGAAGTAAAAATAGCACAGTATCTAGACCAGGAGACTTCATTGTCTTGAATTCTTCTGCACTCAAGGGTAGATCATACCTCAAAGTTTAAGGATGGCTCTGGGGCATGAGGTTTAGCACATATGTAAAGCAACTGAGTTGTGTCCAGAAGAGAGTGGCTTAGGACATGAGGGCACAGGTGAAGAAAGTGGGGCTGTTGAGACTGGAGAAAAGACTCCTGGACAGGTTAGCTGTGTTTAAATATTTGAAGGGCTGTCATGGGGAAAAGGGATTTACCGTGTTCTACATTGGCACAGGACTAGAGCTAGGATCAATAGGTTGAAGCTCTAGGAAATAAATTTTAATTCAATATAAGGAAAAGCTGTCTAATAGTCTGAGTTCTCCAAAGGACCAATAAATAGGCCACCTTGAGAGGGAAGGAGTACCCAGTAACTGCAGTTATTTCAACATAGGCTGAATGCTTTTTAAAAGGACATTTTTGGATTGGGAGCCCAGCCCTCATGGACCCTTGGGTGGATCTTGAGATGTTCCCAAGGAACCTTGATGTTCCCTGGAATCACTTGAAAAGAAGTGGACTAGGCGACCTTTACAGCCCAGTTTATCCCTATGAGTACACATCAACATGCCTGTGATCCAGTTTATATATCAACATGCCCATGATCATGTATTAACATTTTACCCATCTGTTCAAGTTCTACCTTCTTGTAACCTACTCCTTTTTTTAAAATGTTTTGTTAAACTTATTGTAAGAGGAAAGATCCAAGCTGTCTAATAGATTGTATTCCTTTTGGCCTGGAGCCAAATGACCTGTGACCACTCCCTACAGGCAGGCAAAATAGTTATTAGAGTAATATGGATGGTATGTTATTTCACTTTCTATTCTCTTGAGCACACGTGCTCTCTCTGTCTCTGTCTCTGTCTCTCTGTCTCTCTCTCTCTTTCTCTCTCTCACACACACACACACACACACACACAAACTAGTTTGATGGAATTGAGATCTAGAGATGCCAAATGACTTGTCCAAGTTCATATAGCTACTTAATGTTAGATCTAGGAATGGAACCAGAACAATATACGTTACATTATTAATAGTGTGCCTTGAATTTCTGATGAGATTGTAAGCCCTTTTTCTCCTCTAATATATGCTCTAAATACTTACAGAGTTAATTAATTTAGAAGTGTGTGTTTGTGATAAATCTGTAGTTTCAAGATATACAACAACATCTGATGGTATTTATGACTCCTTTTATCTCAAATCAGTGAGGTTTCACTGGCCTCAGAAGCTGTGGTGATCTTAATACATGAGACTTAAGATGACTATGGGCATGCCTGTTGCTCCCAGGCTCTCTCTTGTGAAAAGATTCTGGGTTGTTCTTTATGTATACTGTCCACGTTTTATGACTTGGAAGTTCCATTCAGCTTCCTTTAAAATCCCTTGGCTAAAATCGAATGTTGTCCCAGGGATGACTTAGTGCACTGGGCCTAGGAGAGAGGGCTTCCTCTCTTGGATGGCTGAGTAGTTCCTTTAATCTATTTACCACAAGTGTTCATTGCTCTGAGGCTCTGGGATTCTTCAGGATGAAAGCCCTCTATAAATATTTGTTATTGTTATGATAACCAGTATGGCTTCCTGAGTCAGATAAATTTGTCTTCTGGCTTCTGCTTTTCATAGCTTCCCTCCCTATCCTTTTATTTCTCTCTCCAGATAACTTTTGTATTGGGGAAGTAATCTATTTGTGCAGTTAATTAAGCTGAGTGCAATGTGATAGACATTAGTGACTGTCCAGGTTGTGACTGCTAAGGGATGAAGGCCTTAGAGCTGAGGGTTCATACCATAAATATATATTTTCATCAACCAGAGGGAAAAAAATCCTTGAAAACAGAATTAAAAATGATAGCAGAAGAATAATTAAATATTGCATGGAGGGGTCATGGGGACTGGTTTCCACAAAATTAAAAATGGTAAATCGATGTTTGCAATATCCTGTAGACTATCATCATGATAGCTCTGACTTCCAGCCTCCTCTAAGATGATAGTCAGACTCTTTACAGGGAACACAGCCTTCCCTGATCTGCCCCACGCTAATTTCCCAGACTTACTCTTCACTCTAATGAATCATTCCCATTCCTCCTTGCTTATAAAATGACTCCACTTCTTAAAAGAAAACCCCCGGTCCTTCAAAGGTTAAAGTGTTGGCCGGGTGCGGTAGCTCACACCTGTAATCCCAGCACTTTGGGAGGCCGAGGTGGGCAGATCACGAGGTCAGGAGTTCGAGACCAGCTTGGCCAACATAGTGAAAACCTGTCTCTACTAAAAATACAAAAAAAAAGCTGGGCATGGTGGCAGGTGCCTGTAATCCCAGCTACTCGGGAGGCTGAGGCAGGAGAATGGCTTGAGCCCGGGAGGCGGAGGTTGCAGTGAGCCGAGATTGTGCCATTGCACTCCAACCTGAGTGACAAGAGCAAGACTTCATCTCAAAAAAAAAAAAAAAAAAAGGTTAAAGTGTCAACTCTCATGAAACTGCCCTGACTATACTAATCGCAAAACATCAATCTCTCTACTCCTTTTTCTGAAATCCTGTACTCCTCTCTGCATTCTCATGTGGCATGTCATAGTTTGGGGAAGTAAATTCTGGTAATCTTCTCAAGTGAGTCATTCTTGTCTCCCAAATATTATCAGTTTGTAAGCTCCTGAAAGACAGAACCCAATGCTTCTTTATATAATGTGTCCTTGTATTCCCAACAGCACCTTTTGCATAGTAAATACTGGATTAATTGTTTAGTTGATAACTTCATGTTTGAGGAGAGTCATAGTTGAACAGAATGGAAAAGGAAGACTCATAGTTGGATATTGACAAGAATGAAATTATGTGGGGACCTCAGCCATTGAGATGAAGGAAAACTGGATAGATCCCTGGAGTTTCGGATTATTTAGCAGTTGGGTAAGAAGATTAGTTGGTAGTACTGCACAGACCAAAACATCTGGTTGCCTCCAAATATGATCAACACAGCTGTTGGTGTACTTAGAATTACTTCTCTTCCAAGGTTAATGACTTTTGTCCAGCTGTGTCCAGTCTTCTAGCAGCTACTCAGAATATAGCCATTCTGGATCACATCTGTTGACTCTACACAAGTAAGAAATGTACACGGAACTTCTTTATTTCTTTAACTGCAAATATGTTATGTAGGCGGTATTACCCTGAAACTTATACTTCCTAAAGGCAAATTATGGCAGCCCCTATACTTTAACTTTCCTGAACATATAAGCATTTAAAATGAATACCATATATTTGCTCACTCACACCTGTCCCCCACTGTCTTGAATTCTGCATTGATACATTGTTCCCACTTCAAGCCAAGAACTTGTTTGTATTGAGTCCTGAAACACAAAGTAGGCACCTAGTAGGCACTTAATAAGTTTTGGCTGATTTAATTAAAGATCTGCTAAATAGAGTCTAAACACCAAACCACCTGTATTTAATTTTAAGAAGAAATGACCAGAGATAGACATAATCATGAATCTCCTGGTACAGGAAAGAGTATTACAGGAATAGTGTAGACAGTTATCCTTCATTACCTTGCAAGACAGGATAATAGGAAAAATACCTGCAATTGCAGCTTGCCTGAATTAGATAAGAAGGCAATATTAGCAGAATGATTAAAAACAAGGACTTTGGTGTCAGACAGATCTGGATTAGAGTCTTAGCTCCCGTCACTGATTAGCTGTGTGGCCTTCGGTAATTTACTTATTCTTTGGCCCTCAATTGTCTAATTTATAAAATGAGGATAATGATATGGCCTACCACATGGGATTGGCTTGAGGATAAAATAAAATGATGTAGGAGACTTTCACATTTTTTACGAGGTGGAGAAGGAGCCAGTGGAGAATAAAAGGTTGATGATACAAGAAAGGGAGAGAATAACTGATTGGCAAGGACTTGGAGATAATATCTTTTGAACACTATGGACAGATCTGCTTTCAGAATGGTTTGGAATTCAGCTCTGTCTTGAACCATATTCAAACTACTTATCTCTAGTGCAGATCCGGTCCCTAGGACTCTGAAGCTCTTTTCGATGTACTCCCTCTCCCTCATGCCTGCTCCAGAAGCACCACCCTCTAGAAAGGATCAGGACTCCTAGCTTTCCATTTCAGCCACCTTATTGTACCCATACCTTACCTTATGTTATGTTGCCAGCTTATAGACAGAATTCAAAAGAAAAGACTGCTGAAGAAAGCCTTTGCTTTATTATGTCTGCAGTCTTCTGAAGTTAAAAAAAATTCAGTTATATCATAACCAATAGAATGGGAAGAGAAAAATTTTTAAAAGTCATTATCAGCCAGGCACGGTGGCTCACGCCTATAATCCCAGCACTCTGGGAGGCTGAGGAGGGCAGATCACCTGAGTTCAGGAGTTCGAGACCAGCCTGGCCAACGTGAAGAAACCCCATCTCTAATAAAAATACAAAAATTAGCCAGGTGCAGTGGCTCACGCCTGTGGTCCCAGCTACTCGGGAGGCTGAGGCAGGAGAATTGCTTGAACCCAGGAGGCAGAAGTTGTAGTGAGCCCAGATTGTGCCACTACACTCCAGCCTGGGCAACAGAGTAGTGAGACTCTGTCTCAAAAAAAAAAAAAAAAAGTCATTATCCTTGAACTTAGGTCTTCTTAGACGTTATAGCTAAAGCAAGGTAGAGCCATACTAGTCCTCAAAAGAATTCTTACTATTTTCTTAGTTACTTTACCTGTCAGTGTTCATGCTTCCATTCAGTAAAATGCCTACAGCTGTGCCTGGTATTGGAAATACAGAAATGGATAATATACTGTCCATGCTGTCAAATAATTTGTAGTCTGATAGGGGAGACAGAAGAGGAAAATTACAGTTCCTATGCTGAGTTCTAAGTGCTGTGCAGCACCAGGGGTGCTGTGTGCATCTGGGGCACCCTACGTTTTGGGGAAGGTGTCAGGCAAGACTTCTTGGGAAGCCTGAGGGCTAATGATATTATACAAGAATAACCTTGAATCTGCTTTCAACTCTTGGCAAACTTTGGTACTTTAGCAATTATTTGTAACAAATTATTTGGATATAGCTTACAACTGATTTTAACAGGCCGATGATGTGTTATAAGGGTTACAAGACTATAAAATGCCTTCCTATCTGGGTTCCCAGTCCCAAGCCATCCCTATTCTAGGACAACATATACGTAACTGCTAGAGTTACTCTCCCAAAAGTCCTCCAAGAAGAAGTGTCAAGTTGGAGTTATCCAAGAGAAGGGGGAGAGGGAGAAGCAAGGAGAAGAAGAAAAAGGCATACTGGGCAAAGTAATATCGTACACAAAAGGCAAGGGGTGAAAGAGGGGAATGTGTAGTGTGTAGTGTAAAGGGAGATTGGTGGAAGTGACAAGAGAAGTTCAGAGAATCAGCATGGAGGGACACGTATGCCATGGTAAGGAAGTTGGATTCAGTTCTACAAGGTAATGAGAAATCACAGAAGCAGTTTTTTTAAGAGTGACCATCTATCTATGTGTTATCACTGTCTTACCTCAGTGTTTGTCAGGTGGGGAAACTGAGGCCAGGGTGTAAGCAGAATTTTATCAAATTCCAGGTTGGAGTGGTATTTTAGGGCCAAAGCTGAGATGGAGTCAAACCATTTCATGCCTTTACTGACAAGCCACCTAGCTCTGGTCTAGGGACTGTGAAATAGTAAGCAGAGAAGGCTTAGACTTATCAGTAACAGGTTTGGGGAATCATGCATAGTCTTGTTCCCAGTGTGTATAATGATAAGACTCTGCCAGAAGTCTTCTAGCTCTAACATTCCTTTTCTCTCTTGTCTCAGTCCTGTGTATTTTCAAGCTCTCTACCCATCATTGTAAGCATTCACTGAGTGAATTATCTATATTTGTCTGTTTGTATATATGTATGTATGTTGAGAAGGTAATACTAGAAAAACCAAACTGCTAAAAAGGAATAGAGAACAGCCTAGAAAGAGGTAATATAAATAAAAAGCATTTAGGGTTCGAAACATTTCTTTTTTCTACTTTAAATGCATGGAATAGAGTTTTCTACTCTTTGTTGTTGTATCATGAGGATGATGAATTAATGTCTGCCGGCATTTTTAGCTTTTTTTTTTCAGATGAAATGTGCTTCTTCTGCTCTTATTATTCTAATAGATAAATATTACAGATGAAAAATTCCAGGAAAATAAAGAATGATGATTACATCCCTGAGCTGTCTGTATTGATGACTTGTTGCCAGTTTCTTCATACTTATCTTAAAGCCATTTAATTAAACTTTTTCTTGGAGAACTCTTTCAGTAGGTGATAGAAACTTGGATTTACATTGTCATTTATGTGAAGGGCTAATATTCTTACACTGTGGTATTTCCTGCCTTTTTTTCAGACATTTCTGCCTGTTATGGAAAAGTTTAAGTCTTGGGGCTCAGGGGTAACTTGATAAATCAAAATTCCATGTTTCAAATCTGGCTCAATATGAAGTGAGTTTTTCACCCTTCAAACCTATTTACTTCCTAGGAGCCTAGCTACTGGTTTAGCCCCATATCTTCCTAGGCTGCTTCACAATACTTTTCAGCCTTTGTTATGTAAATTCCAACTCTTAAACATAGATTCCTATATTGTTTGAACACCTCCCCTCCCATATGGTTAAGACAGATAAAGACTTTCTTTTTTTTATTTTATTTTATTATTATTATACTTTAAGTTTTAGGGTACATATGCACAATGTGCAGGTTAGTTACATATGTATACATGTGCCATGGTGGTGTGCTGTACCCATTAATCATCATTCTCAGTAAACTATCGCAAGGACAAAAAACCAAACACCGCATGTTCTCACTCATAGGTGGGAATGGAACAATGAGAACACATGGATACAGGAAGGGGAGCATCACACTCTGGGGACTGTTGTGGGGTGGGGGGAGGGGGAAGGGATAGCATTAGGAGATATACCTAATGCTAAATGACGAGTTAATGGGTGCAGATAAAGACTTTCAAGCAAGATCGCCTAGGTTTCAATCCTTGACCTGACATTTACTAGCTGTCAATCTTAGGTGTTTTTTAGCTTCTCTTTGGCTTAGTTTCCTCCTCTGAAAAATGGGGTTATTAGTAGTATCTACCTTGTCAGGTTGTAATGAGAATTAAATAACTTCACTACGTAAAGCATCTGAAAAGTGCTTATCACATAATCAATATTATTATCTGCCTGCTAATTATCTGCTGATTTTGTTATTCCTTCTATTTTGTATTTGTTATTCCCTCAATTTATAACTTTCTTTCCTAAGAGTTTTGCATGGCTGACTCTTTATCATCAGGCAGGTGTCCATTCAAATGTCATCCCCTCAGGGAGGCATTCCCTGTCCACCCAATCTAAAGTAGGTCCCTCCCTGCCAGGCTCTGTCATATCACCCTGTGATTGCCTTAATTGTTCATGTCCACCATCTGTAATTATCTAGTTTTTTATTTATGTACTATTTGAGTACTTTCACCAGAACATAAGCTCCATGGGGCCAGGGACCTTGTCTGCCTTGTTCACCACTGTACCAAATAGCATGTGGCAATGTTCAGTTGAAATGCATTGAATGAATAAACAAATACTGTGATTCCATTTTCTGAACCAAAGCCAGTGCACCTTGTCTGTCAAAGAACCTTTATTTGTGTGCTTCTAGGTGTAGAAACTACTGGATGGTATATTTTGGATTATAAAAATGGAAACTTCTTGTACATTTTTGATAGTTTAGGTGGAGACAGCACTGAGAATGTCATTAGAACTGGCTTGGAAAACCCATTCATGTGATCTCTGTAATGCCAGTGTTTCCTACAGTGGTCCTTGCAAAATGGGTACCCGATAGTGTTAGTCACTCCCTCCTCTTGTCCCTTGGGTCTCCTTGGATGGATCTGGACATCTCAAGGGGTATGACTTTGTAATTTTTATTTTGATGTCTCTAGAGCACTTAGTACAGTGATTTGTACACAGTGGGTGCTCAATAATTGTCCACCCTGTGAATGAACCTTCTCTTTTTCTTTAACATCACAACTTCATATATCAACGAGGTGTGGAAAGAAAAGAGACAACTTACGTAGGGTTGTCAAGAGTTATGACTTATATTTGAGGGTTTGAATAGCAAATACACTAAAAACAGCCAATCACCTAATAAGAGATTGTCTAACCCAGGCCCTAGATACTTCTCAAAGAGACCATTGTTTGGTGACTTCAAGGTGGGTTCCCTGTCAGACTTTCAGGTTGCCATAGAGATGACATGTTTTTCTTCCTAAATGATATTTGCTTGTAATCTCAGAACTCTGTTCAGGAAATTAGCACAGGTTATTTGGGAGTGAGAAAGGAGTGACTATGGCAGCTTCGAGCCTTGCTACCTGGTAAAGGCCTAGTTTGCTAAATGAAGTAAAAAAAAAGGGGGGGGGGAGGGATTTAAACTGCATTCTAAGGAAAAGGTTAGAGTTGTGAAGCCTTTCTTTTCCCCTACTGTGAATGAGGAGGTGATATACAAAGAAAGAAGAAAGAGTTCCAAGTCACAGGGTTCAAAATTCAGGGCTATATTATGCCTGTAATAGTTGTTGCCACAGAAAATGGGACTTGTGGAAAGAAAAAGTTATCATCAGTATCATCTAATAAAGCACTTATAGAAATGTACTGAGCACCATGGAAACATTTTGTGGTGTCTGGTAGTTATAATTTATCTTAGTATATGCTTGTTGAGGGAAGAGACCACATTTTACCATTCCCTTTGCATCCGGTGCAGCACCTTAACCTGTCTCATCTGCAAGGTCTCTTTCCTTTTCCTCCTCCCTTGTATTAATCTTTCTAAATTACTCTTCTCATAGCGTCACTTATTTTTTTTTTGAGATGGAGTCTAACTCTGTCACCCAGGCTGGAGTGCAGTGGCACAATCTCGCAATCTCAGCTCACTGCAACCTCTGCCACACGGGTTCAAGCCATTCTTGAGCCTCAGCCTCCCAAATAGCTGGGATTACAGGCACATGCCACCATGCCCAGCTAATTTTTGTATTTTTAGTAGAGACAGGGTTTCACCATGTTGGCCAGGCTGGTCTTGAACTCCTGACCTCAAGTGATCCACCTGCCTCAGCCTCCCAAAGTGCTAGGATTACAGGCGTGAGCCACAGCGCTCGGCCAGCATCACTTTCTATCAAAACATTTAATGGTGCCTCCTTGTCAGTTGAATAAAATCAAACCCTTAAGCCTAACACTAAAACCCTTTCAAGATCTATCTTTCTAGCTTACTTTCCCACTACTTCCATAATATACGCTAATCTCAGACATCCTGGAGTACTTATCTTGCATTTCCTGTATATGCCCTGTGCTCTTTTGGTTTGATCTTTCCCACCACCTCCTCCTCCACTGAATGTTTGCTTATGCTGTTCCTTCCCTCTGGAATGCCTCTCCCTCACCCTATAATCTCTAGCTAATGAAATTCTTCCCATCCTTTAAAGCTCATTTAAATGCTACCTCAGTAGGAAGTGATCTTTTGGTGTTGTGAATTCCTTTAGCCTTTTCTCCTAATCTTCTTTTCATCCTCCTGAGGCTTAATACAAAGCCTCCCATACAGGTATTCAAATATTTGAAAAAATTATAAATGAACTGTAGGTTGAGTCACATATATGCCTCCCAGAGGCAGAAATGACAGCCATCTTGCAAGGCTAGCTAAGAGGTGTTCTGTATACTGAAGCTTGTTTTCTCATTGTATTCCATGATAAAAAGAGAAGATGAATTTCAGGATTGTTTGGGCAGCAATAATCAGGGAAAGAGAAGGAAATTTACATGAGTACAACTAAGGATTTTCTGAGAAGACCTGGCTTGTCACTGCTTCTAGGAGTAGAACCCAGGCCTTAGGGGGAAAGATATGGAGACCTAGAAACACTGAGGACAGTGAACTTGTCTAGCCTTTTTTTCTTCTTATAACCACTACCCTGTATAGCTCAGCCACGCTGGCGTTGCCTTCACCATCACCTCATCAAACAGTGTCCTGTCATTCTGTTGCCAAGGAAACTATATGGTGGGATTCCACTGATGGGGGATTAATACAAGGAAAGAAAACAAATATACATTCCCTCAATTAAGACATCCCCACAAGGAAGCCCAAAGTTCTGTCAAGCCTCATAAGATGACAGGCAAAATTGCCTGCTACCTTGTCCAGAAGCAGCATGGCATACATAGCTCAATGCTAATGACAGAGGGCTGTAAGCACGTAATCCCTTAGGACCATGGCATGATGGTCCAAAGCACCTACCATAAGTGTAATTCTCATGCCTTATCTTAAAAATTCAGACCTATTTTGCAGTCTTCTCTAAAATGTAATTGTGTTTGTTGGGATATTTAAAATAATGTTTTAAGATGAAGTTGATGTTCCATAGATGTGTATAGGTTTATGCTGTAGCTTTAAAGGACTACCTGGGACACCTCTGTATATTCCAGTATTAGTCTCAGCCCTGATGTGGTGAGGATTAAATGAGATAATATTTAGCATGCAACCCAGTGCTAGAAACATAGTAAGTGCTCCATATGGGACTTGTTTGTGGTTAATTTCTCTCAGAATACAGTTTCTTTGTCCATTAAATGAGATTACAGTGATACCTTCATCAAAGATTTGTCACTAGGATTCTGTGAAATATGCATGCAAAGTACATTGACTCCTTGTTGCCTGGCAATGTAAAAGCCCACTTTTGAGGGGAGGACTTTGCTATTCACATTCCACAGAGTAAAATGTTGGGTTGTATTCACATTCAACACAGCTTTAGTGTTCATTTCTTATGCATCAGGCATGTTCTTCTCTTTTTATGTGGAGATAGAGGAAATAAAATGGAAGCAACAGCAGGTAAGCAACACTTGGGTGCACACGCACTTCACAACAGCCGCAGAAATACTTCTCCAAATGCCTGCATTCACCTGACTCCAAAGAAAAGGCCGCAGGCAGAGTATTCTGACCAAGATTCCTGTGTCCCAAAGACCTTGCCACATTGATCGGGGAAAAAGAAGTTTTGTATTAAGATGGCAATTACCCAGACAATTTGCAAAGGGTATTTTACCTGCCAGTATGTTCCCTGGCAGAAATGATCTCTGATTACAAGCCTCATGCAGTGAATATATAGATATCTTGTTTCACTATCTTGCCTCTGTGTGGGGTGTGTGTGTATGCGTGGATGTTGAAGTGTGTGTTTAATTTATGTTTCTTGCTGCTTGAAGAGATACAGCTTCGATGTTTTTTCTTTTCACATAAAATCACTATTTATCCCCAGCTGAAAATAACCTTTTTATTGTTCTTGTTTTTGTCTCCTTCTTTCTGTGCCTCTACAAGCAAAGCTTCCTGTTGAATCTTGAAACATCTGACTTTAAAATCAGGGTACAGTCTTGTGAGGGTATTTCCACGTGCAATCAGTCACAGAAGCCATGCAGCCAAGTGCCTTAGTAGATTGCAATCACAGGGTTGTATTCACTCGAGGTGTGGCTGTGAGGGTCTCCCCAGCTACCCTTCTAACATACACATAGATATACACAGGCATACACACATACACACACACACACACACACACACACACACACACAGAGAGAGAGAGTTACCTCCTTTTTTAATACTGTTTATTTGTATGTTTAAAGACTGAATTTTATAAATTAAAAATTAAATTATACACATTGCTACAATGATTTATTTTCAAATCAGAAAATGCAGACAAGTATAAAGAAGAAACAAATACCATTCCACCCCCCAACCCCAAGAAAATAGCCACTGTTAGCATTTGTAGAAGTGACTTACATTTTTCTAGGACACAAATTCATTTAATTTCACCTTAGTAATGAAAAGAAAACTGTCAATAGGGCACAATTCTTTGGACGATGACAGTAATGTGACTTGAAATGAAGCAAAGTCCAGGCGCTAGGATGTGCACCTGAGAGATGATTGGGACCCCGAGGCTAAGCTTGGCTGCAGCGGAATTCATTGTGGGGAGAACAGAGAATTAAATGCCAGAACAGAAGCTATTACAGAGGGATTGACTGTCCTTGCCCAGGCTCTATAGCGTAAGCAAAACTTTCCCTACTCCTTGCTGGCTGAAACCCTGAGTTCTGACTCTTGAGAAGGAAAGGGTTCGATTTTGACGGTCAACTACACATAATCACCTTCCCGCATTGTCCCGAAACCAGAAACGGAGTCAGTACTAAGTACCAAGGTCCTTTGAACATCATTTATTTTTCAGGAACCACTCTTTCAAAAAAAAAATCAATTACAGATGCTTTTTGGGAGAGTGGGATGTGTGGCAAAGAGACATGAAAGTCAGCGTTCCGCAAGATTTAGTTGTTACTTATGGGAAGATGAATGATTTAAATCTCTCTTGAAGCTGAACCTCCTTAAGTATCCACTTATATTGTCACTACCCATGAGCATGTCAGGGCAATATATGTATATATAGATTTACCTAGATGCCTGAATTGGTTTTTTCATTCTTTCCACCAATTCCTACAACTCTGGTTCTCAAACTGTAGCCTTAGAAGCACCTGTAGAGCTTGGAGATGGAAGGGGGTGCTACTTCCAGAGTTTCTGACTTTAGTAGGTCTGGGATGAGGACCTGAGAATCTGTATTTCCTACAAGTTTCTAGGTGATGATGATAATGCTGGTTTGAGAACCAGATTTTGAGAATCACTGCCCTACAAGAATATATAGGCATGATTTCATCTCAAAATATTTAGGGAAAAGATGAAACTGTGAATTTTCCAAAATATTATTCCTGATTTAGGCTAATTTTGGTAGAAAATTATTGAATTTAGCCACCACTACTCCATTACCCCATATATATTGCAGATTGTATTTTTCAATTTATGATAGCATTTTTGTTTTAGAGTTCCTTTTTATCTATCCTTCTGCCCTCCGATCAACAGAATTTCTCCCATCTTTGTCTTTCTGAAAAAGTATAATTTCCTAATACCTCAGTGGTATGTGGGCAGTCTTTTTTGGAGAAGATTTCTAGCTCTGCCAATTATTAGCTGTAGATCCTTCAGTAAGTTAGCTGACATTTCTGAACCCCAGTGTCCACATCTGTAAAAAGGACAAAACCAAAACAAACAGAAAAACATGTGGCTCACCTAGGGAGTGTGTGCATCAGACAAGATAAATAGTGTATAAAATGCCTAGCATAGACGAAAATAAATGTTAGGCCCCCATATCCCTTCTATTATCTGTATTTATGTTGCAGGGATTGTTACTACTATTTCTAGTGTTGATTCATCTATAATAGAATATAGTATCTATCTAATGGAGCCAAGGCAACATCTCCTGGAGATCTCAGCAAATCAAGATTTCCCTATGGTTCTAAGACATATTTTATGTCAGGGACAAGTGGGAACAGGAATAATTACAGCAAGCATTTATTGGTGCCTGCTACTATGATTGTTGAGAATGATCTCATCTAATCCTAACGACAGCCCCATACGGAAAGTATTATTATAATCATTATTTTACAGATGAGGAAATGGAGGCTCAGAAAAGTTAGGTAACTTGCCTGAGGTCCCACAGATGCTAATAAATGCAGAGCCAAGATCTAAACCAAGGGCTATCTTTTCTCCAAAGTCTGAGCCCCCTAATTATTGCACAACACTGCCTCTCCAGTTCAGTATCATAAGCTGTCCCTGTTGAGAAGGGACCTTAGACATCACAGAGTAATCCTTTCATAGTAGAGATGAAAGAACTGAGGCCTGGTGGTGGAGTGAGATACATCAGCTCACTGATGGCAAAGCCAAGAGCTAAACTTGGGTTGACTCTAACCTCTGAACTTTTTACAGCAATATAGTTTTGCTTTCGTACAAATGAAAAGTTTTCACTGTGCCGTTCAAGCATCAGACAAACAAACAATGACTCTACTGAATTAGAGGGAAAATTTAACAATCAGCTCTCTGTGGGAGGAAGGGAAAGCCCTGATTTGTAGCTTTTGCCAATTTCCATGGTATAAATACTCCCACCAAGGCTGATTTCAACTTATCCATGTCATGGCACTGGATGCTAAGTTGGGAGGAGATGCACACAATCCACTGCCTCAAGCTGGTGTGATCTGACTCTAGCATACCACTGCATCCGTCCTCATGGAGAATGACAACCAAACCCTGAGTATTGTTCCAAGCTAAGATTCTGATGGTGAAGAAAAAAATGAGTGTTTCTTATATGCCAGGATTCTGAAATTCAATAGAATTGGTATCCTCGCCAACTCTTCTTTTAGAGTTTAGGACTGGTTCTATTACTGGGATTGAGCCTTTGCCAAGGCCCTCTTGTGACTTATTTATAGAACTTTTCCCCCCCAAAGGATATATGAATATATTGTGTCATGCTCTATCTTTAGAAATGCTAATCCCTTGTCTCAATTGATATCTTTGAAATTGAGGATAAATTAAAGTACACCAAAGAAGTTGTTTGTTTTTATTTTGTTTTAATTTAAACTACCAAAAAAATAGTTTTAAAACTTATAAAATGACCCAAAGAACACATATTTATTTTAGGAAATTTAGAAAACTCATGCAAACAAAAGAAAATAGGTTTTAAAAAAATCCGTTTTTCCAAAATCCAGAGGTAAACATGGCTAACATATTGGTGTACATATTTCTAATGTTTTTTCCTTCCTATATGCAGATAGAATTTTTTTCCAAAAAAAAATAGCCCTACAATAAAGGAAATCCATTTGCAAAATGAAAAGCTATCACAGATTATTATCTTCCATGTACAGGTCCTGCCATTCTATTCATATTCACGGAAATGATATGTTAGCTATATTTATGCTGATGTTCTTCACGCATTTGAAGATAATACTGCTAATGGGGATTGTTATCTGTGAGTACAGATGGGACTAAAAAGACCAGGGTGACAGTCTCAGCCTTTTCCACTCCATAGACCACTGTACACACAAAGACTGTTTTCGAGTTACAATTGCAGCTGTGCGGATATGGTGACTGATTGGGACTCTGCCTCTGAGACCCGAGGTCATCCTAGAGCTCAGAAAACAACCCCCTCCTGCACTCCCTTATTGCTGTAGCCAGCCTGGCCTGCCTGCTGCTTGTTTCCTGCTGCCTGCAGCTCAGCCCCATTGTTTGAAGTGGGGCTTCAGAGCTGCTTTAATGGGTTTTCTTCTGCCCTCCCTGCTTGGGGTTGCCTCACTTCAGTTCACCATACAACAGTCTGATCTGGTGTCCTGGGGCCATCCATCCTTCACACATGTCCAGCCCAGTGGGGCGCTGTTAGAAATGGAATTTGTTCATTCCCTCTCCTCAGTCTTGATTTTTGTGAAACAATACCCTAGAAAAATTTACCAGTCATAATAACAATGCTAGATGACTGACTCTGGGAAATTAATGTTTCTTTCTGAAGTAGATGCTCATTAATAAGTTGGGGAATAGTGGCCAACAAGACTTACCAGAAGGTAAGGTAAAGTAACTGACCTCTCTGGAATCTTTGCTTTTGGCTGTGAGTCTCAAATGTGGATTTGACAGATCCTTTTCTGACATGTTCCTGAGTTCAATTCCCTCCTTGAAGGCCAACGTTGAAAGACAGATAATCAGCAAATGTTTGGGAAATGCAGCTCTTAATTAGGAGTTGCTTAAACGTGTGGTAAATTGTATATACAGCAGGTCCTATTCAATGCCATTTTATTAAAATGTTAATGAGGAAAAAAATTGATTCTCCCCAGGGCCACTGCCCATGTGGAAGGTGCACATCCTCCTCATGTCTGCGTGTGTTCTTTGGGTACTCCGCTTTCCTCCCACTTCCCACACTTGTGCACATGAGGTGTCTAAGTTGTCCTAGTGTAAGTGGGTGGTGTGTGAGTGCTCCCTGCGACGGGATGGCATCCTGTCCAGGGTGGTTCTCACCTTGCATGCCCCCTGTGCTGCCAGGATGGGCTTCGGCCACCCACAACCCTGAGCTGGAATTAGCGGGTTGGAAAATAACTAAATGAAGTAATACAAATTATTGGAAAATAAAAATTTGTAAAGTATATGATAACCATACAAATGCATGACAATAAACGACACTCTAGGAAAGCACTCAACAATCTGCCACATTTGTGATTCTTCTGGAACTGCTGGGTGGCAGGAGGTGCTCCTTATGATTTCGCTTTGCAAACATTTATATCTTGACCTGACCCACCATCACTACGACCGCTGTCACTCACCAATTCACCAAAAATTGGGCAAATAATTCTCTTTCTTGTTCTTATTAACTTTTCTTAAATGTATGTATAGCTCACACTTATTTAAATGTTTAATATTAGAAGTGTTTTGGGTCTTTATTTAGAAGTTTGGTGGCTTTGACCAGATGTATGCTGTAGGAACTTAACTTTTGTTACTCTTGTTTGTATCAATTAGCCTAGAGTAAAATTGGCTTCATTATACATCATTTCACTTACAGTCACACTTTCCAAGAACCTATTGATGTTAAGTGAGGACTTAATTACATATCATTGTATAAATGGGTGATATTTGGTGGGTTCATGCTGATATTTTTCGTGTAGCACATTATTTATTGGTAGACTGTCAGGCTCTCTCCAAAGAGAAGAAACCTTTTTGGTGGGAAAACAATGTAACAAAAGAGAGCCCAGGCCTCTGGACAGTTTGTGAAAGGCGGTATTTTTTTTTTCATTTCAGAGGAGTTAAGAGTACTAGTTGAGTGACCTTAAGAAAATAATTTCACCTGTCCTGTCTCAGTTTCCTTCTTAGTAAAAGGGAAATACTAATATATTCTCTATGGTGATGTTGTAAAGATTAAATGAAAAAGAGTAGCACTTGAAGCGCTTCACACACACTGCCTGGCACATAATAAATTCTATGTTCATTAAATGATGGCTATATTCTCCAAGGGGAAGGCAGTATCCACATGGCTCCAGGTGGCAAGGTAGTGTTCCCCATGCAGGGGAACCAGTTGACCCTCCAGTTAAATGTTGGTGCCACGGTGTGTGGGGGGTGCGGGGGTGTTTCTGGTTTCCCCTCTTGTGTTGCTTCAAATCCTGGTGAATCACAACATTTAGACTTGTGTTTCTCAACCTTGGCTGCACATTGCAATTATGTGGGGAGCTTTAAAAAGTATGGATGCCTGAGTCCCACCTTCAGAGAGTCTGATTTAATTTATCTGCAGTGGTACCTGGGCAAAGGGATTTTTCAAAGCTCCCCCAAGTGATTCTAATGTGCAGTCAGAGTTGAGAATCACTTGATTTTAGGCAGATGCTCCACATCTGTGACAAAGATGATGAAAATTAACATCATGCTATAGGAGGCAGCGTGCCACTACAGCCTTGATCATGGATTCCTTCCAAATCTCTTGACCCAGGGCAATAATCACCAACCCACAAAATTTGCATTAGCCCCACCTGTATTTATCAAATGTCACCATCAGCCATACTGTACCACACTCCATTAAATGCGCGTAATTTGCATAAGGGGCAGGGATAAAAAGCTCACACCTGGTTTTGTAATCAGGTTAAGAAAATGTACAGTAGTCTAAGAGTTAATCTCATTAATGCTGATCTCCTATGCTTGGGTTGTTAGCTATTACTCAGCTTTTATTAATTTAGGCTTGAACATGTATCTGCCTTGTCCACAATTCCAGATGATGCTATAACTCATGCCCTTCTGTCAGTTCCAGAAGATGACTACATGTGTTTTATTTAGATAAACTGAAATTATTTCAGCTTTCAACTGTTTTGGTAATTTTGTTTCATTTATGGATGATGAGTGGTAAGATCCACTCTTCATTTTTACATACTAAAAGTCATCTGAAAACAGATTTGTTTGGTTAATGAAGTCTTATGGGATGGGAAAGATTGAGGAGGGAACATAGTACTTGAAGTTTTAGTTAGTATGGATTAAAAACAAGTAGGGCAACTTTTGTTTGCTTGGAGGGCTCAAAACCAGGTAAATAAAACCCTACGTTGAGATTCAGTAGTTAGGAACAGGTATTCACTCTATATGTCTATGATGTGTACTAGCTTAATTTAGGTTTAGTTTAGCTTAGTTTAGACACTTAATCCATGCTGGAGACACTATTAGTAACATAGGAACATTCATCCCCCACCCATGGTTAGTATCCATCTGGGTAACAGGCCAGATGAAGTTAATTTCTATATAAAATGGAAATATAAGTCATATCCACTCAAATATTTGAATTTATATCTGGATTCTTTCCTGTAAATGTCTTGCTGCTCTTGATGGAGGAAAATGGATATGGTTTTTACATAAGGACATGATTTATGAAGCAACTCTCTGAACCCCAAAAAGCCTAGTGGCAAATAAATTTGTCAATTTGAAATCAAAGGATCTTGAATCAGAAACAAATGATTGTTGATCATAGAATATTGTTTTAATTTAAAGCATTTTTTCTCATAATCACTCATTGGAAATGAATTGTTGATACTATGGCTTTTAATATGTGACTTAAATTGCTCAAAAAAAATGAAAAGTATCTTTTTGAAACATCAGGAAAAAAAAGCCTTCTGGACAGGCCTTAGTGCTGAGTCTCAGCAAAATTCAAGTTTTATCTTAAGCACATATCTTTTATGTTCCAAAATCTTTCTGAAAACTCTGAGATTCTGCCAAGTTGGATGAAGAAAGCAGAAAGGGAGCATAGTTGGTTTTTGTTTTGTTTGTAAAGCTGTTCCCTCTTTCTTGTTTATTCTTGGTGGCCAAGAGACAGATCCTGGGTTGCTTTGTTCTTTGGCTGGGATCACTACCTTACCATATGAAGGGATTTTTAAAGCTTCGGTTTGCTTCCTTGAAGTAAAAGGCAGATGCAACTTTTGCCTTTAAGTACATTCTCAGTGGAAACTAATGTTTGGGGTGTTTCGAGGGGCTGATTTTAGACATGGAGTCCTGTCCTGGAACTTTCAATGCAGATCTGAGCCTGTGAGAAACATTACTTTTTGAAATGGAGTTGATTTTATTCTTGGGATTGACAAAATAGAAACAATACTTACTAACTACAACCAGTAAAGTGGATCTTTACAAACAGAACATTCATGGAAAAAAAAACATGCAATTTTATTTTATCCCTACCACTTGATAATAGTTAAGATTGTCTAATCAATTTCACTATTGTTGCACTTCCAGGATGCTTGATTGGGTCACCTTTCGTTAATGGCTAGTAGTGCTAACTGGCATGCAACTTAACTCCCCCCAACGCTCACCCCTCCTTTCTTCACTGCCTTTTTTTTTTTTTTTTTTGGCTTTTTGCCTTTGCAGCCAAAAATAGCTGGCAAATTATGTTCATTTTCAACCTAATTTGGAATGGAAGGGAAAAACCAAAATTTTATTGCAATATTTTTTATTGCTTCAGTTACTCTGAACATTTATTATTTACTATTATCCTTTATCTGGATAATGACTGCTTTGTTTGCCATTTCAACCAATAGTTAATTCATCAGCAAAATCAAATCTCAAACTTCACATCTCTTCCAATCCACAAATCCTGTTCATCTCTAATTCCAAACTTACATGCCTCTATGACTAGGGATATTTATTCTTGTTTAGTAATGTTTATTTTGTTATGCTTTTCCTTGAAAGAAGGACTATTTTATAAGCAGTAACTTTTCTTCTGTAATTAAACATTCCATCCAACCAAAAATAGACCTTGAGAATCTCAATCATTTTTTTACTGCCCTATATCATTGTCTATACATCTCGGATCTTGCCACAGTTCCGTCCCCCTGATTTAGATGGCATGAAGACAGAAGCCACATTTAGTGGCTTACACATAGCAGGTGTTTGTTAAATTGAATTGAGTCACTTATGGGCACCATGTCAACTCCCAGCCTTTGTACATACACACACACACACACACACACACACACACACACACACACTATATATATATATATATATATATATATATATTCCCATTAATCTTTTTCATAGCGCTCTTTTCCTTTCCTTTGTAGTATTTATTATAAATTCTAAATTTATAGATTGATAAAAACTGAACTTCATATCTACACACATTAAAAAAAGTACTGCTTAGTACCTTTCTATATGCTTGTCACTTGGAACAACTCTATGAGTCATGTAAGTTCCATGAGGCCAAGACTCATGTCCCACTTGTTTTCCACTGTATCCCCAGTAGATAATGCAGTGTCTAACACATACCAGGCACTCTCAAATACTGTTTGAATAAATGAAGAAAAATTTTTTACTTACCCTTAAACTAGCTCTATATAACTGTCTAATTCCACCATTAGAGGGCATGTAGGGTCAAAGTTTCATTCAATAAATATCCACTGGGTAGCTACCTAGACAAGCACTGTGATCGGCTCTATTGCAGGCCCAAAGAATTTAGCAAAAGATGCCTGCAATTGAAAGCCTTGTTTCTAAATAGGGATGCAAGACATACCTTGTGCAGCAAGATGTCTACCCATAATTATTCGTAGAATGTGCCATTGCTTTTCTCATTCATTGTACAGAGTGTATTTTTGGTTCAAAAGGGGTGTTAGCTTAGGAGTGTTCTCAGAGGAAGGTTACCTGGCCCTTTGGGTGTCACCTTACTTAGTTCCCCATATTTCTGGGTCTGGCCCTAAGCTTTGCCCACTTGGGAATTTAATTTTGTCAGCCCAGGGGTAGTAGGGATATATCATTTATTAGCCTACACTAGCCAAGGTCACAAGAGGTGGACACCTAGACTAGAATACAATTTATTGAATTAGCATAAGAAAAGATAATTGCTAAGCATCTGATGGTCACATGAACAAGTCTTCTGCCTGTAGGAAAATCCATGTGGGAAGCCAAAAGATAACAGAAAGGTTGCTTTATGTGTGTAGCACCATTGCAAGGGGAGTTGGTTGCATAATCTTAATATTTTGTGGCAGCCAACTCTAATGGTCTGATCCATCCGTCTTCAGGATGGGGATTTGCTAACCTCAGTTAATGGAAAATAGATTTCTTGAGCCAGAGGTTCTTCCTAGCCTTGGGAGTGCTGCTTTGCCAAGAACTTCCTTCTGAAAATCCACATTTTCAATATTTCCAACTAACCTTCTTCCTCTCAATGGACTCTCTCTTTCCTTAGATATGATAATAACATTGTTTGGGTTACTGTCTGGACTGGCTTTCAGCCTGGAACCTCTGCTGTATCTTTTAAGGTGACTTTGCACCTTTAGTCTTATCTAATGTGTTTTAATTTTATTCATCAAATTCTCAGAGTTTAGTGGGTGCATTTATCGGTCCTCTGGGAATCTTTATATAATCTAGTACAATTCTCAAATGAAAGAGGGAAATGCATTTCTGACCCAAGAGTCACTGCCATTTTTTCAGATGGAAGAAAAATTTTTCAGCGGTAGAAGTGATTAGTTTTGCCTTGGGGAGTGTATTAGTCTGTTTTCACGGTGCTGATAAAGGCATACCCAAGACTGAGTAATTTATAAAGAAAAAGAGGTTTAATGGACTCATAGTTCCATGGGGCTGGGGAACCCTCACAATCATGATGGAAGGCAAAAGGCACATCTTTCATGGTGGCAGGCAAGAGAGAATGAGAGCCAAAAGAAAGGGAAAACCCCTTATAAAACCATCATGTCTGCTGAGACTTATTCACTACCACCAGAACAGTATGGGGGAAACTGCTCCCTGTGATTCAATTATCTCCCACTGGGTCCTTCCCACAACAGGTGGGAATTATAGGAGCTACAATTCAAGATGAGATTTGGATGGGGACACAGCCAAACCATACAGGGAGTTAGGAAAGGCTTTCCAGAAGAGGTGACATTAGAGCTGAATCACAAATTAGAAGCTGTAGATGTGGAATGGAGAATATGGTAGTTTCCAAGTGGCGAGAACAACTTGTACACATGTTATTGTGTACTTGTAAGGCATTGTTGCATATTAGGATGAATAAGACACAGCCCAATGGATGTTTAGGTAGGTTCAATGACAGAAAGCTCAGATACATCCCCTGTTGCATGACTCTCATTCAGCCTTACAAACCCTAGGATACAGCAGCTATTGCCCATTCTGTCTGAAACACTGCATCCAAGCCAAGTCTTGATCCTTAAATTATTAAAATCTTTTCTAAATACACAAACACAAATATGAGAGTGCTTCCTCCATAAGCTTCTAAAGCATTTTTTCCTTTCATGGCCTTTATAAAGTATAGTTATTTGTGTAAATATATAAATTTGACCTGCCCTCCTGTCCATTCCCCCCCCCCACCCCACTAGTAGATTATAAGTTCCTGGAAGAAAAATAACTTTATTTTTTAATGAACTATTTTAGATATTTGTCATTCCTATGTATGTCTTTATATTTTTACTGCATTTTTCAGAAACATAAAAGTGTTTTACATGTTTTTAAACCTTATTTAAATGATATGAAACATCATTCTACAGCTTGCTGTTTTCATTCATTTTACTTACATCTTAATAATCAACTATATTATATTTCTATTTATTTCATTTTAACCTTTATTTATTACTTCATTATATGCCTATAATCATAATTTGGTGATCTTTTCATTTCTTCCTGAATATTTAAGTTATGTTTACATTTTTGGGGTAACAGAGACAACCATTTTGGAAAACATTTGCCAATATATAGTAAAGTTGAAAATGCACATGCTTGTCAACTAAGTAAGTCAATTTCTAGATATATACACTGGGTCTGTACTATCCAACATGGTAGCCATTAACCACATGTGACCATTTAAATTAAAACTTTAATTAATTAAAATTTAAAAATAAAATAGTATTTAAATTTCAGCTCCTCAGTAGAACTAGCCATATTTCAGGTGTCCAATAGCCATAGATGGCTAGTGGCTACTGAATTGAAGCACACAGATATAGAGCATTTCCATCATCACAGACATTCTAATGAACTCTCCAATGCTGCCCTGGAGAATAATTTTATTTGTATTTTCCCAGTACACTATGAACATAAAAAGCACTAAATAGCTATGGAGTGAATGAATGAATGTGAAAATACTGCATTACAGAGCTATATATGGTAAATGTTAACTGAGTTCCAGGAAGAAGAGCTATATGAGGTTAGAGGGGGTGATTGCGTATAAGGGTCCTGGGCATGGGCTTGGAGGAGGATCGACTAAGGTGTTTATCCAGGGCAATCAACTGCAGCATAGCAAGAGGAAGAGTTGGAAATCATTACTGCAGAGAAAATAAGATAACTAAAGAACAGAAAAGCCGTAGCAAGAATCAGATCCAAAGCAAGACTGTGAGAGGGGAAAACGAGTTATGAGGTCAGAAGCCAAAAAGATTAAACGGAGGCTAAGAGGTGGAGTGCAAGGCAGGTCAGAGAGAGCAGTTCAGGACAGATGCTGTGAATAATGTAAAGTATCTGAAGTCTGTGCTCTGGGCTTTGAGGGCTGAGTAAACTCTCAATCCTGTGATCAAAATATGTTCATTTCCTAAGTATATTGCCATCATCCACAAGACCTATCTACTACTTTGAAAGCTATGTTTAAGAGAGGGTTATCTGTAAACATGTGGAAGAATAGGATTTGACTCCCACAACATATAGCTATCAAAGTTTGGGAGGGTGAGGGTGAGGCCTGAACTGGGCTGCTAAGAACTGAATTTCTGAGGTTAATTACTCTAGGAAGAGGAAGAGAACATGGAGGGAGCAAATGTGGTATAGAAGAGTAGATCAAAAAGGAAAGGAGGATGAAAAGGGCGAAGGTCAGCCAAAAATCGAATACAATGAGAGGGGACGTTGTGCAGGTCTTAATATTGGTTTTCAGTTAATTGTAGAGTTATTTCTATAAACTTAAAAGCCAGCAGGAATGTGATGTGGGATTCAGAAGCTGTTGGTCTAATTTAGTCAAAAACTACAGAGAGCTCTAGCCCCAGGCTCTTGCCTGGCTTTCTGAGCTGCTTTGTAGCCCACTCCTGGTTTTCACAAAAGTTTCTTCAGCTCTTTCCTGCCCCACCAACCCCACTAACTTTCAGAGTCAGAGGTACTGATTAAAAGATCTGATTCCCAACATTTTTTTTGGCAGGGAGAGAGAGCAGGTGTGTGGCCACAGGGGAAGTTGGGTATGAGTGAAAAATCAGAGACAGCCATTTTAAAGTGCCTGAGTCAAGCAGGCTATCCTATGTCTCTCTCATATCTTGTAAAATTCAGCTTGACGGTAAAAATCTCATCTCTCCTGCCCACTCCCTTCACAATTTTACATACTATAGTCTAAACTAATTTAAGCTTTCAGCTGTTATTTTCAAAACTTGATAATCAGATTAGTGCCTACATTTGTTTACAAAGGTATAACCAATTCTAGGGCCAGACCAAACAAAGCTCTGTTTATGTGTTTGTTTGCAACAGTGCAATCTCATTTTTAACCATGGCTTTTGAGAATAGCAGCATATTACAGAAGGGCTAGAGACAGCTCACCCAAAGGGGCGAACAAACCATTCTACCTGACCTTAGGAAATTAATCCTTCAAGTGTCGATTGTGCATTATGAAAGCAGCCAACTGTCTGCCAGCAGTGGGTTTGCAATCCCAGAAATCTGATGCTTTTCTATACCTTCAAGCAATACTAACAGAGGTTTGGATTCCTGAGCAAGACCAGTCTGAAAGAACTATATGTGGGCATTGCTAATTCTTTACAAAGATTACAAGTCTTCATTCCCAAGACTATTCCTTGTTCTGACCTCTCTACTTTTTTCCATCTCATGTAACTTCACTCTTTCAACCTCAAATCCCTATGCCTAGGCACAAGCCAGTCTACCGAAATGTGGGCAGCTGTCTTGGCATGCATGGGCAATCAGATGTTTGAAGAAAATTGATGAATAACCATGTGTCCAAGACATCCAAAGGGCTTAGAGAATTAAAAGCCTTATTCTTATGGTTAAACACTGGGAATGCCATCTCATTCCTCCCCAGTGATTTCTCTATTATCAGCTGGAAAGCCACCAGCAGATCCCTTGTTCATTGGCCAGGATGCAAACTAACACTTCTTTCAAGTCTCACTTTTGTTCTCAGGGTTAGGAACACTGCCATTATTAAAAAAAAAATCTGGTTGGTCCAGCTAATTGGACTTCTTAGGTCATAATTACAGTATCGTGACATCAGCCTACATTTTCCTGGAATTGATTATTAAGCCTCATTATCTATATCTTTGTGTCCTGACACCACCATTTAGGACCAAATCATTGAACCTACCATACTATATACAACTAGGCTAAATGTTCCCTAAGTCCTAGGACTATGAATAAACTGTTTCCTTAGGAAGATTTGGGAAAGTAATGGATAATCATAAATACTAACATGTATTAAGTGCTTATTAACCTAGCATTAATGCTTGCATTATCTCATTGAATATTCACAACAAACCAACAAGGTTACTTACTATTATTCATATCCCCATGTTTACAGTTGAGGAAACTGAGGTTCAGAAGGGTGAGAAAACTTGCCCAAGATTACACAGCTAATAAATACTGAATTGGAATTTACTCTCATGTCTGTTTTGATTCAAAGCATATGCACTTGCTGCTTCTTGGAAGGTGTCTGTCTGCTCCTCGCTTCACGAGCAAGAACTCATCTGATTTTAATTTGTTAGAAACTGAAAATACAGTAGAATAAACAGATGTTTCCTTTCTGATGGAGTGATGGGTTATAATGTCCTGTTTTACATGTCAGCAATAGTTTTGAGGCCAATTGTGGACATTTGTAGATCTCTCATCCTAAGTATT
This sequence comes from Homo sapiens, assembly GCF_000001405.40. Taxonomy (NCBI): domain Eukaryota; kingdom Metazoa; phylum Chordata; class Mammalia; order Primates; family Hominidae; genus Homo; species Homo sapiens. Next base: position 108,337,347 of record NC_000023.11, on the reverse strand, counting down.
TATTGGGCATCTATTATGTACCAACACATGGTGGGTGATTCAAATAAGTGTAAGGAATAGGAATTACCAGGAGTGAGTGTCTTACCAGAGAAATGAGGTTACCTGACAGGAACCCCCTCAGAATATATATACACATGTAAAATAATATGCCAATTCATGTGACAACTCTAAATATTGGGTGAGACACTGAGGTGTTAATAGAAAGGACACTGGTCTGAGAACCAGTGTTGTTTTAGAAACAGTTGTGTAATGTTAACTTTTAATGCTAATTTTAAAATAAAGTGGGCCTACCTCAGTCATTCTGGGTTTCTTGACTAGAGGCAGAGAAGAAATAATCAGGAAAGTCTTCATGGACGAGCTGGACTATGAAGAATGGGCAAAATTTGAATTGGTGGGAAAGGGAGAGGAGACTCCAGGTCCAAGGAGGAACAAGGAAGGAAAAGTAGGAGTTAGGGTAAAGAGAAGGGAAATGAGCCCAGAGTGTTAAATGGTTACAAAGGTATAACCAATTCTAGGGCCAGACCAAACAAAGCTCTGCTTATGTGTTTCATTGCAACAGTGCAATCTAATTTTTAACCATGAGCGGAGACATGCATACATGCTTTAAAGGAGCAAAACCCATAGTTAGGCATAAAAAAATCAGGGACCAATGGATTGATTAATCAATTGATCAATTGATTGATTTTTATTGTGGTAAAATATACATAATATAAATTTTACCATTTTAACCATTTAAACAGTACAATTCATGGCATTAAGTACACTCACAATATTGTACAACCATCATCACTATCTACTTCCAGAACTTTCTCACCACCCCAAATGGGAACCCTGTACCCATTAAGCAACTACTCCTCATTAACCTCTCTCCCCAGCCCCTGGCAACCACTAATCTTTTGTCTCTATGGATTTAGTCTTTCTGAATATTTCATATAAATGAAATAATAGAATACATGGCTTCTTTAATTTAGCATAACCTTTTCGACATTCATCTGTGTTGTAATATGTATCAGAATTTCATTTCTTTTTATGGCTGAATTGTATTGTATTTATGGCTGAATTCCATTGTATGGATATACCACATTTTGTTTATTCATTTATCTGTTGATAGACAGTTAGGTGGCTCCCACCTTTTGACTATTGTGAATAGAGCTGCTATCAACATTGGCGTAGAAGTTTTTGTTTGGACACTTGTTTTCAATTCTTTTGGGTATACACCTAGCAATGCAATTGCTGAGTCATATGGCAATTCTATGTTTAATTTACTGAGGAACTTTTAATGTAAATCTGTCATATTACTTAAAAACAAGGGCTTTCAACTTTGAGTTGAATCCTGGCTTTGTTACTTGCTAGTTGGCCGACGTTGAGCAAGTGATATAACCTGTCAGCCTCAGTTTTCCCATCTGCTGAATAGGGTTGTTTTGGGGATCACATGGCATGATGCATATAAAGTCTCAACACAGTGCCTGACACATATTAAGCATTAGATACCTGTCAGCTACTAGGAATATCCTGTAGTAGTCTTATTCAAAATGTTCTGTATAGTCAGCATCACAGACAAGTAGAGGCATGACCCTCTTATTTATTTTGCTACTTACCTCATCACCCCCACCTTGTAGAGCTCTGGAAGTAGTCGGAATTTCCAGAAAATGATCTACCCTCATTTCTTAACCCCCAAATTTTAAATTATTAGAATTGTGCATGTATGTATGTGTATATATATGTGTGTGTTTCTGTATATATTTATACACATACATATATACATACACACTTCCATGTACTGTACACACAAATTATTCTAGTGAAAACATTTCTTTAAAATCTCAAAAGCCTGTGTGTCTTTTATAAAACCGACACTTTCCAGGAAGAGGCAATGCAATTTAGTAGTTAAGAGAATATGTTTGAATCAAAATAGACATGGGAATGAATGAAAATTCAGTGTTTATTAGCTGTGTAATATTGGGAAGGTTACCTCATCCATCTGAGCCTCAGTTTCCTCATCTGTAAACCAAGAATATAAATAGTAGTACCCACCTTTGTGACTTTTTGTGAATAATAGATGGGATAAGGCAAGCATTAGTGCTAGGAACACAGCAAGCACACAATCTTCAGTCTGGTGCTACAAAGATACCCATGACTTTGACCTTCCTTGCTTTCCCACACACCACAGGCCACCAAAGTGGCCCACAGGAGTTAAAGAGCCAAAGACTTTAGCTAGGCCTGAAAGAATATCAAATGGTCATAAAGAGTTTTTCCAAATGAAATGAAATTACACCATAACAAAAGCTGTTCAAGACTCTGTAATCTCAAATGCATCCTTTGAGTATCCTGATTACGCTTAGTCTCTGTTGGTAGTTACATTTTTCTAAGAGGAATTAACTTTCCATCTGCACAGAACAGTACCATATAGTATTTGAGCTGAAAGGGAAAATGACAGTGAAAGGAGTTAATATCTGTGATACTCTGCACTCAGCTTGTCTTATTTGATCATTATAACAACTCTGTTATGAGGTAAATATCCTTATTCCCATTTTGGAACTGCAGAAACTGGGGCTCAGAAGAAACTTGCTCAGAACTAATAAGTGTCAGAAGCAAGATTTGGACCCGGATCCTTCTGAAGACTCGAATTTACTATACCACACACTTACTTTAAAGAATTTCTGAGATTTTCTTTTGCTATTGGTGAGGCAGAAACCAAGAAAGGTAAAGTGAGTTGTCCAAGGTCACTCAGCCATTTATTATAATAATAAAGCAGGACTGGAATCCAGTTCCAGGAATGCCATCTCATGTTACTTTATTGCCTCTAATGGATGAATAATGTAATAGTTCATCAGTTAAAAATGATTAAATGTTGGGAGAAAATCTGAAAATAAATTTCATCCATAACTTATTTTCATCTCATGTTTCACCGACCTTATTGAAAAACTGTTTTGTGTAGTTAGAAATGAACTAATGACCTGGTGTTCCCTGATGTCTGTGTGCCCACTGTATTCACTACTTGATGTTCAGAAGTAAATAGGCAAATGCAGGCAGTCCACAGGTTATTTCAGTTCTAGTTTATAACCACTGTGATGGGTAATTTTATGTGTCGACTTGGCTAGGCTATGATGACCAGAAGTTTGGTAAAATACTAGTCTAGGTGTTATTGTAAAGATATATTTAAGATGTGATGAACATTTAAATCAGGAGACTTCGCAGTATAATTTGAAGTCAGGCAATGTGGTAACTCCAACTTTATACCTTTTGCTTAGGATTCCTTTGGCTATTCAGGCCCTTTTATGGTTCCATATGAATTTTAGAATTGTTTTTTTCTAATTCTGTGAAAAATGACATTGATAATTTAATAGAAATTGCATTGAATTTGTAGATTGCTTTGGGCAGTATGGTCATTTTAACAAAATTGATTCTTTCAATCCATGAGCATGGGTTGTTTCTCCATTTGTTTGTGTCATCTACAATTTCTTTCACCAGTGTTTTGTAGTTCTCCTTGTAGGTATCTTTTAACTCCTTGGTTAAATGTATTCCTAGGTATTGTTTTGTAGATACTGTTAATGGGATTGGGTTCTTGACTTGGTTCTCAGCTTTATTGTTATCAGTGTACAGAAACACTACTAATTTTTTCACATTGATTTTATATTTTGCAAATTTATTGAAGTCATTTATCAAATCTAAGAGTCTTTTAGGTTTTTAGATATAAGATCATATCATCAATGAACACAGATAATTTGACTTTCTCTTTTCCAATTTGGATGCCTTTTTTTCCTTCTATTGCTTAAATGCTCTAGCTAGGACTTCCAGTACTATGTTGAATAGGAGTGGTGAAAGTGGGCAAACTTGTCTTGTTCTCATTCTTAAAGGGAATTCTTTTAACTTTTTCCTGTTCAATATGATGTTGGCTGTGGGTTTGTCAGGTATGGCTTTTATTATTTTGAGGTATGTTCCTTCTCCATCTAGTTTGTTGAGGGTTTTTCTCATGAAGGGATGCTGGATTTTATCGAATGTTTTTTCTGCATCTATTGAAATGATTATATGATTTTTGTTTTTAATTCTGTTTATGTGGTTAATCACATTTATTGATTTGCATATTGAACCATCTTTGCATACCTGGAATAAAACCCACTTGATCATGATGTAGCATAGTTCTAGTATAAAAATAGACACATAGATTAGTGGAATAGAATAGAGAACCCAGAAGGAAAGCCACATACCTACAACCAACTGATCTTTGACAAAATTGACAAGAATATTCATTGAGGAAAGTGCCCTCTATCAATAAATAAGGCTGGAAAAATTGGACAGCCATATGCAGAAGAATGAAACTGAACCCATATCTATCACCATATCCTAAAATTAACTCAAGATAGATTAAATGCAAGATCTCAAACTATAAAAATTCTAGAAAAAAAAACTAGGAAAAATACTTCTGAACATTGGCCTAGGAGAAAAATTTATTACTAATCCTCAGAAGCAAACATAACAAAAACAAAAATAGACACATGTGACTTAATGCAACTAAAAAGCTTCTGCACAGCAAAAGAAATAATTGACAGAGTAAAAAGATAACCTATGGAATGGGAGAAAATATTTGCAAACTATGCATCTAATGTCTAGAATCTACAAGGAACTAAACTAAAAAAAAAAACTAACAAATAACTCTATTAAAAATGGGCAAAGGACATGAACAAATGATTTTTTCAAAAGAAGAAATGCAGGTGGCCAACAAACATGAAAACATGCCCAACATCACTAATCACCAGAGAAATGCAAATTAAAACCACAATGACATACCTTCTTACAGCAGTCTGGCTATTATTTAAAAGGCAAGAAACAACAGATGTTGGTGAGGATGCAGAGAAAAGAGAATGCTTATATTCTGTTGGTGGGAATGTAAATTAGTACAACTGGTATGGAAAGCAGTATAGGAAGTTTCGCAAAGAAGTAAAAATAGAACTACCACTACTGTGTGTCCAGCAATCTCACTACTGGGTATCTACCAAAAGGAAAAGAAATCATTGTTTCAAAGAGACACCTGCACTCATGTATTTATCACTGCACTATTCACAATAGCAAAGTCATGGAATCAACCTAAATGTCCATCAATGGATGTTTCAATAAAAAGAATGTGATATATATCCCATGGAATGACAGCCACAAAAAAGAATGGAATCATGTTTTTTGCAGCAACATGGATGGAACTGGGGGCCATTTTCCTGAGTGAAATGACTAAGAAATAGAAAGTCAAAAACCACATATTCTCACTCATAAGTGGGAGATAAAAAATGAGTTAGACATGGACATACAGAAAGGAATAATAGACATTGGATACTCCAAAAAGTTGGAGTGTAGAAGTGGGGTGAGGGATGAAATACTACCTGTTGGGTACAATGTACACTGTTTGGGTGATGGGTAACACTAAAAACCCAGACTTCACTGCTACTCAACATATTCATGTAACACAACTGCACTTGTACCCCCTAAATCTATAAAAATCAATAAATCAGTAGACTTTGTGTAAAGCAGATTACCCTCCATAATGTGGGTGGACCACATCCAATCAGCTGAAGGCCTCAAGAGAAAAAGACTGAGATCCCCTGACAAAGTAGCAATTCTGTCTCCAAACTGCCTTTGGACTTTAGACAGCAACGTCATCTCTTCCCTGGGTCTCTACCCTGCCAGCCTGCCCTGCAGATTCCAGACTTGCTAGTTTCCACAACTGAGTGGGCTAATTCCTTAATACAAATATAATCACGTGCCACAAACAATGTCTTGGTCAAGGACGGATGGCATATACAACAGTGGTTACATAGTATTTTAATGCTGTATCTTTCTGTACCTTTTTAATGTTCAGATATATTTAAACACATAATTACTTAACATCGTGTTTCAATTGCCTGAAGTATTCAGTACTGTAACACTGCACATGTTTTATCCTAAGAGCAATAGGCTATAAAATATAGCCTAGCATGTAGTAGGCTATACCATCTAAGTTTGTGTAAGTATGCTATGATGTTTGCACAGTGACGAAATCGCCTAAGGATGTATTTCTCAGAATGTTTCCTAGTTGTTGAGTGACAGGAGTGTACATACACACACACAAATATCATTTTGGCTATATTTTCCTGGAGATCCCGAACTAATAACAACCACCTACTAATGTACCAGGCACAGTGCTAGGCTCTGGGAATATTTAGAAGAGACCTCTGTGCAAAGAAATTTGCACAATATGGCAAAATGTGACAAAACACATTGACAAAGGTAGGTCAAGGCGGGAAAATAAAGCCACAAGAAAAGCATCCGGGGCATTTCATGATGTCCTTTACACATGATGATAACTAAGGACACTCAGACATTTATCTGCAAGTGGGAAATTTATTTAATTTAGAAGGAGAAACCTTGCAAAAATAGAGGTAAAAATAGACTCCCCTCTTTACTTTAGACTATCCTGTTTGTTACATCTACTCAATAAATTAATTCAATAAACATTTATTGAATCTTAGCTTTGTGCACAGTGTGTAATGACATAGTTGTGATGATATAAGAAACCTCAGATTTGCCAGCGTTTCCCCCTAAACTTGGCTTAATCTCTGGAACCCAAGCTAGGGTTGGAAAAATTACTTGGTATAGCTGTGGAGTGAAAACGGGCACACAGATGCTCCTGCTGAGACCACCTGTATCTCTGACAACTTTATTTGGGCCAAATTAGTTGAATATATGGGCTGGTGGCAGTTACCTGTCCCCTGTCTTCTACCTCCTGGTTTCCAGGATTGCCTACTCAGTTTTCAGGCTCTATCAGTACTTAGTTTGCATTCATCAACCATTTAAAAGGCCAGCCCTGGGTATTTCAGGGAAGGATCATGTCCTTAAAATGTAGTGAATTCCACTTATTCCCAAGGATGCAAGCTCTTCTCTGACTCCCTGCACTGAAGTCATTTAGAGTCTTTTGAGAGTTAAGACTAATTAAAGCTCATAGAGTACTTGGAGAGCCGTGCATGACAGCACATGAATATTTTCAAAGCGGTGTCTTATGCCTAGTATCTGGGCCAGGACCAGGCCTATAGAATTTAATTGAATGTGTATCCCTGGTTAAAGGTGGAGCTCCCCAGTAGCAGAGTCTTTGTCCCATTCTGCTGTGTATCCATATAAGTTTGAGCCCTACTTTCTCTGCACAGATCTTTAAGGTAGATGTTCGTCAGGGCTTTTTCCCGGAACTCTTTCACTCTCTGCACAAACTCATCCTTGCATAATTCTACGTTCTATCCCAAATCTGTCTTCCAAGCTCCAAGCCCATATATATATATAACTGTTTAGACATATTTTCCTGGCTATTCACAGATATTTCAAACTCAGCATGTCCAAAACCGAACTCATTTTCTACACACGCACATGCACACACATACACACAAATTGGTCCTATTCCATGCTTCCCCATCTCAGCAAATGGCATTACCATCCTCCCTGTTGCTCAAGCTGAAAGAGTCACCTTCGACTCCTCTTTTTCCTTCCCTTCCCACAAAGGTTCAGTCATTCACCTTAATCCGTCCATTTACCAACTCAGAAACTTAAATCCCAAACATAAAATAAAACTTAAACTTAAAACATAAAAAAATAGAATAGTACAATGAAACTCCTCCCATGTACCAATTGCTCAGCTTCAAATTTACCAATTCATAGACAGTCTCATTTCCAACAATCCTCACTTCTCACCCTCAATCATTGTGAAACAAATACCAGAAATAATCTCATTTCATCTGTATTTCATTAAGTATCTCTTAAAAGTAAGTTATGAAAACATCCAAAATCCCATTATCACACCAACAAAATTGACAATAATATAATATAATCGAATATCCAGACAATGTTCATATTTCCCCATTGTTTCATAAATGGATTTGCTTCCTTACATTTGAGTATCCAAATAAAGTCCCTACATTGTGATTGGATGATAAATCTCTTAAGTCATTGTATTTTTTAAGTTTTATTTTGTTTTTAAATTGACTCATAATTGTACATACTTAGAGGGTACAGTGGGATGTTTCCATACATATATAAATTGTGTAATGATCAAATCCTGGTAATTAACATATCCATCACCTCAAACACTTATCATTTCTTTGTGGTAAGACATTCAAATTCCTCTATTCTAGCTATTTTGAACTATACAAAATATTACTTTTGACTGCAGTCACCCTACTGTGCAGTAGAACACCAGAACTTATTCCTCCTCTCTAACTATAACTTTGTATCCATTGACCAACTTCTCTCCATCATTCCCAGCCCCCTTCCCACTCTTCTTAGCCCCTAGAAACCATTATTTTACTCTCTACTTCTGTGAGATCAACTTCTTTTAGATTTCACACATGAGATCATGTGGTATTTATTCTGTGTTTGACTTTTCTCACTTAACATAATGTCATCTAGGCTTATCCATGTTGTTGCAAATGAGAAGATTTTGTTCTTTTTATGGCTGAGTAGCATTTCTCCATGTACATATGTACCACATTTTATTTATCCATCCATCCAATGATGGACACTTAGGTTGACTTCATATCTTGGCTATTGTGAATAGTGCTGCAATAAATCTGGGATCACAGATATCTCTTCAACATCATTTCATTTCCTTTGGATATTTCATATTCCTTTGGAATTGCCAGATCATGAAGTAGTTCTATTTCTAATTTTTTGAGGCATCTCCATACTGTTGTTCATAATGGCTTTAATCTGTAGCTTCTCCTCAATCTCTCTTTTTTCTCCCTGAAATATTTGTGGAAAAAACTGGATCATTTTGTCTTGTAAGTTTCCCACAGTTTTGATTTGTTGGTTGGTGTTGGCATTGGTATTGGTTGGTGCTGGTATTGTAAAGCTTTGGCAGTTAGATCTAGAGACTTAATCATATTCCATTTCTCTCTCTCTCTTTCTCTCCCTCTTCCTCTCTGCCTCCCTCCTTCTCTCCCCCTTTCCCTCTCCCCCTTCCACCGCCTCTTCCCCTTCCCCTCTTTCTGCAAAACTATTTAATCACGTAGTGTTTTATTCTTCCATCATTATTGATGTACAAAATGTCTGCAATGTCTGCTTGATCTTCTTTCTGAAATACTAGCAGCTGTTGATATCTATTACCTCAATCTATTACTTCACTGGGAGTTGCAAATGTTGATTCTGTAATTCTGTCTTTTCTTATGCATACTGTACTTGAATACTTTATTTAGGAGAAACATCCCTTCATTAATTTTTATGGTTATCCTGAGTTATAGTTCATTTAGGAAAGGCAGAATGAATGCTTGATTCCACTATCCTTTTTTTAACAAATTTAAAAAATAATTATTTCCCTGGCATCCTCCAAAAGTGACCTGTGAAAGGTTTTTTTGTGTGTAGGTTACCATTATGGATTCATGAAGTTCCAAATATTTTACAAATTTCATTGAATGCAGTTATCGTTATTGGTGTTCAGGCCATCACTTATTTGGGCAGTGGGAACCTATTCAGAATGACTTCTGAGTCCCTTTGCTGTGTTTTTTTTTAACAGTGTTACTGAGATATAACTGACTTATAGTAAACTGAACATATTTAAATTGTACAATTTAATAAGTTTAGGCAAGTATGTACAAGCATGAAAGCATCACCACAATGAAGATAATGAACATGTCCATTATCTGCAAAAGTTCCCTCATATTCCTTTGTAATACCTTCTCTCACTCTTCTCTGCCACCCCCCATCCTTGGACAATAACAAATCTGTTTTCTGTCACTATAGATAAATTTTAATTTGCTAGAATTCCATGGAAATGGAAACATAAAATACATGTGCTTTTCTACATAATTAAAAAATAATTATGCTTTTTACTCAGCATAATTATTTTGATACTCATTCATGATGCTGCCTGTACCAATAGCCCTGTATGACAAAGGTCCCCAACCCCCAGGACCGGTTGGGGACTGCTGACATATGAGATATGTCAGCAGTCCCCAACCTTTTGGGCACCAGGGACTGGTTTTGTGGAAGACAATTTTTCCATAGAAGGGGCCGGGGTGGGAGGTGTGGGGCGAGGGATGCTTACAGGATGAAACTATTCCACCTCAGATCATCAGGCATTAGTTAGATTCTCAAAAGGAGCGTGCAACCTAGATTTTTTGCATGTGCAATTTTCAATAGGATTTGTGATCCTATGAGAATCTAATGCCACCACTCATCTGACAGGAGGCAGAACTCAGGTGCTCACATGCCCGCTGCTCACCTCCTGCTGTGCGGCCCAGTTCCTAACAGGCCACAGACAGGTACGGGTCTTTGTCCTGGGAGTTGGAGACCCCTGAGATATGTGATATGCGAATATTTTCTCTCAGTCTAGAGCTTATCTTTCCATTCTCATAAGAATATCATTCAAAAAGGAAGTTTTAATTTAGATGATGTCCAATTTCTTCATTTTTTTCTTTCATGCTTCAAGTTTCTGGTGTTGTATCTAAATCTCTGCTTAATCTAAGAGGACAAAGATTTTCTCCTAATTTTTCTACTGGAAATTTTAAAGTCTCAGGCTTATATTTACATTTACAATATATTTTGAGTTAATTTTTGTACATAGTGTGAAGTATAGATCAAAGTTCATCATTTGTTTATTTTGCATATTGAATGTCCAATTGTTTCAGCACCATTTGTTTAAGACAATTCTTTCTCTACTGGACTACCACTGCAGCTTTGTCAAAAATCAGTTGACTATATATATGTGGCTCTATTTCTGGACTCTATTCTGTTTCATTCATACTTTTGTCTGTCTTTACACTCTCTTGATTGCTGTAGCTTCACAATAAGTCTTGAAGTAGGTCCTGTACGTCTTACAGCTTTTTCTTTTTCTAAGTTGTTTGGGCTATGCTAGGTCCTTTGGATTTTCATATACATGTTCAAATTGCACTGAGTTTATGATCATCAATTGGGGGAAAATTGATATCATAAAGATATCTTTCCATTTATTTAAGCCTTCTTTAATTTTCTCAGCAATTAACTTTGCCATGCAAAGCGACTGCACATCTTTTGTCAGATTTATTCCTGTTTTATATATTTGATGTTATCATATGACATTTTTATTTCAGTTTCCAATTGTTTGTTGCTAGTTTACAGAAATGCAACTAATTTTTGTATATCGACCTTGTATCATCCAGCATTACTAAACTCACTTATTAGTTCTAGTAGTTTTTTTGTAGATTTCATGCTATATTTTATATAGATCATGTTATCTGTGAATAAAGACTTGTTTTGCATCTTCCTTTTGAATATGGATGCCTTTTTTGCACTGGCTAGAACCTGTAGCACAATGTTGAATAGAAGTGTAAATGTGGACATCTTTGCCTTGCCCCCAATCTTAGCAGGGAAAGCATTCAGGCTTCCACCAACAGACACGATGATATCTGTAGTATTTTCCATAGATGCCTTTTAGCAGGTTAAAGAAGTTCCCTTCTATTTCTAGTTTGCTTTGAGTTTTTATCACAGTAGAGGCTGGATTTTCTCAAATTCTTTTTCTGCATCTATTGAGATAATCATAGTTTTTTTTTTTTTTCTTTTTGGTCTGCTAATATGGTGAGTTACACTGACTAATTTTTAGATGTTAAACCGAACTACCATTCCTGGAATAAACTGAACTTGGTCATAATGTACCATCATTTCTATATATTGTTAGGTTCGATTTTGTGAATTTTTGTTAAGAAGTTTTGTATCTATATCCCTGAAAAATATTGGTCTGTAATGTAATGCTGGACTCACAGAGTGAGTTAGAAATTGATGCCTCATCTTCGATTTTCTGGGAGAATTTGTGTAGGATCAATATATTTATTCCTTAAATGTTTGGTAGAAATCACCAGTGAGGCCATCTAGCCCAGGAGTTTCCTTTATTGGAAGGTTTTTAACTGCAAATTCAATTTCTTTAATAGATAAGGGACTACTGGGATTTTCTACTTCTTCTTCAGTGAGATTTGGTAGTTTATGTCTTGCACGGGAATCACCAAAGATAAAGTCTTGCCACAGAAGGGCTTTTAAAAATTAGTTTTGCATCTCACTGTGGTTAGAAACAAAAAGAAAAGTAGATGAGTTTTGAAGTCATGAAATATGGAATTAGAGACAAAAATACTGGACCGCTCCTTCGCCTATGGCTTTGATTAAGCCCAAAAAGTTTAAACTGGAGTTTGAACTTTGCTTATGACATGCAGTGCTTTTTTTCTAGCATGATGCTTTTTAAAGTCCATTCCCACCAACCAAGTAGACTACTTGACTTGTTTCTATTTTCTGCCTATGAGAAGGGATTAGGGCTGTTTCTCCTAATTTTAGAAATGTAGGCATACGTGACAAGTTGGTCTGTCTTGTTCATGCTGCAAGCAAAATGAAAATTAACTTCTGAAAGGATTTACAGCTTAATATTGCAGCCAAAAAATAGGTAAAAGTAATATGTTGTTCTTTGCAAATGAAGACAGAGGTCCTGGTGTATTTGCTGGGTTTTGTACTTTGTAGGATTTTTTTTCCTTCTGATTTTTCCCCCTAGTCATGAGGGATGGATTTTCTATGAGGCACTCAATTTTCCTGGTTAGTCTTCTCCACATGTAATCTTTCCCCATCTGTGAGCAAGTTAAAACATCTTTTGCCTTATCAACACATGTAAGCCTTGTAGATAATTAACAAATAACAGAATTTGTTGTTTGAATCACAGATAAATAACAAATAGATCTTAAGTATAAGTATATCCCCAAATATTGCATGGAACATATACTAATTTGGGACATACTCATACTAAAAAGTTACTTGTGGTTTTTCTGAAATTCAAGCTTAATGTGCATCCTGTATTTTTATTTGCTAAATCTGAGTATTCCTCACATGCTCCCTATGACTAGCCTTGGGAAGTGTTGTTCTTTCATAGCTACTCAGTAAATTCTTACTAACAGAAGAAAAAGAGGCTTCTATTTTAAGAACATTATGGGCAACATTTAGTTTGCCTGTTTGTGTGTTAAATGTGGAAATGACCTGTATTTGTCTCCTATTCTGTCTCCTAATAGCTGCTACTACTGGAGAACTACACACATGAACTCACCATCTGTTTCAACTGGGCATTTTTAGACTGTGTCCCACTAGTCCAAAAGACAGAAATGGCACTGCCCTTAACCATTTGGACTTAATAACAGAGGAGACAATCTGCCAGGATATTTCTAACGGGACACAGTCTCTGTCCTGGAATCCCAACCCTTCCTATTTCTGTAGGCTTAAAAACAAAATTCTTAATCTCCCAACTAGAAACGTTAAAGGATTTTGTTTTCAACTTGTAATGATTTTCCTAAAGCTATCATGTTATAAATTAGCAGACAGGCTCTGTGCCAAGCCACTAAAGGCCATGACACTCACTGTATACTTAAGGTCTAGTAGCAAGAGTAAGCTCACACGATGTAGAAGGACATACAGTTTCTCCACGCATTGCGCAACTGAGGAAATTGAGGCCCAGCTCAATCACCTGAAATAATTTTGAGTATTTTTATTGGAAAACTATTGCCACAGTTTCTCTAAAGTAGTCAAAAAGGAAGGCTGTTAGAGTGAGCAACGAATACAACAGTGAAACATTAGCAGTGCTATTGTTGGAAAAGACAGAAAGTGAAATTTAAGAAAGGATGTGTGAATTGTGTGATATATGAGTTCTATCTCAGTAAAGTTTTTACAAAAAGGAAAAAGAACGGATGTGACTAGAATTTCGAGAGAAATGGATGAAACATGAAAGGTATTCCAGGAAAATGGAATAATAATAAATAGACTTCTATGACTAGAGGGGGTGACAGGTGGACTTGCAATGGTAGGTTGAGCCTAATTTTGAGTGCCCTTAAATATCATGCTTAAATTTTGAACTTTGTGGGTAATGGGGAGCTATCAAAGGCTTTTGAGTGAAGACAGAACAATCACATCCAAGTTTTAGAAGCATATCTTTTTATCTTCTCCAATGATACTTCTCACTTTCTCCTTTTGACTGCAGTTATCTCCTGTATCAAGCTTTTAGTTTCCTGAGTGCAAGGAACATGTTTTCTAAATATTTGTCTTTTTTCCATAGTGCCCAACACAGTGCCTTTATACATAGCAGGTGTGCATTAAAGATTGTCTAGCAAGCATACAGCAGGCACTCAATAAATACTTGCTGAGTAAATGAATAAATGTAATCATTGCAATGCTAGTTATAACTCTACTTTCCCCTCCTACTTTGGAAAGCATATAAGAAAGCAAATGAGTAGGAGTGACTCAATTACAGAAAGAAACATGAATCCCCTCTTAATTTTCTGAAAAATTAAGGGGAAGAATTTGTATTTTGACTATTATTACTAACAATTATTTTTGACACACATCATAACTGAATTTGTCACACAAGTGTGCCATGATGCTACTTGTAGGGTTTTCAGACAAAACAGATGACACTCAGTTAAATTTGAATTGCAGATAAATAACAAATATATCTTAAGTATAAGTATATCCCCAAATATTGCATGGAACATATACTAATTTGGGACATACTCATACTAAAAAGTTACTTGTGGTTTTTCTGAAATTCAAGCTTAATGTGCATCCTGTATTTTTATTTGCTAAATCTGAGTATTCCTCACATGCTCCCTATGACTAGCCTTGGGAAGTGTTGTTCTTTCATAGCTACTCAGTAAATTCTTACTAACAGAGGAAAAAGAGGCTTCTGTTTTAAGAACATTACGGGCAACATTTAGTTTGCCTGTTTGTGTGTTAAGCATTTACTTGTTGGATTTACTTTAAGGTCTAACTGGGTAGTACTATATCCCCTCAGGCCCTGGTTCATACTGGCTGGCTAGAGCTTTTCAAGTGAAACCTGGCATGCCTGTTCCTCTTTTACCCCTGATGCCATCAGTTGTTTTTATCTATGGTGTGAACACAGTTGAGCAGATGTTGGAGGGAAATGGCTTCCTGAAATATTCAGAAATGTCTGGTGTCAGCTTCTTCCTTAAAATAAAGTATAGGTGACAAGTCCCACATGGTAGGAAGCCAGCTCCCACAGATCACTTCCTTCTCTTCTCAGAGTCTTTCATTCATAAACTCATAGGGAGCTGTTCTTAAAAGGCAAATGCACATTAAACATGGGACAGAACCCAGCTTGGTTTAATGTGTGTTTGAATGTGTGTGTGTGTTTGTGTGTGTGTATGTGTGTGTGTGCCCGTGTGTGTGTATGTTCACATTTCAATGCAAAGGTTTTAGGTTTTGTTTTAGAATTGCTCAAAGTAAAGCCAGATTCTTTGTATTATTAGCAAGAAGTTCATAAACGTAGGGTGATGTTAAACGGGGCCTAGTTTAAGGGAAGAGCTCTAAGATTTTGAGCCAAACCTGGGTCTGAATTTATGCTGCTCCCTAGCTGACTGACCTTGGGAAGGCAAACTAACCCCTTGAAGCATCAGCTTTTTTATCTGTAAAATGATAATGGTAATAGTGCCTACCTCATGGTGGAGGTGGAACAGTTCAGTGAGATAACAGAAGTGAACTACTTAATTAGGCACATAACAGATGCTCACGGTAGCCATTATTGTGAATGTGGCCCCAGGATAGGTCTGATCTAGCCAAAGAGGCCTCAGAATTTCTGGACCCTGAGGCCACTGGCAGGGAATGAAGATTATATATATATATACCTCAGCATCTTGTATTATTTTTCTCTTTTAGATGTTTGGCTCTCTTCACTTTGTCACTTAACTAGCAAATGATACCAACTGTCTGAAACTCAGGATGTTTTTTTAATCTGGAAAATGGTCATATGAAAAATAATTCGTTTCAAAAGTAGTTATAAGAATTATATATGAAGGTTATTTAGAAAATGTACACACAGTACAAATAATATTGTGAAGTAAGTAGAGTAATATTGATAAAAAGTACCCCCAAATAGGCACCTGTCAACCCTCATCTTTTTTTTCCTGACTTTTTAAGTTTCAGGCCAATTCCTGGAACTAGTGGCAGCAGTTCCAATAAAAAACAACAACAAAAACAAAAAACAAAATGAAACAAAACAAAAAAACAAGAGTCACACAGTTGAAGGTATCTGGTTTCTTATCCCCACTCTGATACTTAACTTTCTATGTTGAAAAAGTCACTTAACAGCTGAGTTTTCATTTCCTCATCTTTAAAATGGGAATTAGTCATTGAATGAGAACCTATTAGGCATCCACATGCACAGTACTAGAGACTGTAATTGTAAATAATACCAGCTGACATAGATTGAGCGTATTCTCAATATACCAAGCACTTGACAAAGAGCATCATCTTATTTAACCTCACTAAACCCTATAAAGTAAAATATCCCTATTTTATAGTGCAGGAAATTGAGGCTTAAAGGATTTCCATTGATTTGTCTTATAGTGAACCCAAGATCTTCATCTCAAAGGAACCTAATGTCTAGGAGGGTAGGTGAAGATATAAATAAATCATTGTAATGTTGCATACGTGTCTATGTCTCTACACAGACACATACATCTAAAATATCTATTTCAGATTTGTGGTGGAAAATCAAATGAGATTTTATGTGAAAGACATTTTGAAGAAACCTGAAGTTATTAAAAGGGGATAGTTTCATTATGCTGTATGAAACCAGGAATGAGCAGCCATTTCAACAACCATTTACTGTGCTAATTCAAGACAAATTTATTATATTCCAAGGACTGTCTTGTTTTGCACTGTGCAGAGTATTAACAGAGCTAACGTCTTTACAGGACCACACCTTCTTTCTTCTGAGACATAGTCACAATCCTAAAACCGATGCATTTCTTTAACCCCGCCAGAGTCAATCATCCATTGATCCTACTACCTTTCTACTGCCCCTTGCCCACCGCCTGTGCTCAGTTCCTTCCACAGGAAACCTAGATCCTATGGTCCATAATCATAATCACTTCTTTCCATATACCCTTGACTCCCTTGCCCCTCTTTTCCTTTATCATCCTCACCTAGCAGACCCCAACCTTGATTAAATCCAACTCTTCCTCTAATCTTCATATGTATCCACGTGGCTGGACAAGTCTACCAAAAACCTCACAATATTGATAACTGATGTTCGTTTAAGTCCATGACCACCAAATTCAAGTGGGCCCTTAGAGCTGCCTTGCAGTCCTGCCACATTTCCCTAGTTCATGCCTTCTCCTTGCTCTCCTAACTGATCATGTCACACCTTATTTCTCCACAAACCTCCAGTAACTCCTTCATGTTCTTATTCTCAGTTGATAACCTTGATTCTTGTTTCACTGAGAGGAAAAAATAAGTATGTTGAAGAGAATGTCTGCATGCTTCCATTACCACATCAACTACCCTACCTGCATCTGTATCTATGTATTCTGCCTTCCCACCTGTCACTGTGGATGAACTTTCAATTCTCTTACCTAAGGGCATTCCATCAACTTCTGTATTAGATACCATCCTCTCTTGTACACTTAAAGTCATCCCCAACAATTCTTCCATCTCTCTCCTGTGTCAACACATATTCCCTCAAACTACTAATATATTTCAATATCTCCAATCTTAACAAAAAAATTAAACATACTTCTTACCCCATGTCCCTCTCTGGCTACAGTGCCATTTCTTCCATTCCCAATACCCCTTTAGATAATTGGCTATCCTGGACTACTCCAGTTCCTCACTTCCCACTCTGTATTGAACCCCTTGCAATCTGGCTTTTAGCCACACTAAGCCACTGAAATTTATCTGGTACAGATCACCACATTGCTAAATCCATTGGTATGTTTTCATATCTTGTCTTACTTGACCTGTCAACAATTTAAGTTTATCACTTTTTTTCCTCCTTGCTTTCCAGGACCCCTCTGGTTGTTGATTCTTTACTCATCTCACTGGCTACTCCCTCTCAGATTCCTTCTCAAGTACCTCCTCATGCTCTCTTAACACTGACATGCTTCAGTGCTTAATTCTAGGGTGTATTCTCTTCCCTTTATCTACCTCCACTCCCTTGGTAATCTCATCTACTTTGGAGGCTTTTTGTTTTTTTAGAGAGGGTCTCACTCTGTCACTCAGGCTGGGTGCAGTGGCACGATCAGCCTCAAACTCCTGGGCTCCAGTGATCCTCCTGCCTCAGCCTCCTGAGTAGCTGGGACTACAGGCACATGCCATCACACCTGTCTAATTTTTTTGTAGAGATGGGGTATCACCATGTTGCCCAGGCTGGTCTCGAACTCCTCGGCTCAAGCGATCCCCCTGCCTTGGCTTCCCAAGTGCTGGGATTACAAATTACAGACACAAGCCACCACACCTAACCCCTTGGCTTTATATAACAATGATAGCAGAGATGGTGATCTCCAGATAAACCATGTTCTCTCCTACTCTCCATGTTGTTAGGTTTTCCAGTATGTCTGGTTCTTTCTAAAGAGAATATGAACACAAGAGATGTATCACTTCCAGTAATGGGGAATTAAGAGCAGTTACTAGGATCTGAGATAGTGGAGTTGCTAGACAAAAGCAGCTTGGAAATCCAAGTCACCTTTGGAGAAGGCCACTAAGAGGAGCTGCTTGTGTCTTATTGGATTATGACTCTATAAATTGCCTTGGGCAGTATGGCCGTTTTCACGATATTGATTCTTCCTACCCATGAGCATGGAATATTCTTCCATTTGTTTGTATCCTCTTTTATTTCATTGAGCAGTGGTTTGTAGTTCTCCTTGAAGAGGTCCTTCACGTCCCTTGTAAGTTGGATTCCTGGGTATTTTATTCTCTTTGAAGCAATTGTGAATGGGAGTTCACTCATGATTTGTCTCTCTGTTTGTCTGTTATTGGTGTATAAGAATGCTTGTGATTTTTGTACATTGATTTTGTATCCTGAGACTTTGCTGAAGTTGCTTATCAGCTTAAGGAGATTTTGGGCTGAGACAATGGGGTTTTCTAGATATACAATCATGTCGTCTGCAAACAGGGACAATTTGACTTCCTCTTTTCCTAATTGAATACCATTTATTTCCTTCTCCTGCCTAATCGCCCTGGCCAGAACTTCCAACACTATGTTGAATAGGAGTGGTGAGAGAGGGCATCCCTGTCTTGTGCCAGTTTTCAAAGGGAATGCTTCCAGTTTTTGCCCATTCATTATGATACTGGCTGTGGGTTTGTCATAGATAGCTCTTATTATTTTGAGATACGTCCCATCAATACCTAATTTATTGAGAGTTTTTAGCATGAAGGGTTGTTGAATTTTGTCAAAGGCCTTTTCTGCATCTATTGAGATAAACATGTGGTTTTTGTCTTTGGTTCTGTTTATATGCTGGATTACATTTATTGATTTGCATATATTGAATCAGCCTTGCATCCCAGGGATGAAGCCCTCTTGATCATGGTGGATAACAAGGTAATTTATAGATTCAATGCCATCTCCATCAAGCTACCAATGACTTTCTTCACAGAATTGGAAAAAACTACTTTAAAGTTCATATGGAACCAAAAAAGAGCCCGCATCACCAAGTCAATCCTAAGCCAAAAGAACAAAGCTGGAGGCATCACGCTACCTGACTTCAAACTATACTACAAGGCTACAGTCACCAAAACAGCATGGTACTGGTACCAAAACAGAGATATAGATCAATGGAACAGAACGGAGCCCTCAGAAATAACGCCACATATCTACAACTATCTGATCTTTGACAAACCTGAGAAAAACAAGCAATGGGGAAAGGATTCCCTATTTAATAAATGGTGCTGGGAAAACTGGCTAGCCGTATGTAGAAAGCTGAAACTGGATCCCTTCCTTACACCTTATACGAAAATTAATTCAAGATGGATTAAAGACTGAAACATTAGACCTAAAACCATAAAAACCCTAGAAGAAAACCTAGGCACTACCATTCAGGATTATGACAAAAGTGAGAAATCAAACTTTGTGTGCTAAACCATTGCGATCTTAAGTTTGTTACCACAACGTAGTCAAGTCTATACTGACTAAGGCATCTTCCTTGAATTCCAGACTTCCATAGCCAGCTCCTCAACTCCTCCATTTGAATATCTTATACACATCTCAAAACCAGAATTCCTGACGCTTCCCAAGCAAGCTTCTCCAACAGTTTTCTCCATCTGAATAAATGGCAATTGCATCCTTGTAGTTGCCTAGTACAGAAACTTTGGAGTCATTCTTGACTTCTCCCTTTCAGTCACATCCCACATCCAATCCATCAGCAAATCCTAGCAGCTCTACCTTTAAAACATACCTAGAATCATTTTACTTCTGTCAGACTCTATAACTGCCTCTCTGTTATAAACATCCATCATCCTGCTGAACTACCGCAACAGCCTCCTAGGTGGCCTTTCTGCTTCTGTGCTTGCCCCACTACAGTTCACATGGCAGCTTGAGTAATCCTCCTTAAAAAGTAAATCAACTGGTGTCACTCATATGTTCCAAGCCCTTCAGTGGATTTCCAGGGGCAAAGCTCTTACATTGGTCTATGAAATCTTCTATGATCTGGCTCTTGCTCCAACTCTGGCTTTACCATGTATCCCATCCCCCTATTCACTGAACTCCAGGCTTCTGGCCTCCTTGCTGTAGCCAAAACATCAAGCATATTCTCTCATTTACTGCCTTTGCACTTGCTGTTCCCTTTGCCTAGAATACTCTTTCCTCAGATATTCACATAACTCATTCCTTCATCTTCTATAGCAGTGTTTCTGAAACATTATGTGCATCAGAATCACCTGAAGGGCTTGTTAAAACATAGATTTCTGAGCCCCACCCTAAAGTTTATGATTCAGTGGATCGTGGAGGAGACAAGAATTTACAACTCTAACAATTTCCCAGGACTGATGATTCTGGGCCAAGGACTGTGCTTTGAAAAACACTGTTTTCTGCTCAGAAGTCCCCTTATAAGCAAGGCCTTCTCTGACTTCCTTATATAAAATAACAACCTAACCCCAACACTTCCTACCCTCTTACCCAATTTAGTTTCCTCCATAATACAGATCAACTGACAAATATGTATGTAATATTCATTTACTGTTTGTCTTCCCTCTAAATTTTAAACACCATGAAAACAAGGACTTGGTTTCACTTATGGCTGTATGATACTGCCACTATCACCCATCTCTAACACAGTGCCTAGTACATAGTAGGCACTTAATAAATATTTGTTGAATGAATGGTGAGAATAAAATTATACACAGCCAGTCTTCTGTGACCTAAGCTTCTGGAGAAAATTGCTCACAAAGATAACTGGCCTTTGCAATCCAATCACTTCAGCTAAGCCTCTGTTACTTCCTATCTTGCTTCCTGGGTTACCTTTTGCATCATTGTCATCCTTGCCAACCCCCATGCAAGAAAGCACTGGTGATGCCTAGAAAAGCCTATTGGTTGGTGGTAGAGGCACTGTGATGTAACTCTTTATTTCAGGAGACCCAGGAGAAACGAAGAATCCCAAGTGATGCTGATCTCTAACACTTGTAACTCAATTGTTCTGAGAGCAATTATTTCACAGCCCTTCACTGAATATCTGCTGTGACAGGGCTGCAGAGAAGCATAAGACATGGTCCTGATCCCAGTCTGATGGCAGAATCAAATTGAGTAAAATACTGCAAAACTCCATCAGCAAAGGGAAGAGAGTAAGAACTGCTCCTGAAATTGCTGAGAGGGAGGCAGTGTATAAGGGTGTCTTCACCAAAAAGATGGTTGAGCTGGGTTTAAAAGAATGAATAGAAGTTTTGTTTGTGGTAAAGGGAGTAGGAAAACATTTTAGACATAGGAACCAGCATCAGCAAAAGGATAGATGTGTGGAGTAGAGATTATATTTAAAATATTTAGCAATATTTAGGGTTATGGTTTAGCAAACCCTAACCTTTAACCCTAATTGCTAAATATTTTTAGCATTTAAAAATAATTTTGGAGGCCGATGTGGGAGGATCACTTCAGGCCAGGAGTTCGAGATCAGCATGGCCAACATGGCAAAACCCCATCTCTACTAAAAATACAAAAATTAGCTGGGTGTGGTGGCAGGTGCCTGTAATCCCAGCTACTCAGGAAGCTGAGGCAGAGAATGGCTTGAACCTGGGAGGCGGAGGCTGCAGTGAGCCCAGGTCGCACCACTGCACTCCAGCCTGGGTGACAGAGTGATACTCCATCTCAAAAAAAAGTTAAGTGAGTGCAGTGATTCTCTGAAATGAGAAATAACTTGTAGTGGTGATCTGGGGGAAAAAAGTACAATCTTCCCTTTATTTACTAGGCATTTTTATTCAGTAACAATAAAACCATGAAAAATTCATTTCAATGTATAAAATGTGATTATGTTCTTGATTCAGATAATTACATATACAGACATCAACAAATCCAAATGGACATCCTGACCAAGCAAAGTGAACATCAGCTATAGACAAACTGGCATGATCATACCAGTGCACAGCACTTGATAAGGAGCTCCAGAGAGAGACCAGAATGTTGCAAAAAATGCTGAGTAGTCTAGTATAGCTAATGTTAATATAATAATAATAGCTGACACTTAGTGCATACTATAAGCCAGGTACTATGTTTTGCATGCTTAATCTTATTGAGTCCTCCAATCAAACTCTGTACAGTAGATACTGTTGCCATCCTCATTTTACAGATAGGAAAATTGGGTTTCAGAGAGATAAAGTCAGTTGCCTAAGTTCATCCAACTCGGAAATATTAGAGCTGGGATTTAAACCTGTACAGACTGACTCCAGAACTTATATTCCTAATTAAGGGATACTGCCTCAGATATTGGCTAGAACATAGTTTTGCCCCTTAACACTGTGGTTTTATACAAAGGAGTAAAATAAATTGACTTTTCCCTTATAAACGTTATGGTCTGGATGAGGAAACAAGACTCTCAGCTATGCAACCTTAGGAACATTGCAAAGACTCTCCCATAACAACATGAGACACTTACCCAGTGAATGGGACTTAGGGAGTATTGTGGTTCACCGAAGCTGAAGTGGTCATGGAAAATATAGAACTTGAATTTGGCCTTGAGAGGTACGGAACAGTAGGAAGAATATTGCATTATGTTCAGAAGTGTTAGAATCCACTTGTTAACAGTGTGACCCAAGCCAAAATAATCTTCTTCAGTGTTATCATCTGTAAAATGGGTGATTTGGATTAGACCAATACTTCTTAACAAAAGTACACCCCAGGAGGTATTTTGGAACTTGTGAGGCCATTTGTGATTGTCAAAATGATCAGGGAGTCAGGGACACTTACTAGGTGGCTGCCAGGAATGACAGGTGTTCTGAATACTATGCATCCTGAAGGATAGAGAAGACCTCTGGATATTCATGGAGATGAAAACTGTTTATAATTATTTAAGTCTAGAACATAACCACATTTTACATATTGAAATGAAGTTTTTCATGGTTTTCTTGTTACAAATAAAACTGCCCAGTAAATAAAGGGAAGATTGTACTTCCTGCCCCCCACCCACGATCATCACCATGAGTTGTTTATCATTTGAGAGAATCACTGCACTTACTAATAGCAACTGCATTCATGATACTTGAATCATCAATACTACATCCCAGTGTCATTCTGTGTCAGCAGCCTGTTACATTCATAATAATTCTCTATAGAGCTGTTGGCCTCTGACTACCACTTCATGACATCTTCTAATATAGCCATGTATGAGCTTTTATATATTGAAATACATATCTTTTTAATATAAATTACTTTTCTTCTTTTTTTTTCTTTGCAATACAGTTAGGGCATAATATGTGCTTTTAAAATTTTTGCTTAATTAGGAGATATACCTAATGCTAAATGACGAGTTAATGGGTGCAGCACACCAACATGGCACATGTATACATATGTAACAAACCTGCACGTTGTGCACATGTACCCTAAAACTTAAAGTATAATAATAATAAGATTTAAAAAAATTTTTTTGCTTACATTTTTATTATAACTTATTCCTATGAATTTATTTTTAGGATAGCAAGGGAGAGTAATAATTATAATAAAAATAATAAAGTACTGCTCGGATAGAGTTAAGAACCACTGTATTAGATGATCTCCCAAAGCCTTTCCAGTTTTAATTTTCTTGGGTATAAGATGGGCTTGATCTTGAGAGAAAAGGGAGAGCATTCCAAGGTGGAAATGACACCAGCCACATGGCCTGGTCAAGCAGGGGGTGGAGTGTCCCCAGACAAGCCAGGATAAGGCAGAGGCTTCTCAGGTCTAGTCTGGTCATGTTCCCTGGAAGCCTGCCTTCACTCCTCCCACCTCACTGTAATTGAAGACTCCTGGGGAAACTGCCAGGGCTGGCATTACAGGAAATTGCCTTGTGGCCAACAGGGCTTCTCTGGTTACTTTCCTCAGTGACAAAGGACAGTGATGATTTCCTGTTAGCTGAGTGTCTTTGCCTCCTTGTTCTGGCGAGTTCCTAAGAAACCTTAGCTTCTGATTCTTATGGTTTTGTTCAGCTCCTGCTATTGTTTTTTTTTTCCCTGTCTTATCCAGTTCCCTTGCTTCCAGCCTCTTTGCTCCATGCTTGAGGGGTCTGGAAATTTTTCATCTACTATAGACCAATTTTATGGAACACTCAAACAGACATTGTTTGGAAGTAGGCCATAGCTCCAAATAGATGCCATTTCAACTTTGGCAACACCTGTCAAGTTCTCTTCCTTGAAGGGGATGACTTTTATCACTTAATATTATGTATTATTTTGTATTCTTAATAATTATATGTGCTTGTTGAAGACTGCTTAGAAAACACAGAAATGTATGGAGAAGGAAATACAAATTATCCATAATACCAAGAAATATAGTACTCAACATTAGACAAGGGTGTAAGCATAGGTGAAGATAAAATTCAATGCTGCTCTCTCAGTTCTCTCTTGTATTCCAGCCCCTAGCTTCCTCCTGCCAGAGTACCTCTTGATCTCACCCTTATTAAAACTTGCCTGTCCTATATTCCATAAAATGGAAGGTAAACTGGAAAGTGTGCAATAACACTTACCATGTCAAGGGCTTATAAGAGAGATAAAATATAACGTATAAGGAAGGTGTTTGGAATCTAAAATAGTAATATTTTGTCATAGCTTTGCCATCTTTACCTTATTACCAAGGTGTTGTGATGATAAAGTGTTGTGGGAATGTCTAAAGAGATAAGAGACCATCTGAGAAATTCACAGTGCTCTCTAGGAATTAGGAAAAGGCACACAGTACACAGAGGCAAGAATGATTAAGTGTGAGGTCAGCTCATAAATATGCCTTTCTCTTTGGAAAAAACATCCAACATTAAACAAAAAAGTTGGATGGTACTAAATCCATCCCAGAGATAAAGTTCTTGTTACAGATAACAGTTAGAATTTATGTTTTCCTTTTTTCCCAAGGTGGATATGGTCAGAATGGCAGTTTTTCTCATTGTTGAGTCCTTGTATTGAGGTTCTGGTAGACAAAGGACTTAGAAAACACTAAGGCTTAAGGGTTAAGGTCAAGACTTTGGAGTTAGTCAGACCCGAGTTCAAATCCTAACTCCATTAATATAGTCACCAAAAATTCCTTGAGTGTCATCCATGGTTTCAGACATTGGAGATGCAGTGTTGGACAAAACAATGAAGTCCCTACTTACATGAAGCTTACATTCTAGTAGGAGTAAAGAGAATGTCTAACGATGAAAAGGTAATGAAATGATATGATTGGAAGTAACAGGAGACTCAGCAATGGCCTCTCTGAGAATGGACAATTGAACTGAGACCTGAGTGATGAAAAGAGGCCAGGATTTTTAAAAAATATCTAGGAGAAGAACATTGCAGAAAAAAGTAACAGCGAGGGCAGAGGCCCTGAGGCAGGAACAGGCTTGATGTTTTTAATGAACAGAATGAACGCCCTCCTGTGTGACTGAAGCAGAGTGAGCCAGAGAGAAAGGAGATGAGGTTGGTGAGGATCAGCACATGGCAGGTCATGTGGGGGCCTTGCAGAAATTCAGCTAGCAATCATCACGATCAATCAGAGGAGAGGCAAAAATGAAGTTAGAGAGCTTGGGGGGTACTGTAAAATACCAACTGAGGAATTTGGATCTGACTAACTGGGCATGGGAGTGCCACTGTAAGGTGTGAATTGTGTGCTGAAATGGAGTTTGAGGAGAACAATTCCGAGAGCAGAGTACAAGGTAGCCATTTTCATTTGTCACTACATATCTAGCACTTGAATTTCACTCAAGTTATCTGCTACAGCTACTTCTTTACCAATGAGTGCAAATCCATAAGTCACTGGACACCTGTTTTCACAGGAATATGTCTAGAGTCTATTTCCAGCCCCCAAGTAAAGATATTCTGTTGTATATTGTGCCTGGAATTTCTACCAGTGAGGAGGTGTCTAAAGCAAAGTTCCCAAACCGGCTATTTATTTGATAAGGTATAGACCTGAACTAAAAGGATGCTAGCTTAAGTTTAGTTTTTATTTCATTTGACTACTGACAACATCAGATAAGATCATTAAGCCGCAATAGATTTACTTGGTAAAGAAGCTAAGAGTTAGGTCTGCTGGGACAACATTGCTTCTTGGTTCACATGGTTTATTAACTTTTTCCTTTTTTTAATAGGGAGAGAAGTCTTATGGAAAGCCATGTGGGGGCCAGGACTGCAGTGGGAGCTGTCAGTGTTTTCCTGAGAAAGGAGCGAGAGTAAGTTGCTTATTTCATTGTTGAAAGACAAATAGTGGCATGGGAGCTGTTATCTGTTTTCTTTAGAAATAAACTGCTTAGAATTTACTCTTATGACCTCATGGAACAAGCAAAGTGATGAGGACCAGCTGGAAGGAGCTTTGCTAACTAATGATAGTCAGAGTTAGATTGGTCAAACTCTCTGAGGTACCAAGAAGAGGTTTCCTTCATTCACTTAATGCCAAGGTTTCCTCAGAGTTTCATCTGGAGTTTTTCCAAAAGCCAATTAGGTTGTAGAGAGCCAGATTGTGACAATGTTTGTAGATAAGTGTACATTTTCATAGCTCACTTGATTCTTCCCTCCCAGTCTGGGGAACAGGTGTTCCAATTGTTATCTACAGACTGTGGATGTGACTTGTCCAAAATCACCCTGCTTGTTAGTGATAGACTCAAGAGAACAAGGTAGCCATAAAGTCCAGAAATATAGGTGACGATACATAAAGAATGGTTTATAGGTATTAAATTACAACATAGGATACGTTTTAAAGTGTTGTGACACAGTCCGTGTATTGTCCCTCATTAGCAATGCACAGTTCAAATTGTTGTGCAAATTGCAATGAACTCAGTCATTGACACAACATTTCTATCAATCCCTGAATATGCATAGCCCCTAGATATTTGTATCTATGATTTTCACTGAAATAAATGCATTTTTATTATAACCCAGGAAAAGTGTTGAAAGGGGTTCAATCTGAAAAAAAAATTAGACACATACACAAGTTGAGCATCCCTAATTCAAAAATCTGAAATCTGAAATGTTTCAAAACCCAACATTTCCTGAGTACTGATGTGACACTCAGAGGAGATGCTCATTGGAGCATTTTGGATTTTGGATTTTTGGACTAGGGATGATCCATCTGTGTGTGTGTGTGTGTGTGTGTGTGTGTGTGTGTGTGTGTGTGTGTGTTTCCAGGATTAATGGCCATCCTACAGAGTTCAGAACTTCCCATTTCTAGCATTGTGAATACACTCTCATCACACTCAAAGAAGACTAAGGGCTTATACTGTCAAAATAAAGTAGTACTATAAATAGGTCAACCAAACTTTCAAACCCATAGCCAAACAGGGAACACAGTGACCGTTCCACCTTCTCTTTCATTATCTTACATTTGGGGTAAAGTAAAATGTCAAACTATGCCAGAATTTGAAGGAAGAGAATAAAAATCCATCTTCTCATCAAAGGGGACTAGATCTATTCTACATTAAAGACATGGACTTAGAGAATCGTAAAATATGAGAAAGGGAAGGTATCTTAGTAAGCTTCACATCTTATTTGTTGATTGTACAGAGGAAACAGACGCAGAAGAAAAATTACTTCCTGGGATCACATAGCAAAGTGATGACAGATTCCAGGCCTTTATCTGGGTCCTTTGATTTCTCATCTATTTACGTCACCAGCTTATCTACTGCTGCCTCTCACGGAAGACATGTTCACTGTAGCCACCAAGACCCATGCCCTCACCTCTGAAACATTCTAGAAAAAAAATTTCACAATAAATATATGAACACATTCTTGAATAACATGCAAGCAGTATAGACAAAGCAAAAATCTCTCTTGGTGCTCTTTCAGTGCCATTATTGTCTTTCTTATCTTTTTCCATACATAATCAGAGATATGTACACGTATGTCTAAAAATAGTCTCATTATCTGATTTTCTTTTCCAAAATAGAATTCTAAGTATATATTCTGGGCCCCTTTTGTAAACTTAACGTGTCCTTAAGATCTTTTTCTCTACCCCATAGTTTAATTCAGCCACCCTTTTGACAGCTACTTAGGTTGTTTCTAAATTTTTGCTATTTGTAAAATGGCAGAGCTACAGTGAAAATCTTAGAGTAGGCCTCCTTGTGTTCAAGCATAGATACTAGCTCAAGCATAGATACATCTCTAGCATAGATACTAAGGATCATAATTACCTGGTAGAAGGGTAATAGACATTTTTAACCTTCAAAGCCATTGACAAATTAGGCTACAAAGTATTCTCCAATTTATATTCCCATCAGCATTGCACAAAAATGCCCATCTTTCTACACCCTTGCCAACACTTGATATTTTTGCTAATATGATGAGTGAAAATCATTCTAATTCCCTGAGTTTAAATGTCTTTTCACATATTACCTGGAAATTCATATTTCTTCTGTGAATTTCCTGGACATATTCTTTAGCCACTTTCCTAACTGATGATTCTTATTGACTTACTTTACCTCTGCAAAGATACAGCAAATAAAAATGACCCAAATCGATGCAAGTGAGATTTGAGGTTTGACACAAAGGACATTTCCTGATGGATTGTGGCAGGGTGAGAAGCAGTTAGACACAACAACCAGGAAACTGAGAAGCTCTGGGCTGTTTGTTGGGTTGGGGAGCCTTTAAAAGTAGAAAATCTTATATATCTGATCGGAGGTCAGTCCTACACCAGGCAAACATGCCTACAGTGATCTCATTGTTAAGCCCCTGGCTAAGATTTTGATCTCTGGAAATGGAGGGCAGTAGATTTATTTCATGAGGAGCCCTCATTTAGGTTTCAAACATCTGGAGCCTTAGTCTGGCTTCTCTTTTGAAAACATCTGAGTGGCTGAGGGGATGGAGGATGGAGGAAATTAGAATATCCCTGCACAGATTTTTACCTCAATATTTAAAAGACACAGACTCCACACTGTCAAATATGTTCCTAAAAATGTATTTGCAAAGTCTAAAGTTTCAAAGAATGTTTGTCAAAGTTACTGAACCAGACCAAGCCATATTTCATGAGTCAAGAGCAGGAATGTCCTATTTCCCAAATAGATAAGACCGATGCTCATGCAGAAAACTGAACGTGGATGCTTGAAGCACCACCAGGTCCTGTTTAGTCATCCTCCCTTTCCTCCTACCTTCCCAGGGCCAAGCAGAATTGTTTAAATTGGCCCCAGCACTATTGACCCTGCAGGACAGCCTCTCAGTACCCCTTGTGTGCAGATGTCAGAAAGATTTGGGACTGTTCTCCTTAGCTGAGCAGAGGGCACCATTTATATTTCAAGCTGTTCCTCTTGAGCTGGGAGGGCAACGGAACATTGGGTCACCCTGAGATGTGCTGCAGCCCTTGGCAGGCCTGCCCCCTGCCTTGGGGAAACATCAAGCGCATAGCTTGCTGGGCAGTGTGTACTTTTCCTTTGCCAAAGTCCTCTTGAACTGACTAGGACATTTACACAACACCTAGCACTCCTGCAAAACTGCAATCCAACCCTTTTTGGATGAAGCTATCTCAAACAGATTTCTCAAAGGTATGCCCTGCCTGGTAAAAGTCCCTACCTAATGTTGGTGCACTGCTTTGCAGTTTCCAAAACATCTTCTTTCAGGGGCTGTAATCCTGTATGTATGCAACAAATAAAGAAACTGGTAAGTGACTTGCGCAAGGTCACCAGCCTGCTAGTAGCTAAACCTTATTTAGCCAACTTTAAGAGAATGGCAATCTTTAAAAATGACCTGCCTCATAGTGTTAAATAAACACTATGTTCAGATTTGAACTTAATATATGACTTTCACTTTTCTTTCTTAGGAGTTAGGTGTTATTATCTGGAAGAACTATTCTTTCGGGTTGTTCTCTTCCCTGGTATTTTTTTTCCCCTGCCACTTGATCAAACAAAACATTTTAGGTTGACATTTCCAACACTTCTCTTTTTTTCCCTACTAGATCTGAAAGCTATCTCTGCATTATACTCCATCAGTGTGTGTTTGTCTGAAGTTGGGGTTGGGAGGAGGGGGCAGTTTGTTTTCTTCTGAGCCTAGTATTCCTTAATACTCTTTTAGAGTTTTCCCTGTTGTAACATTGTTCTGGTGTTTATCTAAAACATGGTGACCCCCTAATTATCCATGCCATCTAAAGAAGCATTATCACAGATAATCCAAAACCATGGGGAATGCTTGGATTGCCCTCTAGGTAAAGGCTGTTTGTCCCCCATTTTATGACTTGGGACTTTATGCCTAGCTTGAGAGTTTATGAAGTTAGCCTGAGTTTCATGAGAAACTGAGCCCAAGTTTCTTAATTCCTTATATCCTGCCTACATCCTGCTGTTCCACTGCCGCAAAATGTGTTTCCCATGAATTCCAGAACCTAGATGCATTAACAACTAGCCCTTCAATTTATTCTCCTCCTGCAAACATCTGGCATTCCCTGTGTCAGCTGACTGGTGCCATGGCTACCAAGAAGCCTTTCCATTTTCTCCTTAATTAGGAAATTGCAATGTACATCTTTCCTCCTCCCTGTGTATCCCCTCATGTCCCTCTCCTGACTACCCACTACAACACACACCAATGTCTTTGTCCTCTACTGCTCCAACATGAAAGCTCATATTTTATATCACCTCCTTGGGTGGCCAGGCCTTTCTCCAGCTGCCTGCACTTAAGTTTTGTGCCTTATTTCATGACAAATATTTGCCCTCTCACTCCTCAGACATTTGTGGGCTGGCCCTATTGCTGACACTAATCACTACTAACTTACTTGTTGCCAAATCCAATGGATATTTTTCATTCCTTATCTTCCTTGATGGCCCTGCTATATAAGACACCTTCTTCTCTCCTGAAACTTTCTGTTCCCTTGAATGTTATGCTATCCTTTCCTAGTTCTTTTCCTACTGTGATTGGGATCCCCCAGCATTCTGTCCTCATCCCACTTTTCTTCTCAGTGTAGGCCTCTCCCAGGGTGGTTTTATATACTGCAGGGATTTCAGCCACCATCCATAAAATGATAAATATTAAATCTCTAGCTCTAGTTCAGATCTTTCTTCTTAGTTTCTGATTGGCATTGTCAATTTCTTGCTGGATATCTCTGCTTAGATTTCACTGGCACCATAAACATGTCTATACAGAACTCCATTACCAACCCCCACCAGATGTACTCCTTCCTAAATTCTATCTATGTCTTCCCCATCACAACAAATGGCATCAACAAGCACTGAGCTGCTCAAGCCAGAAAACTGGGAGTCATGCTTGTCTTCTCTTTCCTTTCCCTACTACCTCCAATCCATCATTAAGTCCTGTCCATTTGTCTTCTGAAATTGAACTTGAATACATACACTTCTCTCCATACCCATTTCTCCAATCTAGGCTCATATAATTTCTTGCCAGAATTACCTCAATAACCTCAAGACTGATCTCTCAGCCTCTAATCTCACTCTCCCCCATCAATTTGCCACTGTCCTGCCATAATCTTTCCAAAACACAAATATGTATCATGAAACTCTTGCTTAAAGTCCTTCAATGGCTCCCCCATGGACTTCACAATAAAATCCGAACTCTAGAAAACCTATAAAGTCCTTTATTACCTGGCCCTGGACTACCTCTCCAATATTATCTCTCATTATTAGGAACCCTCCTCACTTCAGAAAACAAAACAAGACAAATATTTTCAAAAAACATATGAGTTCACTGAACTATTTATAGTCCTCAGAGCTACTGTGTTGTTTAATGTGTTGCAGGTTTTATACTTGCCACCCCTTCTACATATACTAGTCTTCCACTAGCTCTGCCCTTTCTCTGTTGACTTGCTTCTATTTTTCCATCCTTTAAAACTGAGCACAGATTTCACCTCTTTGGGAAGATTTCCATGATCTGCCAGGCTGGGGTTGTCTACTCTTACCATCATTTCTCTTCACTTGTCTGCTCTCCACTATCTTAAGAACAATTAAAGGGCAGAGACAGTGTTCTTAGACTCTGCAGAGTCCGTAGGCACTACACACTGTCTCATGAAAGACTGACCAACTGACCAAGCAATTTTGCATAGGTGTGGTTCTAGCCCTACTCTCCACATCCAGGATTAGCTGTTAGGATGCTGTGAAGTTGATGGGAAGTCTCCTGTTGAGGGAGTAATCCCTGCTGCTGAAAGAAGGCAAAGAGCTGGGGCAGTCATTTTCACATCTTCTTTAGCTCCTGTTAGCTGCAAGGACCACACATCTGATTTCGATGGTTTTCTCTGGGATTCTGCTTTCCTTAACTCCTCTGAGTTTTTGACCTGGCCTCTTCTTTTGCTTGATTGCTTCTTACTCTATACCTAATAATGCAAGGGACTTGGCAAAATGCTTATCTTTTACTTCCAACAATTCATTCTTTCTCCAAGATGAGAACATTAATGAATAATTGTGTCAAAGGTAATCCCTAACTTTCTTTGTGACGTTGTTTCCACCCTCCTCTCCACCAAACCTTTCATTAAAAACCTCTTAACCTTTTGCAAAGTTGATGGTCTTGTTCCTCTTCCTTGTGGGAGGGGGGAAGTAACGTCTGAGCAGAGAAGTAGCCACTAGGTGGTAGTAAAGGACGGGGTAGAAAATCAGGGGTCTTTGTATATTTACATATGGTTCTTTCGGTTCAGGATAATTAATGATAGTGTTAAAACATGTGTCTCTGCACAGAATCAAGATGCAATCATAGCCCTGCAGATGTTCGTGGTTATCTTAATCATTTATTTGATTGTATTGTGACATTACAGGATTTATGGAATATATTATATGTACTAGTGAGGGAGGCTTCTGCTAGAGAAGAGCCAAGGAGCTGGAGAAGGAGATAGATAAATACACAGCTGTGGAGACAAGAACACTGCTTTAACTATCCAGAGACCTAAGTGTCATGCGTGAGCTTTGCCAACTGGATGACTTTGGTTTGGTGCTTTCCCCTCTCAAGGTCTCAGTTTTCCCATAGGTGGGATGAGAGATTTGGGATGTGTGATCTCAAAGGACCTGCAAGCTCTGACAATCTAAGTCAGACACCACATTACTGTACCCTGATGGTTCCTTGCCCCTAGAGTGCATTATCGTGCTTTCTAGTATTGAAGTGAGATACGGAAGGTGATGTTTGACAATGTCCTATCCTCTGAATGGTGTCTTGGCAGCTGCCTCAGATATAACTCATTTGCTGTGGCTTCTTTACTGCTGCTGCTTCTAGATGCTCCTGACAGCTGAAATTGTGCTTCTGCAGGAATGTGCAGGACTCTCCTTCCTTGGTCATCTGGATGGTGTGATTTGAAGAGTCACAGGAATTTCTCTTCACCAAAACCCAACAAAATCTTCCCTGCCTTGCCTAGGAGTCATTCTGCTTACCGTTCTAGCTTTAGAAACTCGCTCTTTAAATGAAGCATTGCCCTGTCCTTGCATTGCTTGTATAAATCTCATGTGCCTCTCTGATGAGAGGAGCCATGCTCACTCTGCATATCTGTGTGCACAAATCACAAATTTTGGGGGACCACTCAGTTTTCCTTTTGCTGTCCCTGCTAAGTCATATGACAGAGACATCAGATATTAAGACATGAGTGAGCATCTTGCAGGTCAACAAGCGACATATTATCTCCTCCTAGTCTACCCCCTCCTTCAGTTGCCAGATGTGTGCCCCTTTTTGCTTCTTGTTCTTCCTTTCCTCCCTAGTCTCTAACTTCCCCTTTTCTCCCTCAAGACTTCCTTCCCTCTTGCTCCATTTCTAGCTTTCCATCCCTCATTCCTGGTTTCTCCACCATGGCCTCCTCCTCACCTAGTTTCTCCCCTCTGCCTTCAGTTGCCTGGGATTGCTTCCTATGTCACTTATCTTTGACTCCAGTTTCTATTTTTTGTCATTTATCAGCACACATGAAAACTGCAGCAGCAGGATAGCAGGGAGGAGTTGCTGCAATGTACTTTATAGAGGCATCCCACTTATCCAAAGATTCTTAATCTCAGAGCCTGAATAAGTGGTCTGCAAATTGGGGGGGTGGAGGGGGGAGGGCATGCAGGTCAATTTGTTGGGTATAGAAGAAAATATGAAAATTTCTATTCACATTTAATTTGAGAGACACTAGAAAGAAATTAAGATTTAGGATTAAATAATTTATATAAAGTGTTTAAAGCTGTGTGGTTCACTAAATGCTATGTATTAGACTATTATTATTACTATTATATGTAACATGTGTATTTTCACTGGCATCCTCATCAGGTGAGTTGGCTTTCTTCGGCTTTCCTGTTGTGCATACTCTGTAAGGTATCCTGAGGGAAGAGTGGGGGCTCCACAAGATGGAGGGGTGTCCTTGGGGCCCTTACTTTTTTTCCTGAATGTATACCAGAGATATTGATGTTTCCTTGGACCTAGTTAAGTAGATTTATGGATATTATCTAACTACATTTAACCCTCACAAAATGGACAAGCAGCTTAAGAAGATTCCTGCAAATAGACCATGTATTGGAGATAATACTAGTAATGTAAGCACATGGCAGAGCTCACACTTCTACTCCTAAAATGAGATTTTTATCAGCCTCATTATGAAGTAAAAACCATGGTAATCTAATTACACCTGACAAGAAGTCAGCAAAAACATATTGCAAGAATAATGAAGACTATATGAAATATGGATTTATGTCAATTCTCAATGATGAAAGATCTTGCCCTAAGTATATAATTGTGCCTTAAGGTATTAGCTAATAATATAATAAAGCCATCACAATTAACAAGACATTTAACATGCTGTTTATTTCATCTTTGTCTCATCCTTTTACACTTTTTATTTATTGTGTGTTTCATTTTATATATATTATCATTAATATATGGGGGAGAGATTAGGACATGTGTATGATTTATATAATTGTTAACAATGTATAAATATACATGTTTTGAGGAAGCATGCTCAAAGCTTTTCTAATTGAAAAAGGGTGTGCAATCAAAAGGATTTGGAGACCACTGGCCTAAACCATACTTAAAATAGCTGGGAGCCCGCAGACAGAGGCAAAAGAACTCTGGATAAGAGAAAAATAACTGTCACAAAGTCTCTTGCTCTTTCCTTATAGCATAGTCATGCAACCAACTTTAGAGCTTCACCTTGACAATTTCACATAGAATAAAGCAATGGAGATCTCAGGAACTGGGAGAAGTGAAACACCAAAGGAACTTATAAAATAATAAAATTGCAAGGCTGGAAGGTTGGATCCAGCCCTCAAGAGGTACATCGTAGGTTACAAAAGGCTTTCCTGGCATGCCTATGAATGCTCTTTCCCTCACTTTAATTATGAATGGGCTTGGAAGAAAGTTTCAGAGAGATTAAGAGACTGTCCCAAGATCTCTTGTAAGTGACATAACTGAGATTTAAATCAAGTGTTCCATTCCCCTCCATAGTGTTCTTTCCACCATGTCAAATGGCCTCTGAAACCTTTGTGGCCATAATCAGCTGAGCTCCCTGCATTACTCGTTGCAGTCAGATTGTTGTGATTGGAGGAATACTTGGAGTGGAGAAAATCTGCTAGGAAGACATCCACGAGATATCAACAAATCAATTGCCCTTCGTCCTCCACCCTAGTGAGTAGTAATTCCTGACTGCATGTATAGCATCCATTTATATCCCTGTCTGGGTTTTAAAGTGTTTTTCTAATATCCTTCTCTTTTAAAGGTTTAAGAAATGAATTCCAAGCTTAAGGAAAGCATGTTTTTTATATGTGATTACAAGTTCTGTGAGGAGTCATGTCAGTTTTCACAGCTGTAATGTGTGTCTGTCCCTTTATGTAGGCCACTGACTGTATGAAAGTTCACTGCAATGGAGTTAGAAACATGTGGAGATGAAATTACCAAGTATATGTCAGGGAAGTAATTTGGTGTCTACTTTGAGAAGACTCGCATTAATGGAAGTCTTCCAAGAATGTTTAAGAAAATTAATTGCACAGCAACTCTCTAAGCTATAGTAAAAGTTGATGGAAAAATGTGCATTGCTTTGCAGAAATTTGCTTCACTATCATCTTTTCAAAAGAGCTTTTATTTTAACAAATGAAGCACATAGCCAATTATTTAATGACCATCTTTACTTTTAGAGGTGGAAGTCCTAGACTATGTTCTGTGTTTTCTTTTATCTCATTGTGTTTTGTGAGGTTCAAGCCCCCTAGAAAAACATTTAAGAAAGTACTCTGGGGGCTAAATATTGGTGCAGGCACTGTGGGGAATGGAAACATTTCATAAGTACCAGACTTCTACTTAGGGCGGCTACACACACACACACACACACACACACACACGCCAATGTTTGACTACCCATCACTGCATCTGATTAAAAGTCTAAATGGTAAATCACGAAACCTCAAATGGATAGACTGGTATGGTCTGTAGTAATTAAGCTATCTCTTTTTAAAAATATTATGACAAAAAATATTTCTTTAGGAATATTAATTTGGTGAGGGTTATCCAGGGTGGATTGGAGTAAGAGACATGATAGGCAGACACTAAGCTCCCTATTTTTAGATGTAAGTGGCATGTCCAAGACCCCCTAGCACAACAGAATGGAAACTTTGTTTTTTCTGCTGCTTAGATGCTTTCTTTCAGTGGTTTTCTCTATTCCTGAATACACACACACACACACACACACACACACACACAGAGAGAGAGAGAGAGAGACCCAAACTAGTGATTTGATGATGTGACCTAGTCTTCACTTTAGATGAATGTATGACATTTTAATTTTTAAAAAATTAGCTGGAAAATAGTTCTAGCTCCTTTCCCTCACATTTGTCTAACTCTTTGGAAACCAGTGTCCCCATTGGTTAGTCCCTACTAATTCCACTTAAGGAGAATTCATCATAAAATCAAGTGGAATTGGCATCACTGAGATGATCCTGTCTTGATTCCAGAGGTAGGACTATTAGATGCTTTTCTCTGTGGGATGTTAAAAGCTCCTGTAATTACTATGATGCCCAGGGAGAAAGACCAACTCAAAGGGTCCTGAAAGAGCATCTGTTTCCTACCTGACAAATTTTATTGTGGGGGTTATAAGTATAAGGCAGAGTTTGGGGAATCATGAAAGAAGGA
Organism: Homo sapiens; assembly: GCF_000001405.40. Lineage (NCBI taxonomy): Eukaryota > Metazoa > Chordata > Mammalia > Primates > Hominidae > Homo > Homo sapiens. Next base: position 108,299,937 of record NC_000023.11, on the reverse strand, counting down.
AGTCATTGTCTCATATAAAACAGATTTTAAAGCTTGGTCAGCAGAAAAGTCTGCAGAGTACCTTAGAATTGTGCCCTTATCCTGAATTACTGGCTGTGACCATGGCAGGCTCCTACGGTGGACTTAGCTAAGCCCTAGGCTTTGCTATGACAGCCTTTACACCTTTTATCCTCAGCCTTATAAGCTCAGTTTTACTTTTTAATTTTTGAAGACCAAAAGAAAAAATGCTCATTTCTTTAGCCCCAAGAAAGATTAATGTATGTTTGGTTATCAAAGAAATTGTGGTCTCTGTCCTTGTACATGTCTTTGCTAGTTCAAGTAATTGTAGTGACTTTGCATTCCATTACTTCAGTTAGGTTCTCTCTCAGAGCTGACACGAGTCAGTGATTGCTACCCCCTTCACAAGTTGTTGGGGGAATGCCAATACAGCTATGAGCAAGGGAGGGAGCTGTGGAGGAACATGCTGTGGGGCCCAGAGAGGAATAAGGGGTAACCAGGGTTCAGGAGCCAGGTTTCCCCAGAGAGAGACAAAAAGAAAGCAAACAAAAGGAAGAGACAGGTCTAAACAGGCTCCCCAGACAGGGCCCCTTTGCTTTAAGAACAGAGCCTTAAACTTCACAAAGCTCAGGGAGGAAAGGAAGCCAGGGGTTAAACGTGGCCTTTGAAATTCAGTTGAAGAATTATTAACTGAAAATATACAGAGAGAAAAGCCACACATATACACAGCAACATTTGCTATTCTTAAAACCCATTCAGACACTCTATGAATTCAGAAATGTGCTTAAACCTGCATATCCACATAGATACTAATATTGACCCCTCAGGAACCACAAAGGTACCACAAAGACACAGATAATAAACATAAGAAGAGGCTCAACAGCAGGAGGACACAGAGTCCCAAGATGCCTAACGTGGGTTGCTTTTGGAGGCATGTGGCAGACAGTTTAGTGATCTGATGCGATCCATTATCAGAACTGGGGTCCCATTGCTCCTGTAATTGGTACCAGAGTAAGAAATTTAAACTTCTCCCTGAATTTTACTTTTTAAATCAAGTCCAAACTGAGCCAGAGCTCTGAGAGCAGAATAGAAGCCCGTCTCTCCCTCTTCCTCCTCCTTCATAAAAGGAGCAAGGAGACTTGAAGGCCTCCAAGGTCCCTTGGAGGCACCAGAGCCTGCAATGTGGCAAGTCCGCCTGCCCCCTCCCTGCATTTACAGTCCAATGACCCAACGCCCCCAGACCCCAGACAGTTTAACCAGCCCCCGCAGGGCCTCCTTGAGAGTTTCCCAGATTCCTGAGGGGAACCTGATCCCGCCCTGGGATCAGCATGGGCTCTTCACAGCATCCCCGAAAGATCCTTGCTCCTCGGGGATCCCCGAGAACAGCACCCGTTCCCACACACAGCCATCCCTGCAGCGCCATCACCCACCCGTGGCTGGGAGGTGACCTCCCAGGGTCAGTGGTGAGGCCGCCCAGGGAGAGGGCCCGGAGGCCAGGCGGGAAACAGAGCAGAAGCGACAGAAATTCCCCCTGCCAGCCCAGGCTGCCAAGGTAGCCCTGGACAATGCCCTGTCTGACCCGCCGCCCCACCAAGCCAGGCCACGGCCAGAGCCAGAGTGGCCTTCGGCCCTGAGCGACAGGAGAAGGCAGTTCTGAAGCAAACACGGCACAAAGACAAACGCAGCCTGGGAACTTTGCACCAGCTTCTACACTGGAAGGCCTAAAACGTCCCTTGTTCCAAACACCCCCCTCATTCCCCCCAACAAAAGTATTTACCTCATGAAGAAAGGGAGAGCGCTAGACTCACAGAACAGTTGGCAGAGCCAGAAGGGCAATCATCTAGTCTGACCCTTTCATCTTACATATGGGGAAACAGGCCCACAGTAAAGAAGAGACTTAAACTCTGAAGAGTGTTTTTGAAAAGTCTTTCCTTGATTATGAAGGCAAGATGTGTGTGTGTGTGTGTGTGGTGTGTGTACTCACACACACACGTGAGAGAGAGAAAAAGAGGTGTGGGGACGAGATGGGATAGAAAGGAGAAGACAGGAGAGGGGAGGGAAGGGAAGAGAAGCAGAGGGGAGGGGAGGGACTGCATGCAAGCCTGAGCCAAGGAACTTGTGAGCAGGAACACTAATTGCAGTGCAAACAAAAATATCTTTGAGTGTAAGTTGCCCCTCACTCTAGAGACCAGATTTTCTTCCCACTTCCCAGGGGCCCACAGGGACCCAGAACAGGGTAGAGAAATTTGCCATTTGGGGAATACAAGTAAGGGCAGTGGTTGAGAGCATGGATTTTGGAGTCAGATAGCTAATCTTTTAAGCCCTGGTTCTATCATTTACTAGATGTGTAAATGATACACATTTACCCATTGATTCTCAACCATATTGCCCCCCAGGGAACATTTGGCCATGTCTGGGAACATTTTTGGTTGCCACAACTGGTGGGGTCATACTGGCATCTAGTGGGTAGAGGACAGGGATGCTACTAAACATCCTATAATGCACAGGACAGCCCCTCACAACATAGAATTATCCAGCCCAACATGTCAGTAGTGCCAAGGTTAAGAAACTCTGCATTAGGTGAATGGTTTAGCTATTTTCTGAACTTCAATTTATTTATCTGTGACTTGAGAATAATATTACCTATCTTTCAGGGTTGTTAAGATAATTAAATAGGCTAATACCTTTAAAGCAATTAACATAGTGCCTGGCACAAAGTAAGCACTCCATTAATTATTAGATTTGAGTATTATCAAACCCTCCCTTAACTCCACCATCTCCTATAGTTACCATCCTATTTCCCTGTTCCCCTTATAGCATAATTTCTTGAAATATTTGTTTATACTCAAAATTTCCACTTTCCCAATTCTCTCTTGAACCTATTCTAATCAGGCTTTCGTTGCTACCACTCCTTTCTTATAAAGGTCACAAGTGACAAACACATTGTTAATTACAATGGTAATCTCTCAGTCCTCATCTTACTTGACCTACCATCAGCATTTAAAATGCCTTTTCACTCTCTCTTTTTTGAAAAACTTTCTTTGCTTGACTTCCAGGATACTATTCCTTTGATTATTTTCCTACCTTGGTGGACAAAGCTTCACATTTCCTTTGTTCCAAGAGTAGAGGGCTTGGTCTGATTTGTTTTGTTGAATGAATGAATCAACAAATAATATTTACTATGAAGATTAAAAGAGATAATTGTTTAAAGTGCTTAGCACACATTAAGTACTCAATAGTCATCACCACCATCACTACGACTGTTAGCATTGATGTTATTGCTATTACAATTATTCTCCCCTACTGATTATGAGCCCCTTGAAAATCAGACTAATGGTACTTTGTCTTGGTTCTCCTTTGTATAGAGCTTTGTTCAATAGAACAATATATAGCCAATATCCAGAAAACAGTTTCCAATGGGCAGGATTAGCTGAAGATGGCGTGAGAGGAGAAATATTTTATAAAGAGTTTTACTGAGGTTAGAGGTGGGTGGCTAGAGGCTCAGAGGAACAGACATGCAGTAGGAGGTCATACCCTACCCATTTTCACTCTCTGATTCAGAAATGATAGGACCACGAAAGGGAAGGAGTAGCAATTCTCACCCATTAATCATCCCAATACCTCCTTGCCTAGGTATGGAGGAGAAGTGGGCCTGTGGCCAAATATTAGCATGAACAGAGCTTATCTGTTGGGTTTGACAGAGTGAACAACATAAATTCACTTTTCTCACAGTACTGGATTAACTTAATTTTCAGTCATCTTGAACTTTGAGTAACTTTATACACTTTCCTGCTCCTACCACCATCTTTACAAATTTGCAAGTGGCATTTATATTACCCAGAGAATATGGTCCCTTAGGGATAGTCATTAGAGAAAGCACACAACCCAAATCTATTAGAAAACTTTTGAACACTCAAAGCATCCATTAGGTGTTGCTGATCGTTCTGATAACATAATTTGGCAGCATTTTCAGTTAAAATGAGGTAATAACCAAATAGGATCTTTGAACCAAGTTTCTTTTTTCCACTAAAAACAGAATGTCTAGATTTTTATATAATATTCAAGCCATTAACTACCACCAACTGTGGCATTAAATGGTGGCTAGTCTCTCCCTTATCCACTTTACCACTCATACCAAGAAAACATCCATAATTTGGACCCTGACTTGGAAACGTCATTAAATAAAACCCATATGTTTCCAATCCCTGACCATCCAAAACCCCACTCCTACTCACTTGCATTATCACCCATATGCAATAACCAACTTGCTTTGCAGATGGGTCAGCCTATCTGTAAATTGCCAGATAGGACCTGTCCAAGTGCAGAGAAAAAGTTTAGTCCGATTTGCATAAGCAACCAAAGAAAAATGTTTGATCCACAAAACCCAAACCATTAACCTCAAAAGGAATTATGATGATACAACTTTATTTTCAAAACAGCATTTTTTCACTTTTTTAAACAACAGTCTTATTTTTTAAGCCTTCCAGTAGGTGCTTAATAAATATGCAAGTGACATAAAGGCCACCATGATTTTCCAATTGGCTTGGCTATTGGTGGCTTTGGCAGTTCTACTATTATTTGTCAAAGATCCTTCAGTATCCATCTGGGCCCACAGAAAGCCAGAGCTCCCGAAAGAAGTGTTGATAGAGCCCAAGGGGGAAGTTGCAATTCATTCTGGAAAGGTGACCCAGCTGCCAGCATCCCCTGAGCCTCCTGTAGATGCCAAATGAGCTCCTTGTCTAGTAATCCCATCTGTGATCTAAATGTATACAGAAACTGCCCGATCATCTCCTCCTCTTGACTAATGTGCACATGGAGATGTATTTGTCCTACTAAGATACAGAGATTGCTGTCAGATCTATTAAAGATAACAGTTGTCATCTTTTTAATCATCATTATTGTAAAAATGATAAGGATAACACATAATAATGAGATAGTAATAGCTGTTGCTATCTGTATTTACTCTATGTCAGGCATTGTGCTAGGTATTCTATATATGTCTCATTTAATTTTTTAAATGAGATATAAATATCATACCATAAAGCTCACCCCTTGAATGTGTAGAATTCAGTGCTTTTTAGTATATTCACAAGGTTCTGCAACCATCACCACTATCTAATTCCAGAACATTTCATTACCTTGTCTCGTTTAATTTTCACAGTAGCCCTGGGGAATAAATATTTATTTTAAACCCCATTTTGCAGATGAGGTAACATTTACAGAGGTTAAATGATTTGCAAAGCTCCCATAGCACATAAGTGGTGGAATTCAGAGTCAAAGACAGATCTCTCTGGACCCCAAACCGAAGCGTCTCTTTCTACCTCCCTGATGGTTCTTTATTTGTGCCATGGTCTATTTTCATTTTCATTCATAGGAACACCAAAGGGAACAATTGTAACCTTCTTGTTTTGCTCTTCTACTTCTTCCCCTTTTCTCCTTTGTTCCTTAAGGAATTGATGGCTTTGGTGTCCCTAGCAACTGCCATCCTCCTGCCTACCTACACCACATACACACACACACACACACCAAAAAAAAAAAAAACACAATTGCCCTAACAAAATTTATTCTCAGCTAGTGACATTAGTTTGCAATGAAGATCTTAAACACTTATAAAACCTTAATTTGTTACCCTTTGTTAGACCTACTTTTGTTTAATAGAAAGTCATTATTTAGCATAGTGATAAGAAAAGAACTTAGGTACCAAGCTTGGATTTTACGTTTGGTCTGGTTTCCCCATACTAAACATGTTACCCTGGGCAGTTGACCCCTGTAAGCCTCAGTTTCCTCAGCTGAAAATGAAAATAGTAATCCTATGTACATCACAGGGCTGCTATGAGGGCTAAATTGAATATACATGCTAAATGTTTGATGCAATGTCTTGAAACAGAGTACATGCTCAATAAATGCTGGTAGTTATTTTGGTAGCATCAGTGAGTGGATAGAATGTGGAATTATAGAGTACTTGTCAAGTTATATGGCCTAGAATCAACCTAGGCAGCCTGCCCACAAGGCGAGTTTTGATAAAAAGCATTTATTAAGCAAGGAAGTGCATGCCAGGTAGTATACCAATTAAGTTAAATAGCTCCTGCAAATTCTTGCCAGTTTAATCAACTAAAAACATAAAGATAACTTTTGGCTTTAAATCGCTGACTGCTTTCCTCATGGCAGTCACAACATTTTCCTCTTTAAGAATCTACAATGATTCCCAGGTGTCATCAAAAAAAAAATCACTTGACCTGTAGAATACCTAGTATAACCTGGACTTGTACAGTGTCAGGTTGGGTATAACCTGCCTGAGTAAACCAAGTAGCCTCAGCAGACCTGTATGGTTGGGTAGAATCCGAAGTCCCAAATATAGTTCAGATTATAACCCATGGGCTATTTTAGAGTTAGCAGGTTGGGATGAGAATCTGGAATAGATTTCAAGCCAGGTTATCATTTAAGGTTTTAAGTAGCTTCCAAAATCCATTCTAAGCATGGGCAGGGTGGGCAGTTGGCAGAGGTCCAAATAGGCTGCCTGAACACAATGTAAGAGCAAGTACCAGAGACCCAAACTTGACTAATAATAATATTAAGTACTTATCATAGGTGAGACACTTTGCTAAGGGCTTTATTATGTATTAATTATCTCTTTATTCTTACAACAGTTTTGTGAGAATAAGTGGTATCATCCTCTCCATTTTAAAAATAAAGGAAATCAAAGGTCACATAACTGGAAAGTTGTGAAGCTGAGATTCAATCCCATATCTGTCTGGTTCAAATATGCATACCCTCAACCATTATACTGTAATAATACCTCCCAAAACACTAAAGTACTGCTGGCAACCAAAGGCTTGGAGACTTGGGCACAAGGATAAAATGGTCCCGGCAATAAAGCTGGCTTGCTGTTTTGCTAGACAATTATTGAAGTGGAAATCATGGCTTTTTTTTTTTTTTTTTTTTTTTTTGCTTTTTTCCTTCTCTTTCCTTTCTTTTTTTTTTTTTTTTCCTAAGAGACGGGATCTCACTGTGTCATCCAGGCTGGAGGGTAGTGGCATCATCATAACTCACTGCAGCCTCGAACACCTGGGCTCATGAAATCTTTCCACTTCTGCCTCCCTAGTAGCTGAGACGACAGTGCTTTTCCTTCTACTGTGTGGTGGCAGCAGTAAGCCAAGAGGCTGAGATGGGGGCTGAGACTTTCAGGGAGGGGCTCAGAGAAGCCCTGAGTTGGATTGAAACAGATTACTGTGGTGATTTTTCAGGGTTTTATTTCTCTTGCTGTTGTACACAAGTTCACTTTGTCCTATAGATATGTCCTTGGAATTTTGTCTTGATTGCTTCACATATTCTAATTTTCATTGTTCACATATAGAATAATAGCTTCTATCACTCTACCTTTAAAGTTCTTATCTCCTTCCCTTCATCTAGAAGAGAAAATGCAACAAGCGGGAGAAGATGACCCTTTCACTCTTAAAGAGCTTCATAAACTCCTAATAAAGGAAATGATAACAATCTTTCTAAGAGGCGGCCCCATTTTGCAATGATGAAGTCTAGATGCTACAGAAATAGTCCCAGCAGGAAATAGCTGAAGGCGGAAGGCAGTGTTAAACAGAAAGCATGTGTTGAAAACCACCTTGGTCCCTTTGGAAGATGAAAATATGTTGTAAGCTACTGCTGAATGTTTTCTCCCCTCTAGTGGTCAGTGGAAGGAGGAGACAATGGTGGTATAAGTGGTGCCTACTTTTTAACTGTAAATGCAATATTACAAGTGATATTCGAAGAAAATTGCTTCCATAAGAACAATGCTATAAATGGAATTATGTTTCAGACCAAGGATACTGTATCAAAAAAATTAAAAATATGACCAACAGTTTGTGATACTAACAAAGGTACAATTACAGTAGGAGTATAATAATTCTACATAAAAAATTAAGTTGTATGCCTTATATTGGGCATAGATATATTCTATACAGTGATTAAAAAGAGGCCTCTGCTATATCATGTTTGTCATCTAAATCTAAAATGCCACCTACAATAAACAATACAATACACATTGACTAAGCATTTCATTAACAATTTTGTTTGCCTTCTTAGATTTTAACTTTAAAGTGCTCTCCAAGGTAATCTAAGTTCTCACCACAGAACCATTTATAAAAAGAAGCTCCACATTCACCCAGATATTGTTTAAAGCGTTTCCAAATGTGTCTCTAAAATTAATACTGGCAATTTCCCGTCTCAGCTAATCCTCTCTGCATTTTTGGCATTTTGTATCAATAACATTAAAAATGTTCACAGTCTTTAACCCAGGAATTCTACTCTTATGAATTTAATTGAAGGAAATACAGGAGTAAGAAAGATTTATAAGTGAAGATACTAATCAGAGCCCTATTTGTAACAGTAAAAAAAAAAATAGAAAAAGCCTATATGTCTTACAATAGGAGAATGGTTACTTAAAGAAGTATGGTATATCCCTTACAGTGGAATATCATATGGTCACATAAAGTAATGTTTCTTGGAAGAATGTTTAATACTTGTAAAAATGCTTATGGCATAATGTTAAGTGAGAATTATGGAAAACAAGTATTTATACAATATGATCACAATTTTGTAATGATAATTATTCTACACCCAATTTTTAAAAAAGGTTGAAATGACATGCACTAAAATGTTGTCAGTGCTTATCACCAGCAGAGAGGATTATGGGGAAATTGTTGGACATGCAGAGAAAGAGAAGACCACAAAAGAGACTGAGAAAGTATCAGTAAATAAGGTCCTAATGAGAGCTGAGGAAATGAGGTGACTGGAGCTAGATAATGGAGCTGGGTAGGTCCTCTTGGACAGAAGCCTAGGTTGATTCTGTGAATGAGAGGGCAGACCCAACTAGAGTGACTAGCCACCCTGGTTTGCACAGGACTGAGGGCTTTCCCAAGACATGGGACTTAATGTGCTAACACTGGAAATGTCCTAGGCAAACTGGAATGAATTGGTCACCCCAGACTCAAGACGTATCTGATTTGGAAGGCCCTATGTGATCTCCAAATTCAACCTCTTTCTTTTTCAGATTAAAAAGCACCCAGGAACTGGGAGATGGGTAGTGTCATGACCAAAGTCACACAGGTAGCAGAGCACAGGACTGAGAGTTCAAAGGATTTAGCTCTGCTCTCTGCTGTGCTGCTTATTAACAAGACATTTAATCTGAGGTTTAGGTTAAGGACATAACACCTTGCGTGTTCACCAGATTATGACAAAGACCAAATTTAATTATTCACAAATACAAGGAGTTACCAGTAACAATAAACAAGTATTAAGCACATACTACATTGCTTTGGGCTCAATTCTAAGATCAAGGAAGTATTAATAATTCCAAATTTATAGAATTATGGTAAAGTCTAATTGAGATTATATTTCTAAGCAAATTAGTACAATGTTTGCCTTCTACAAAGGACTCATTAAACGTTAGCTCTGATGATTATATGTCACATTTTAATACATAGATGTGGAAATCCCACACCACTTAATAGTAACTGTGAGACAGGTACTTTTATTAATGATCCCATTTTAGAGACAAGAAAATTGTGGCCCAGAGAGGTTATTTGCCTTGCTTAATTTTATACAGTCAGCAAGTGACAAGGCCATTTGTCTCCTGGTCAAGCCCTCTTTTCTACTTCATTAAATTCCACTCAGTAGAAAGCCTTTTTGGATGAGAGCACAGTGAACACTTTTTCTTTTTACAGTAAACTTCCTTCTTCCTACTTACATCTTCAGTTTAATGAAAGCCTCCTCTTGGACTAAATAGAGGCCACCAGGGAGCCTTCCATGAGATATTTTGTTAGCAATCTTCTGAGAATTTCAAGATCCTTTAGAAACATTGTAAAACAATTATAGAGTCTGCAGAATATCGCTTACAGGGTAAGGATTAAAGTTAGGGATGCTCTGGTAAATGTTTAACCACTGGCTCTGGGAGAGGGTGAGAGGGGGACACTGATTAGTAACATTTGCAGATATCCATGGTGTAAGTATTTCCAGCATGGCTGATTTCAAACTACTGACGAGATTCGCTCCTGCAAACCAGTGCCAGCCAATGCAGGCCAGTGCAAGCCAGTTCCAGCACACCACTGGAAGCAGAATTCCATGAGGCCATTGCTATCCTTAGTTTATATAAATTCAATAAGAATTAAAGTGTGAGCGTTATTCAGGGAGCTTGGTTTTAATATATGCAAAAGGGAGAGAGAAGTGAGTGCAGGCCAATGGGCTGGGATATTGCAGAGAGTAGGACAACTTAAGGGAATGCCCAGAGGAATGGAGGTTGCTGCCTGCAAGTCTATGTCTGGCCCTTCTTGAAACCTTTTAGGAACACCAAAGCTTGCACCTACAATAATTAGAGAAGTTTTTTTTTAAAACGAAAACAAAAACAAAAACAAAAACTTGGCACAAGCCTTTTGTTTTCCTGCCAACTTTTTAATTTGAACATTTTCAAACCTTCAGAAAAGTTGCAAGAATAGTACAAAGAACACCCATATACCTTTCACCTAGATTCACCAATTGTTAATATTTTTCCACACTTGCTCCATCTCTTTATTTCTACAAACTATTTGAGAGTGAGTTGCAGATATTTGAATTTTCACCCCTAAATACTTAAGCATGAATCTCCTAAGAACAAAGACACTCTGATACACACACACACACACACACACACACACACACACACACACACACTATACTCATTGCTCTTGGGAAATATAACATTGATAAAATATACAGGTTTAGAGTCTGTAGTCAAACTTCCCCGTTATCCCAATGATGTCCTTATAATTTTGTTTTTTCAATGCAGAATCCAATCAAAGATTATGCTTTGCATTTAGCTGACAGCCTCTTTGATCTCCATTAATCTAGAACAATTCCCCAGACCCCCACTTTTATTCTTTTGTCTTTTATGATGCTGATATTTGTTAAGAGTCCAGGCCAGTTGTTTTGCAGAATATCTCTCAGTTAGATTTGTCTGATTATTTCTCATGAATACATTGCAGTTAAACCTTTTAGTTTACTACCATGTTATGTCCTTCTCAGTGTCTCACATCAGGAGGAACATGATGTCATTTTTCCAATTATTGGTAATGTTAAACATAATCATTTGGTTAGGGTGGCGCCCAATATATTTCTCCATTGCAATGATACCAGTAAAGCTTATCATTTGTGTGAATATTCAGTTCCAGGAGAAGCTTCTTTACACTGAAAGTATAAATTACTTGGTTCACTGCAGAACCATGGGTTGAAAAGGCATTATCCCTAATTAAATGAAAAAAAAAAGAGATTTATTTAAAAATAAGCTGGCACTAAGCTTCTTAGCCAAATTCATGAACTATTCACATGACAAGGGACCTTATCTAAATAAGGAGTTCCATATCTAAATTGTGAACTCCTGGTAGAGTATTATGCCCCAGTCTATACACGCCTTTATGTCTAGAACTTAGCCTAGTGCCTAGGCTATAGTATATGCTCAGAAAAAGGTTATTGAATAAATTTCTGTCCAATTGGAATTACTGTCTCCATGAATGAGAAATTAATCATACTAAACAAAAAAAATGTACTTTTTTTGTCAACTGGCACCAGCTGGAATTGATTTGGCTGCTTAAGTACTATGTTTCTCATGGGAAATGACAGAGCTTTTCGTTTTCATCCAGGTATTTGACCTTACTTAGGCACTATTCAAGCCTTTGGCTGCTCTAAAAATCTTAGCTTTTCTATATCAAAATTAGAAGCTGTTCTAAATAAATTAAAGATCAACCCTGTGCTTGTTAAGATTATATTTGGCTACAAATGACAGAAAACCCAAAATAACAGTTAATTAAACAATACAGTCATTTATTTCTCTCTGATATAAAAGTTCCCACTTTTGGCCAAGATGGAGCAACAGGGGCTGGACTTACCCTCATGCCTAAAACAAGTGAAAAACCAGACAAAAGGAAAACAATGGTTTTCAGACATTGGATACCAGGCCACAAGGAACAGTGATTCCTGAGAGACAGGAAACTAACAAGGTGAGCCCTATGATGACCCCAGCTTATTACCTGGACAGAGTTTCCCGGCAGTGGTACAAGGACAGGGAACTGAGGCAAAGCCCAGTAGATGAGGAGATGCAGCTGGGAATCCAGGGAGACCTAGACAGGTAGAATTTGCAGAACAAGTATTAGAGAAGAGAGAGCTGCATGAAAAGAGAACTCCGGAGATATTTGGAGTCCTCCTTGAATCTTCGGTTGAGCACTGAGCAACACATGTGTGTAAGGAAACTAACCTAGACTGGGGAAAGAACTACCCAAAAGGAGCAGAAGGAACAATCCTCAGAGATCATATAGGGCTGTAAATAGTGCCTGCCCCACCAGCCAGAATAGAAAACTTTATAACTCACATAGCATCAGAGTACTAAAAGGATCATGCCTCAGTAGCAGTGCCAAATTAGCCCTAAACTCAAGGCTGCTCTAGAGCTGCCAAATAAAGTTTTAAAACAAGCCTTGAAAGAATCTGTTTCCAAGTAAGTTAACTGTGTCACAGAGCAAAGCCAAGGAGTATTTACAGAAACACAAAATATCCAGCACCCAACCAGATAAAATTCACATCTGACTTACAAACAAAAACGACCAGGCATCAAAAAGAGCAGGGAAATAGGACTCCTAATGAGAAAAGTCAACCAACCAAAACTGACCCAGAAATAACACAGATTATAGGATTACAAGACAAAGACGTTTAAACAGTTATTATAACTTTTGGTGTTTTTAAGAACCTAGATGAAAAATTGAGTATATTAAGTCAAGACATGAAAGACCCGAATAGAACTTCTAGAGTAGAAAAATTCAATGTTGAGATGATGTAAGAGTCCATGTAGGTAGTTGTGGGCTTGAATGGCATCTCCATGATCATCAGGGACCCAGACTACTTCTATCTTCTTTCTCCACTATTCTCAACATATGATTTCCAATTCAGGGTCCAAAATGGCTGCTCTAGCTTGAGCCATCATATCTTCCTTCCAACAGCACCATGAGAGACTAGGGGAAAGGAGTATGCCCCTCCATTTAAAGATGCTTAGAAATCTCAGCCAGACATGATCGCTCACACCTTAATCCCAGTGTTTTGGGAGACCTGGATGGGAAGATCACTTGAGCCCAGGAGTTCAAGACCAGCCTGGGCAACATAGTGAGACTTTGTCTCTACAAAAATTTTAAAAATTAGCCAGGTGTGGTGATGTGCACCTGTAGTCCCAGATTCTTGGGAGGCTGAGGCTGGAGGATCACTTGAGCCCAGGAGCTCAGGGCTGCAGTGCACTATGATTGTGTCACTGCACCACAGCCTGAGTGACAGACTGAGACTCTGTCTCTAAAAAAAGAAATATCTCATGACATCCCTTTTGCTTACATCCCATGGTTCAGAACTTAGTCCCAGGGTCACAGTCACCTAAAAGTGAGATCAAGAATTGTAGTCTTTATTCTGGGTGGCTATGTGCCTAGCTAAAATGTCAGAGTTATATCATTTAATGAAGAATGGGAAAACTGAAATAGGGGAACAGCTAGCCATCACATCTCAAGTTCAGAGCCTGCTCATAGTGCAGAAGAGGTCCTGATCCAGTTTGAATAGCATTATGATCCCTGGCTTAAAAATAACTTGAATAAGACTGCCCCTCGGTGTTTTTGTTACCTAGAAATTAAAAACTTGTTTGTGGTTGTTTAAATTCCAGCCCCCACACTTCTATATACTTTCGGGTTTATCTCAAACAAACTGCCAGAGTTGCTTCATTTTCCAAATCAGTGACACCAAGCTAGAGGTGGAGCTTAACATTTTGTTTGACTTATGCACATGTTTATCATTGCCAAGAAACCAGGGTCACCCAGCCTATTTATACCCTACTCCTGAAAGAGCTCACTTTCTTTCTTTCCTAATAAAGTCACTAACACCTGCAGCTGAAACAAACATTCACAGGAGCATCCACACTGCATTCTTTAGAACACCAGATCCTTCTTCCTGATGGAGAAAAAATTGGCTCATAATAGATACAACCCTTTTCTATGGGACCACCTCACTCCTACCCAGAATTTCTTTTGGTTAGCCATACAGCTATTCCTCAATCTTGAATCACCTGGCTGTTACAACTTATTGGTCCTTTTTAACAGCTTTTCAGTGTTTCTGGGTATATTATTGCTCTCATAATGCCAAAGTGGATGCCATTCTTCTCAAGAGATGGTAGGTGGGCATACAGTTGATCTGTTTTTATCAGGCAAGACTGTATTGCTGAAAAATGGCAGTTTTTGCAAGGTGCCATACAAACCAAGTGTCATGGCTGGCTCACTGAGTGTTCCTGCAGAGCATTTTGCACTAGCTCTGTGTGCTGTCTTGAGCAACTCAGACCCAAAAAAAATCTGCAGGAAGTCAGGCCTGGGTGCTTTCCAGTTGCTGATGGCTTTGATTGCTTTAACAACCCTCCGCTCAGACATTGCCATGTGACATTTCCACTTTACCCCGATAAAAGCTTTCTCATCCTGTAATCACACTGCTTCTCTATGATTAGCATCACAACTATCATTATTCTTTACACCAGGTAATGGTGAATTGTGAAGTATAACATTCACAGGGGTTTTAGTATAGCCAACTAACAATCTAGAGAAATACTTGGGTGGAAGAGATTGGGATAGAACTTCCAGTGCTGATTTGGACTCCAGATTGTGACTTCAGAGGAAGATTCTTTCCTCTTGGGCTCTCCTACTGTGAACCTGTCCACAGAGGCATGATAGAATATGCCCAATAAACACACTCACTGACCTGCTGTGCCCTATCTGATTTGATTTCCCACTGGGCACCCAGTAGACCCAGAGTATACAGCCTGGGCCGCTTGGGAAAGAACAGGTGGTTTTTGACTTGACAAAATGCTGTTTGTCAGGTACAATTTCGTTTTCAGTAAGACCTTGCTGTTTGGATAAAAGGAAGGATAGGGGTAGAAAGTTGAGGTAAAGGGAAGATAACCTGTGGGATTGGCCAGGTGTTTCTATAAAGAGGAAATGGACACTGAGAGGCTAAGTTATTTTCCAGGTGAAAGTAAGAAGTAAACCTTTGTTAGACATGGAGGCACGTTTGAAGCTTGATGCTTTATGAACTCGAAAAACTAAAACTCGGTTCCATTTATTTTAAGTAATCCTTCTTTAATCATGACTATCAAAAGATTGGTGTAAAAGCTTGAACTGCCAATGACTATTAATACTGTAAATTGCAAACATTTGCTAGCTGAATGCCTGTCTTTCTGACCACTTTTTTATTGATTGGGAAAGCATAACATTCTTTAAACTGGTTTGCTACAGATCTGTAAAGTGTCTGGATCCAAATAGTGATTTTCTCCAGTTGAGGCAAATCAAAGAGTTTTTTGGTAGTTTGTTTTGTTTTGTTTTATTTTGTTTCTGTATGTTGTCACCTGTATTCATGCTTTACTATATTGGATCATGTCTTTTTCTTTTTCTTTTTCATTATACTTTAAGTTCTGGAATACATGTGCAGAACATGCAGGTTTGTTACATAGGTATACATGTGCCATGGTGGTTTGCTGCACCCATCAGCACATCATCTACATTAGGTATTTCTCCTAATGCTATCCCTCCCCCAGCCCCCCAGCCCCCGACAGGCCCCAGTGTGTGATGTTCCCCTCCCTGTGTCCACGGTTCTCATTGTTCAACTCCCACTTAAGAGTGAGAACATGCAGTGTCAGTTGTCTTTAAGTAAAAAACTTGAGAGTTTCACCCAATTATATAAAAAAGAATAATTCAGCTTTTTAGGTTTTGTATCTTTCTTTTCAGTGGGTTAAACCTAAAGCACAAGAGCTGTCTGTCTTCTGCCAGTCAGGCAGAGCAATGGAGTAGTATTAGCAAATCAATAAATATAACACTAAACCTACTGAATGTATTACAGTTATTTCTGCCTCTGTATTTTGGGCTTCATCATCTTGCTCACATTTCTCAAGTGTGACCCTTCTTCAGATGTTGTCCTCTATCACCAGAGCATCTTTTCAAACAGCAAATTAGTATCCATCAATCTTCCTCCCCCACAGCCCACCTTTTATTAAAGAGGCTCTACCTTCCTCCCAAGCCCTCTTTTTTTCTTGGAAGACCATTTTTTCTTGGAAGACCATGTCTAATACATTCTTGTCACTTTGTATGCCTTTGTCATGGTAGATTTTAAAGGCTTTCTTAAGTGCTCCAGCTGTAAAGCACTGTGTCCTGCTGTTCTCTGTAATCAAGGATGTCAGATCTCACATGATCAGCTTTAGGTACTGAAGAGAATAGAAAGATAGTCTTTGAGACTCATTCCACTCCCCGCATCCCCGCCGCCAACCCCCCCCCAAAAAAAAAACTTAGGGGGATCACCCTCTGGCCAAAGGAGAATGTTCATCTTAAGGTACAGATGCTCTAAGGCAAACATTATTTGAACTGACAGGAACATAGCAAGTACTTACTGAACACTTAGAAGTGTACAGAATTGAGCTAGGTACAGGAGCGGAAATACAAGACTGGCATGGTATGGTTGTCGCCTTGAAAGATGTTCTATTTCCAGCTTAGGGAAGAGAGAAATAAACTGCAAAACTGTAAGAGTAAACAGTCCATCTTATAAACCATCAAATGTTAGAGTTGGAAAGGACCTTTAGTTATCATCTAGCCAAACTGTGTTTTCAAACTGTGGATCACCAAGCCCTAAGATTCAGCAGAGTGCCTCAAAGGCTGACTATCTGCCCTTCTTGCCTCTATACCTTTCTTTTTTTTATTTTTTTATTTTATTTTATTATTATTATACTTTAAGTTTTAGGGTACAAGTGCACAATGTGCAGGTTAGTTACATATGTATACATGTGCCATGCTGGTGTGCTGCACCCATTAACTCGTCATTTAGCATTAGGTATATCTCCTAAAGCTATCCCTCCCCCCTCCCCCCACCCCACAACAGTCCCCAGAGTGTGATGTTCCCCTTCCTGTGTCCATGTGTTCTCATTGTTCAATTCCCACCTATCAGTAAGAATATGCGGTGTTTGGTTTTATGTTCTTGCGATAGTTTACTGAGAATAACAATTTCCAATTTCATCCATGTCCCTACAAAGGACATGAACTCATCATTTTTTATGGCTGCATAGTATTCCATGATGTATATGTGCCACATTTTCTTAATCCAGTCTATCATTGTTGGACATTTGGGTTGGTTCCAAGTCTTTGCTATTGTGAATAGTGCCGCAATAAACATACGTTTGCATGTGTCTTTATAGCAGCATGATTTATAGTCCTTTGGGTATATACCCAGTAATGGGATGGCTGGGTCAAATGGTATTTCTAGTTCTAGATCCCTGAGGAATCACCACACTGACTTCCACAATGGTTGAACTAGTTTACAGTCCCACCAACAATGTAAAACTGTTCGTATTTCTCCACATCCTCTCCAGCACCTGTTGTTTCCTGACTTTTTAATGATTGCCATTCTAACTGGTGTGAGATGGTATCTCATTGTGGTTTTGATTTGCATTTCTCTGATGGCCAGTGATGAAGAGCACTTTTTCATGTGTTTTTTGGCTGCATAAATGTCTTCTTTTGAGAAGTGTCTGTTCATGTCCTTCGCCCACTTTTTGATGGGGTTGTTTGTTTTTTTCTTGTAAATTTGTTTGAGTTCATTGTAGATTCTGGATATTAGCCCTTTGTCAGATGAGTAGGTTGCAAAAATTTTCTCCCATTTTGTAGGTTGCCTGTGCACTCTGATGGTATTTTCTTTTGCTGTGCAGAAGCTCTTTAGTTTAATTAGATCCCATTTGTCAATTTTGGCTTTTGTTGTCATTGCTTTTGGTGTTTTAGACATGAAGTCTTTGCCCATGCGTATGTCCTGAATGGTAATGCCTAGGTTTTCTTCTAGGGTTTTTATGGTTTTAGGTCTAACGTTTCAGTCTTTAATCCATCTCGAATTAATTTTTGTATAAGGTGTAAGGAAGGGATCCAGTTTCAGCTTTCTACATATGGCTAGCCAGTTTTCCCAGTACCATTTATTAAATAGGGAATCCTTTCCCCATTGCTTCTTTTTCTCAGGTTTGTTAAAGATCAGATAGTTGTAGACATGCGGCGTTATTTCTGAGGGCTCTGTTGTGTTCCATTGATCTATATCTCTGTTTTGGTACCAGTGCCATGCTGTTTTGGTTACTGTAGCCTTGTAGTATAGTTTGAAGTCAGGTAGCGTGATGCCTCCAGCTTTGTTCTTTTGGCCTAGGATTGACTTGGCGATGTGGGCTCTTTTTTGGTTCCATATGAACTTTAAAGTAGTTTTTTCCAATTCTGTGAAGAAAGTCGTTGGTAGCTTGATGGGGATGGCATTGAATCTATAAATTGCCTTGGGCAGTATGGCCATTTTCACGATGTTGATTCTTCCTACCCATGAGCATGGAATGTTCTTCCATTTGTTTGTGTCCTCTTTTATTTCCTTGAGCAGTGGTTTGTAGTTCTCCTTGAAGAGGTCCTTCACATCCCTTGTAAGTTGGATTCCTAGGTATTTTATTCTCTTTGAAGCAATTGTGAATGGGAGTTCACTCATGATTTGGCTCTCTGTTTGTCTGTTATTGGTGTATAAGAATGCTTGTGATTTTTGTACATTGATTTTGTATCCTGAGACTTTGCTGAAGTTGCTTATCAGCTTAAGGAGATTTTGGGCTGAGACAATGGGGTTTTCTAGATATACAATCATGTCGTCTGCAAACAGGGACAATTTGACTTCCTCTTTTCCTAACTGAATACCCTTTATTTCCTTCTCCTGCCTAATTGCCCTGGCCAGAACTTCCAACACTATGTTGAATAGGAGTGGTGAGAGAGGGCATCCCTGTCTTGTGCCAGTTTTCAAAGGGAATGCTTCCAGTTTTTGCCCATTCAGTATGATATTGGCTGTGGGTTTGTCATAGATAGCTCTTATTATTTTGAGATACGTCCAATCAACACCTAATTTATTGAGAGTTTTTAGCCTGAAGGGTTGTTGAATTTTGTCAAAGGCCTTTTCTGCATCTGTTGAGGTAATCATGTGGTTTTTGTCTTTGGTTCTGTTTATATGCTGGATTACATTTATTGATTTGTGTATGTTGAACCAGCCTTGCATCCCAGGGATGAAGCCCACTTGATCATGGTGGATAAGCTTTTCGATGTGCTGCTGGATTCGGTTTGCCAGTATTTTATTGAGGATTTTTGCATCAATGTTCATCAAGGATATTGGTCTAAAATTCTCTTTTTTGGTTGTGTCTCTGCCCGGCTTTGGTATCAGGATGATGCTAGCCTCATAAAATGAGTTAGGGAGGATTCCGTCTTTTTCTATTGACTGGAATAGTTTCAGAAGGAATGGTACCAGTTCCTCCTTGTACCTCTGGTAGAATTCGGCTGTGAATCTATCTGGTCCTGGACTCTTTTTGGTCAGTAAGCTATTGATTATTGCCACAATTTCAGAGCCTGTTATTGGTCTATTCAGAGATTCAACTTCTTCCTGGTTTAGTCTTGGGAGGGTGTATGTGTCGAGGACTTTATTCATTTCTTCTAGATTTTCTAGTTTATTTGCGTAGAGGTGTTTGTAGTATTCTCTGATGGTAGTTTGTATTTCTGTGGGATCGGTGGTGATATCCCCTTTATCATTTTTTATTGCGTCTATTTGATTCTTCTCTCTTTTCTTCTTTATTAGTCTTGCTAGCGGTCTATCAATTTTGTTGATCCTTTCAAAAAACCAGCTCTTGGATTCGTTAATTTTTTGAAGGGTTTTTTGTGTCTCTATTTCCTTCATTTCTGCTCTGATTTTAGTTATTTCTTGCCTTCTGCTAGCTTTTGAATGTGTTTGCTCTTGCTTTTCTAGTTCTTTTAATTGTGATCTCAGGGTGTCAATTTTGGATCTTTCCTGCTTTCTCCTGTGGGCATTTAGTGCTATAAATTTCCCTCTACACAGTGCTTTGAATGTGTCCCAGAGATTCTGGTATGTTGTGTCTTTGTTCTCATTGGTTTCAAAGAACATCTTTAATTCTGCCTTCATTTCGTTGTGTACCCAGAAGTCATTCAGGAGCAGGTTGTTCAGTTTCCATGTAGTTGTGCGGTTTTGATTGAGTTTCTTAATCCTGAGTTCTAGTTTGATTGCACTGTGGTCTGAGAGATAGTTTGTTATAATTTCTGATCTTTTACATTTGCTGAGGAGTGCTTTACTTCCAACTATGTGGTCAATTTTGGAATAGGTGTGGTGTGGTGCTGAAAAAAATGTATTTTCTGTTGATTTGGGGTGGAGAATTCTGTAGATGTCTATCAGGTCCACTTGGTGCAGAGCTGAGTTCAATTCCTGGGTATCCTTATTAACTCTCTGTCTCGTTGATCTGTCTAATGTTGACAGTGGGATGTTAAAGTCTCCCATTATTTTTGTGTGGGAATCTAAGTCTCTTTGTAGGTCACTCAGGACTTGCCTTATGAATCTGGGTGCTCCTGTATTGGGTGCATATATATTTAGGATAGTTAGCTCTTCTTGTTGAATTGATCCCTTTACCAATATGTAATGGCCTTCTTTGTCTCTTTTGATCTTTGTTGGTTTAAAGTGTGTTTTATCAGAGACTAGGATTGCAACCCCTGCCTTTTTTTGTTTTCCATTGGCTTGGTAGATCTTCCTCCATCCTTTTATTTTGAGCCTATGTGTGTCTCTGCACGTGAGATGGGTTTCCTGAATACAGCACACTGATGGGTCTTGGCTCTTTATCCAACTTGCCAGTCTGTGTCTTTTAATTGGAGCATTTAGTTCATTTACATTTAAGGTTAATATTGTTATGTGTGAATTTGATCCTGTCATGATGATGTTAGCTGGTTATTTTGCTAGTTAGTTGATGCAGTTTCTTCCTAGCCTCGATGGTCTTTACAATTTGGCATGTTTTTGCAGTGGCTGGTACCGGTTGTTCCTTTCCGTGTTTAGTGCTTCCTTCAGGATCTCTTGTAGGGCAGGCCTGGTGGTGACAAAATCTCTCAGCATTTGCTTGTCTGTAAAGGATTTTATTTCTCCTTCACTTATGAAGCTTAGTTTGGCTGGATATGAAATTCTGGATTGAAAATTCTTTTCTTTAAGAATGTTGAATATTGGCCCCCACTCTCTTCTGGCTTGTAGAGTTTCTGCCGAGAGATCCGCTGTTAGTCTGATGGGCTTCCCTTTGTGGGTAACCCGACCTTTCTCTCTGGCTGCCCTTAACATTTTTTCCTTCATTTCAACTTTGGTGAATCTGACAATTATGTGTCTTGGAGTTGCTCTTCTCGAGGAGTATCTTTGTGGCATTCTCTGTATTTCCTGAATCTGAATGTTGGCCTGCCTTGCTAGATTGGGGTAGTTCTCCTGGATAATATCCTGCAGAGTGTTTTCCAACGTGGTTGCATTCTCCCCGTCACTTTCAGGTACACCAATCAGACATAGATTTGGTCTTTTCACATAGTCCCATATTTCTTGGAGGCTTTGTTTGTTTCTTTTTATTCTTTTTTCTCTAAACTTCCCTTCTTGCTTCATTTCATTCATTTCATCTTCCATCACTGATACCCTTTCTTCCAGTTGATTGCATCGGCTCCTGAGGCTTCTGCACTCTTCATGTAGTTCTTGAGCCTTGGCTTTCATCTCCATCAGCTCCTTTAAGCACTTCTCTGTATTGATTATTCTAGTTATACTTTCGTCTAAATTTTTTTCAAAGTTTTCAACTTCTTTGCCTTTGGTTTGAATTTCCTCCTGTAGCTCGGAGTAGTTTGATCGTCTGAAGCCTTCTTCTCTCAACTCGTCAAAGGCATTCTCCGTCCAGCTTTGTTCTGTTGCTGGTGAGGAGCTGCGTTCCTTTGGAGGAGGAGAGGCGCTCTGCTTTTTAGAGTTTCCAGTTTTTCTGCTCTGTTTTTTCCCCATCTTTGTGGTTTTATCTATTTTTGGTCTTTGATGATGGTGATGTACAGATGGGATTTTGGTGTGGATGTCCTTTCTGTTTGTTAGTTTTCCTTCTAACAGACAGGACCCTCAGCTGCAGGTCTGCTGGAGTTTGCTAGAGGTCTACTCCAGACACTGCTTGCCTGGGTACCAGCAGCGGTGGCTGCAGAACAGCGGATTTTCGTGAACCGCGAATGCTGCTGTCTGATCGTTCCTCTGGAAGTTTTGTCTCAGAGGAGTACCCGGCCATGTGAGGTGTCAGTCTGCCCCTGCTGGGGGGTGCCTTCCAGTTAGGCTGCTCGGGGGTCAGGGGTCAGGGACCCACTTGAGGAGGCAGTCTGCCCGTTCTCAGATCTCCAGCTGCGTGCTGGGAGAACCACTGCTCTCTTCAAAGCTGTCAGACAGGGACGTTTAAGTCTGCAGAGGTTACTGCTGTCTTTTTGTTTGTTTGTGCCCTGCCCCCAGAGGTGGAGCCTACAGAGGCAGGCAGGCCTCCTTGAGCTGTGGTGGGCTCCACCCAGTTCGAGCTTCAGGGCTGCTTTGTTTACCTAAGCAAGCCTGGGCAATGGTGGGCACCCATCCCCCAGCCTCGCTGCCACCTTGCGGTTTGATCACAGACTGCTCTGCTAGCAATCAGCGAGACTCCATGGGCGTAGGACCCTCTGAGCCATGTGCGGGATATAATCTCCTGGTGCGCCGTTTTTTAAGCCCACCGGAAAAGCGCAGTATTGGGGTGGGAGTGACCCGATTTTCCAGGTGCCGTCTGTCACCCCTTTCTTTGGCTAGGAAAGGGAACTCCCTGACCCCTTACGCTTCCCGAGTGAGGCAATGCCTCGCCCTGCTTCGGCTTGTGCACCCACTGTCCTGCGCCCACTGTCTGGCACTCCCTAGTGAGATGAACCTGGTACCTCAGATGGAAATGCAGAAATCACCCGTCTTCTGCATCGCTCACGCTGGGAGCTGTAGACCAGAGCTGTTCCTATTCGGCCATCTTCGCCTCTATACCTTTCAACCAGTGGTACTTCTTTGAAATTCTCTAAGATTTTGTTTGGACAAAGGTTCCATTGCTTTCGAAAATTTCCATGTTATTAATCTAGTCCAGCTTTCTCATGATACAGATGAAGAAACAGAGCCCCAGAAAGTAAGGGAATGTTTGAGGTACATAGCCAATTAAAGGTTGAAATCCTCAGTATCCTGATTCTAGTGATCCACTTCCCCATGCCACCTAGCAGCCAAGCAGCAAACACCTTTAAAATGGCAGAGTGGCTTGCTGCCTTAGGAAGAGCCACCTGCCTTAGGAGCAGGAAGAAGTTGCCTTTGGTTATCCTGAGCCAGGTGCTCAGGTCTGCATTACTCTAGGAGGTCAAAAAAAGGAGAGATCAGTAAGGGATGTAGTTTAGCCTTCCATTTTGCTGCCCTCAAATGTCCTCATCTTTCACAGGGGATAAGAGTACCTAGCTGGTAGAGTTGTTGTGAGGATTAATCTAGATCACACATGCAAAGTATCTGGGACATAGTAGGTGCTAAATAAATGGTAGAACTTAATACTATAACTATTTCTTTGGAACATAAAGTGCCTATCTTCTAGCTTTGTGGCTCCCAATTATTCTATAAGCAAAGACAATGAGAATCTGTGAATCAGAATCCAGGTCCAAAGTTTACCTGGTTTACCAGCTAAATGTCAATTTCATGTCAGTTGGTGGGATCAAGGAACAGCCTTAACTTGCCAGAGAGCTTGGCATGCTTTGGCAAGGTCTGTGCCCTACTCTGCCAGAACAAAGTGCTAAAAAGAAGATGTGGTATTAGGGCTTGTTTAAGACATAGGTCTGGAAAATACAATTCTTTGCTTTGCCTCTCATAATCTGACTGGCATAAATGAGGGAGATAATTGTCATAAGGGATGGTTGTTTTTCTTGGATAAATTCCATTCTTGAGAAATCACGAATGAAATTTCCTCACTTGGAACTAACATTTGTATACATTGCTACAAAGAGATCTAAACAGGAGGAACCTTCTGTTTTAGAGAAATGGCCTGGAAGACATCATGGATGGCATTGCCTGCTTTCATAGAGTATGTGCTTCCTGTTTAGTGTCTGTGACTTTGGCTGGGGAATTTTCCAAGGCAAAGGTTACATTTTGGGCTTGAACTTCAAAGCTCTACTCATGTGCACCCGTATGCCAATCTCAGTCCCACACGATTGATTTCCTCCTGAAGGCATATGTGCTTTCATTTGGGTTTCGGCCTTGGAGACTTCAATTCCAGTGTTTGTACTCTGCTAATTCCCCCTTAGATTATACATTGCATCCCCTCTTCTTTCAATTGCTTTATCTCCTTTGAGCAGTGATCCTGATTTATTAAAGGTTAAACAGTTTACCCCAATTGCCCAGTTAGAATGTGGCAAGAGCCAAGAATAGAAACTAGGTAATATGACTCTAGAATTTGGGAGCTTAACCTCTATACTCTATTGCTCAGGGATTTCAAAAGCAAGAGGAAACACCTCATGGCTGGTGGAATCAAGAATTAACTCATACAGGATAGAGCAATGGGCTTTGTGGGATGCATAGGATTTTAACAGAAACGAAGCAGTGGAGTAATTTGAGTGTGCCATACAGATAGGAAAACACAGGATAAATATGGGCCAGGGTACTTGGCTTGTCTTGAATATAGGATTGCTTGAAGGAGGTATTGGTAGATAATTCCTTGAACATAGTTGAAAGTATCTTATGGAGAAACTGTTTTGATAGAATGAACTATGCTTAGTTTTGGAAGCAATAGAAGGTTCTTCCTTTCTTCCTTATTTACCTTTTCTTCCCTTCCTTCATTTCCATTTTTCTTCCTTTCCTCCCAAGTAATACAAGTGCTTTATAGAATAAAAACTATAAAATTTCAAAATAGAATACCACTTGAAAGCAGGGATGATTAGTGTTAACATCCTAATGTATATACCCCTAGATTTCTTTCTTATTAAAATATATTAATATAAAATAATTCTGTGCTATGGAAGACAAGATTCTAAGACTCCCACCCCCGCCTATATGACCTGTATAATTCCCTCCTCTTGAGTGTGGGTGGGACCTGTGAATATGATGGGATATTGCTCTCCTGATTAAGTTATGTTACATGGCAAAGGTGCTAGAATAGTCATTCCCATGATTATATTATAGAAAAATGTCCAGCTGGCTTTGAAGAAAAATCTTCATGCTGTGAGAGGGCCATGTGGCTGGGACCTGAGAGTAGCTTCTAGGAACTAAGACTCACTCCCAACAGGCAGCCAACAAGAAAACAAGGACCCTGGTCCTAAAACCACATGGAACTTAATTTTTCAAACAACCAATGAGCTTGGGTCACAGTCCTGGCTGATACTACAATTTTAGCCAGTTGAGTGTATTAACTATATTTTCTTATTTTCTGTATTCCTGATGCTCTGGCCTCTGGAGCTTCACTGAATGGGAAGAGATTCTCCACGGCTAGCTGTATCTTAGAGACAGCAAATAACTTGCCTAAGACCATGTATTTCATATGTAAGCCAACTAACCCAGAGCCCACACTCTGAACCACCTCCTGCGTCTGGTTCTTACATACCAGAAGGCAATATTCTTCTGCCCTGATCATCGCAGAGCCAGTAACCAGGAAACTAGAGACCATCCTTATACCCAAGACCCACTGAAATCATTCAAGCTAGCCAATCCAAAACATGCTTATCCTGCCTTGCCTTTCCCATGGAAACCACAATAAAGGCTCTGGGCCATGCTTTCTCCTCACTTCTTCTGCTTCCTGACTGACCCTGGTGCTTCCCCATGTAGCCCCATGTAGCATGGCAAGCTCCCTCCTCTTAACTGTGAGCAACAAAACAGCTTTTCAGTGGCACTTATCTCTTGCTCTGTAGACCTCATCATACCTAATTAATAATAAAACCTACATTTCAGGACAGTGAGAGTTCCTAAGCAGAGGGCCCAGCTAAAACATGTTCACACTTCCTGTTCATGGAAACTGTGACAATAAATTTGTGTTGTTTTAAGCTGCTAAGTTCATGGAAATCTGTTACACAGCCATAGAAAACTAGTACACATGAAAAAAAATTATATATAAACATACTCTATCTTTCTCTAACCTATGTGTTCCCACTTAATATTAGCATGTATATCTCCATGCCATTGAAAGATTTTGAGTAAAGGAATGGAACAATTGAAGCTGAGATTTGAAACAGCAGTAAAATGTGGGACACGTGAGAAAACATGGCAGGAGATTATAGAGATCATCTGGATCCATGGTACTCAGCCTTGGAATCACCTAGAAACACTTTTAAAATACAGATACCAGCTTCATCCATGTCCCTACAAAGGACATGAACTCATCCCTTTTTATGGCTGCATAGTATTCCATGGTGTATATGTACCATATTTTCTTAATCCAGTCTATCATTGATGGACATTTGGGTTGGTTCCAAGTCTTTGCTATTGTGAGTAGTGCTGCAATAAACATACGTGTGCATGTGTCTTTATAGTAGCATGATTTATAATCCTTTGGGTATATACCCAGTAATGGGATGGCTGGGTCAAATGGTATTTCTAGTTCTAGATCCTTGAGGAATCGCCACACTGTCTTCCACAATGGTTGAACTAGTTTACAGTCCCACCAACAGTGTAAAAGTGTTCCTATTTCTCCACATCCTCTCCAGCACCTGCTGTTTCCTGACTTTTTAATGATCACCATTCTAACTGGTGTGAGATAGTATCTCATTGTGGTTTTGATTTGCATTTCTCTGATGGCCAGTGATGATGAGCATTTTTTCATGTGTCTGTTGGCTGCATAAATGTCTTCTTTTGAGAAGTGTCTGTTCATATCCTTCGCCCACTTTTAGATGGGGTTGAGAACACTTGGACACAGGATGGGGAACGTCACACACCGGGGCCTGTCGTGGGGTGGAGGGAGCGGGGAGGGATAGCATTAGGAGATATACCTAATGTAAATGACGAGTTAGTGGGTGCAGCACACCAACATGGCACATGTATACATATGTAACAAACCTGCAAGTTGTGCACATGTACCCTAGAACTTAAAGTATAATAATAATAAAAATAAATAAAAAAGAAAGTAAAAAATATATATAAAATAAAATACAGACACCTAGAACTCACTACTCATAGATATTTTACTTTAATTAATCTGAGATACAACCTGGGAATCTGGTATTTTAAATCTCCCCAGATGACTCTAATGCAAAGCCGAGGTTGATAACCATTGGCAGATAGAAGTAGAGAGTGCTATCTCGAATTAAAGTTGTCCTACTGAAATAAAAAATGAGAGATGGGTTAAAAAAAAAAAGCATTTCTGGAGAAGCCACTGATAACCAAACAGTAAGAAGACTGGGAATCCTACTGCTTATCTCGCTTTTGTTGTTGTTGTTGTTTGTTTTGTTGGTTGATTGCTTGGTTTTAATTAAATTTCCACTCATCTCATTTTTATTATGAAGAGAATTTTCATGGGGAGATAGAAATTTGAGGCTGGCTATGCATACATGGAGTGACAGGATTGTTGAGGAGGTCTCAAGGAACATTTTAGGCAAAGGAAGTGGTTTGAGTAAAGTCTCAAAAGTGAGAATCAGTGTTCTAGGTACCAGCCTGAAGTGGGTTGACACAGTGAGTGAAGTTCGAGTAATAAGGCTGCTACACAGAGGCTTTGATGCCATAGGAAACCAAGAGTCATTCATATTCCTTTAAAAGAATGAGAACGAACTGATTTTTCTAAACAGTAGCTCAGCAAGATGACCTGAGTGCAATATAAAGAAAAGTTAGAGAAAACCTAGAGGCCAGGAAGTTTATAGGCTGTTACAGTAAGCAAATCATGAGGGAACAGAGCCTAGACTAGGGCAGAGCAATGGAAACAGAGAGGGGCAGGACAGATCTGGAGATGGACCTGAAAAAAAAGCAAATGTGAAAGACCTATTGGATATGGGAGTGAAAGATGACAGGGGTTGCACTTGGGCTTGGTACAAAGGTAATAAGGAATTTGATTTTGGCATTTTGGTTAGAGGAAGGGTAAACTGGTTAATTAGCTTTCAGATGTTATTGTGTATACCCGAAGGCAGCTGGATAATACAGGAAATACATCCACTGTAGACTCTCTCTTGCCCAGGGTAGCTGGATGAGGAATGGATTTCACAAGAGAAACATGGTGTAAATATAGTAGTTAAAAGTAGTTTGCTTCTTTCTCCCTCACTGTAAAAGAGAGAACTTCCTTTGGACTATTGCATGAAGTGAGAACAATCACAACCGCCAATAGAGTATGATTTTTTTCCCTTTATAGACCCCCAAGGTAGAACTTTCTAGGTCCATATCTGGTTATGATTTGTGTTTTTCGCTGGGGTTCAGGCCTTGGCATGTGACATGTAAGCTGGTCACTCATACCTGGAGCAGCAGATGGTTGTTCCTCCCTCCCTTTTATGGCTGAGTCTGCTCTGAATCCTTAGGACTGTAAATTATTTACTCTTCATCTGACTGAATCCATTTAATATTATTTCTTAAAATACCCCTGCCTGCACTCATATTTACTTATACTTTTCTTGCCAAGATTTTCTAAATATCCTTTCTGATATTTATTTTATCAGTGGAAATACTGGCCTGACACAAATTTTGAAGTAAATTGTGAAGCATAGGATCATCTTTAGTCAGCCCAATGGGATTTTTAAGTACCACTGTCCCTCTCCCTTGGGGGAGTCTTGTACCACAAACAATGGTGTGAGATCCTGCTTTCCATCAAGAGTTTATTGGTTAATGAAGCTTGTGGCTGGTGTGGTTTTCCTGTGTTTAGCTTTTGGAGCTCTCAGAAACAGTTGCTTGGAAGAGAGCTGGCAGAATTATTGCCCAGCAAACTTGCCGGCCACAGCCCACAAGACTTCACCAACGCTGACAAATTTTATGGCTGATTTAATGAATAGAACAAGTATTTGAATAAACAGAGTAAAGAGCTGTTGGCATCCTGCTCCATCGTCTGAAGAGGTCTGAAAGTCTTCTCATTAAACCATCCTTACTATCTCCTTTTGCTCTAAGCCGCGTTGCCTTTTCTCAAGTGCCTGAACAGGAACTCATGGGCAACCATAGCTTTGAGATGAGGTCATTGGGATGGATCCTCGGGACTTAGTGCCCCTAATTTTAATTGAAAGGGAACTCTTTCAATTAAAACCTACAGGAACCAAATATGACCTAATTCTACTTTACTTTAGCATTCCAGGCCTTTAAGTTACTTACCCACTCTTAGAACAATAATTTGTACAGTTTTTTGTGTAAACCTTTGAAAAAAGGTTTGAAAATTTGAAAAAGGACTCATTCTTTAACACATTTAAGATTCATACCACCTCTATGAGTTAATGTATCAATTAGCTGTCACCATGTAACAACCCACTCCAAAACCCAGTGGCTTCAGACAATTACTTCTCACCAGTCTGCGGGTTTGCTGGGCATCAGTCAGTCTGGACTGGGCTCAGTCATTAGTCCAGGTTACCTGATCTAGGCTGGGAGTGGCTCTGCTGCATGTGTTCCTCCTTCTCTTCCTAGGACCAGTGGGCTTGCCTGGGCAGATTCTTTTCATGGTTACAGCTGACATGCAAGAGCAAACAAAAACATAGAATGCCTCTTAAAGCATAAGCTTGTAACTGGCTCACTGTTTTCTTCCATATCATCCTATCTGCTAAAGCAAGTTACATGATTGAACCCAGAGTCAATGAATGGGAAATATACTCCACCTCTTTTATGGAAGGAATGAGCCAAATGACATGGATAGAGTAGGGGGCAAAGAATTGGGGGCAGTAATGCAATTTGCCACACTTAGAAGGGGCAGGTATGACAGTTTCCATTTTACAGATGAGAAACCTGAGACTCAGAAAGCTGAAATTATTTGTTCAAGGTAACACAGAAAATTTGGACAGTGCTGGAATGCAAACCCTACTCTCAAGACTTCTCTGCTTTTTGCCACACTGAATTCCAAGATTCCATAAGAGGCTGTATGAACTAGTTAAAGGCCCATGGCTCCAAAGGACAACTCCAAGGATGACTCCTTGTGGCCTGCTCCTTTTTTCTTTTTATCTTATGTCCCTGGGTTTTGGCCCATTTGCCTCCTTCATAGTTGTCACCTACTCTTCCATTTGAACCTGTTTGAGGTAGGGGTTGGTTAAAGTTCCCCTACTAAAACACAAATTCTTCCACCCCTGAAACATACATACCAGTCTCTCTATTTTTAATAAAAATTGATTTTTAAAAGAAAATCCAAACGTCACATGATAATTGAACCAGAATGGCCTCAAACACCAAAATACTATAGTTCTTTGAAGAATGGGAGTATTGTAATCATCTGAAATGTGTCAACATGCTTATTACTGACACTGAGCTTCACTTAAATGTTAATAGGTCTGAGCTAGTTTTCTGTTAGCCCTTCCCTGACTGCCTTTGTAGAGTTCCTTCAATGGCCCTTGAATTGTGAATCTGCCCCATCCTGCCCAGTCTGGTCTGAGTCAAATTTTAGACCGAGTTGCTCAAATCTAGCTTGAAAAGATTTGAGCTAGTATCTCTGAGATCTCAAGTCATTATCTGTGAGATTTTTTCAGGTGTGAGTCTCCATGGCAACTCTATGCCTCTGGTTTTCAGTACATTTGCACTCTTAAATCTGGCCTCCAGCATCCTACAGGTAGAAAATATCATTGGATCTTAAATTTACCTCCTCTAGGTTTCCAGCTGATCTGCACTGACAGTGTGCTTTGCTCTCACGAACCTTCTAGACAAATGTCCTCATGAGTGCAGGCTCCGAAAGTCCCTTCCTTTTCATTGGCACAGTTTGCTTTCCTGATCTATTATTTTTTTTTTGTCTGCAGCACAACTTGCAGCTACTGAATGATATGGCTGGCCGGCTCTACCATTTCAGTGAGGTTCTGCCTAATCTCTTTTGATTCTAAGGGGTAATGTGGCTCAGCCACAGCAAGGAGGCTGAGTTCTGATGTTCTCTTTCCCCATACTTCTATGGAAGACTGGAAGACAGATTACTTGCAGTGATTTCTGGAGGCAGAAGATAAGCAAGTGGCCTCTATGATGGTAGAACCAAGAAAGAATGATCATTGCCCTTAAGCCTTCAGAGATGACAGCTAAATCCAGAGGGAAAATAAATAGGGATAAGATTGTAAAAAAAGTTGCTGCTGGAGAAAAAATAGCTGCTGCTGATAAAGAACCTCAATAAATTCAAACAATGTCTGCGTTTGGCCCTCAAATGTCATGCTGGCTCATTGCTCGGGAGAAAGAGCCGTACAACTACCATGTCAGAGGAGATGAGGAAGCAAAGAAGTCTGACTAAGGGCACTGCCATGGATATTCTTGCCCCTGCTTTGGAACAATCTATCATTGGATTGTGGAGAGGAAGCAAGGAGGCAGCTGGCAGTGTGACACCACGTGCTATGACTCATGACTGTTTTGCCTGATGGTTGGCAACATAGTATTGGCACAGTTGTGGGCTCTAGAGTACCTGGGCCTGAATCTCTATTGATATGTGCCATTTGGCAAATTTCTAAACTCTAAGTCTTAGCTGTCTCATATACAAAATGGGCATA
This sequence comes from Homo sapiens, assembly GCF_000001405.40. Classification (NCBI taxonomy): domain Eukaryota; kingdom Metazoa; phylum Chordata; class Mammalia; order Primates; family Hominidae; genus Homo; species Homo sapiens. The sequence goes on along the minus strand of NC_000023.11, from coordinate 108,268,426 downwards.
ATACATCCTCCCTCATATGGTTGTTGTGAGGATTAATAAAACAGTGTTTATAAAGTGCTTGGCACAGTGCTGAACACATAGCAGTAAATAAATATTAGTCATTATTAATATTAGCTGATGCACATTTGGGGGCAATTTCAAGAAAGAATTGATTACAATAGTAAATTCAGACTATGGCATCTATTGATTGTTCCTTTTTAAATGAACCATTTTAAATACAGTAAAAGCCCTCCTCCCTGGCCTCTGCTTAACTTCCTTTATGGAGTAAGTCGATGTTTTTCCTTCCTATTGGAATATACACTGGCCAATGCTCAGGGCACAATGGAAGCTCATGGGCAGGTAAGTTACTTCTGGTGAACACTTATATTTCTGCTTCCACACAACAAGTTGATCACTTACCAAAAGTTAGCTGTGTTTTTGCCAAGCCCATTTATGGCAGTTGTACTCGTTATTACAAGTAGGTAATTTAATGTAAATTTGTGAAATATGAGTATAAAAAGAAAACTATTATTTTCATGAAAACTAAGTTCAATGCTTTGGAAAGACTTACTAAAGAAAAGTTGCTTTTGAAAACTGCCATATTGTTAAAAATAAAACAAAACTGAAAGTGGAAATCAAATGTGATGCATTAGGAATGTAACTTACGTGAAAAAGAGTCTGTGAAATCCCAGGGTGTGGCCTCACGCTCAAAGAAAAGGCCTTGGCCTTACAACACATCACCAGAGTGGTGAATGAATGTACCTTTGTGTGTTTTAGGTTGAAATAAAATGTTTTATGTATGTATATACATGTGTGTATGTATGTACATGTGTGTCTGTATTGTTTTATATGATTCCTCACTTTAACAAATTATCACTTACTCTAAGGGCTATTCAAGAAAGCTTCTACTGTATAGTCAATGTTCTATGTTAAGTACTTTACGTGCTGTGGGCTTACAAGAAGGGAGCACAGTCCAGTAGAATGTATTTACCGATTTATGGATTGGAGCTTGTGGTAGGCAGAATAATGCTTCCCCTTCTCAAAGATGTCCACATTCCTAATCCCCAGAACCTGGAGATATATCATGTTATTGGCAGGGGGCAATTAAGGTTGCAGATGGAATTAAGGTTGCTAATCAGATAAACTTGAGTTGAGGAGATTATCCTGGATCATCTGGATGGTCCCAATGTAATCACAAGGGTGCTTATAAGTGGAGGAGGTAAGCTGAAGACAGTGTGTCAGAATGGTGTTAGGTGACAAAGACTTACCCTGATGGTGCTGGCTTTGAAAATGGAGGAAGAGGCCACAAGTCAAGGGATACAGGCAGGCCCTAGAAGCTAGAAAATACAAAGGAATGGATTTCCCCCTAGGGCCTCCAAAAAGAAATGCCATTCTGCCAATAGCTTGACTTTAGCCCAGCGACATCCATTTCAGACTTGTGACCTAAAGAATAGTAAGATAATAAATAAATTTCTTTTGTCTGGTTTTAAGCCCAGGTTTGTGATAATTTGTTATAGCAGCAATAGGAAGCTAATACAGAGGTTGAGTCAAGTTGATGACAAAAAATCCTATCCCTAAATCCCTATTCCAAATGTACTCACAGGATATCTAGGCTCTTCATGCTTTCACATGCCCTAAACATAGGATTTACACTAATATCTGGGTCTAATCTTAGTAGCACCATGTTCATTAAGTCCATACCATTTGCCAGGCAATATGCTAAATGCTTCAGCAAATTATTGTTATATGCTGTTTATAGTAATGCTTAAATATATTCTGTTTCAGAATTCTATACTTACATATTATATGCTATTTATAGCATATAACAAATTACCACCAATGAACAAATTACCATTAGTGAACAGCATAGACATAGGGCATGTCTTTATTGAGCTTTCAGGTTTTGCCCAAGTACACGTTTTGAAATGAGAAAGATAATAGTGAAAATAGCCTGAATATCTTTATATTTCAGGAAAGATAATAGTGAAAATAGCCGCAATACCTTTATATTTCAGGACTGAGGAACACCTGCAGTGTTTGGGGGTTTTTTGATCTTTTGTAAAACAGAAGATTTAAGCATTACTAGCTCCATTCTTCCTTTAGTCCTTTCCCTCAGTTGGCCTGTGATTGTGACTCTGGCATCTGCTCTTTCACCTATTTCCCCATCCCACCAAGTGATTTTCTGAAATTCTGTCAGCACAGTCTTCCAACATCAAAATAGCAGCAAAACAGATATTTCCACCAAGGAAAAGGAAGCACTCTTCCCTCATGCTCTATCTTCCCAAGGTTCATTTTAAGCCAAGTTCACTTCAAGCTTTCCACTGCACTCATATATTTTCTTGCATTCAAAATAAACCACCTCATCAAACCAAAGTCTCTCCCAGTTATCAAATGCAGCTTATGTCTGCCTCCAAGGATGCCCTCCCCAGCCCTAGCTGCTCACCTTTGCCTCTATAGTACATATAGTTCTGAGTCATGCATTAATATCCCTTATTATTTACTGTGTTGTTTTGTTCTGTTTTTTTTTATGTATGTCATCTGCATTTTGACATTTTCCTGACCAGATATCCCTTCAGTGGTTTCCCACTTCCTTCAGGATAAAGTCCAAACTCTTCATCATAGCACTCTAGGTCTTCATGATCTGGTAGCCCTGTCTTTCTCTTCCAACTTCATCCCGTGCCATTATCTCTCTCTCTATCCTCAGCAGCCATTCTGATATCTTCAAACATTGCCATGTTCTCTTTATCCTCTGGACCTTGAACACACTATTTCGTCTTCCTGAAATAGTGTTTCATCAACTGTTTCTTTGTCCACTCCCACCTCTACCCTCTCCACTTGGCTTCCTCACCCAACAGTTCACAACTTGAATATGACTTACTGTAAAAGTTACCCTTGTATTAGACCTCCTTAGATACTAGCCTCCCTCAGACACGTAATCCCTTAGCACCATGTATCTTTGCAGCCCCAGGCATTTATTTGTAGTACTTAATAACTTGTAATTATTTAGAGTTTTTGTCTTCCTCTAGATATAAGTTCCATGTTTGTCAAAAAAAAAAACTGAATAGGTGAATGAATCAATGAATTAATAGTCTTTTAGTCACAAGTTTTTAAATTGTTTGCTGTCACTCTCCTCCAACTAGAATGCCTGATTTTCAAACCCAAACCCAATTATGATTCTTTAGATCCAGAATCTGCATTTTAACAAGCCCCCCCTAGATCATTATGATGCTGAATGTCCAGGAATCATCTTTTGAAGAAGGCTAATATGGATTTTGAATGGGATGTCAAAGCAGTATAGGGACCTCTCAAATAATAATATCAAGTACCACTGATGGTTACTGTTTGTTTGCCAGGTACTGATCTAAGAAGCTTTATAGAAAGACATTACCTAATTTAATCCTTTCTTCTAGCCTATGAGGAAGGTACTATTGTAATCCCCTATTTTGTAGATAAGAAAGCTGAGGTTAAGAGAGGTTAAGTAATTTGCTCAGTGTCACACAGCTAGTAAGTGATGGAGTGATTCAACATATTCTGCCTCCAAAGCCCATGCTCTTTCCCTTAATTCTAGGCTGCTTGTTCCTCACAGAGTTTTCCTCATTTGCAGACTTCAGGATCCTTGGCATGCTTAATGTGCACTTACCTCTCCAGTCCTATTAGAATTACGATCTGTTGCCTTTAAAGATGCTTCTTTGTAGGTTACCAAGAGGCAAAAACTCTGTCTCCCTGCAGTTCTTTGTTCTGCACTTGTTGAAACAACAGGCCCCAGGGAAAGAAGCCCTTTTTTAGAAGAAAAAAACCATGTTCTTTCTTCTTTCCCCACATACCATATTAATTATCAAGTACAGAAGAAACTGCTGAAACTTCTGGCTCACTTGGCTCTTCTCCTCCAAAGCAGGAAGTAGCACAGCAAGAGACAAGTTTAATTCTGAAGCTCAAGCGCTCTCCTGCATACCATGGCCTAGGAGAAAGGTTCAGTGAACTCGGTATTAGTCCATGATAAGACAGGCTTCTATAAGGTAGAATGTTTATGGAAAATAGATTGGGATATACAAACAAGAACATAGAGGATCCCATCAGGGATTTGAGGTAAACATTAAGTGAACTCCTTTCATGTTTGGCCTTTCCTGTACACTTGGTGTTAGGAGGTCTTACAGAGGTCCTCTGTTAACCCAATATGTATACAGTAGATAAATTACTCTGCATAAAGCTTTCTACTTTTAACAGAAGCTGGGACTGAAAGTGCTTCACTGGGTAGTAGAGGTAGCTAGATGATAGATCTCTCTATTGCACCCACCTCCGGCTTTTACCTTCTCCTACTTCAGAACAGTGTCCTGGCAGACAATAATCTCGACATTTAAGTACTATCCCTAGAAACAAAACCCAGGAAGGACTCTCTAGAAGTCATTAACTTTCTGCCAGACTGGATCGAAGATAAAGATAGCAAATAGTAGTTGTATGCCCACTCAATGCATGGGAGTGGCTGCCTAGGACAATATAGTGAGAAGAATTATGAGGCCACATATGGGCACTATAGGGATTGATTATTGATGTCTGCCATGGACATGAAAACACGGAGGGTCAGCAAACAGGCTACCTTTTATCCATCCTTGCACCAAGCCAGTGGCTCCCAAACCTAATTGCACATAGAATTACTGAGAGCTATTTAAAAATATTGATACCTGGGATCTACCCCCAAACTAATTAAATTAAATTATCTGGAGGTGAGATTCAAGCAATCAGGCATTGGAGCAACAAAGGTTGAGAGCCACTGCTGTGCACAGTTGTAGACATACAGATGACTTAATTCAGTAGTTACCAAATGCATTTCTTCCAATCAGGACCTGCCAGGATGGCTTCATAAGAATTATGTGAGGAGCTTGTAAAATTGTGGATTCCTGGGACCAACTCCTAAAAATTCTAATTTGGAAGTATGGGGGTAGAATACAAGAATCTGTATTTTTTAAAACCACACAGGAAGATGTTGATGGGAACCACGGTCCTAAGCTATTCTCAATGCCTCAAATGAATGAGAACTTTGAGCAGAACCTTGTACTCTAGGACAAAAGTTTTCAACCCTAACTGTACATTGGTATCCCCTTGGAAACTTTTTTAAAACACCAATGCCTAAGTTCATCAATTAAATTGGAATCTCTAGGGTGGAATCTGGATGATTCGAATGTGTAGGTAAAACTGAGAATCACTGGTCTAAGAAGTGGAGCACAGGAATCTCATTTGGGGACCTCATCAGAAAGATTTTATTGTTCTTTGTCTATAGATTTAGTCCCTGAGTTAGTCTAGTAGCTTCAGCTTGATATTAGATGGTAGAACTGCTTCTGTTCCCTGAACCTTGTTTACAACCAGAATCTGTCATTCATGATGTTTGTGGTGGTCTCATGAATTATCCTGGACTTAGTAAACATTGGCTGCAATCACTCACCCATGCTTTTAAACAAATGGTTATGGAATGTACCTTAATGTTTGTGAAATGTAGATTCCAATATCTTCTACTAGTCTAAAGAAAGGTTTTTGATGAGGGTTTGTTTATTTTTAAAAAAATAATCAAATGAAATGTAGGACAACTGATGGTCTTAAGAGACAGAGGCTTTGTAAAGACAAAGTTGTATTTAAACTTGGAATCTTGCAAGGCCCATCAACTATGAATTAGTAGGGGCAAATAGACATCTTAACCACCAATCCGTGATTGGTCCTACTGGTCTCTTTTGAAGCAACTGGTAAAGATATAATTTCTTTCTCTTAGAAGCTTTGCCTGTATGTTTATTTGCCTCACATTAGTCGTGTAAGACAGCCAGACAACCTCAGACAATCAGCCTTGCATGGATGGTCATGAAGTGGTGAGACTGGTAGAGTTCAGCAGGACTCTCCTTCTTCTTCAAAATGCATTTTTAAAAAATTACACCCAGTTTTTTCACTTATGCTTGAATTTCCACCATTAGTGATTAATGTATTTGGTTTAAACATTCCCTCTTCAGATTACTGTTTCTAAATATAAACAGAAATAACACATTAAGTCCCTCCAATACTCTCAGGAAGGAAGAGCCATGACTGTCTTGGAGGACCTCACAAATACAGCCTGAGGTTGAGAGGACCAGCTCTTCATGTTAATGCAAGAATTCAAGGGTCAATCCTAAGGAGCAATGGGAGGACAGTGAACTAGGGCCTATTCATCTCTCTAGCCCCAATGTCTTACATTAGCACCTGGTTCAGAGTAGTGGAAGGAATGGCAGCCAAAGAAAATATACCATCTTAGAACTGCCATGAGAAATTTTGAATCCAGCCTTGGACTCATCCAAATGAGACCCAGCAGCTGAACCTCCAGAAGACAGCCTCACCAGCCTTGTAAACAAGATCATTTCCTTTACCCCCATGGAAAACAGGACCCAACAAATCCCTTGCTGATGCAATACCACATGTTGTAAGAATAAACCATTGTGTTTTTGCCAAGAGTTGGTTATCCAGTGACTAATGTGTTCCTATACATTTACACTCACTGCAGAGTATCCTGGGACATGTTTATAGTTAAGAAAGGTTAGTATTAACATTGTGTCAGAGGATTAATCCATTTTAATTGTAAATGCCAAGAACAAACCTGCTTCCTTGGGGCCCAGATGTATGACTTTGGTTAAATATTTATAGATCAGATGGAATGTTTACTCTTAATTCTGGAGCTAGGTATTTACTTGCATAATTACATACTCCTCCCCTGCCTCCTCTTGATCCAGTGTCCTCCTGATATTTTCTCTCTGAAATACAAGTGTGTTGTGGGAGATGATGAAAACATCTGGCCAATGGTTTAGAGCTACTGATACTGGTGAGAGGTGACTGTGGGATAGTAGAGTAACTAGGAAAATGCTCTATGTATATAACCAGGATCATGGAATGAGCAGGGGCCACAGAAGCAGGAAAGCTGGATTCTAGTTCCAACTCTACTGGAAATTAGCTATGTGACCTTCTCTGAGCCCCATTTTCCTCATCTATAAAATGAGAGAGATGAATTCAAATTTTTAAGACTTCTTCCAGAGATGAGCCTTCATGGCAGCTTTCTCTAAACCATCTTGGAACCCCTACCCACTCCAGGTATAATACTTATGCTTTCTAGGGCAGTAACATCCAATAGAACTTTCTGCAATAAGGAAATATTCTACATTTATGGTGTGCAATACAGTAGCCTCTAGCCATATGTAGCTATTGAGCATTTAAAATGTGGCTAATGTGGCTGAGAAATTGAAATTTCATTTTGTTTTATTAATTCAAATTTAATAGCTATGCACAACTAGTGGCTACCATATAGGGCGGCACCATGCTAAATGATTAGCAATCGTGTTGGCCAGCTCCTTGAAGAAGGCCATTGTCTGTGCTAATGATGTCTTCTAATTTGGGGATGATTAAAGAGGTAGTTGAAAAATACTGCTCAGTGGGAATCCTTTTTCTCCAATGTGGAAGGTAGGATACAGTCAAATATTGTAGATGCCTTGAGGTTTTCAAAATGCACAACTCCTGAGTTTTTATTTATTCCACTAAAAAGTGGAAAGGGGTGGCAAGTCATTGAACTAATTTTCCTTTTTTTCTATCTGAAAACTGTTAATATGCTTCTAGCCACATTATGTTAAATTAGGAAAACAGTATCACCATAGGGCATTCCAAGACATACACAGCAGATTCCACAGAATCAACTTCAATCATCCCACATTAAACATTTTTCATACAAAAAAGAACGTGTTTACTGCATTAGTCCATTTTCATGCTGCTGATAAAGACTGGGCAGTTTACAAAAGAAAGAGGTTTATTGGATTCACAGTTCCTTGTGACTGGGAGGCCTCACAATCATGGCGGAAGGAAAAAGGCACATCTCACATGGTGGCAGACAAGAGAAAGACAAAGCTTGTGCAGGGAAACTCCTGTTTTAAAACCATCAGATGTCGTGAGGCTTATTCACTATCACAAGAACACCATGGGGAAGACCCGCCCCCATGATTCAATTATCTCCCACTGGGTCCCTCCCACAGCACGAGGGAATTATTGGAGCTACAATATGAGATTTGGGTGGGGACACAGAGCCAAACCATATCATTCACTTAATTTGCAAAATGTTTCTTTTCCATTTAATAGTTTGTTGATCTATTTCCCATAGCATTGATGGCAGAGAGTTATTAAACTGTCTGACTTAAAAACAGTGACAGGTCCTCATTATGCAACTCATTGAGTTGAAAATCAGCTATGGACCAGTAGATAGATGCTGTTTCTGGACTTGACTTTTCTGCTTTCAAATTTATAATAATTGTAATAATATAGAAAATAATTAGTATTATTATTAAATATTAGTATTATAGCTAAATAATTATAAGCATTTCTTATCTAGTCGAGACTTTTCTGTCATACTTTTTAGAGAGCATACGACACTCATGATAAGTTTTAGTGCATCCGAAAAAAAAATACTAAACTTTAGCTCCATAAACTGGTTAGAATGGAGGCTTCTAATTAGTATGATTCAGTTCCCAAGTGATAGTATCTATATCTGGAATGGTAAATCCATCGCACGAAAATTGTCATTTCTCACCTCTTCATTTGTCTTTGGCATTCTTTCCTGCTGAGTTTGGACGTAGCCTCAGAATTCTTAACACAGCATTTTAGGCAGCTAGCATCAAGCAGCTAGGGCATTTAAATTACAACATTTAAGATTAAAGTTATTTTCCCTCTCTAATCTTTGCAGGTGGTTGTGATCAATTTGTAAGAGATAAAAACACAATAAAATACATACAGTCCTAGAGCTGAAAGGGACCTTAGAGAGCACTCAACCTTAATCCTCTTATTTTATAGATGAGAAGAGCAAGGCTTAAAGAATAATGGGGAATTGTCCATGGTTACACAGACAGTTGGTGGCAAAAAGTGGGACTAGATTCCGGCCTCCTAACTCGGAGAGAATCCCGCAAGACACTGCCTTGAGCCCACCATGTAGTAGTACTTGTACATTAGATGTTTGGTAGATGATTATAATCACTTTTAAGTTTACTGGAAATGATTTCTGCTTGCCTGGACCATTGAGGCTAGACAGGCCTGGCTATTAAACTATGATAAACTATTTATTTGTGGGGTGGTCATATCCAAATAGATTATTTGGTGGATTTTCCCATAAGTTAGACTTACATGTTTTCCAGGCATCTGTGTCCAGTGCCACCTGATTAGAAGAAAGAAATAGCAGCCCATTAATTTAAACGATGGGATTAACTGTGGGGTCTTACTGAAAGAGGAGCTGCTTATCAGGGTCTGCTGGAATGTGTAGCTCTGATTAACAAATGCAGTTTCCATTATTATAATGAGCAACTTTCTGGATGTTTGCCTCTGTTAATGTGTTGTTCTCCACCTAATAATTTACTCCTCTTACTTACGGTCTATGCCTTCAATAGGGACTATTCTTATTCCAAAATTGTGTTTATTAAGTGTACTAACATTGATATCACTGTCAGGCAATATCTAAGAGTTTAGCCATCACAGTTTCAATAGAGAGGAGAGAATCCTGCTATTCCAGTCAGAGGCAACAGTGGGAACATAGGAGTCTTGGTTACCAGTTCTTTAAGTTGTTTTTTATGACCTAAAGTTTTGAAATGTTAAGTGATTTCTAAAGTGAGAAATACCATTATTATTTATTAAATACTATAATTACTACAAATGGACACTCAGGAGAGGAATATAATTGTGGTTAATGGCATTATCATTTAATTTGCAGGTGCATCTGTTTCTAAACAAATATTCAGTGCCTCTGTTTAGAACACATGTTTATATCCTAAGGTTTCCCCTGCTGCTGAACATTCCCACTGAAGATCAAGTTGTATTCAGGTAGTTTACCTTCCCTCCTTTTTATTTCCTTTTAACTATTTGTTGTGTCTTAAAGATTCCAATCTTGTTTTTGCAGTTGGTTCCTTATAATCCTTTAAGTAAACTAAATTTCAATGTGCTTGAAGCAGCTCAGTTTTCCAAAGTCATTAGTAAGATAGGCCTGATCCCCCAGTTTCCACTGGAAGACTCACTCTTTAGCTAAGTGACTTATACCTCTAGTTTTCATTACAAGACTGGCTTGTCTTTTGCCATATCCTGAGGTCTAGGAAGAAGTGGGTAAGACACCCAGGTTTCTTTGACAGAAAAGAGGGTGTGAGTGTCCTCTCCACCAGAGCCAAAGTGTAAAAGGTAAAGTTGTAAAAGTTTGTTTTTTTCATATCATCTCAGCTCCTCCTTTAGTCAGGCCCCAGAGTTCATCCTTAACAAGCTGTCTTCTGTTTTGCAGATCATCTCCTTTAAGCTATTGGCTCCTAAAATGTTATTTCTCCCAGAGGTGTTTTTAGCTTGGGGGAGGTCCCTCCTGAAGAGCATTATAAGTGTACACTCATAAAAAGGAAAGTCTGACTGCCAACATTAGCCCCTTCAACTTCTGACAAACATTCTTCTTTCTCGATCTTGCTGCCATTCCCTTCCCTATTTTCATATAGAATCAAAAACCTTTTGACTATTCAAAACTTAAGGTATCTTATCCCTCACTTCTATCCTTCTTTACCTCATTACCCACGCGTTACTCTTAACCTCAAATCATTCAACCATGAAATATTTCCAGAGTAAACATCTTCACTCATACAGCAAAGCATGATTGGGGAAGAACCTTTTATTAGTTTGGTACCTCTGTAGAGCAGCTTCCAAGATCGTATTAAATATGCAAGAGATCTTCCGGGGGAAGGTGACTTTGAGAGAAAAAAAGGAAGGGAGCCAGAGGAGGTGTGACTTATCCGACCACAGGGCAGGTCCAACCTCTGTGGAGGAGAGAAGGAAGGAAAGAGGTTTGGACAAGCAGAGTCTCAGATTGGAGCACAGTTCTAAGAAAGTTTCAGCCAGGCCAATAGAGTTCTGAAGCCAGAATCAGTGATCAGAGGAGTTTTCTGTCTCACAGTAATGGGTCTACCTTAGTATTCTTACCATGCACAGTCATTAGCTGAGAAATGCCCACTGGACACGTGGCCTTGGCTCAAGTGCAGTGATGGACTCAAGGGGTCAGCAACTAAGTGCATGGATCAAATATGCTCCCTAAAGCAGGAGATCCAAGCATGACTGCTACAAAACCCTAATAATCACTGGGCTTGGTTCACTGGAACATCATAATCTCCAGCTGCTACTCTAACTTAAGTATTACAAGTAAATATTATTTCACCCATGTCAATGTTGTGGCTCACAGCAAAGTTTGTTTGAATCAACCATCTCTTTCCTCAAAACCCGGTCAGTTCCTCTTTCCTTAAAACCTCTACCATCACTAAAAGCTATTACTCATGTTTTGTCATACAGGCAAAAAATTAAAACCCTCAACTTCTTGCCTTGGTTCGTCTTTCTTTGCCTTTTCCAGTTCTTTGAGAGATAACCATCCTCATTTTCCTTTGGGACCTCCAAACTACTTTCTTCCCCTCTTGTGTTTCCATAATCTTAAACTGCCTTCCTCCTTTCTGCTATTAGATGTATCCATGCTTCTTCAATCTTGCATAAACCTTCACTCTACCTCAATTTGACATCCAAATTATTTTCCTCTCATTCCACACTTGCTGCCATTGGTTCAGTATAGTGTAGTACAGTGCAGTATAGTCTAGTATACACTCAAATTTGAATAAGAAACTCAAATCTGAATCACCTGCTGGGCTTGGAAAACAAAGATTATTAGACTCCACCTCCAGAGTTTGTGATTCAGTAGGTCTCGGGGTGAGTACCTGATAATTTACATTTTTAACAAGCTCCCAAATGATGCTGATGCTCCTGGTCCAGGAACCACACTTTGAAAAGTACTGGTATGGCTGTTAAAGAGTGTGTCCTCTAGATTCAATTAGCCCAAGTTCAAATCCTGGCTCTGACTCTTAAGATGTGTGACCTTAGGCAAGTTCCTAGCCCCTCTATATCTCAGTTGCCTCATCTATAAAATAGAGATAACAATGATCCCTACCTCATAAGGTTGTGAAGATTGCATGATTTAATATACATGAAGTGCTTAGAACACTGGCACTTGCCTGACACATAATAAATGCTGTAAAGTGTTAGTTATTATTTCATTGACTCAGGATGCTAGAGCCAGTAAGAAACATTTAAGCCCATCATTCACCAAATCCAAGTCAAAATGTGCATAACTCTTGCTATATGTAGTATTTATTATTTTAATAAATGCTTTTCTTTAGGTTGGTTCTCAGGTTTACCTGAATAAATTTATTTCAGAATGAAACTGGGAATGGAAAACCAGTGTTTTGCTAATGTAAAATAAAATACATACAATACAATTAGAATACAAAAGATTTACCCGTGTGGTTTGTGTATTCCTCTTTGCAAAAACTCTGATTTCACTATATAATTCTTCTTTTTTCAAATAAGGAAACTGAGATACAGAAAAGGGACTTGCTTATGATCACAGAAAGTTGGTGGTAGAGCTGAGACTAGGTCTCCTGTCTCCCTGGCTAGTATACTTTACGTACCACCTCTTGAAGAAATGCCCCACTCCTCCCTCCTCCTGCCTTATGATGACTCCATGGCAGCTGTATCTCTAATGCTGAAGATACTTAATTTTCTATGAAGCCTTGATCATTCAACTTAATTTTGTATGTTCTGTGAAGGTATATGTTGTTATAGCACAGATGTTTTGGCTGTGGTTGATTATTGTCATAAGAGCTTGGAGTTGAAAGAGAGTCCAAATGTGCTGGCTGCTAGATCATTAGGTGGAAGTGTGAAAAATGAACATGGGCAAGCAAAGAGTCAGAGTTTGTTAACAGGGTGAGGTTGGCAGAACCAGTGACAAGAGAGGACTGAAAAACAGATTCAGGGTACGTACAGAACTTGGCTCTAAACAAAATTAGGGGAAAGAAAAGAGAAGAATGAGGAGGAAAAATGAGCCTCTGAATGCTGCATTTTTTGTGGCAGACCTTGGGCAGGCAAGGGAAAAGTATATTTTGCCACTGAGTCCCTTTATTGAACTATCTTTCTCTCATACACACAAGTTCCTTCAGCCCCCAAGGTCATCCTGACCTTCCCTTTGAGAAATGCTGCTTTACGTTTTAAAGTTACTAAAGTGTGGAGCACTAACACAGACTCTTCTAGATAATGTAGCCTCTCTCCTTGGTCCAATTCAAACAGCAGGCTATCAGAGCAGAACTTTGGAGAAAGCTCTCTTCAGGAAGTAGCCCCCCCACTTCCATTTGAGGATGCCTTTCCTTTTTTTTTTTTTTTTTTTTTTTTTTGCCCCCTGTGGGACTCAGAGTGGCTTGAGCAATCAGCAAAACTAATACTGGGGGTTCTTTGTATATTTGCTCTCAAGATGGGTAGAGCCTTCTTAAGGCTTCCAACTTTTGGAAAGCTTTCCTGGCAGATCTAGAGAAGAGTTTATACAAAACTTGGGCAGAGTTCACTTTTTCCCTGAGGCACCATTTTCCATTGTTACTTTTTTAAGATCACTATAGTTAAGAAGTTAGGATTTGCCCAGATAAGGTTAAGTAAATAAAATGTTTTACTCCACTAGTGGTTTCTCCAAACCTAACTTCTCCTCTCCTCACCTACTCCCATACCTCCACCCCAGCCACCACATTCCTGGCATGTACTCACCTCTGACCTCTATTCCATTCCACACAATTCCCCCAAGATAAGCAAAACTAATACAAGTAGGTATATTTAGAGTGCCTACTGGTATCACCACATCTATTGATGCAAGATTTAGATAAGTGTGTGAGCCATATAAAATGGACATTCCAGCCTCAAATTAATGTGCATTTAACATGTACAATTGATTGATTTCACTTTTTCTTCCCTAGGCAGCAACTCATTATTCCCACTTGCATTTTAGCAAATCAACCTGTCAAGTTGTTTGGGACTAGGAGTGTGTTGATTCAAAGTGAACCAAAAAAAAACAAAAAACAAAAAACAAAAACAAAGTGAACTACAAGAATTCCCTGATGTCAACTGCAACTGTCTAGAAGTGCTTTTGTTGAAACCCTGTTTCTGCCACCTTATGGAAGAAGATTGTAGAATGAAAGTAATTTCTCTTAAATTAAGTGTGCCCATAGGATTACAGGTATGCCACCGACATGCTCAGTAAAATCCTGATAGGCTAGAACCTTTGCTATCTGGAATGTTTGTGGCATTCCTCTTTTAGGAGGAATCATATACCATAGGAAAATGATCTAAGAAAAGATCAGGGATATAAGCCAGGAAAAAAAAAAGCAGCCTCCAGGTAGTGTCCAGGGATCCTCAGTCACTTAGTCTCCCTCCTATACCTCTTATACCTGCAGTCTCAGACAATGGAAAATAATCTACTGGAAAATAACTTGGCAACACAGCTAGTCCTCAAATAGCAAAGAAAGATTTTCTGTCATCTCCACTTGACTGTACCTTGTGAGGCAGGAAGGTTGTGTCTGACAGTTTAGAAAGATTTTCATCAATAAAAGTTTTCCCCTTAGGCCTCAGTGAACCAAACAATTCTGTAAACTTGCACGGTCTATTCTCCAAGAGGTCCCATTATATGAAAGATTCACTGTAATCTCTAACAAATGCCTTAATAAAGTAATGGGCTATCTGACAGATGGGGGCCATAGGAACCCACAAATCCTAGAATAAAATTCCCAAAGGCTTGTGAATCAAGACAGTGCCATATGCACTTAGGAAAGAACTAGGGGTTATGGATACGTTCCATCCTGTCCTGGACTCCACTGGGCTGGATGCATCCTTTATTCTTACTTGGTTCCTGGGCTTTTACATGCAAATCACCAAGTGGTATCAGTACCTACACAGGGCTCTAGGATTCTCATTTCAACAAATATCCCTCAAATATTTCTTGAACACCTAACTGGGCTGTATGGATACAAAGATGAATAAGACGTAGTCCCTGCCCTCAAGCAGCTCATTACATGGTGATAGAAGAAGACCAGGATATTAACAATCACAATTTAGAGAGGTAAATATATAAAGGTATAAACATAATGTAATGTGAACATGTTTTGTTGATTTAACAGACAGTGGGAGTATCTATAAAACTGATTATTTCCTTTGTTGATGACCACTTTGTTATTATGGGTTAAGATCAGATTTATCTGAACAATAATTTTTAAAAAGATAGATTTTTGTGTCCTACAACTTTGCTTAATTCATTTATTAGTTCTGAGAGTTTCATAGTGGAGTCTCTATGGTTTTTTTATATAAAATCATTTCATTTGCAAATAGGGATAATTTGACTTCCTCCTTTCCAATTTGGATGCTCTTTGTTTCTTTTTCTTGCCTAATTGCTTTGACTAGGAGTTCCAGTACTATGTTGAAAAGAAGTGCTAATCACAAGTGGGTATCCTTGTCTTGTTCCAGATTTTTAAGGGAAAGCTTTCAACTTTTTTTCATTCAGCATTATGCTAGCTGTGGGTTTGTCATATATGGCCTTTACTGCGTTGAGGTACATTCCTTCTATACCTAATTTGTTCACGTTTATTTTTATGAATGGATGTTATCAAATGCTTTTTGTGCATCTATTGACATGATCACATGGTTTTGTCCATCATTCTATTAATGTGGTTTATCACATTGATTCATTTGTATATGTTGAACCATCCTTGCATCCCTGGGAAGAATCCCACTTGATCATGGTGAATGATCTTTTTATGTGCTGTTGGATGTTGTTTGCTAGTATTTTGCTGAGGATTTTTGCATCTATGTACATCAGGAATGTTGGCCTGTAGTTTTCTTTTTTTATTGTGTCATTGTCTGGTTTTAATATCAGGGTAATGCTGGCCTTGTAGGAACAGTTTGGAAGAATTCCTTCCATTAACTATTTGGAATAGTTTGAGAAGAATTGGTATTAGTTCTTTAAATGGTAGAACTCAGCAGTGACACTATCAGGTCCTGAGCTTTTCTTTGATGGAGGACTTGTTTATCACAATCTTACTACTGGGTGTATATGTAAGGGAAATGAAATCAGTATGTTGAAGAGATATATCTGTACTTCCATGTTTGTTGCAGCACTATTTACAATACCCGACATATAGAATCAATCTAATTGTTCATCAAAGGTTAAATGAATTTTTAAAATGTGGTATATGTACACAACAGAATATTATTCAGCCATAAAAAAGAATGAAATTCTGTTATTTGTGACAACATGGATGAACCTAGAGGACATTATGTTAAGTGAAATAAGCCAAGCACAGAAGGGTAAATAACACATGAACTCACTCATATATGGAATCTAAATAAGTTGATCTTGTAGAAGTAGAGGGTAAAATAGTGATTACCAGAGTCTAGGGAGAGTAGGGAGAAGGGGAGAAGGACATTGGTTGGTCAATGGGTATAAACTTATAGTTAGATAGGAGGAAAAATTCTTGTCTTCTATTGCATAGTAGGGTGACTACAGTTAACAATAGTGTATTGTATATTTCAAAATAGCTAGAAAAAAGGATTTTGAATGCTCTTACCAAAAAGAAATGACAAGTGTTGAAGGGGATGGATATGCTAAGTACCCTAATTTGATCATTAAATAATGTATACATGATTGAAACATCACACTGTACCCCATAAATATGCACAATTATTATGTGCCAATTAAAAACAAAACTTTTAAAAAAGGCAAGTAGAAAAAGAAAAAGAAACATAATTCGTCATAACCATACACTGTAGAATATATATTGACCAGCATAAAACTTGTTGCAAAATATGTTTGGCATGGAAATTTATGTTTGTGCCTTTATTTACTCTATAACATTACTTTTGTTTATCTGTCTCTCCTCCTATAATGTAAGCTACTTAAGGGTAGGGAATTTTGTCTATTTCATTCACTGTTGTATCTACAGAGGCAGTAAATGTATAATAAATATTTGTTGAACAGATGAGCAAATATGAATAATTTAAAATTATGATAAGTACTATGAAAGAAGTTAACATATACGATTAGAGATTATAACAAGGGGATCTGATGTAGACTGGGGAAACAGTTTAGGCCTCTCTGAGGAAGAGACATTTAGGCAGAGACATGAGAGAGAGAGAAGGAGTTAGCCAAGACAATCAGACAACAGACAGCTCACATCTGGCTTGCAAAGGTCTCTGGAAATCTGATGATGTTTGGTTTCAAATGACTCACATTTGCAGGCTACTTGGTTGATACATTAGGGAATCAGTTTGATTGACATATTAGGGAATCAGTTTGATTGATAGCAATTTTTGTGTTTTTCCTGTTCAAAAGATGTTTTCATTCTCCCATCTATATCTAAATCTTTGGGTTTAAAGCCAAGGAAACAAAGTTCAGACTCAAGTTTCCCTCCTGCCTCAGTCCGCATGTGGAATCCTGAGTTAGACTTAGCTCTGTGCATTTGGCCCCTTGAAACTCCCCTGTGACCCGTTTCTGGCTAGCACCTCAGCTCAGAAGGCTCTTATTTCTTGGTTTGCCTGGCAAGAGATGGGTTCACCATCTGGAGTCAAAAAAACAGCCTGCCAGCCACTGAACAGTTCAGCCTAGGCCCCGGACAATGAGAATCAGGCAATAGCCAATTCCTTGTCTGCAATTTGCTGATTATCACACCCCAGGGTGTGGGATTGTACAGCCAGGACTGCTTTGCTCTGCCTCTCATCAAGGCAGAATGAACACAGATCCTGACAGGTCAAATCTTCCCCCAGACCTCAGAGGTTGCTGTACAAAGGACCAGGCTTAATCTCTGGCCAAGTGTATAATTCATTTATCTGCACGGTCATGAATTCTGGGCTCTCAGAATTCTGGGCTCTCAGGGCAGGAAGCATGGGGCATTGTGACTGGTTCTACAGGCCCAGGGAGTCACTTAAGCCTTGATTGTATTGTGGAGGGAGGGATTTTCGAGACAAAGGGCCCTGTCCTCCCGAGATTGAGCAGATTTGAAGGGGAGCCTATGCACACAAAGGAATGGTGCTTTAGGGAGAGGTTGACAGCCTTGTCATCAATGTCCATGAACTTCTCTAGATCATCTAAGTGATGACAAGGGGGCTAGAATTAATTATTTCATAGACTTTGGCCAAGAGGAATTGAGATAAATAAAGAGTTCATCTCAGGATGTTTGCCCGATGCTCATTCGCCACTTTGTAGTGGAGGGAAGTTTTAAACACCGAGAAACGTTTTCTCACTCGGCCCCTTCTCAGAAACTTGTTGGGGGTCTTAATCTTTGCCTCCAGCTTTCAGAGCTCCTTTACTACCACCAGAAAGACTTGAAGTAAAAGGCAGTACTCTATAGAGAACAGCTACATTAAAGCGAATTGGAAATTGTTTAGAAATTTATAGTTTCCCAACTTGGCCAGCTGTTTTGCTTTCTCTGATCCTCCAGACTTCCTGCTGAACAGAGATGGGACTTGGATGCCATTCTGTGTTCCTGGAGTTTCGTTTGCACAGTTCCACAGCCTGAGGGGGGTTGACCCATTGCAATAAATCCAGCTTCAGATTAGTTATTTGGATTTTGAAGTATTTCAAGCTCCGTGTCCCTCATGTCACTTCACTGCAACCTACCTTGAACTTTGCAATGGAAGACATTTTAATCATGGATTGTATATTATACAACTGCAGACTCCTGAAAGGGAGGAAGTGGATGTTGTGGAAGGCAGATAGCGCTGGAGAGGAATGGAGAGAACAGAGGCTCTAGTGCTTACTCTTACCTCGGACAGACATTTCACCTCTTTGTGTGGTTAAAAAAAATCCTGATGCTCCTCCATTTTTCCTTTTCTCCCTATTCATTTTTGGGGTGGATGTGAAGGACATGAGGAAACCCCAAGTGCAGACCTCCCCAGCTATTCCTGACAATCATTCTTCACCCCTATGAAGATATCTGAGTGCTGTCATTATCTGAGATTGGGACACTCATTAAATACATTATCAGTCATTAATGCTTTACCCCTCAAATACATTTAATAAATTAGTCTCAGCAAAAATTGGAACCCCTGGGGAAATGGACTAGAAGTATAAAGCTTTCTGGGATGGCTGGACAGGATTGTGTTTGCTCAGGCTTTTTACTCTTTGACACCTGGTTTCTAGATCATCAGCAATAACTAAAGATTCCCTGCTTCATATGAGTTTCCTCATTTGCCAGTCAATAGCCTTATAATTAGTAGAAATATGAGAGGACTCTATATCCTGTTGTATCCCAAGCAGTTTATTCAGGAAGTCTCTACTAAACACTTGTTCCAGCACTGTACTAGGTCCTATAGAGCAGCAGTCTCCAACCTTTTTGGCACCAGGGACTGGTTTCATGGAAGACAATTTTACCACAGACCAGGGGTGGGGTGGTTTCGGGATGATATGAGTGCATTACATTTATTGTGTGCTTTATTTCTATTATTATTATTACATTGTAATATATAATGAAATAATTACACAACTTACCATAATGTAGAATCAGTGAGAGTCCTGAGCTGCTTTTCCTGCAACTAGATGGTCCCATGTGGGGGTGGTAAGAGACAGTGACAGATCATCAGGCATTAGATTCTCACAAGGAGCATGCAACCTAGACCCCTTGCATGTGCAGTTCACAGTAGTGTTTGCGCTCCTATGAGAATCTAATGCTGCTGCTGATCTGACAGGAGGTGGAGCTCAGGTGATAATTCCTGTGATGGGAAGCTGCTGTAAATACAGATGAAGCTTCACTTACTCACCCTCTGCTCACCTCTCACTGTGCAGCTCAGTTCCTAACAGGCCACAGACTGATACCAGTCTGTGGCCCCAGGGTTGGGAACCCCTGCTATAGAGGTTATGTCTTCTTTTAATGAGCTTGCTTTCTAGTTGTGGAAGATATGTCAATAATAAAACATGTAACATATATATCTAAGAACCATCTGCTTAGGTAATACAATGAGTGTTAGACAGAGAGTTTTGTAGTGGTGTAGCAGGTGGATCAGTCAGAACCAGCTTCTTGGTGGAGGTGAGATTTTTCCTCGAGCCTTGAAAAACAGATATCATTTTAATATGCAGAGAAGAAGGGAGAGGGCAGTCTGTGCAAAGAGAAGCACATAAACCAAAGTCCACAGGTGGGAATGAGCCCATTATATATGTGGAAGTTCACATGAAAGAGTAAGGGTAGAAAAAATAGCTTCAGACCACAGAGTGAAGTGCAAAGGAATATTTATTTGATCTTTTGTAGCAGTATCCTCAAAACCTTTTTGATCATACACACATATAAGAAAAATAGCACACCCTCAATATATGTATATTCATATACTGTATACTTATACTAATATATTAGTACATTATAAAACATACACAAAATCATACAGGATGATGTAATACAATGAACAAAATAGTTCTGATAGTTTCTTCTCATACCCCAGAAAACCATCTTGTACTCTCCCTGGGGTATCTGTACCCCTACTCTGGATACCACTGCTTTAGAGCATCTGTTAAACATTTTGGGGACCACAGACCCCTTTAAGAATCTGATGGAAGCTACATATCCTCTCCTCTCCTCAGAAATGTATGCACAGATGCTTAACATTTTCTTCATATAGTTAATTTCAAGGAAAGGAGTGGGCTATGGACCTCCTGAAGCCCATTCTTATACCCCAGTTTAAGTTTCTCTGGGTGGAGAAAGGCACAGAAGGCTTTTGAGTAGCTTAGTGGTACATACTCTTTAATCTTTTAGGAAGTTGAATCTGGTAGTGTGCAAAATGAATTGGTGGCAGTGGGGGGCAGGTGGACAAAAAGTAGAAGCAGGGAAACAAGTTAATAGGCTATTTCAAAACTTCATGCCGGAAATGCAAATGCTATGTAAATAGAAAAGAGAGGACAGATACAAATGGTATTTCAAAGGAAGCATAGGCAGATCTCAATGATCAATAGTGGATGAAGGGAGAAGGGAGGGAAGAGAATCAATGGCAAGTCTGAGGCCTCAAGTTGGGGGTGGTGGGGGAAGGGTAATTATTAACTGGTTCAGATGACAGCCCAGCACCCCAGCAGACATGGTCTGAGGGCAGGGGGAAATGTGGGGATAAAGCTAGGGAGAATAATTGGATAGGAGACACAGATTGGGGTGTTGATATGGTGAGAGTAGAAAGTTTATGAGAAGAGAGAGAATAAAAATAGTAAACACTTATGCACTAGGCGTTGTTCTAAGTGCTTTATATCAATTGATGCTGTTAATCCTCATTATCATCTCTGGAAACAAGTGCTCTTATTAACATCGTTCCATTTTATAAACAGGAAACAGAGATAAAGCAGCTTGCCCAAGGTCACAGGCTAGGAAGGATCAGAGTAAGGATTCAAACCTGAGCAGTCTCCAGAATCTATGCCTGTGAGCACTGTGCCATGCTGCCTCTCAATAGTGAGGGGTGAGAGGTGAGTTGTGGGAAAGTCCACAAGGGAAAGGGGAAAAGGGAGGAACAGAGGAACAGACTAGAACCTATCGAGTGTCCACATGGATCAGGCATTGTACTAGTGCTCTAATATTAATAAGCGTCATCATCATTATCACCAAGAGTTTTCCATATGCAAGGCCCTATGTCAAGAACTTTATGAGGTATAGTGAATATTTGTCATTTTTTAATCACTCAGCAGGAAAATGCCTTTGCTAGTTGAAAAGAATCCCTCATTGTATGAGTCTTGATGTGAGTTGGGGCCCACCTCTCACTGCGGAAGCCAAAGGAGTTCAGATACCCCCCTTCCTGTCCCTGTGTAGATAGGAAGTGGTCATAGGTCCTAGGCTGGACTAATAGGACACTTTCTCTGTGGAGCAACTGAAGCTAAGATCATGAGCCAGAGTTCAATCACAGTAGTAGTCAGCGGCTGCGATTATGATACCCTGGCCAGATTGTTCCTGCTATGTAGCTTCAAAAGTCTCCTTCACCTTTTCATCTGTTCTGGAAGTCTATATCATAGATTGGCAAACCATAAATCTGACCCATCACCTCTTTTTCTAAATAAAGTTTTGTTAGAACACAGCCACATCCATTTGTTTACTTATTGCCTCTGGCTGCTTTTGTGCTACAATGATAGAGTTAAGTAGCTGTAACAGAGACAGTATTGTCCACAAAGCCTATAATATTTACTATTGGACTCTTAGCAGATAAAGTTTGACCACTCCTGCTCTTTCCAGTAAATCCATTTTTGGCTTAATATATTCAGAGTTGACTTCTGTTGCTTGCAGCCAAGAACTTTAACTGATATAAATGGATTATCTCATGTAATCCTTATAATAACCCTCCCAAGTAGATGCTATTGTTAATCGCATATTGAAGATAATAAAACAGACACAGACAGGTTATCTGCCCAAGATCACACAGATAGTAAGTAAAATCACTGAAATTCCAACCCAAATCTGACTCTATCATACATGAAAGAGATAAAGAAAATGGAGATGGAGCAATTAGCAGTCCCAGGCCTCTTTTGAGATACTGGAGAAAAGAATCATTTTCCCCCAGTAGTTCAGAGGAACCCAAGTAATCAGGGCCATGGAAAGTGAGAGGAAAAAGGAATAGAGATATCAGTAGCTTGGTTCTGACACATTTATCTCCCTCTTGGCCACTTCTATACAGTCTATTGAAATGTTGGTTTAAGCCTCTGTCAAAAGGGTACACTAACCTATCAATTCTCAGATCATCTGCCAGCTTTTTGCTTGCTAAGAAATTCAGAATTCATTTGAGTTGCATCTCAGAACTATATTAGGCCGTAGAGCTTGAATTCCTTCTTCCAGATCACTGGGACCTACACTGGATCCAGACTGACAGTAGCCAAAGTCATTGTTTCCTCTGCTAAAATATGCACCCTTTGAGGACAGGGTGTAAGGCTTGCTCACTGCTGCCACCTGCATATCGAAATATGGAGTCTGTACCCTCTTTCGAGGTGGCTCAAGTGCAGATGACCACAAAAGTTTATTTGATAGGCAATCCTCCATCGTCTCAGTGTGGCTGGGGCAGATTACCACTTTCACTCCAGGCTTAGCAATCTCGAGCTTTTGCTTTGCTAAATGCTAAGATACTTGCCAATACGTCACAGCTTTGGGGGAGTACGTGGGAGGAGGTTTAAGCATATTTAGCTTTTCAGCCTTACCTACTAGACCCAGAGTTCCTTCCATGTGATTCCTGTAAATGCTGACAATAACATGGTGCTCCCTCTGCTCAGTGCACCATTTAATTGAGCTAATTAGTGACAAAAATATCTCACAGCAGTGAGCCTTCTGTTGGAAGCATCTGAAGGGAAGGAGGATCAAACTGCAGAGTGGTGAAGAAGACTTCTTGGATAAAGGCATTGGGAATGTTATCGGACTGACCTTTTTGTTTGTGTGCACACATGCACGCACCCTTCTGTTAAAATAGTCTTTTAAACTAGGTGGGAAAGTTCATGAAAGACGTTTGTCTTGTCACATGTACTGATGAAGTGTTTTCCTCTGTGATTTTACCCCCAGCAAACTTCTCTCACCAGTTAAAGCAGAAAACCCTACTTCTGCCAAGTTGTTGTTTGCAAG
The DNA here is from genome assembly GCF_000001405.40 of Homo sapiens. Taxonomy (NCBI): domain Eukaryota; kingdom Metazoa; phylum Chordata; class Mammalia; order Primates; family Hominidae; genus Homo; species Homo sapiens. The sequence continues at coordinate 108,244,991 of NC_000023.11, read as the reverse complement.
AGAATTTGTGAAGGCCTGCCTTTTGTAGCACATGACTTGTCCCTCAGGAATATCTTTTTAGTCTCTGCTAATGTAAGGGAACATCTGAATGGTGTCTGAAAAGAGAAATCTCTTTTCCTTGGGTCAAGCCTAGCCCTGTGGCCACCTGATCTGGCTCTTTTTTGGATGAGTCCCTGGGGCTAACAAGCGAAAGAGTGAACCTTAGGAAATTGTTAGATATTTTCATGATCATTTCTTGATTATCTGCATCTGGGAAAGAAGTGGTGGTTAGGACAGTTGAACCAACCTAAAGCTTACTCATTCCAACCATTTCAGCACCCTCAAACATTCTCATGACCTAATCATCATGCTATGGTCTTGTTCACGAAGTACTGAATCCTTTTCTAAAGCCCTTTTCCATTGAAGATTCAGACTTAATCTTTACAGCAACCCAGTGAAAGTTCCATGATGAGGGGCAACGCTGTAGTTCAGTTGGTTAGCAGGTCAAATGCTTAGGTGTGTGTTTCTAGGTGCCCTGATCCTAAGACGTGAGGAATTGCAGCATTATTGGTCAGCCAAGAAGAAGCAGAGCCTAAGTAAACTGAGCTCACAGTAGAATGTTTTTGTGATTAGTGGCCAATAGCACACAGTAGATGACCAAAAAAAGACTATGGGTTTTCGCCCTAATCCTTTGATTTTGCTATAAAAGTCTTTCAAGGTAGATATATTCTTTTCTGATGGAATTCAATGTTGATTTCAAGAACTCCAGCTCTGAGAATGCTGCTTAGAAGTGAACACTAAATAACATGTTATGGCAGCCCAGCCTTGCTTGGTGTGATCAGAGAAGAGTGATAGCTCTCTTATCATTCTCCTGTGAATTAAGCAAAAAAAAAAAAAAAAATTGGTGAACATACCTGAAGGGTTATTCTTCACAGGATTTTCCATATGCCCACTCAGAAAAAAGGATCATATGTCTTGGTTAAGAAAATACAAATAATAACATTGTCCACAGTGTTTCTCCTGAAGAGAACTAAAAGAGAAAATGTGACCGCTGTCCTTTTATAAACATCACATAAGCTCTCCCAGGTTTTGGGGAAGCCACTGATGTCCTTGATGAATATGACTAAGTTGTTTGTGTAGGAGGGTGTTCATGTCTATCCTGTAATTAACTGGTGAATTGGGTTGATGTTTCTCCAAGCATATTCTGTAGCTTTTGTGTATGAGTGATGCATGGGTATGTGAGTGATGCATGGGTATGTGAGTGATGCATCTTTGACATTGCATTCAGTTCAACTACTATTTAGAGCAGAGGTTCCCAAACCTTAGCTGCACATTAGAATCACCTTAAGAGCTTTTAAAAACCCCAATGTCCAGGCCATGCCTTATCTTAGTCAGATTGAACTGCCATAACAAAATTCCATAGACTAGGTGGCTTAAACAACAGAAATTTATTTTCTCACAATTCTAGAAGCTGGAAGTCCAAGATCAGGGTGCCAGTGTGGTCAGGTTCTGGTGAGGTCTCTCTTCCTGGTTTTATGGGGTGGCCTGGTTTTATGCTGTGTCCTCACATGGCAAGAGAGAACTCTGGTATCTCTTCCTCTCCTTATAAGGGCACCAGTTCTATTGGATCAAGGTGCCACTCTTATGACCTCACTTAACCTTAATCACCTCCTTAAAGGCCTCATCTCCAATACAGTCACATGGGGGAGGGGGGCTTCAACATATGAATTTGAAGGGAACACAATTCAGTTCATAACATACCCTAAAATAATTAATTAAATCAGACTGTCTGGAAATGGGACCCAAATCTCCTAGGTGATTCCAATATGCAGCCAAGTTAAGAACTACTATTTTATATCCTTGCTGTTCAATGTGAAGTCGCTTCAGCAGCATCAACATCACCTGGGAGCTTGTTAGAAAAGCAGAACCTTGAGCCTCCCGCTGAATCAGAACCTTTTTTTTTAACAGGATTCCTAAGCGATTTGTAGACACAGGACAGCTGAGAAGAACTGATTGAGAGTATCTAGCATGTTTCTAATCTAGAGAGTCTTCTTCTTTCTTTATTTTGCCAAATACTTGCAACAGTAGCTATGTGAGCTTTTTATATGCTATGGGATTGTTCTCAGAACAAGGTGCTTGACTGTGCAGTCTTCCAACAGTTGCTTAATGGTACAGAATACATGAGGTGGTGCACTGGTGAGTTTGAGAGGGCCACCGAAGACATCCAGACTGGGTAAGTCTCATCACTCACTCAGGTGCCATGCACATTGCTAGGTAACTGCCAGGGAGTGAGTCAAGCGACCACTTTTAGGTTCTCTTCTGAAAACAGGAGTATAGTCCTCTTGTTCTTCCTGGTGATTTGTTTACTTTTGGATTGTTTTCACAGAATTGTGTCTTCTAAAAACCATTTATTTGCAGCTTCTTGTTCAGGCTATAGATTTCACTCAAATAGGTTGCTTAGCTTATTATTGCCAAATATTTATTTATTAAGAGGGTTTACCACTAACTCAATCTAGATGTTTTCTACATATTCTGTCTGGTCTTGTTACAGCTTAGTAGTTAATTGTGCGGTGGTGTTTCTCTGGGCTCCAGCTACTCTGGACTACAGGTTTTCTTTGTTGTTGTGAAAATTTATTTTACTAGTTTCAGTTGGAGTAAATGAAAAAGATCTGGCAATGGATGGTGGAGACGGTTGTACAACAGTGTAAATGTACTTAATGCCACAGAACTGTATACTTAAAAATGGCTAAAAGGACCAATTTTATGTTAGGTATTTTTACCATGATCAAAAACAAATTTCAGTGCATTTTATTAAATGTGATTAGGTATCCTGGTTTGGATTCTGGAACAGAAAAAGGGCATTAGTATAAAAACTGGTAAAATCTGCCAAGCACAGTGGCTTGCACCTGTAATCCTGGCAATTCAGGAGGTTGAGACAGGAATATCACTTGAGGCCAGGTGTTTGAGACCAGCCTGGGCAATGTACTGGCATGTCTCTTAAAAAAAAAAAAAAAAAAAACTGGTGAAATCTGAACAAAATATGGAGTTTTGTTAATAGTATCTACCAATGTTAATTTGCTAGTTTTGATGAATGTACAATAGTTACATAAGATGTTAACATTAGTAAAACCAGGTGATGGGGTTAGGGGTGTACTGGAACTCTCTGCTATCTTTGAACTTTTCTATAAATCTAATATTATTCCAAAATAGAAAGTTTTTTTAAGAAAATGGATTCTATTTTGACCCATCATTTTGGAAAGGAGGTAGAAAGGACCATTAGAATAATCTGGCAGAAGACCAAGAGGTAGAACCCTTTTCTTCTCCAGAGCTTCCAGGTTCAGCTCCTTAGAAATGATGGTAGCTAAGGTGCAGTAGAGCACCCCTCACCAAGCTATGCTACTCTGAAAACAGCTCAGTCAGAACACTTTTTGTTCAGGGCTATATATATATATATATATATATTTACTATTATATATTATATTATTATGTATATTTATTATATATGAATAATATATAAGATTATATATAATATATGAATCATAATAGCACTATTTCCTGGATGGCAGTTCAGCATAGTGATTAAAAGTACACAATCTGCAATCAGACTGCCTGGGTTTAAATGGTATTTCTACCACTTTCCAACTGTATGATTGTGAATAGTTATTTAACTTCTCTTTGCTTCATTTCCCTCATACATAAAATGGCAATGATAATAGTACCTACTTCATAAGCTTTTCTGAGCATTCTATGGTACCATCTTTATGAGATGCTTAGCACAGGCCTGAGTTAGAGTAAGTGTAGGTATTATTATTATGTGTCAGGCATTATATTAAGTGTTTTATATACATTTATATTACTTGTGAACTGCTATAATGTCTCATTTTACATTTTTTATAACTTCTAAATTATATGATATTTATAGGGGCCCAAATCATAAGCGTAAAGTTAACATACCCAAGTACCCACCATCCAGATCCAAGATACAGAACATTATCATCACCCCAAAATTTCCTATATGCCCCCACCCAGTTATTACCCACCAAAATTAACTCCATTTGTTTCTGTTTCTATTCAGTTTCAGAGATACTTCCCCCTCCATTTTTCATAAGTTAATTTGGGGATTGTAGAAAACATTAGCATGATTCAAAATGCAAAACCATAGTTAGTAATGTTTTTCCTCTCCCCTCTGTTTCCTCCAATATTTAATTTGAAGCACTATGGCTAATTTATTTTTAAATGAGAGTCATGTGACATTTTTGTCAGAAAATTGCATGAACAGTAATTTTCAAAGCATTCTGAAGTGCTTCACAGCCCCCTTCATTCAGTTCAACCAATATTGAGTGAGCACTTAATTTGGCAAAGCACAGTAGTGGAAAGAAAGGTGAACCAAACAAAGGCTTGTCTTTAGATGCTCCAAGCCCAATTTGGGAAAAAGGCCCTTAGACATAGAATTCTAGTCCAAAGCACACTCTGAATATGATAATAGAAATGCGAAGTTCTACATGTAAAATTACCATTTACAATAACAACAGAAAAGGAAACCTGTAACATATCTTTTTTATTAGTAATTTACCTGACAAAAAGTATATTGGACATTTTATAGATAAAAATTTTAAATTCTACAAACAGATGTAATAGATCTGAATCAATGGTGGGATATACAACGTTAATGGATGAGATGACTTACTGTAAAGATGTCAATTTTTCCCAAATCTACAAATTCAATGCCATTCTTTTTTGTTGTTGTTGTTGTTGTTTTGTTTTTGTTTTGAGACAGAGCCTCACTCTATTGCCCATGCTGGAGTTCATTGGCGCAATCTTGGCTCACTGCAGCCTCTGCCTCCCGGGTTCAAATGATTCTCTTGCCTCAGTCTCCCGAGTAGCTGGGATTATAGGTGCCCACCACCACGCCCAACTAATTCTTGTATTTTTAGTAGAGACGAGGTTTCACCATGTTGGCCAGGCTGGTCTCAAACTCCTGACCTCAAGTGATCTGCCCACCTCAGCCTCCTAAAGTACTGGGATTACAGGTGTGAGCCACCACACCCAGCCAAATTCAATGCCATTCTAATGAAAATACCAGCAGGATATTTTAAGGAACTTTAAAAACTTATTCTAAAATGTAGATAGAAGAATAAATGTCTATGAATATTTAAATTGATTTTTGAATAAAGAACAGGTGACTTTCCCCTCTACAATTTGAGAAATGCTGCAAAGACATATTATTATTAGTAATAAGTAGGAGTGCACAGTAAAAGGCCAGTAAACCAATTAATAGAATATAGAGCTCAGAAACAGATGATGAGATAAAAGTAATTTTACATCAAGGGAAGGATGGATTTTTGGTATTGGAATGGGTAGATCATCATGTGACAGAGCTTCCAAACCAGTGTGTCACATTACAAGCTATAAATGGACTATAGGTTTACAGAGCTATTGATCTTCTTGACCCTTAGGATATCCAGGAAGAACCTAACGTGGCCAGAGCTCCCAGGCTGGTGGCTTCCACGGGTGACTATGAGCAGTCCTACCAATTTACCACATTATGCTAAGCATATGCTATCATATCCTCTTGGTTCGATTACCTGAAAAAGAAAAGAAAAGCACTGTTATCTGGAGAAAAATAGAGTTGGATTGCTACCCTATATCACATACAAAGGTGACCTCTGGATAGATTACAAACCTAAATGTGAAAGGTAAAACTGTAAATGTAGGAGAATTTCTCTATAACCTGAAATAGTGTAGAACTTCTTAAATAAGACCCCAAACCACAAGACATAAGGTGGAAAGTCATAAATTTTACTACATCAATTTTGAGACTTCCGGTTCAATGAATGACACTATAGACAAAGGTAACAGACAGATGATAGACTGGGAGAAGGTATTTGCAATGTCTAAAACTGATAAGGCATTGATAGCTACAATGTCCAAGGAACTCTGGTAAATCGACAAGAAAAAGGCAGAAGACACAATTGTTAAAATGGGAAAAGCATATTCACAGAATGGACAGACCACAGAAGGGGAGAAACTGCATTGGCTAACAAGCCTATGAAGAGATGATTAGCCTTGCTAGTATTCAGAGACGTGCAAATTAAAATAACAGTGAGATATCAAGTTATACTTATCAGATTGACAAAAATTTTAAAGTCAGATAACACCAAGTGTTTGTTAGCATGAGGAGAAAAAATGATTTTTCATGTATTGCTGATGGAAGTGTAAACTGTTACAGCTTACAATCTGACAGCACTCATTGGTATTAACCATGTATTCCTATACCCAGAAACCTCAGTGCTGCATATATATCCTGCAGAACCTCTCCATGGTTTGAAAATAGGACACTTACGGGGATGTTTTTCACAGAATCATTTGTTTATCACAGAATTTTTTGTGTAAGGGATTAGAGGCAAACTAGATGTCTATCCATAGAGAGATGTACATGTAAAATGTGGTAAATGCATACTTTTGAATATTACATAAGGGTTAGAAGCAACAAAGTAGTTGTGCAAATAGTAATATAGATCTTGAAGACATTCTTGAGCAAGAATGAGAAATAGAATGTGATCTATAACCCAAAGACAGCAATATCAATTTAAAATACACACACACGCCCGGGTGTGGTGACTCACGCCTGTAATCCCAGCACTTTGGGAGGCCAAGGTGGGTGGATCACGAGGTCAGGAGTTCAAGACCAACCTGGCGAAGATGGTGAAACCCCCCCATCTCTACTAAAAATACAAAAATTAGCTGGGTATGGTGGTAGGCGCCTATAATCCCAGCTACTCTGGAGGCTGAGGCAGAGAATTGATTGAACCTGGGAGCTGGAGGTTGCAGTGAGCCGAGATCATGCCACTGCACTCCAGCCTGGGTGACAGAGCAAGACTCCATCTCAAAAAAAAAAAACACACACACACACACACCCAAAACCAGATAGATAGATAGATAGATAGATAGATAGATAGATAGATAGATAGATAGATATAGAGAGGTGATAGGTAGATGACAGATAGATAGAGACACATAGAGATAGAAGATAGACAGATGATAGATAACAGAGACACATCGAGATTGATGATAGAGATAGATTTTAGATAGATAAATGATACATAGATAGATAGATAGATAGATAGATAGATAGATAGATAGATAGATAGATGATAGAGACAGAGGGAGAGAGGGAAAGAGAAAGGGAGAGATAGTTGTTAGATATCCTGGACTCATATCAAATATATTAAAGAAGATACCTGAGAGGGATAGAAATGAGAATGGGGATGTGGATGAAGGAAAAGATCTTTTCAAAATGAGGAGCTGGACATGGACTAATGATGACATTTTATTATAAACTAATAGATGTAATTAACTTGGCTCTTTATAGCTGAGTCATTCCCCCAAAATTTTTAAGTGATTTTGGAAGGGAGACATCAACTCCAACCAGGGAAATCTGAGAAGTCTGTTTGGAAGAGGGCAGATTTGAGCTGAGCTTTGAAAGATGGATAGAGCCTTGGTAGAAAGTTCTGGAAGAGAAGGGTATTTTTGGTGAGGAAGCAACTTGGTTGGAAGCCACGTGGTGAGAGAGTACAAGATGGGTTTAAGTATCAGCAAGGAGATTGTAATTTTTGAAGTCTAGGGCAGGTAGGGGTGTTTTGCGGAAAATAAGCCTGCAAAGACAGGTGGGAGTTGAACGGTGAAGGGCTTTCAATGTGTGATTAAGGAGTGTGGATTTTATTTTGAAAGTAATATGGAGTGGTTTACAATTTTTGAGCAGGAGAGCAATAGGACCAGACCTAGGACAATTACTGTCACAGAGTGTTAGATAGATTGCTGCAATGTTTGACTGGACACAGAGATAACTCCAGAGGCTGTTGTCATTATCCAGGTGAGAGCTAATGAGGGACTGAGCTAGGTTTTGGTTATTGGTTCCTAAAGGGTCTAATAAGAGTGGCATGGCAGGACCTGAGAAATAAATTAGAATGCTGTCTCATCTTTATAGCAAAGGTGGTGGAAATTGTAGGAGATGAATGAAGTCACCATGAGAGAGACAAGAGCCTTTGGGCAAAATGGAAGGGGCCAGTGAAGACGATGATGAAGGGACAAAGGACTGAAGAGCCCATAGTATAGTGCAGTGAAAGCCAAGGAGGGGGTTTCAGAAGGGAAAAGAGTGTTCGGTGATGACAAATGCTGCAGAGGTCTATGGGATTAGAATTTAACAGAGGTCACTGGTTACTTTCCAGAGAGTACTCTCAAGAGAGAGGAGTTGGTAGGCCCAGATTGCCAGGGATTGGAGAGAGTGAAAGGAGAGGAAATGGATGCAGTGAGTGTTGGCTGGTTTACCATGAAGTTTGTTCTGGAAAGGCAATGGAGAGATGGGATCGTAGCTTACAGGGAACGGGAGTAAGGGAGTCAGAGGAAGCATTTTTGTTTGTTTTATTGGTTAGTATCAGGCACTCCAGAGCATGTTTCGAAGATGAAAGGAAAGCAACCAGTCCAGAATAGTTACTGGAGTAGGGTCCCAAGGGCTAGGATCCCTGGAGCAGCTACCTGGCAGTGCTCACTGCAAGCTAGCCTTGCTGTATCTTGGTGTGCACCTTCCCCCTAATTGTGCTCTTTAGCTTTGCCTTTGGGAGATCTTTCCTCTTGCAGATACACTTACTAGAGCTTCTCCCACCCCCGTAACAACCCCTCACTTTTTCTTCTCTTGGGTTCCGGAGACTGGTTGAAACTGGACTAACAAAGATACCTGCCTTTGTCAAGTCTGCAAGTCAAGGGATGTGATTAGCTGCTTGGTTCTCAGGCCAAAGGACCTGAAGCACTCAAAGCCCTGAAGGGGAAAGTACTTGAAGATTTGTTTTCCACTCAGCTTTAAGGGACAAGTGTTGCTACTGTTGGCCGTGGCAGGCTTCATAGGGGACTTTATCTCTACAGAATTCTGTATTAACTTTTTCTGAAAGATTGCCAGCACCCGATTCAAAAGCTTTTAAAATCCTCATAAAACTAGAGAATGAAAAAAAGCAATAATGGAGGTGGAAGGTAAGCAGAACATGGGACTTCCTGCCCAGTTCACCATCCGGCCAGGCCCCTGGTCTGGCCAACTCCTTTTCACCTCTTTTTCTCCCCCAGATCGTAGGATTTAGCCTGTTTTGCTTGCTTTTCTGACTGCCACTTCCCCCCTCCTCGATTTCCCATCTAGATACCTTTAGGGATGGTTTCCTGATTTATCCCTAGCTCTGCTTTCTCTAAGAACCAGATAATGGACTGTTAATTTGTTTAAAGTGTTTTCATTGCTACAAACTCTAAGGAAACAGTTGGGCAGAGTGAGATATAACCAAAAGTAGATGACGGTGTGAAAGTTGGGAAGGTACAGAGGATGAAGAACCCTGACAAAACATGAGTCTTTAGTGAGCTGTGAACACATGAGCTGCCTACTCTCCTCCCTATACAGGCCATAGACTCTGGCCTGGGAGTTAGCACCATTATCTCCCCAGCAGCTGAAACCATCTCTCTTTGAGTTAAATGCTAGACAAGGTCTTCAGCCTGAGGTAGATGTGGGGTGAGGTTGCTAACAGTCTAGTGGATTTTTCCCACATGTGAATCCTCAGGTTGCTCTCTCTGACTCCAGATTTGTCTTGACAGAACAGGCTCAAGTACTAAATGTTGTACATAATTTATACCTCTAGGTGGTTCAAGCATCTCACTTTGAGCAAGGGCAAATTTTCTTATAAATCATTGTTTACCAGGAATTGCTGGCTCCCCTCTGGCTCTCTCTCCAGTCTGGAGCCCAAGATCAGCTATTTCCACATTGTTCTTACCTTCCTCCTATTGGACTTATCCCTCTCCCTCACCTGCATCCTCAGCCCCAGTACTTCTGATATATTTGCCAGTGCCCAGACCTGGAAAACCCCACCACCTGCTTTGCTTCCTCCTGCTCCTAAGCTGCCAACTATTGTTTGAGGAAGTTTCCTCCACACATAAAAACATGTTCTCTAGTGTCGGGGGAGCTCTCAGTGCTGATTGGTAGGCCTTCACACTTTTCTAACAATTGACATCCTGCCACATCCTCCATAGCATCTCCTTCTGGCCCTCCCCAGTCATCCTCGACCTCAAATACCTCCCCTCTCTACTCATGACCTCACTTCCTACATTTGTTGAGAAAATTGAGATCAATTTGAAATAGACATTCTCCACTTCCCTCTTACTTACCAAAATGTGTCCTGGGTCTTTTTCTTTATACATCTTCTACTCTCTAGTTTGGAAGAATAAAAAGCCCTCCTCTATCTCCAAGATAAACCCATCAACAGTCCTTGGGTTGAGAATCATATCCCTCCTGCCTTTCTATGCCTTATGGTATATACTCATGTGCATGCATAACTTCTCTTTTCTAACTTGGATTGAGAGTTCCTCAAGGACAAGGCCCATGTTGCATTCATTTCTGTGTTTCCAGCATGTTGCACCATGGCATAGTCAGCAATCAACAAATTGCCTGATTTATCTCTAAAAAATTGCCTCATCGATTTACTGAACCGATGAGTTGTCAGTGGAACAAGTAGACTGATTTGAGTTCTTTGTCCTTTGTGCATCTACGTAATTGATTGCTAAGGGTGCCACTGGGCAGCAAGAAGAATTCAGGGAAGAGTCAAGAGGATTCAATACACTCCAGACCCAGGGTTTTTGGTGGAGTTACATGACATTTTATCTGGAATTTTTGACCAAGAATTGACCTATCACTTTATTAAGGGAATAGTTGGAAAAGCTGCTAGACTCAGACTAAAGATCTTGCTCTGCTGCCCATAAACTGCATGGCCATGGACAAGTTAACCCCTGGGTCTCAATTACTTTCTCTAGTACATTGAGGACAGTGTTGTTATGAGCATTAGATGGAGTCATACATGTGAAAACACTTTGAAATCTGAAGCACTTCACCAACGTAAACTTGTAACTCTTAGACCTGATGCCACCAACAGCTCTAGAGCTTCTACTCTAACAATACCACAGCTGCCACCACCTCCACTGCCCATCTTTCCTGTTGCACACAGAACTTGATCTCATCTCAGCTTCCAACTGTCCATGATGGAAAGGGAAAATATATCACAAATGTGGAGATCTCATTCCCTTCCCATCTTTTTGCCTGCGTGTGTCTGTGCAGAGGGCTTTACTAGTCCATAGGGACTACTATATATTGATGTGAGGGTCAAGGGAAGGGAGCTGTGTCATCTCATCTTCTTGAGTTCAAATCCATGATTGTCTATGATAATCCATGATTATATGGCAGGCTATGCCAGAGTACCAGCAGGCCCTACCATTTTAGCAGGCTCTTGTGCCTGTGGGCATGTGTGTTTGGAGTGGAATGTGTATCCCTTTATCAGCATAGGTGTGCATATTAATGCTCCTCTGGTTCTAAATGAATACAGGGATGTGAGTTTGCATGGGAACAACACTGAAACTATGTAAGTAAATTGCTTCCCTCTCTTCCTTGCCCTTCCATCTCAGAGCTCCCTGAGTTCTCTGACAAGGAGGTCCTGACATAATTTCTTTGATCCTACCCTTTTTTTACTCCTTCTATTTAGGGAATAGTAGTTGGTTGCTCCCAGTTACCTCTCACTCCCAAAACTTGGTGGCTTTTCACCAGAGAATCAGGGAAGTCAGCATTGATCCAGAAGCAATCAGCTCCCACCAGCTCAGTATTGGACCAAAGGTTGTATAGCATATCAATGATGGGCAATATATTATGTCAGAGAATAATGCCAAAAGTATCCCTTGTCTAATGGAATAGATACACTACAGCAAAAATCGCTCTGAAGTGAATTTCTGGCAAGTCCTGTTTCACTTTGATTTTTATTATAAAACCATAGCTGTGTTTTGCTAGAAAAACTAAAAGAAAAAGATTGGCTCCAGATTGTAATTAAACCATGTATTTTTAAATAAACCGTACATTTGTAATAATGTAGATCTAATCATTTTAAAACTGAAATGAGACTCCTGTGAAAGACAGTCAATTTGCTCCCAACTTTCACAGCTTTAAATTCTGCTCCTTTTTTTATTCAATCTTTTTTCTACTGAAAGCTCTTCCTTGAGGGTTTACGGCCTCATGAGTCTAGCAAATGAGGTTTGTTTGTTTGTTTGTTTGTTTGGTGGACAATTGGAGTTTGGTTATTCGAGTTTTTTCTCCAAAAGCAAAGTTTTGTCAGTGGAATGAAACTATAGCTCCTTTTCACAGGCATTGTCTCAACTGATGCTCAAAGCAACCTAGGAAATGGGTAGAGCAAGTAATATCCCCATTTTGCTGATGAGAAAACAAAGGCCTAGAGATTAATTAACTTTTTCAATATCATACAGCTAGAAGGTTGGAGCAGGGAATTGAATCTAACTCTTCTGCTTCAAACAGGAGACTTTTTTAAGAGGCAAAGGTGACATCAATTCAAGTTTGCTAGAAAATTTTCAAATCAAAATCATTCTCAAATTAAGTATTTAATGTTTTTCCAACAGGTATATTAGTTTTAGGTTAAATTCATCCCAAGTAAACTTGTATTTATTTTCTCATGCAGTCTGGAAACTCGGTACACACTGGGGATCTTTGTATAGACTGAATGCCCATTCCAAGTGATATGGGGGCTCATTCAACCATTTATAATAGTTACAAAGGTGTTTAGTTGTTCTGTTTTTATTTTTATGTCCAACTATTGATCATATTTACAGTTTTATGTGATTTTTTTATTCTTGCAATTCCCATTAAATATCACAAAAGGGAAGTTTGATATGGTTCCTGATAATAGTTTTATGAATGTGTTATGGAGGAAAAGGAGACCTGAAGATTCTTCCATGAATTTATTTGCCTCTATCTAGGCATCTCCACTTCATCCTATTTTAACAATTATTGACATTTCCCAGGGGTAAGGGAAAATATGACATGTCTAAAGACTAGTTCTCCAATTTCTGCTCAACCTAATGACCATCAAGTTAGCATACTGTGCCTATATTCCTTCTGCCACTAAACTAATATGCTAGCATTGGAGACTCATAGCACATCAGAATTTGTCTACCAGAGCCTAGATAAACTAACCATTACCCACTGACCAGGTAAGAAGACCACTTTAATTGTGGAACCAGAAGAAATCCCCCATCTTTTAAGTTCTAGGGAGTGCCATTCCTTGAAGTGCATCTTATTTCTTAATTTATTAATTATATTAGTACATTTCTATTAAAGAGTACCTATTCCAATGAAAAGTGTGGGTAAATTGAGATAAATTGCTTTGGTATCAATGAAAATAACAATATTTTCTCCGCAGTGTAGCTCTTACTGCTCCTGTTCATGGGTTTGTGTCTCTGCGTTCAGAGCATCATTCAATGCAGAGACAGTGTAGCTTGGTGGAAGAAACAGAGGCTTTGATATCAGCAAATTGGCTTCACCAGTTGCTTGCTGTGTGATCTCAGGCAAGTTCCTTAATCTCTCTGTATTTGAGTTTCCTCATCTGTAAAATGAGATTAATACCCACCTGTTGGGGCTGTTAAAAGAATAGAGGAGGTGAATTTAAGGAATAGCACTTTATAAACTCTTGGTAAAAGAAAGTTATTATTATGTTTTAGAAGAGAAATATCAGTAAACAGGTAGAAGAAATGGATGCAAAGTCTTGCCTAGCAAGAGTTAACTTTATCAGTCGGGATATGTCTTCCAAAAAATTTCAACATGCTGACAATAACCAGTGGAATGGGTGTATGTATCTTTGAAAACAAAACGTGTAGATGCATGTCTTCATGCCTGGGCTGGCTGCTTCAAACGCTGATTATAGATGAAGAACTAGAAAAGAAATGTGATTCCATTTGAGTGTTGAGGGGGAGACTCTGATACTATTTATTAGCTGTGGCAGACCTGAAAATTGCCTTTGCAAGACATCAGTCACTATGTATGTATGTATGTATGTATGTATGTATGTATGTATGTATGTAGATGGAAAGGGTCACTGCTCTTGTTGGTAAATTGTAGGTGATGTTAACATTATCAAGCTGATCCAAAACTTCTTGGGCCACAAAATAGGTCTCTATATCTGCATGATATGAGTCTTTACCTGCCATATGCTAGACACATTCTTCACCACCAGCATTCTTTCTTTTTTATTTACTTCTGCAGGCAATGCTAGTTCATTAGTGCTGTTACTAGGAGAGTGAAGTGTATGGCTCTATGGATACTCATCTCCATTTGTTTCAACAGAGAGAGCACAGAGTTGACTGGGAGGCTCTGATGTAACTCTTCCACTGTGCAGCTGTGTGACATTAGCCAGCCTATTGGCTAACTGCTTTGCAGCTTGGTGCCCTTCGCCTGCCTTGCAGATGTATTGTGATGATCCAAAGGAATGGTGAAAAGAAAACTGCTGTGAAGTTTAAGTATTCTACTCATGGGGGTGTTATTATTAGTATCTTTCTTACCACATTTCATTGCTAGGAGAAAGATCCCTGGCTACTGAGGTAAAGTTTGTTAAGTTCTTGCATTTCCCCCCAACCATCAGCTGAAATGAGAATTTCAGTTGTAAAGCAAAGACAAATTGTAAAAATCAAGCCACCTTGTTTCTAGGCTGGAGGTCAAGGATCTCTGCTCCCCCTTCTCAAAAGGCCACAAGGAGTTTTTTAGGATAGTGACATTCTTTTAATTCCATTTTGCTCCTAGCAAATGAGACTTGGAAGTGGCCTTCTCAAAGATTCCCCAGTGCATATTTAATTCTCTATTTTCATTCATTTCATAATTATGCATTTTCCCCACAATTATGTTTTGTGTGTCTACTGCACACCAAATACTGCATCTCCGGGGATATGGTGGTGAACAAACCTCACTCTGTTTCCTCAAATCTTCCTGTTTTGTGGGAAAAATGTGCTAAACATCTCCCTAGATGTTTGCCCAGGCATCTTAAATTCCACCTGTCCAAAGGTGAATTCCTCATCTTCCACCCAAGACTCTTCTTCCTCTAAGTTCTCTCATGTCATCAAAGAGATCCACTCGGTTGCCCAATCAAGAAACATTGGAGTCATCATTTGCACTTTCCTCTGTTTTGCTCATCAGTTCCAATATGGCACTAAATCCTTATAGTTTTTAGCCTCTGAAATATCTCTCAACTATGTCTTTTCCCTGTCTCCACTGCCATGAACCTAGTCCATGTCACCATTATTTCTCTTCAGGAGGTCATAGACCCCTCATGGGGTTCCCTGTCTCCAGTCTTGCTACTCCATCCACTCCTTTCCTCTTGTGGTGTGTCATAATGAGGAAGAAGGAGAGGTGCCCTAAGTCATAGTGATAAAGGAATGCTGAGGGCCTTTCAGAGATTGTGAACTCCAAACCTGCACAAGCCATAATCATTTGCTGAATAATAATACATCAATAACAACAAATAACTTTTATTGCACATTTAATATATGCAAGGTGCAATGCTAAATGATTTACAACAGGGATTCTCCAAGTGTGGTCTTTGATCCTGTAGAGTCAGTACCACCTGAGAACTTGTTAGAAATGCAGATTTTTAGACCCAGCCGGCACTACTGAATCTGAAACTCCGGAGCTGAAGCCCAGCAATCTGTGTTTTAATCACCTCTGCGTAAGTCTGATGCATGCTAAGGAGCGAAAATAATGATCTACTCGAATTTTCTTACTTAGTCTTCATAATTACCCTATGAAGTAGACACTGATATTATCCTCACTTGACAGCTGAAGAAATTTGAAGATGCCATTTGTCCCAAAGTCCTACGGTGGTGAAGAGGGAATTTGAATCCTAGACTTCTGAACTCTGAACCCTGTACACTTAGCTAGCATATCATCTCACTTCACTAAATTCTGAACCAAACTGGAAGCCAAACTAAAGTTTAAAACAAAACATGCTAATGTACCAGATTAAACACCTCAGCATCTGTAAATTTTTGTAGGTTATTCTCTATTGCCCTTTCTTACTGATTCTCTGTGATCTCACCTCTGCTCCAGCCAGACCCAGGCTTCTGACTGGCCCTCGCTTACAGAATTCGCTGATTCCCATCAACATGTTGTTCTTCATGTTTAGAATGCATTCACTAACAGTTTGTTGGGTCTTTCTTTGCCCCTCTGCTCCCTTGTCAATTCACACGTCTCTGAATTCCTCTTGGACTTGTGGTATATACAGTATAATTTTAAAAATGCATTGCATATGACTGGTATGGTTTGGCTATATTCCCACCCAAATCTCATCTTGAACTGTAGTTCCCGTAATCCCCACATGTCGTGGGAGGGACCCAATGGGAGGTAATTGAATCACGGGGCTGGTTACCTCCATGCTGTTTTCTTGATAGTGAGTGAGTTCTCATGAGATATGATGGTTTTATAAGGGGCTTCCCCCACCCTTCACTCTGTACCTCTCTTTGCTGCCACCATGTGAAGGACATGTTTGCTTCCCCTTCTGCCATGATTATAAGTTTCCTGAGGCCTCTCCAGCCATGCTGAACTGTGAGTCAATTAAATCTCTTTCCTTTAATGCAATGACCTTATCTCCAATACTTTTTGTGATATGGCCTTATCTCCCCCAACAAGCTTAAATGTTCCTTGAGGGCATGGGCCATGCAGTGTGTTTCTTTTGTGTATTGCCTTCTCAGCCCCTACATGTATATTCATACTTGCCAAGCACAAAACTCAGCATGAGATGAAAAGTGTTTAATTAGGTTGGTGATGGGCCATGCATCATCTGTTTTCAAGGGATAACATAACTATAAGTTTCATGAATGCAGAAACTATGTTTTACCTGCCATCTTAACCTCTGTGCCTGGCACAGAGTAAGTGCTGAATAAATCATTGTTGAATGGATGAATTCCATTCAGGATGAGAATCAAAGCCATTTCACTCAGAGATCTCAGAGAACAAAGAATGCCCAGAAACTACATTAGATGTAGACCATTTCTGTTTTCAAAGGCTCTAAAAGGTATTGTTTTAAAAGTCTACAGTGGATGTTGTATGAACTTGGGTAAGTCCCATTCTCTTTCTGCCCTTCAACTTCTCCATCCTGAACTGGATCAATTCCTGAGTCTTATGCAGCTTTCTTTTCAGTGATTCTGTGATCAGATGTTTCCTGATTGCACTCTATTGCAACTATCATAAATTAAAGTTAAAATTCTAAGGTCCCCCCAACCATCTGAATGGATCCGTCCTCTTGGCTAGGGGCTTTCCAAAGCTAACCTGGAAAACTAGTTCAGTCCATGTTAGGAACAAGGAACCAGACATGCCTCATTATACTCTCCTCCCTTTTGGAGTTACTGATAGAACAGACTCTTTACGTCTGAGAAGAAACATTTACCATCTATTCTCTCCGAAGCCTGCTACCTGGTGGCTTCATCTATTATGATATATCCTTGGTTTCCACAACCCCTTATTATAACCCAGACATTCTCTTCTATTGATAATAACTCTTTCGACAAATTGGTAATCAGAAAATCTTTGATTCCACCTATGACTTGAAAGCCCCCCCACCCTGCCCCAGGCTTCCAGTTGTCCCAGCTTTCCAGACTGAACCAATGTACATCTTACATGTGTTGATTGATATCTCATGTCTCCCTAAAATGTACAAAACCAAGTTGTGGCCTGACCACCTTGGCCACATGTTCTCAGGATCTCCCAAGGGCTGTTTCATGGGCCATTAGTCACTCATATTTGGCTCAGAATAAATCTCTTCAAATATTTTACAGAGTTTGACTTTTTCCTCAACACTATTTAGACTTCCAAACAAGATACTGCTGTACCTGGGCCACTGGCTTCTCAGTCATTTCTCAATCATTTCTCCACTCAGCAAACATTTACTGATGCCCACTGTGTACCAGGCATAGTGCTGAGCACAGGTGATTCAGTAAAGAGTAAGACATAAGCCCTGTCCTCAAGGAGTTCAGTCTGTTGGGAGGTATAGACACATAAACAGGCAACCTAGCCCACACATTGGGTGGGGGTAATCATAGAAAGCTCCCTGGAGAAGCTGATATCTTGGTTAGAGCCCAAAAGATACAGAAGTGGTAGCCAGGAGAGCAGAGCCATATACAAAAGCACATAAAAAGGCCCTGGAGTAGGAGGTTAGGAGAGAGTAACGCAAGATTGGAGGTCACAGACCATTTGGCAGACTGTGGCAACACTCCAGGCGAGAGATGAGAAAGACTTGAACTAAGACCATGGGGCTAGAGATCAATGAACAGGTTTCAGTTAGATTTTGGAGGTAGAATTCACAGTCCTTGCTAATGGATCGGATGTGGGAGATGAGGGAATGGAAGGGTCATGGAGGACCCCTGAGTTTCTGGCTTCATCAACTTTATGAATGGTGCCATTTACTGAGTTAACTCAGAAAAAGGGAGCTGGTTTGGAGAATGGGGTTGAGGAGAAGCCAATGTGGTTCAGTTTGGGGCATGTTGGGTTTGAGTTGGAATATTTATTTGAATAGATCTCTTATACGTCATTGACTATAAGGATCTGGCACAATCAGAAGAGAAATCTGGGCTGGAGGTTCAGGTTTGGGAGTCATTAGTATGTAGATTAAAGCCCTTCAGGAGGAAAAATAAACACTGAGAAGCCAAGTACCAAGGAGAACCAGGACACCATTGCTATGTAAAAGGAGAAATGCTCTCACAGATGTGGGGTACTGGCATACATGCTCATCTATTCCCAAGCACACATCTCTGCCCCCAAAGAGGGTCGCTCAATGATGTCTGTGCATCTCCAACTGAAACTTAAGAGAAGGAGCATTGGTGCCCAATCCTAAACTCTCCATTTTGCCATAAATGATGCCTAAAGGAAAAAGGGAACTAATGCTTTCATTCTATCTGCCAGGTGTTTTATATGTATTAACTCATTTAAATGCTGACAATAATCCAACGTAAGAGCTATTATTACACTTCAGCCCTTGATACTCAAGATGGTTATATCCCTTGCCCAAGGTCACATAACTTAATTGGCAGTAAGGAGACTTCATTTAAAGTGTACCTAACAGCACTGCATCACCTTCTACAATACAACTGGATCCTTAGGAAGGCCTGTGCACACCCTTCTCCCTTCCCTGCTTCATAAATACCATTTGCATCCCCTAGCTTAATGCTTTGCTTTACAAATCCCTCTGGGAAAAGCAAAGCTCTAAGTTGTCAGTCATTAACGCCTCAGTGGGAATGAGTTTCAGATTCTTCCTCAGGAACAAATGTTAATTTTATGGGAGAAGAACACTGGAACCTTAACGGAGGTATAAAAAGGCAGAAAGGGACTAAGTTATGAAAAGTCAGCCCCCTCCACCAGTTTCACCGTCCTGTCTAGTGTGAGGCATATGCTTTTAAGATTCTTCGATGATATATCTACATATGTCTACTACTTTATAGGCAGCCCCATTTCTGGGTCTTTTACCCTAGTTATCTGGGTCTGATCAGAGGCCACCTTAAACTTCACACTGATCCCAACTCACTGTGGTTGGCAGGAGGCAGCCAGCCTGGGCTGTGGTTGCAGACCTGCGGTTCCTGGCCTTAAGCACAAGTCCCAACTCATTCCCTTGAGAATTAGACCCTGATGTGCATATTTAAAATCCTGAGCAGATGGAAGCAGGAGAGCTCATTGGAAAGACTTGGAGGAGTTCCTTCTGCCCTGTCTGGGTCTATTTGCCAAAATAAATGACATGTATCAGAACAGGGCATTAGTCCAAGCCCATTGAAATTCTGCTAGCTGTCCAAACAGTGATGGTGTTTCAGATTGGTTCTGTGAAATGATCAGGGTTAGGAAAAAAGAAATAATGTGTGAGCATCTGGCTGCTGCAGCCTACTGATGGGGACAGTCCCAGGGGCGGGCCCAGGGTAGTGGAGGGGCAGCCTCAAGGACCCCCTAAGACATCTGCCACTGGCAAACAGGGAAACAGCCACATACTGGCAGCAGGTGGTCTGTTTAGTTCCATGCCGTTCCTACTAGCTACGTGACCTAAACAAGTCCTTCCTCTTCTCTCGGCCTTCCCCCTTCCCCCCGCCCCCCGCCCCATGTATAAAATAAAGCCCGGATTGAATGGTCTCTAAGGGCCTTTCCTGCTCGAACATTCTGTGACTTCTCTGACACTGGTTTGATTTCTTTTTCTCTGTAGAGGGAGAGGCCCACCTACCCACCTGCTTATCTGTAGTCTCTATGTTCTCACACTGACCTCTGCTGGCCATTATGAAAAATGTCGCTGATAGTGTCGGGGTGGGAAAGGAAAGGAATTCACCACTGATTTAGTTAATATTAAGCTTTAGCTGTATGGGTAATGAGGCAGAAATCCTGTGCATTAGAGATGAGGAAAAAAGATCATACAGCTATAAGCACAAAGTAAGCGTATCTGGATGACAAAACAACCCGCAGAAGAAATGGGTCTGCCTCTTTTTTTTCTCAGTCACCTTCATTTGTTCCCGGTGTTCTGTGCCAGTGTATGAAAGGACATCCATGGATGGGAAGGCTTTTTGTCTCATATCCTATGACTGCAGGCTCCATAAGAGCCTCACACCATGCTGAGGGGACAGTTCTGGATGAGCAGAAGCCTAGAAACTTCCCACAGGCCCTGCTTCTGGCCCTTGATTCAATGTGAGAGGTTTCAAACTGAGCTGCTGGCACGCCCGCCAACCCAAGCTGGAACCTGGGGCCAGTCCAGAAGTGCATGTTCCTCTAGGGGGTGCCTTTTCAAACTTCTATTTGGAAAAAGAATTAGAATTTAAAAAATATATGTGAGTTCTTTAGGAGAGTTCCTTTCAGCTCTCTTGTTGGAACACAGGGGTCAAGAAATTCTGCATGCCCACCAAGCCAGGAGAAAGGAAGCAGGCTGTGGGACCCTGTCTTTTCTACATGGAATCAGAGTTCCAGTTAGGCCCAGCCCTCGAGTTGCCTACCTCCTAAGTCTCCTTGCTTACCCTTGCTGATAAGCATGTGCTTGCAAAGGTAAGAGACCAGAGGTAGAGGGTGCCAGTCCCTGTGCCTATGCTGGGTGCTGCTGGGACTCTTCTCTCTAATGGTGTGAGCAGGATGGGACTGGGCCACATCACAACCTGCTCTCTCAGTAGCTGTTCAGTGATTTACTGTCCTCTTCCCCTTCCTTCCCTTGATGTGGGAAAACTTTTGTCAGGGCTTGGATTTGGGTCAAGCATTCAGTGCCCTGACTGGATCCTCTCTGCTAGTAATAACATGGCCTCTGCAAGCCCATCCTGCCCTCCATTCTCCCATCAAGCAGCTCCCTCCTCCTCAACAGCTGCTTCTTATCTGCCTCCCTTGTCCCAGCCTCAGGCAGGCAGCCCTGGCCTCATTCTGACATACACATGTTATCCTGAATGCTTCTTGATGACTTTCAGCCCTGAAAGACCGCTCTTCTCCCAACTCTCCCCTGTTCCCAAACCTCTGAGGGTTCCCTGTGTCCTGCCACATCACGACTTCGACTTTTCTGCGGTGCTTTCCAGGCCCGCTTCAGCTGGAACCTTTCCAATCAACCTTTCCAGTGCGGCCCATGACTTCCCCCAGCCATGGGCAAAATGTAAGCCTTCCACAAACCCTCCATTGCCAACTCTTTTTTCATGTTCCCACAGCACTTAGGCTCTGTTCCAAATTTGTACTGTTTGCTGTGATTTTGTATGCATTAGTCTTGAAACCTAGGCCCACATTTTCTTTCTTTTTTTAAAAAAATTATACTTCAAGTTCTAGGATACATGTGCAGAACGTGCAGGTTTGTTACACAGGTATACATATGCCATGGTGGTTTGCTGCACCCATTAACCCGTCATTTACATTAGGTATTTCTCCCAGTGCTATCCCTCCCCTTGCCCACCACCCCTCAACAGGCCCGCATGTGTGATGTTCCCCTCCCTGTGCCCATATGTTGTCATTGTTCAACTCCCACGTATGAGTGAGAACATGCAGCGTTTGGTTTTCTGTTCCTGTGTTAGTTTTCTGAGAATGATGGTTTCCAGCTTCATCCATGTCCCTGCAAAGGATGTGAACTCATTTTTCTTATAGCTGCATAGTATTCCATGGTGTATATGTGCCACATTTTCTTTATCCAGTCTATCATTGATGTAGGCCCATGCTTTCGACCTCCTACTCATTGTCAACAGCACCCCAGCACTATTTTTTAAGTACTGCTCTTTTTATATTATTAATATGCATTATACACACATATACATATATACACACATATTTATTGATTTTGTGAAAATCCCAATAATAATAAATAACAGAACCACTGTAAACAAAGTTCCAACAATGGGAGGTAGGAGCCTAAAAATTGAAAGTTTACTCCACCCCCATCATTCCCAGAATGAAGCCTGTTAAACAGTTTGCAACCTATCATTTTTTGTAGGCCACATGTTGGGTATTGGAAAAGGTTAAGTGGTAGGTGGTGCCCAAGAGAACTGCATTTCCTTGGACAGAGCATCTTTTACTTCCTTGCAAGGGTCGTAGGTCTTCGTGGGCCTGATTGACACTCAAAATTATACTCCAAAGGATCATCACAGCTGGTGGCCACTTGCATCTCCAGTACTTAACTGTAGCCACAGCATAAGGCATCTGTCCCATTTTCAGCCTTTTAAAAAGTAAGCCTTGAAGGTGAACAGTAAAGGGCATGCTTAATGGGCTTCTTTTCAAAGTTTTTCACAGATTTGTAGGAAATGATGGACAGTCAGTAAAGGGGCCAAGAGGTGGAGATGGGAAGCATTTATGAAAATGGACTTTCTACCTGATACGGTGTTGTGCTCTCTGAGAGGTAATGCATATTACTAATGGTTTTCATTTTTCTGCCAAGAAAATTCAGTCCCTACTGGGATTTGTTCTAAATGATAGACCAGCCTGCCTGTGTTGCACCCACTAGGGTTAATACTCAGTCTGAGTCCACTTTAAAATGTCAGCCTGAACTCTCAGACTTAATTGTTACAGACATTTTATAAGCAGGGCATTTAAAATCCTCAGGCTGTTCCCTCTTGCTATCATAATTGATACTTAATAGATATTCTTAGGCTTCTTGTATTTTACACATTCAACACTTTACAGATTGGAGAGGAGAGGAGAGAGGGATAGGAAGAAAGAACAAATAAGCAATTCATGTGTGTATATGTGCATGTGTATGTGTGTTTTCCCTGTGAATGTCTGCTACTAGGTGCAGTGATGGAGTCCTGGGATCTGCCAACGAAGATGAGCTCTTGCAGGTTTGTCAGCCTGTAGGTTTCTGGGCCCACTCTGGCCCCCTGGGGCAATGTTCTTTAGCCACAGCCATTTCTGGATTTCACTGCAAGCACATGGTTGGCCATTTGGACGTGAGTTATAAAATGTCATGATGCTCTCCAGCGCTCTGTTCTTTCACTATTTTGACAATCTGATGGATGGCCTGGCATTAACTAGGAAGAGGACAATATTATCCATCCTGAATAACTGATTTCCTAAGAAGTACAAAGTTGAAGGATCTTGGTGCACATGAATCTTATTAAATGTGCTTATAAAATGTGTTCTATCCAAATAAGCTTAGCAATCCCTAAAATAGCCTTTTCTGATCCGTGTCTGGAACTTTGGCGTGCCTCACAGATCTCTTAGCCAAAATTATTCAGTGAAGTTATGACAGTGCTCTTTGTGCGTGGGAAAATGAGAAGTATTAATGCTAAGTCCTCTATTGACTAATTGCACTCCTTCTGTCCACCTTAGGGACGACCTGGACCAATTGGAATTCAAGGCCCAACAGGTCCTCAAGGATTCACTGGCTCTACTGGTTTATCGGGATTGAAAGGAGAAAGGGGTTTCCCAGGCCTTCTGGGACCTTATGGACCAAAAGGAGATAAGGTAAGACCAGCAAAGCTTGATTTCTCTTTGATGCATGGGCCACAAATGTAAAGATCAGAAGTTCTCCATCCCAGTTCTGCTCATTTATGATGTCATTCCTGAGTAGTTTGGTGCCAGGCTGCATTTCTGCATTTTTTTTTTTGAGACAGAGTCTCGCCCTGTTGCCCAGGCTGGAGTACAATGGCGTGATCTCGGCTCACTGCAACCTCTGCTTCTTGGGTTCAAATGATTCTCCTGCCTCCACCTTCCAAGTAGCTGGGATTACAGGTGCCTGCCACCAGCTAATTTTTGTATTTTTAGTAGAGATGGAGTTTCACCATGTTGGCCAGGCTGGCCTCAAACTCCTGATCCACCAGTCTCAGCCTCCCAAAGTGCTGGGATTACAGGCATGGGCCACCATGCCCCACCCAGGCTGCATATTTTAATAAGAGATGGGATGGGTGATGGCCTGCCAATGGATCAGCCCACTTCTGGAAGGACTCCCATAGCAAGCACACCATAAAGTAAATGTATTAGCTGCTTGCTAAACAAGTGGGCTCACTGTGGTAAGAAGTCAGGTGGGTTTGAACTGTACATGGACCGGAAGTCCAATCACCTGGGCAGCACAGATCAGGAATCCAAGCAAGGATACAGGGAAGAAAGGGGTCAGAGTGCTTAGAAGCAATCTAGGCCACAAATATAGGGAAAGAGCTGCAAGAAACGAGAGTGATAATGTCATGGTGGCAGGCTGACTGTTCAGCAGCTCAGTTTATGTTCCCTGCCTACTTTAATCACCTTCTATTCGCCCTGTTGGTGAGGGAACGATTCCCTCACTAGGATCATGGGGATGACTAAAGATATGACACCTGACACTGGGCAGATGAAGTTGACAGCAATTTATTAGTCACATATACTCACAGCTCAGGGGAGGAAGATACCACACACCACATAGGGCCACATAGGGATAGCACTTGGGAACAGAGTTTAGAAGAAAAGGCTGTGCAAAGCAGACTTTGTAGTATCAGTAGGGCAGGGTGCCCCTGGTTCCTGAAGGTGGATGCAATTGGCTTGTTTGAATAGTCCAGTAGGCCAGCAAGAAATTGAAACTGCTATTCCAGGATAAGCAGGAATTGCACCTGGTCCATTTGATAAGGAGAGTTGTTCGGCTAGGGGACCTTATCTGTAGAAGCATAATGGAGAGGGAAACTTGTGATTAGGTCATTCAAGGTTCTCCAGTTTTCCCCAGATGGCAGCAGGTAATAGTAAGCCTTAATTTTAAAACCTCGACTATACTCCCTTAAAAAAAAGAGCTGGTTTCGGAACAAAGACCTGTCTAAGGCCTTAGGTAGAGGTAAATGGTCACTTCGAACTGCAGTAGGAATCAAGGGAATACAATATGGGGAGGGGGGTACGAAACACTTCTTAAAAATGTAGGCCATTGACTCTCATAAACCTACTGAGTCTAACAAACATCAGTTGGATTGTGTCTTACATTCCTCTCCCTACTCCTTTTTTTAGGGTCCCATGGGAGTTCCTGGCTTTCTTGGCATCAATGGGATTCCGGTGAGTGTGTCCACAGATGAATTTTTCATATCCTCCTTTAGGTTCTGCCTCATATTTTGGACACTTTGACCTCAGCAACATCCTGTCTCATGCAAGCATGCTCAGGAACAAGTGTTGAGATATGTATGGTGAGGTTTAAAGGGCAGTGGTCACACACAATTGCCCTTGGATTCAGGCACAAGCAGCCCTATGTCGGATGATTGGAGAGCGGAGGGACCTGTGTAGCCATAACATCAATATCTTAGCCAACATGAGTTAAGTCTTGTGGGTTGAGTGGAGCTTTGATTGGAGATGAGGAACTGGTTCTAAGGTGTAAAGACAGAGCCACATTAGAGGATATATATCCTCATATAGGGAAATTAAGATGGTACATGAAATTAGAGGGTAAAATCCTTCATGATATCTTGATACATTCCATTTTGTAATTTGTTCTCTTCAGACATACCTCATTTCAGAGTGAATTTTCCTTTAAAGTTTTTACAAAGTGACTACTCCAAAGATCACTTGGAGGCAGCCTCTTGCAAAATTTGTCCTGTGGACCTCTGCTCTGCCCAAGAGAAGTGGAAGGTTTGGAACTTGCAGACATTTCTTTTTTCCATCCACCCAGCCTAATCCCTTAGTTTCTCTATTTTCATCCTGTATCTGTGCCTATCCCACCACTGGTGATTCCATGGTAGCATTGCACCAGCCTTTAAAATACAATATTTGGAACTTACTGGCTATCTTTTTTTAGTTTTTCCCTTTGACACTTCTCTATATATTTAAGCCATAGTCTGGGCTATGTTTGTCTACAGCAGCAGTTTTCAATCTTGTTTAATAGAAGAACAGAATCTCAGCATATAGAACAGAAAAAAACAGTGCAGCTCCTCCATTTGTGGGAGGTCCTAGAGCCTGCTTTTATCCTTCCAACAGCCTCTCAGAGATTGTTCTGAACCTTATCAAAGCATGGTTTTTGGAGGCCCTATAATTAACAGCTTTTGTGTTATACTCAATAATAATCTAATGTCAGGAAAAGGGGTTCAAATCTCTTTTTGCCAATCTATAGATATTTAACGTGCCCCTGCTGTATGTTAGCACTCAACCTTGGGTATACAGAGGAATCATGTGGCTCTGCCCTGAAAGATAGTATCATCTGATTCATTGTCTCCTCTGATGTAGTAGAAATTTATGAATTTGAAGAACTGAAGGCTCACTTACCTCGTATCTGTTGCATGTATCAACAAATCGGCCATCAGACTTCAGCATTTTATTCAACTGCAGAGTCTGCAAAAATGCCCAGAAATAGACCAGTGGGAAAATAAGCGGACAGGGTTGGCCATCCTTTTGTGATGTCTCCTGACATTTTCTTATGGCTGTGTTCCTATGCCCCTTTAGCCAGAGTCTCCACCCAGACTGTGTATCTTCTGGGAGCCACTGGGTAAGGGAAACTAGCAAACTGGAGGCAGCCTCTTCCATTCATCCTGTGGACCTGGCTTTGCCAGAGATGAGTGGAGGACTTGGAGCTTTCCGTCTTAGTATGCCCTTCCTCCTGCAGTCTTGTTTTAATGGGAGCTGGAAGGAAGTGAATCCTGTGAGGCTAAGGCTGTTTCCAATTCTGAGCTGGAAACGGCCCCAGAGTCCAGCTGGATACTCTTGCCTCCAACCTGTGGCCAAGAGAGCCCTAGAGCTTGCAGGAGTTGATCACTTCTCTTCGAGGCTTCATTGCTTGGCAGAATGAGTTGCAGCTGTTCAGACCCCTCTTAATGAGCTTACTGCTCCCAGTAGAAGTCCCCACTCCCTGTGGGGTATCCACATCTTTTACTTAGGCCTTATCCTTTTCTAGTTTTCTTGCCTGAACTCCTGATATTTCCTTTCCTTGACCAAAAATTGTATGTGTTTTCTTTTGACTTCTGATTGCCCTAGCTGCAGGCTCCAAACCTCATTACTCCATAAAATCCCACTTTCTTGTTGTTTCTCTCTCTTGAAGCCTCTCAAGAAGTATTTGTTGAACATCTTCTGTTCAGTGCTTACCTCTTCCTTCCATTTCTAATCTCCCAGGAGTCATTGGTACCCGTCTCAAATACTCCAGTGCCTCACTACCTACAGCCTACAGCCCTATGGGACTTAGTGATAGATAGTTTTTTGTGATAGTCTCATCCAGCTCCTAGAAAGCAGAGATTATATCTTCCGTTCCTCTCAGAAGCCTGAGAGGCCCATGACCAAACTCTGCATAGAGTAAACACTCTAAAGATATTGCGGTGGAGGCTGACTCCAACCTCTAGTGCCTAGCAATAGTTCTTAGACTGTCAGGGCTCCCCCAGACAGAAAAACACAGACACCATAGGCCTAGTCAGACTGATTATTTTGTTCAACTTTCAGTAACACATATTAAGCAATTTGGCTGAAACCAACAGCTTTCCCAACACATCTTACTAAACTGGATCACTGCACAGATCTGCTTCCCCTCTTAATATTAGCTGATTGTTAACATATGTGTCACTAGCTTTGTTCTCAAAACTCCATTTTTGCTGTCATGTAGACAATCTCAACATGAGTGGGTTAGTCGTCACTTCATGATAACCTAAGTCTTTGCACTAAAGGGCACAGCAACTAATCAAGAGAGTGAGCAAACAAGCATTCCTAAGATAGTCAACATTAGAACAACATAGACTAGGGACAGTAGGGCTGTGGCTTTTAATGATATCCCAGCTGTGAGTTGGGCCTGTTGGCATCCACAAGAAATGTGTGTTTATCAAATGTTTTCAGTTCAAGGCAGTTGGGAGCAGAGATTTTCACTTTGCAATTTATGTTTAGCTTTCCCCATGGAGTCAATCCTGAATCTCTAGTTCCCTGCCTGGAGACTTGTAAATGAGCACATGAGATTTATATCCTCAAAGTGAACACACACCACTCACCAAATGGAAACTTTTCCTTTGAAACTGGGTTCTGAGGAACATTGCTTTAGCTTTTCTGGAATACAACAGATCCTCCTATTCCATGTGCTCAGTCCCTTGAGGCAATATAGAACTGTGGTTTCCCCCCTCAAAGAGCTATACGCTCTTGGAGGGTTGGCACACACATATGTAAAATCATTAGCTATAAGAATGAAGGGCAATGTGCCAGAAATTCTGTGGTTCTGAGAACTGAGAGGAGGTAGAGCTCAGTCCTGTGGTTTACCCTTGCTGACTTGACTGAGAGAAGACCATTTATTGAGCTCCTACTTAGTAAACCTAGTCTCACTTATTTTAACCATAACCCAGTGGAATAGGCATTATTCACTTTTAATGCTGACAATGACTCTATAAGGTAGGTATTAGTCATCACCATTTGACAGATGAGGGAACTGAGGCTCAAGCTGGGGAAGGGAAACAGTGGGATTGGAGCACAAGTCTAACTGGCTCAAAACATGCCTTGTCTACCCATTCCTTGGTATCAGCTGGATGAAAAGGGGCTGATAGATCTGAGTCAGAGGTCAAAGATTTATTTCCAGAGAATTCAGCTAAGGTAGGAAAGTGTAAACAGGTATCCCTGAAATCCTACAGGTAGGAAATATCAGGAGTTCAGGCAAGAAAACTAGAAAAGGATAAGGCCTAAGTAAAAGATGTGGATACCAAAGGTTAAGAATCCAGACAAAGGTTTTGGTGTCAAACAGAAACAAGGGCTCAGGAGTGAGGAAGACTCCTGGCACTGAGCCAGCCTGTTGTTTTGCATCAATTTATCCCTGTAACCTAGCTGAGAGATAACCCCTAGCAAGTTTGGCTGGGACATTTTATAATAGTGGTGATCAGGATCCCAGCAGGAAACAGACATTTCACCTGAAGAGTTTAACTGAATAGAGTTGAGTGAAGGCTATATTTAACAGATGTGGGAAAGATTAAGGGAAACAACAATGGATGGTGGAACGACTAACTCAAAGCTACCCCTAGACCCGAAAGGGGAAAAAATGGAATGGTAATTACTGGAGTCCTCTGAGATCTGGAACCATGAAAAAGCTGTTGCCGAATAGGAACTAAGACTATGGAAAAATTTGTCCATTTCCTTGGAATATAGCCAAGGAGGGAGGGCATGGGAGAAATAAATAACCTGTGTCTTTCTCGTCCTGCTTTGATCTCTCCAGTCTGTGTCTCCCAGTGGCCAAATACAACTGGAAGACAGAACGAAAGGGAGCCTAGGTTGCCTCCATAGAGGCCAGGCTCCTAGGACATAGATCTGAGGGAGATAGAGTGTAGATCTTCAGGGCAAACAAGAGTAACCATCCCAGTTACTAATAAAAAGTTGCAAACTTTAGTGAGCTGCATCAGCTTCCCCAGTGCAACTAAAAATCATCACCTGAGTCTGCAGAGGCACAGATTGCAGCAACTTTGTTGTAAAGACAAGTTTATTGACCATTCCTCTGGACTTCGCATTCCATGAGTCCAGTAGTCTAGACTCACACTTTTGTATTAACAGTGTGTCTAGCTCTTACAACTATAATAACAACGAAAATGAAACAGAATTCTATAGAATATTTTCTCTATAAGAATTTGATAAAAGGTTGTTTCCTCTAATAATTTGAAAAGTTCATTTTTGAACATATAGCATGTTTCTCTCAAATCATTAAATATATATACTTGGCTTTTAAAGTGTGTTTGCATCGGCAGGGGGGACATCTACCTTTTATTGACCTGTCTATATTTCTGGTCTTTCTGGTCATCTCTTTGCTCCATGCCCAACACACAATTGGCTTTTGATGAATTAAAAAAGGTATATTATCTACAAAAGGGTAGACTCTATGTACCAAGGAAGCCCAACTCTGGAAAATTATTGAATTCAGATGAATTGTATGAGAATGATTACTAATTCCCCAGCAAAACAACTGCCTCAGTCGTTAGTACGGAGAGGAAAACATACAGTTTTCTAACTGAAGCAATAGCCTGATGTGTGAGCATGATAAAATGAGATTGAAAATGTGATTCTTGCAGGACTTGCTTATTTTGGACCAAGCAACTTTCAGGAGAGGGGGTGCTGTGGGAACTGCTTCTGCTCTGTTAACCAAAATCCAGCATCATTTCCCATGCAGAGCTTCCAATACTGAATGTCATGCCAGGCTGCTCAGGTTCTGTCTGGCCTGAGGAATCCCAAGGCCTGGCATGATTCCCTGTTGGTATCACTTCAGCTGCCAGACAGCTAAGCCCAATTTTAGTACATCTTTGTATACAAGGAAGGTAAAGTTGCAAGACCTTGTGTATCCCATCTGTTCATGCTTGATCCCTTTGGTTTCAGCTTGGTCCCTATTAAAGCATTCATCCTTTTGGGAGGGGCAACATTGAGCTATGATTAGACACATATGCTTGAGTATAAAGGAAAGACATGCAAACATACATGATGGGGCTAAGGGAGTGAACAAGGAGCCACAGTTTAATAGCATGCTTGGCTTTTCTCGCTGTGGAGCCATTTAGAATAGCTGACAGTCCTTTGGCTAACTTGATCCCTTCTTTTCTCTTTGAACAGGGCCACCCTGGACAACCAGGCCCCAGAGGCCCACCTGGTCTGGATGGCTGTAATGGAACTCAAGGAGCTGTTGGATTTCCAGGCCCTGATGGCTATCCTGGGCTTCTCGGACCACCCGTATGCTGCCAGATATTTGCATTTTATTTCAAATGGCTTTGCTTGTCTCTACGTGTGCCCTTTTTCTGCCTCTCTGGAAACCTCAAGATTTTGTGGGGCAGCCACTACACACCCTTGTCCAATGTAGGAGTCAATACTGGCAGCACCACAACAGTAAAAGTCTAAAGAAGAATACCAGTTGCAGTGGGGTGTGCACATGCTACACTGCTTAGGGTTGCCTTTTTTTTAATGCAGCTTGTGAAATTGGCAAGATTGTTAAAAGGCTGTAGTAAATTTCATGGCAAAATACACACTTGGGCTATTTGACATGGTCCCACATCAGACAATATTGAGGAATGTTTGGAAGACTTATATGGGATCATGGAAGCACTAACCAAAACCCAAAGGGGCTTGCAAGCTTGGTCTATACCAGTGGTTTTTAACCAGAGGTGATTTTTGCCACTCAGGGGACATTTGGCAATTACTATTGATATTTTGAGGTCTCACAATTGGTGGTGTGCTACTGGCACAAGACAGCCCCCTCCCCAACATCTAGAAATCATTTGGCTCAAAGTGTCAATAATGCTGAGGTTGAGAAACCCTACTCTATAGTAACAGAGTTTGTGGCTACACTCCCACATCATAACCCTTGGTTATGGTATTGATAAGGTATTTATTGGATTCCAGTGTCACCACTTTTATTTAATTCTATTCATCCAGATAGGGCTCAGATATTTTGATCTAAGGGATCTCTAGTAAATACAATGCCCTTCCAGGCTGATTTTACAAGTGGCTGGAAAGAGTAAAATAACACATTTCAGACTCATTGTCAACCTCCCTTGAAATAATCTAAACTCATGAGGGCACTGATCTGAGATATTTAACTAGAAATCACTCCATTCATGAGACATGTTTTATAGCTACATGAATTAATTGACACTTCATTGGAAGAGCAGCACCACCACCTTCAGTGACCAGGTTGGGGTGTGGGTATATGTGTGAGAAAATGAGATAGATGGACAAAGCACAAGCCCCAGATTGGCATATAGGACTTTGACACCTAAGGACCAAATCAATATGCCGGGGGGTGGGGAGGTAAGGAAAGATGTATTGCTAACATAGGATGAGATAAGTGGGTTACAAAGTTCTCCAAAGATTGCCATGGCAACCAGGTATAGAACAAAACATTTCCATGAAAATCCAGCAAAGCAAGGACATGCTACCCCCTAAAAGGAGAAAATAAATGTTGAGGTAATAAATACCCATTGACAAAGGACAAAGGAAAAAACCTAGTTCTGTCTCTTAACTTAACCTCAAGCCTAAATAGGAACTTGGGCATGTATTTTACTAAGTGGAGATGTATCCTTTGCTGAATACCAAACAGATCATTCAGTTGGCTTTTTTGAAGCTTCTTTCAAGACAGTAGTGGCCACAAGAATAAAGTGAAACAGGCAGTGTTAGGAAAAAAAGTGAGAAAAAAAAAACGGTTTCTGCTCCTGGGATCACGTTGTTGTTTTATGATACCAATAATCCCTGTGCTGAAGGAATCAATCATTCAATAAATGCTTCAGTCCACAAAGCTTAGCCCTACCCCACATACTAATCCTGACTTCCCCTTAGGTGTAGGGACGTTGATTATCCCCAGGTGTACAAACTCTAACAGATATTAGCCAGCATCTGCCAGTAAGACAGCAAAAAATCTAGTTGAAAGATTGGAATTGTGTACTTTGAACCATTTTTCATGTTAGCAGTGAGATACACCAGCCTCTTAGACAGACTTTGAATCTGAAGTTGTGTGGTAGAAGTACAGGATGAAGGTAGTTTTGTAGATATCTTTTAGACCAGAGGTCTACAAACTGGACCACATGGCCTTTGGCTTGTGGCCTGTTTTTTTTTTTTTTAAATAATAAAATAAAAAGAAAGAAAGAAGAAGAGTATAAAACAGAGTTTAGATATGACCCAAAAGGCCTAAATTATTTACTATCTGGTTCTTTTCATAAAATTTTACTAACCTCTGTCCTAGACAAAGGTTCTGTCAGTGACCTATACCTGTGAGGGGTGAAGCAGCGAACTCTCCATTACATGAGTTATTTGTGGTTGTTCAGACCAGTACTCTGAATAGATGTAAAGTATCTGACTTTAACACATTTCAGACCCATTCAAACCCTTTCCCTTTACAGACTTCTGGCTTGGGGATTGGGAGGGCATATAGCTCTGAATCAGAGCACCCGGTCAAGGAATGTGTTTTGCCCCTTAGTACAGCCAATTTTGCCATAGAAAAAGCCACATGGTTTCAGGCTCTTGCTGTCCCATCCTCTATCTGATCAGATAATGCAATTAAAAAGACTGTAAGTGTGTGTATTTCTTCAATTTTTTAAACTATTTTACTCAGGGGCTTCCTGGTCAGAAAGGATCAAAAGGTGACCCTGTCCTTGCTCCAGGTAGTTTCAAAGGAATGAAGGTAAGAACCTGTAAGTCAGATAGCTGAGTAGGCTATAAGCTGGGTTCCCCAGCATTGGGCCCCACCTCCAGTGAAAACATTTCCAGAACTAGCATCTGTGTCTCTATTTAAGGAGCAGACCAAGCTGGATTCAAAAGAATCTGGAGCTTTTTGTGGTGGAAACATTGACATAAATGTTTGCAACTATACTGTCAAAGAGATTTGCTCTGCAGGATCTAGACCAAAAATAGGAGACAGATCAGCAAACAAACAGTTTGCATGGGTATCATTTTCTTTCACAAACCAAGACATTTCCCGGAGGCAGATACCTTTTATCTACTCCAGAATCCTTGTTGTCTGTATTCCTTGGTTTGAAGCCATGTATGTCTCTGCCCATCTCAACATGGCCTTTAGCCAAAGATCCTGGTTCTGCCCTTCTCTGTCACTACACACCAACCCATCACCCTAGCTGGGCCCCTGGATGTCTGCAAAAATTGCCCATCAGCCCTGAGGCTGGCTGGAATCTTTCATCTCTTTCCAGAATTGACAAGAACCTTCTGTGTTCTTGTGACTGTGTTGCCTGATATCCTGCGGGGCCTAAGTAAACCCTGGCTCCAAATGATTGGCCCTATTCCCTTGCAGAGTGGGGCAGGAGTCCATCATTTCCCTGGTAGCAAATGAGAATGTATGTGCCCAACATCTGAGGAGAAGATGCACCAAGTTCACTCAGCTAATTGATGGCACTTTTCTGTCTTCCATTAGTGCATAGAGCCTGGAACATTGGAAATCACTTTGGAAGGCAGTGATGGGGGTGGGTGGCTGGAGAGCCGGACAAGATTTAGGGTATGGGCTTCTAACTATAGATGCCATAGTAGAAGATAGAATGTTTGAGTTGGAAAGGACCTCATGATTCTTGGACTCGTATTGCTCATTTTACAGATAGAAAAACTGAGGTGTACTGAGGCTATGTGACTTGCTCAAAGCCAGTTCACTAAAGAGCTAAAACTCAGGCAGTGCTCTTTCCATGCTACAGAGAGCTGATTTTTTACTGTAAGCCAAGTGGAGTAAGACTAGCAGGTGTCAAAATTTGGTCATTGTCTTAGAAAACATTGATTAAATGGCTTTGCCAAATATCAAAGAGACCCTGGATCCAGTGGAACACAACAATTTTCACAAGATGGTTATATTACTGATTCATGCAGTAACTAAACATGCAGCAAAGTAATTAAAACATAATCAGAGAGTGTATGCTCTGTTGATTTTCCCTTGAAATGACCGATTTGCATCGTATACATATGGGCACAGAATCTTTGGGGATGAAGGCACACAGGAAGGTAGCTTTGCTTTCCTCCAAAAGGAGTAGGAAAATCACTAGCCCACAGAAGTAGTTTCTAATTGATAAGTACCTAGCAAAGGTGAAAATTAATTAATCCAAGTAAAATGTGAAATCCTGTTCAGCCAAGGCTATAATATGTGTCTTCTACAGTCCAGATTTTTCTTACAGAAAAAATAAACAATCTAAACAGTCGAATATGTCCAATTCATACATTATTTAAAACACAAGACTTTGACAGAGGAGGCCCAAGGTTCAGAGATGTGTTTTTGTCCCTATAAATGTTAGGTTAGTTATCTGAAATATTGCAGGCTTAATTTATTAAACTCTTCAGTGTCCTGCCTTTGTTTCTCAGGGGGATCCTGGGCTGCCTGGACTGGATGGAATCACTGTAAGTTGTTATTTATGTGTTGAGCTCTCAGTGTTGACTAAAAATCACTAATGGTGCATTTTCGTTCTTCTCTATGATGTTCTAAGGTCTTTGTAGACCTCAAGGAAAATCTAGACAGTTGAAGTAGAATGGGTCACAGTATTGACATTTTCCAAATGAGAAAGCACTGAGAGGATGAACTGTCCACTGTCAAGTTGCATGACAAGCAGGCTTTCAGACTTTAGGCCAGAGACATGTATTCACTGGGATGTACTTTCCCCTAGGAATGTATTTTGCCTTTCCTTCAGCAAGCACTTACTAAATGTTTTCTGTTTGTCGAGTGCTGTGAGTAAATCAAAAGAAGTAGAGCACATTGCTTTAAAAGGTATTCCACACAGAAATTCCTTTTAGGGACTCTTGATAATGGTGAGTCCATGTAAGGCTGTGAGTTATGTTAATAAGAGCATTATTTTTCTTTGAGATTCCACATTGTCGTCACTTTTTTTTTGAAACAGCTTAAGAAAAAAACCTTTCTTTCCTCTTCTTTCTTTCCCTTTCCTGTATTCACTCTTTCTTTCTTCGCTCTATCTTTTTTCAGTAATCTCTGAGACAATGTAGACACAGTCCCTGCCCCCAAGGGTGGGAAAAACTAGTAGGAATGTGGCATAAGAATTCCACAGCAACTTAGAGGAAGAGATGCCATTCACTTAAGGATATGTCATGTGAGTCTTTATGTCTAAGAGACAGAAGGTAGCTTGTGAGAAGTGTGAATGGTGTTTAGCTGGCAGTGGGAGGAGACTTTCTAAATAGAGAGTTACGGAGTTTCATGAGAAAAAGTAGGCAAAAAAATGGGATGTGTGCAAGCACACACAAAAACAGAGATGAATAAGGACCAAGGCCATACATATTCCCTAGGGCAAAACAATTGGCTTAGATAGTGTATTCATTAAATTTACAGAACAACATCCACTGTACTTGCTGCATAGCTTCTCTTAGGTACTTGTTTTCCTGCCCACAAAGGCTCAATGTTTGTCCACATACACAGGCATGATATACAAACTGCTTCAATTTGGGGAGAGGGCATTTGGTGGCTAAGATATTTGTGATCAGCAAGGTGATCACAGGTGGCTAGTTATTTTCAAAACAATGTTCAGACTATCATTTATTTCTGGAGGCCCTTTGAACCCCTCCTTTCTCTTCCTCCTGTCTGAGTTCCAACCTTTCTTACCCTCTCCGCCCCTTATCCAGGCCCATGTCAAGTTATTCCTGCTCCACAATTGGAAATGGACCCTTGCATTTCACCAGACCATTTTTCTCTTGTGATTTCACTGTCTTATGTTTAACATTGTTGTTATTTGATTCAAAAATTTTCTAAGTTCCCTTATGATTTTTTCTTTGACCCATGGAATATTTAGAAGTGTGTTGCTTCGTGTCCAAATATTTAGTAACTTTCCAGCTATCTTTCTATTATGGATTTCTAGTTTGATTTTATTGTAATTACAGTGAACACTGTGTTATTTCAGTTCTTTTAAATTTGTCAAGGTTTATTTTATGGTCCAGCATACAGTCTATCTTGGTGAATATTCCATATGCACTTGAACAGAATATGTATTCAGCTGTTGCTGGGTATAATGATATTAAAAATATCCATTAGGTCAAGGTAATGGATATTATTGTTTGGATCTTCTATGTCCTTCCTGACTGATATTTTTGTCTAGTGTTTCTGTTCATTATGGAAGGAGGGATGTTAAGATGTCCAACTGTAATTGCAGATTTGACTGTTTCTACTTGAAGTTCTGTTAGTTTTTGCTTCATGTAATTTGAAGCTCTGCTATTATGTGCATAGGCATCTAAGATTGTTATGTCTTCTTGATAAATTGACCTATTTTATCATTTTGAAATGTCCTTCTTTATCTCTGATAATATTATTTGTCTCGAAGCCTACCTTATCTGATATTAATATAACTTTTGCTTTTTTAAAAAATTTTTTGTTTTTTTATAACATTCTAATAGGAAAAATTTCAAATATAGAGCAAAGTAGAGTGAATTTTGCAATGAACACACATACCATTAATATTTTACTATACATCATCCCTTGGTATCCATGGGAGATTGGATTCAGGACCTCTCATGGATACCCAAATCCATGAATGCACAAATCCCTCGTATAAAATGGTGTCATATTTGCCTGTAACCTATACACATCCTCCCCTATACTTTTAATAATCTCTAAGTCACTTATAATACCTAATACAATGTAAATACTATGTAAAAAGTTGTTACACTGTATTGTTTAGGGAATAGTAACAAAAAAGAATTTGCGTATGTTCCATACAGATGCAACCATCCTTTTATAAAAAAAAAATTTCAATCAGTTGGTTGAATCCACAGATGTGGAACCCACAGATACAGAGGGCCAACTGTACTTGCTTTATCCTCCTTCTATCTATCTATCCATCCCTCTCTCTGTCCATCAATCCATCCTATTTTTAAATTTTTATTTTAAGTTCTGGGGTACATGCACAGGACGTGTAGGTTTGTTACATAGGTAAACAACGTGTGCCATGGTGGTTTGCTGCACCTATCAACCTGTCACCTAGGTTTTAATCCCAGCATGCATTAGCTATTTTTCCTGATGCTCTCCCTTCCCCTACCCCACCCACCGACAGGCCCCAATGTGTGTTGTTCCCCTCCCTGTGTCCATGCATTCTCATTGTTCAGCTCCCACTTATAAGTGTGAACATGCGGTGTTTAATCCATCCTATTTTTAATGAATGTCAAAGTAAATAGTAGACAAGAGTTCAGTTACTCCTAAATCCTATAGCATGCCTATCTTTAATTAGACTTCAATATTTGTTTGCAGTTCTTTCTTTTTATATAAAATTTACATACAATGAAACACCTAACTCTTAAGTGTATGTTTGCTGAGTTTTGACAAATGCATACTTGTATGTAATCCAAACCTCTATTCAGGTATAGAACATTACTATCACCTCAGAAAGTTCCCTCCTGCTCATTCCCTGTCAATCTCTGCCCCAATTCACCCCAAAGGCAACCACAATCCTGATTTTTCTCCTTTATGCCAGTCCTAGAACTTCATGTAAAGGGAATGATATAAACTCTAGCCTTTTGGGTCTGGCTTTTCACTTAACACAGTGATTTTGAGATTAATCCACATTGTTTCATATATCAGTAGTTTGCTACTTCTTATTGTAGGCATTTATTCCACTGTTTGAATCTATCAGAGTTTATCCTTGTATCATTGGACAACTGGAACATTTCCAATTTTTGACTATTATGAATAAAGTTGCTATGAACATTCTTGTACAGTTCTCGTGGACATACATATTTTCATTTTTCTTGGAAAACTGCCTTGCTTTTTGAACTTGGTAAAAACTTGCCTCTCTAGGGCCCACAAGGAGCACCCGGATTTCCTGGAGCTGTAGGACCTGCAGGACCACCAGGATTACAAGTAAGATCAATTTAAGCCTAGTTTGTGATCACAGTGTTCACATGGTTGTTTTCCCTACATACTATGGATTCAATGTAAACCTGTGTAATTTAGGTCCTCCTGGGTGAGCAAGGGCAACCTCCATTCTTGGAGGGTTAAAGTAAAGCATGCTCTTGCGAGGAGCTATTGGAGTTATTTATCAGAGTCTATCTGACCATCCAATCTGTGCCTCTAAAGCCTCCCACCCTAGCTCAACCTAAAGTATAGCCCAGGGATGGCAGATCCCTGACACATTTCTTGCCACCTTCCATTTCCTCACCCATGACAGGTATTGCTAATTAATCATACCACCATCACTATCACCCACCCTGAATACTGAAGAAGCTTCAAATTCCTTCCTAACACTGCATCTTGGGCAGCTCTACCTACCTACCCATTTTTCTGACACAAAACCTGTTTATCATCACTGGTAGAGGAAAAGCATAGCCAGTCATCTATGTGGTTCTGGGAAAGCTGTGTCCCCAGATTGTTCTCTCCAGTGCAAGAAATCCCATTACTCAGTACTTTGGCTTAGCTTCACCAAAGGTCATCATTTTAAAATTTCTGGCCTGTTGGGAGGAATGACACATGAAGTCTTCACTACCTTAGCATTAATGTGATTACCAGGTCAATTTGGGGGATTTCAAAGGAGATAAAAGGGAACCATAGGAAAGACAGCTAGAATCTACTATGCCAAAGCAGGAAAGATGGCTGAGTTACTGGGGAGTGACTCTCAACATGCCGTGTTCTTTTTGACTGAAACTAACAAGTGCTAACTCTTTCTTATTTTTAAAAAAAATCTAGGGTCCTCCAGGGCCTCCTGGTCCTCTTGGTCCTGATGTAAGTATACTTTGTCTTAGGGCATTTTGCTTCCTACTCCTAAGTACTCTGGATTTCCCAGAGAGATACTGGTTTGGTTAACCCTACTTTCTGGTAAAAAAGATTGCATTCCAATTTAAGTTCCCAGAGCTTATTTAGTAATCGATTTTGTTTTTCCTCCCTATATCCCTATTCCCTAGGGGAATATGGGGCTAGGTTTTCAAGGAGAGAAAGGAGTCAAGGTAAACAGCTTTTAAAAAATACAGTCTGCCTTCCATATGCTGCAAGAAATGTGTCTGATTACACACATGTGCCTGCTTGTGTAAGAGGATTTGTTTTTTCGCCTTGGGAAATGAATATTTCCCAACCCACATAGATCCTCTGGTGGGATCTCTTGAGGGCTACATGTGTACATGCCACACATGGGCTATTGTGGTTCTTTTCCCTTCAAAATATTGTTATTTCCCTGCTTCCTACCTGTGAAAGGTGTATGTCTTACAAACATATTCCCTTGAAATAGATTCTTTCTCTTCCTTCCATCTGGGTCTTTCCTTGGTGTTTTGTGTATTCTGTTGCCTTCTCTTTCCTTGTCTCTGCTTCCCCTCTTCTCTCTACCCTTTCTCCTCCTCCCCCTCCTCCACTTCCTCCTCCTTTTCCTTTTTGTCCTCCTCTCTCTCTGTATCTCTCTCTCTCTCCTCTATCTCTCTTCTTTAACCTCTCTTTCACCATTCTCTTTTATTTCCCTCCTTCTCTCATTTCTCTCTTTACAAATTGCATTGTGATTTCAGAGCCTCAAGCGAGGCTGAGAACTTGCCATTCCCACCCTTCTGTTACAATTGCACTGCCTTCTGAAGGAACAACTCTTGCCTCCAATGTTCTAACATGAACATCATTGCCTCTGATTGTGCTCTTTGCAAGGATTAGACCACTTAGAGTTGGATCATTGTTGCCAAGAGGTAGCCATTCACCTCGTTCTGATTCCTTTTTTAATCTCTTCTAAACATCCTTTCATAGCAACCATGAACTTAAAGTTTCCTTCTATCCATCTTGCTCTTCCCTCTGCAGTGCTGGTACAAAATTCACTGGTCGGGCTTATAATTCTTCTCACCCTTTGGCAGTGAGAGTTTTGTTTCCTCATTGGCATGAGGGTGAAGAGGCCAAAGTAAGAGACAGTTTATTTGTGAGTTACATCCAGAGGACAAACCCCCACTCTGGAAAAACGGTCGGTGTGATTGTCACTTTGCTTAATGTTCCATTTGATCTTACAGGGGGATGTTGGCCTCCCTGGCCCAGCAGGACCTCCACCATCTACTGGAGAGCTGGAATTCATGGGATTCCCCAAAGGGAAGAAAGGATCCAAGGTAGTGAACATTTAAGAATAGGAAAAAATTAATAAAACTTTTCCTATAATTATAATACAAGAACTTAACTCTAATAACCAGACAATACTGGAAGAATAGAGGGTTCTGGGTAATGGATTTTTGTTTAGAAGTGAGAGTAAAAAGCCTTCTTTGTTTTGCCCCTTATGAAAAGCTTTCTTAAAAGGCTGAGTATGTTTCTTGGTGTGTAGGTTTGAGTGTGCCTGGGCATCTGAATATTCATTTAAGCGCTATTTTCTCTGTTTTAGTGTTGCAGATTCAATTTTTGATATGATGAATAACATAAACATTAAATAGTTGTGTTTTTCCTCCTAACTCCCAACCCTCTCAATACTTATGGTGTCCCCAAAGTACTGTGACAGAACACATAGGGTATGAATGGTTGCTCTTGAATTATCTTTTTAAAGAAGTTATTTGCTCTTAAAACTTGACCCTGAAAATAGGATATACTGTCACCAAGTGGTGACAAGAGATGCCCTAATTTACCAGATCTGAACTACCAAGGCTTACACTATAGACCTGTTTGACTGAAATATTTTACGATCTGTATTTTTATGTGAGTCACTGTATACTACCTACATGGTTGTAATTGAATGGCCGTGTACTGTTAAGGTGTGCAGATATCTTTCAGTAACTTGCATTTCCTGCCAGGGTTCCTTTAAGCTTTGTGATTCAGTTCCCATGGCCAAGGGGCCTAGGCAGGGAAATGTGTTTAGTCTCCTTTCTTTAAATTTGTCTTCGTGGAAGCTGTAACAACTCCAAGCCCCTCCAGGTTTACAGGAAGTAGTCGTTGATTTGGGAATGGTCTGGCAACATGAAAGAGATTGTCTGCTTCCTTGATCATTCCCAAAACTTAGGGAGCTTTTCCATGGCACGTATAGATAAATTCACATATCAGGGAATGACAGATCAGATGGTTATGTGTCCCTATCCAAATTGTAATTGTTACCCTTTTCCCAAAACTATGGATTTCTCTGCTGCCTCTAATTTGCTATAGGAAATTGTACTGAACAGCTTCTTCCACTAGAAAGAAAACAGACAATCATCCTTTCTGTCTCCCAATTAGCCTCAGTATTTGACATTCTGTTTTAGACAGTTATGGTCCATAATCCTTCTCCCACAGCAAAGAGCTCCATGAACTAAGACATCCTGGTACAGCTGCTAGTTAGGGAGCCTGGGGAATCTGCACCACTCTCTGCTACCCTAATCTTGATACTTCATTGGTTCCCCACTCCTCAGTCCAAGTACATGTGGAGAGCCATCCTACTGTGCGTTCACTGCTTCCTGATGCTACTTACTAACCTTGGGCTGATTTTCCAGGGTGAACCAGGGCCTAAGGGTTTTCCAGGCATAAGTGGCCCTCCAGGCTTCCCGGTAAGTCTCTCTATTTGATCAATATGTATACAAGGGTCTGATTGGACAAAAGCTGTAGCAATAGAAGGCTAACAGAAAGACCTCTTCCCATGGATATTGTAGAGAATGCCACCATCTTTATTATTAGAAGGTATTTAAGGAGATGTTCTTGTTTCTCAAACACATGGAGACGTAAGCATGGTTCTCCATGAGGCTGTATACCTTAGAGGTTATTAGCTCAAGCTCTATAGTTAAAACAGACCTAGGCTTGACTGCTGATTTTGCCAGTTTCTAACTATGTGAACCTGGATAAGTTTCTTAACTTTTCTGAGCCTCAGTTTCCTAACCTACAAAAAAGGGGAGAATGATGGGGTGGTTATGAGGATTAAATGAGATAATATGCATGAAAAGGGCTTACTACATGTCTAGCACTTATTATTCAGTTAATGGTAGCTAATCTTAGTAATCCTACCTCCACTTTCATATCTGCCTTTCTAGCTTAGATCCTTACACTCATCAGTTACCTTTTGAGGGTCCCTATGTGCCAGGCATTCTGCTGGACTTGGAGGTTACAACAGTAACTAAGTAAAAGTCCCTGTCCTTGAGATTACATTGTAATGGGGGAGTGAGGGAAAAAACAAACAAGAAACCAGTAAACAGATGAATCTATAGCAAGTTCATATAATGGTTATATAAGTTCATATATATAAAAGATGAAAGAAGGGTAAAGTGATGAAATGTGGATGGGGAACAGGGTGGTCTACTTGGGACAGAGTGGTCAAGAAGGGCCTTTCTGAGGAAGTGATGTATGAGCTGAGACCTGCATATTATGAGAGAGCACGTCTTGTGAAGATCAGAAAGAGGGTTTAAGGCTGAGGGAACCGTAAGTGCGAAGACCTTGAGGTTAAGAAAACCTCAGTACTTTTGAGGAACAGTAAGAAGGTGAGTAAGTGGAACAGAGTAAGCAAGGCTAATAATTCCAGACAGAGAAGTAGGAACCAGATCTTGGCTACCTTCATAGGTCAATGTGGTGTTTTATTTTTAATGTAATGGGAAGCCGTTCAAAGGCTCTGACTTGTATTGTTAAGATCACTCTGGCTGTGGGAGGAAGGGGAGAGGGAATGGGAAGGGTGGAAGAGCAAACACAGAGGGTATTGCAGTAGTCCAGGCAAGAGATGGTGGTGGTGACTTAGACTATAGTGACAGCAATGGAAATGGAAAGAAGTGGATAGATTCAAAATGTAAAAATGTTCAACCTTGTTATTAGGGAACATTTCAAACATTTACAAAAGCAGAGAGAATGTCATAATGATTCCTCGTGTACCCATCACACAGTTTTAATAATTAGCAATTTATGGCCAATCTGAAGCAAATCATATCATTTCATCACAAATACCTCTGAATATTTAAAAGGTAAGGGCTTTTTAAGACATAGTGACAATATCATCATCAGTAATTTGTGATCAGTAATTAATATCAGTTAACAAGGCAGAATTCAAATTTTTGATTGTCTTATAGGTATATATATATTTTTACAGTTGCCTTGTTTCAATGAGAGGCCAAACAAGACCAATACATTACATTTGTTTAATGTGTCTTTTAAATTACAAGATATGTTTTGAAACAGCTGACAAGATTTTCATGGATTGGGAATAGGGATCAGGTGGGAAATGGATGAATCAAAGATGACTAGGCCTGCCTGTGCTTGCTGGGCCAGTGGGGATAGATGACTCCATTCCTTCCCTACAGTACTTTGAGATAGTTTGGGTCTCTCTGGGTGGCCAGAAAGCAGAGCCAGTGGAGCCAGTGGCACAGGTTCCTTCTATGATGATTCTTATTACTCCATAGAAATAAAGGGGGCATGGAAAATCATCTGTTCAATGCACTTGATTTTAATCACCTCTGTATCTAATGAACCAGAAAGGAAGAGAACCCTAGTGTTGGAGACAGAACACCCAAACTTTAGACCCAGCCCCTGCTCTGGGACTTTGGCAAGTCACTGAACCTCTCTTTATATCTGTAATTTGACAATGGTCATATTTATACTTTTTATTAATAGAAAATATTTCTACATATTTATAGGGTACATGTGATATTTTGTTACATGCACAGACTGTGTAATGGTGAAGTTAGGGTATTTAGGATATCCATGACCACAAACATTTATCATTTCTATGTGTTGGGAACATTTCAAATCTCTCTTCTGGCTACTTTGAAATATACAGTACATTGTTGTTAACTGTAGTCACCCTACTCCACTATCGAATACTAGAACTTATTCATTCTGTCTAACTGTATGTTTGTACCCATTAACCAACCTCTCTCCATCTCTCCCCCCACCCCACACTCACACCATTTCCAGCCACTGGTATTATTCATTTTAATTTCTACCTCCATGAGATAAATTTTTTTAGTTTCTGCATATGAGTAAGAACATGCATATAGCTACTCTTTTAAGACCCAACTAATAATGTATGCGAAGTTTCTTTACAAAATATAAGGCTGTCCTGTTCAATAAGATAACAGCCAGCCATGTGTGGCTACTGAGCCCTTGAAATGTGGCTGATCTGAAATGAGATGTACTGTAAGTATAAAATACACACCAGATCTCAAAAACGT
Organism: Homo sapiens; assembly: GCF_000001405.40. NCBI lineage: Eukaryota > Metazoa > Chordata > Mammalia > Primates > Hominidae > Homo > Homo sapiens. The sequence goes on along the minus strand of NC_000023.11, from coordinate 108,200,329 downwards.
AGTATGAAAAGAAATCTAGAATATCTCAGTAACATTTTTTACTTGTGTTAAAATGACAATATTTATTATATATTTGGTTAAGTAAAATATATCATTTAAATTAATCTCTGTTTACTTTGCTTTTTTAATGTGGCTACTAGGAAAATGAAAATAACATAGTAGCTCACATTATATTTCTATTGGACAGTACAGATATAAAGTACTTTGCAAGTGAGTTTGGGAATAAGGTTTTCACCTTTCTTTGTAGAGCATTTCACATAGATTCTAGCCACCTGGCATTGTCCCTGTGAGGTAAGCAAGGTGAGCCAGGCTTATCTTCCTTGTACTGATGAGGAAACCACAGCCTCAACGGGTGAAGAGGTTTGTCCAGAATCACGCAGCTAATTATTAGCAGAGCTGAGATTGAAATTCAGCTTTCTTGAATTCTAGCCAATTTGGTGGCTTTTTCCCCATACCATACTGCCCCCTACAGTCCAGTTTGCTCTAATCCCTGCCGTGGTGGGGTTTTTATCTGTAAATCTCTGAAAAGGATTTTATGATCTCCTCTGGTGTTATTGGCTTCACTGGCTCACACTGCCTCCCTCCCCTTCCCTTCCACATCCGAACCCAGAGTATTTCCCCTGCTGCAATTTCAACCCATTCCCTTTTGTCCTGTAAAAGAAAGAGACTGACGACAATGCACGGTGATAAATTGCAGTACCATTTCAAACTCAGTATTTCCAGTGTTTCAGAGTGTGGGCTGAAAAATAGAAACCCCAGTTGATTGTAAAGACATCAAAGCTAGAAAATAACCCCTTTACATGGAACAGCATGTTTTCATACGGTGGGAATTAAGAAACCAGAGTTCTCAGCCCACTTTGGCACAGATTCAATGTGTGACCTTGGCCAAATCAGGTAACTCCTTCAGTCCTCATATCTCTATCTGTTTAATGGGAACATTCGTAGGTACTTTATATGAATGGCTTATGACAGAAAAGTTATGAGGAGAAAGGTGGTAATGTATTTGTGATACTCTGGGCTTTTCAGAGGAAATGTGCTTCTCAAATCCAAAGCCTTCACATCAGCTTTCAATTATCCACACTCACCGAGAAACAAGGCAGCACTGAAGACAGAAATCTCTAGGGAATCCAAAATGTTCCTTTTAACTATTTGTTTTCTTCCTATATGAGTCCAAATCTTTGTAAGAGACAAAGTGCCCAACCTGACAGATTTGCCCCTTACCTTCTTTCTCTTGGCCCCTCTGCAGTGACCAAACATCCCTGATTTTCTGGCTCAGTCCTCACCTCACACATTTTATCCCATTGTCTCCAGCAACACACTCACACTTGTAGGCCACAGGTCCTTCCATGGAGGTCATCAGAGAGAATTGTATATCCATGTGCCCTCTGTTCAAGGGACTAGCAAACACAGGGGAAGGCAAAAATGGAATAGATGAGGGGAGGGATAAGAGAAGAAACTGGCAAATCCTGAGGTAACTATTGAGTAGGTCAATAGTTACCCACACACCTACCCAGTAGGGGTAACTACTAGGTAGGTGGGGTTCTTCAGTTGAGCCTCCTGAGAACCAAAGAGCATCAGGAGTCCAGAGCCCAGGAGAGCAGGCCTGGAAACAGTTAACCTAGCCCCATTGAGGCTTTCCAGGCCATGGGTAAGTAGGAGTGTGGGAGCAGCATTTGCAAGATTACTCATGAGGAGGACTGACTGTCACGGGGCCAGTCCCAGGGCATCTTGCTAGAACAGCTTGTTCAGCAGGGTCCCTGTACAGTGCCTCCCTATTCTGGGAGACAAGTTGAACCTACAGCACAGCCAGTGTCTTGCCAAGCTATTTATCTTTTCTTGGCTCTAACCCCCACACAAATTTGTCTTTTTTTTTCCTTTTTACATTTTTTTTTACATATTTATTTTTGTTCACACTATAGCATAAGCTCTCAGGCCCTCTGAGAAAGCAAGACTCTTCTGCTTTCTGGAGAAGGAGTACAAGGCCCCCTTATATTTACAACTGAGGGCAAGATAGATGGGGGCACAAGATGGTTCCTGAACATCATTTCCTTCACCCTTTGCAACAGTTTTGTTCTCTTGGCCATTATTCCATTCAGTTCAACAAGTATTTACTGGACCACCTTGTATGTGTTCAGACTGTAGTAATGGGCCTTGGAGAAAGATAAAAGAGAGTGTAATATAGGTCTCATGCTTACAAAACTTTCATATGCAACCATTCTTTGCACTTTAAGAGTTTCGGGCAGCATGGGCTGCCACAGATTTCATGGACAGGTCAGAGAAGGCTTCCTGAAGCGTTTGACCTCAGAAGCCAATAGACATTCCACCAAGTCGCAGCATGCCTTGGTTTGATGCAGAAAAACTCATATTTTAAATAAGTTTGCATTCAGTTTAACCCACGAGCCTTTCACATTAGAAATTTAATGTAGCATGAAGGCTGAGCTATTTGATGCACAGTTATACTAAATGCAGAAAAGAGAACAGGTAAGTACGGGACCAAAGCCTGCTTTGAATTGGATCCTACACACACACACACACACACACACACACACACACACACTCCTCCCAATAAAAAGACAATGAAAACAACCCACATTAAAGAAACAAAAACATGACTAGCCAAAAGGAAACAGAAATGAAAAACCCTGGGCCCAGAAAGCCAAGGGGTCCTTAACCAGCTTTCAGTACTCATGGGAGTGCACTGAGTATGTATGTAAAAGGAAGAAAAAGGTACAAATGGGATTTGAGCAGGTGAGCCAGGTCACATTAAAGGGACAACAGATGTTCCACAACATTTAGTGCCTTTTCTTCATTGCCTCCTTTACTTTCATAATAAGCCAAGATGTTGTTTGCTAAATCTATGCTCCAAAAAGTACAATTTTAAACAACAACAAAGTGGCCTCATTTAAGTTTTCTGTGAAAAACATTATTCACTTTAGTACTGAACTATTCTGTATCTTGGGGGCCCAGACATTTTCCCTGGACCCAGAGGGAAGTTCTCTCTTACTCACTCTGCTTCTTGGAGTTCCTGCTTTTCCCTAGAGAATCCCCAAGTCATATTCATGGCTACAAACCCTCACCTCTGATGAGCAGGGCAAGAGGGCTTGGAGACCATCTCACAGTCCCCTTTGGACTATCTCTAGGGCCAGGCAAGAGCCCTACAGTCCCAGTACAGGAGCTGCAGGGTTTCAGTCCGTGCCTAGATAGAAATACTTCTTACCACTGAAAAGGATGTTGTGCTCATTATGTCTCCAAAGGGGAAAAGCTCTTGCTCTTCCCCCTAGTATCAACCCCCAAGAATTTGCATAATCCTCCATTTGTGGGTCAAATCATCAAGTTCCTAGATGATAGAAGGCAGCTTGTTTTAATGGAAAAGTCCCCGGAATGAAAAACACAAGATATGGCTTTCTCATTCATTTTTAACCCATCTAGATGTTGGTTTCCTCATCTGTAAAATCAACAAGGTTAGATATTTAATCATTTCTATACTGTTAGCCCATGATACTATAAATACATGGAACAGTGTTGTGGGTAGGGGGAGACATTACTTCTAGAACCAAAAGGGAACCTTGAATGAATGGTCCAATTTATATTCAGACCCTATGTGCTTCTCAGGCAGTGACAAGAGACAGCATGGTGAGCCTCCCTAAGGGGAGAGTGGAGCTTAATTAAAATAGCCTCCTTGCTTTGGATGAAGCCAGGAGACCGACAAGAAAACAAACGTTATAACTTGTGGTTTCTTTTTTCATTTAGGGCCTTGGAACTACTGGAGAAAAGGGAGAAAAGGGAGAAAAGGGAATCCCTGGTTTGCCAGGACCTAGGGTATGAACCTCGAATGTTACTTGCCTGGGTCTGTCAAGTCATCTAGTCCATTTTCTTTCCTGTTTGCTTCTTTATGTTTTGCAACTTGATTGCCACCTAAGCTTCTCGTTTCTCCTCAACCCAATGGCAGGTTCCTAAGACCTCCTTCTCTCTTAGCCCCATTCCCTTGATTGAATGGCTCCCTTGAAAAGGAATGAGGCACCCCCTACTCTAGGTGGCTCCTCAGCCTATTCATCTCCTTGCTCTCATGTATCATTGTCTTCTGGGCTAAAGAATGATACCAAGAAAGAATGATTGCTAAAGAAAGCAAGGCAAGTGTTGCCTTGCTTTCATTCCATTCTATTCTGAGGGAATTGAGCAGGGAAGTGGCACAGGAATGGAAGAAAGAGGGCCAAGTGCAACCTTTATAGGACAGAAACAAGCCTGGAAAGTTCTAGAACATAGTGAGTGATGTTTGGAGTCAACAGTTTCCAATAATAATCTCATTTGAAATGGAAAAATAACTATTAGCCTCTCTGATTCCTAGCTTCGGGCACTTAGGTCTTGAGCTAGAAGCAGTGGGCCAAGCTTAGCCTCAAAGAAGTAACATTTTAGAGAATTGTGTTGTTAAGTTGACTATGAAGTTTAGTAAGAGTCTTTTGAGTATTCAGCCATACTTATCCATTACCCTGCCATTTCTTTCTCTACTTTCCCCCGCTCCTTGTCTTGAAAATACATATAATCACCAACAAAGAATGCATTTGAGGTGGAAGACGAGGCCCTCCCATAATCTATTTAAAGATCTCCTGACTTGGAACTAATGCAGACTAAGTATAATACCACCCAGCCTTTCTATCAAATTCCACCTACTACTTAAACTGTTTCCATTTATTTAGATATTAAAAAATGCTCCATGTGGCTATTTAGCCTGATGGATTAGAGCTTAGAAAGAAGTCATTAGGCCAGGCACGGTGGCTCATGTCTGTAATCCCAGCACTTTGGGAGGCCAAGGCGGGTGGATGACTTGAGGTCAGGAGTTCGAGACCAGCCTGGCCAATGTGGTGAAACCCTGTCTCTACTGAAAATACAAAAATTAGCCAAGCGTGGTGGCGCACGCCTATAGCCCCAGCTACTTGGGGGGCTGAGGCAGGAGAATCGCTTGAACCCTGGAGGCGGAGGTTGCAGTGAGCCGAGATTGTACCACTGCACTCCAGCCTGGGTGACAGAGTGAGACTCCATCTCAAAAAAAAAAAAAAGTCGTTAAGCTAGGTCTAGGAACATTCGCTTACCTGATTTTAGGAGCTGCTAAATCCTGAACTCAGTTGGATAACTTTGTTATATAAGTCTAGTGGCTTTTTCTAGGTAGCCTATTGCTGTTTCTAAGGTGTAACTATTTTCTTTACAGGGTCCCATGGGTTCAGAAGGAGTCCAAGGCCCTCCAGGGCAACAGGTATTTTGGTTAATATCATTAAAGCCTTGGGGTATAAAATCCCAATCAAAAGTCCCCCTTGCTTTACCTAACATGGCCAAAGGGAGACATTACTTATAATGCAAATTGTTCATCTCCCTTTTTTTTGGTATAATCTTAGCCACTGTCCTCTTTTCTTTTCACTCAAGAACATGGGTATCCAGTGTCAAATTCCGTGCCTTGCCATGCCATGCTGTGGTCATACATCTTTGGCATGCTGTCAGGGACTAGCAAGGCCAGCCTGCTTGTATCCGTGTCTAGCCTTATGGCCCTTGTACCTCCTAATATGTAAATTGGCTACCTACTGCCGTATTGTCTTCTGGAAGATTTTACAGCTTCCAGAGTCAGATAGAAGCCACATATACCCTGCAATGTCATCCAAGATCCCTGTGCCATTTGCCCTGGCTTAATCCAAAGACCAGACTCTCTTATGCTCTCATACTTTCCACTTAGTGGTAACTATGTTTCTGTCACAGGGCAAGAAAGGGACCCTGGGATTTCCTGGGCTTAATGGATTCCAAGGAATTGAGGTAATGTTGGGAAGTGAAAAATCCAGGGTTGGTAGGTAGAAGAGTGAATTACCACAAATGTCTGTATATAAGATGAAGTATTTTTAATATTTTGACCTTTTAAGTTTCAATTTTTTCTTAAGAAATGCATGTAATCTGCTTTGAACACACAAAGCTGCTAATGAGCATTTCTTAGATACTACTTGATCAGTGGTAAACTAAGGGGCAGGAGCTGGTGGGAGCAAGTTCATCCCGAAGATGAGGAAAATTTTATTCATATTGCTTAGAATTGCCAACTGTTGGTTTCACTATTGTTTTAAATTCTCTACAGACAATGCATCCCCTTTTTGCCTACACCTGGAGCATATAACTGCCACCATCACACCCTGAATATGCCACTGTATGTGTTTTTGGTACCTAAATCCCTCTTTGGGGAGTATTAGAATTCCTTTAATTTCCTCTGCCTGACATCATCCACTAACAAGGGTTGTGATGGTAGTAGAGGCCCAGGCCTGTTGAGAGTGGAAAAAAGTTAAAACTCTGTTCTCTCCTTAGCACTACTTAGGTACAGCCAAGGCCCAGAGCAGACTGTCCTTGAGTAGAGTTGCAAAATAAAATTGGGATCCCTTGTCCTTGACAGGTTTCCAATTGAATGTTAGGCCTCTGGCCTGCTTTGTGTCACCTTCATCTTAAATTTATGGGACTTTGAAATTAACCTATGGACTAGTTGATCTTGAAAATCTGGGGTTATAGAAGGAAGAACCTTTCATTTTCCTAGGGATGGGCTTTAATGGCACATAGATCTTGGGTAATAAGGAAATGGAAATATTTGTGTTTAATGTACTTAATCTTTGCAGGGTCAAAAGGGTGACATTGGCCTGCCAGGCCCAGATGTTTTCATCGATATAGATGGTGCTGTGATCTCAGGTGCAACTTCTCATTAATTTGAGTGGAAAATAAAGACAGGAAGTTAAATCCTATATCCCCTGTAATTATTAAAAGGATACTTTGTTAGTTACTCGATTGTTGCTAAACTTGACACACCCAAGAGCCCCTCATGGCTCCTGAGCTTGGGGAATAAAGCTATCTCCAATCTCTTGGTCAGGGAAGCCAAGCCCAGCACCCCATTTTTGTGTTCAGTCCACTAAGCCTAGGATTTGGGTCTGCCTGGGCCTGAATTTGATGAAAATGGTTCTCCTGGCAATGCTTTGGGAAGGATTGATAACCACCCCCAAGCTGGGCTGACTTCAGTTTGATACTATGGAATACTCAGGGCCTCATGTAGGTGATTCCATGTATGCTTGAGCTTGACAATTTCATAGGAAGTGGAAAAGTACCTTTAGTTAGGGGAGCAAGTGGCTGAGAGCCCTCAAGAGTGTGATGCTTAGAAAGTCTGTCTTCACCTCTCCTTGTCCTAGTTATTTTGTGTGCCCAACTCTTCCCTTTACCTTCTCCAAAGACTGAGATGCCCAGTATCTCCAGCTACCTCTTGTTTGACCAAAGGCTTCTACTGTAGTGACTCTTCCATGGATCTTCCAACTTATCCCTCTCCTCTCATCCTCTAAGGCCCATGCCCTGTTTGGTATTAATATTTGACAGTGGCTTCCTGTGTACCACTCCCAGGAAACATATATGTATAACGTAAATAGTGGACTTCAACATCTTAATCCAAATGGTAGACATTTTAGGCATTACAGCAGATTAGTGGTAGAAGAAGAAGAAGTACTTACCAGAGCTTATCATGAAAGGCAGGCCTTGGCCAGAACAATTCTTAGTACACTAATTTTGGCTCCAGAAGGCCCCTTGGCTCCAGAAGACCCATTATCATGTGAGGCCATTAGCATTAGAGACTTGGGAAAGGCATGAAAGGCACTTCTAATGCCAGGACAGCTCCTGCACCTCTTCTTGGGCATTTTGTAGCATCTGTGGGCCTCCTCTGTCTTTATTTACTATTTTCTTTCATTACAATGCCAGGTAATCCTGGAGATCCTGGTGTACCTGGCCTCCCAGGCCTTAAAGGAGATGAAGGCATCCAAGGCCTACGTGGCCCTTCTGGTGTCCCTGGATTGCCAGCATTATCAGGTGAAAAAAACTAACCCATTTCCTACACAGATCAGTCCTCTATACACTGTGGTTCCCAGCATTCCCTTCTATACCTCTGGGTCGGGGCACACACCTAGCCAAAGTCAAACAAGAGGTAGACTGTAGTCAGTAGGTTCCCGACTGCCAGCCCAAGGCTAACGTATGTGGGGGTAGTGAGGGCCTGGGTGAGCAGCTTTTGTTTTTGGCTTAAATAATGTATCATAGCTGGACAGGCAATCCTAGACTGTCACTGAGGTTTGCAGCAACAAGAGGAGTCCTGGGTTGAGTTGCTGGAGCTGTGTCACCCTCCTGTGGATGTGCCATCCCAGCTGATGCTTGCCAAGAGGGGCTAGCAAAAGCCCAGAGGAAGATTTGTACCCAGAACCTTGCTGTAGGATTCAGCCAGGCACTGAATGGTCCCAGGATCTTGTGGGTAACACTCTTGAACTAATCACATCCATATGTCATTCTATAGTGACATGTGGGAAAAGGGCATGCCAGAGTCTGGGAGGCAGTGATGCCCCAGATATAAAGTTCAACTTTTACTTTTAAAGCCACCAGTTTCTAAATTCCTTGGAGATGGGCTGCTGTGAGGATACCTATGTTTTTAAAGCAGCCACCTGGAAATGGTACAGCTGGCCCCAGGACCAAGTTGGAAAAAAATCAAGAAATGAAAGGCTAGAGACCCAGATTTTCCTCTCAGGTTTGCCACTGAGAAATGCTGGGCCCCTGATCATGTTTCCTCTCTTCTTTGGGTCTCTGTTTCCCAAGAGGTTAGGCTAATTGATCCCTAAGGATCCTTCTAACTCTGATACAAGAGAAGGGCAAATGCTTCCCTAAATTCTTCCTTGGATTTGTTTCCAACATATGCCACAGATAGGAATACTCCAGAGAGTAAGGTGATATAATGAGCATTTGTGTGTGGGCTTATTCTTCCAGGTGTCCCAGGAGCCCTAGGGCCTCAGGGATTTCCAGGGCTGAAGGGGGACCAAGGAAACCCAGGCCGTACCACAATTGGAGCAGCTGGCCTCCCTGGCAGAGATGGTTTGCCAGGCCCACCAGGTCCACCAGGCCCACCTAGTAAGTTACTCATTTCTCTTTTTGGTCTCAAGATTCAGATGTGATCCAGACTGCAGAACAGTCATGATTTTTGAGGGGGCATCTCACAGGTGAAACAGCTAAGCCAGGATACATGATAATTGCAGAGGGGCAGCCATGAAGGCCCCGTCGTCTCTGAGTCAGATCCCTGCCTCTACCAGTTATTGATAACAGCAGAGTGTTCTCCATCAAGGAACAAGCAAACTAGGGCCTAATGCCTTCCAAGTTTTGTACCCATTCCCACTCCATCTTTCACTGTTCTCAGCCCTTAAGCCTTTGTTTTTTCAGCTCCTAAAGAAGCAGGATTGGTTCTTTTGAGCTTGCCCTGGTCCACAAGGCTCCAATGGGGTGGGCTGAGAGACTGAGAAAAAAAGAAGCCAAGCCTGGACCCTCGAGGTGGCTGCTAAAAGCCTACACAGGGCTTATCCTTCTTAGATCTCCTACTTGAGTGTGAGATTCTAGATTCTGAGAGAAAAGCTGGAAATGTTGCCCAGAATGTTTCTCTGTACCTTAAAGCCCATGTCCACTGCGGCTTGCACCTCTTTCCTCTTTTGTCCTAGGGGAGGTTTCTGGGGTAGACATTGGGACTGCTGAGTTTTGGAAGCTACCTTGTTCATTCCTCTAACCCCACTGTCTAATACGGTGCCTGGAACATAATGGACATTCTGTAAATATTAGTAGAGTGAATTGAGCCAACAGAGGTCCTGTTGACTCCTTGCTGCAGATTTGGGGTCCCGGTCTTGAATTTTATTTTTTTGTCTCTGCTCTGTTGTTCAGCCTCAAGGACTTGGGCCTTGGTGATTGAGCTGCTGTGTTGAGTCAGGGAAGTCATCAGGCTTATACAAGTTGCTAATCCTTTATCTTTTTTTTACCCAAAGGTCCAGAATTTGAGACTGAAACTCTACACAACAAAGAGTCAGGGTTCCCTGGTCTCCGAGGAGAACAAGGTCCAAAAGGAAACCTAGGCCTCAAAGGAATAAAAGGTGATTTTGTCCCCTTGAGTTTCTTGGTCCTCCAAACTCCTTAGAGAAGGCTTCCTGGGGAATGAGAAAACCAACAGCCTCGGGAACCTAAACAGAAGCAACTGTGGATCTTGTTTGGGGCTTTGATTATAGGATTGTTAGAAGTGCTATATTTGGGTCTCTAAGACTGAGGCTGGCAATGGAGGTCACACAGGACCAAGTTGCTCACAGGCTTCTTTTTCTTTCTCCTCCACCTGCAGCCCAGGCTGTTAACCAGTGCATGCTGCTACCCCTCCCAGTTTGCAAAACCAAGGATGTAAGCCACTTATTACCTTCAGCCTTAAGCAAAGTGCTCTAAACAGGTCAAGACCTGGGACTCTGAAAAACCCAACTGGCTCCAGGAGAACAACCCTAGCCCCCACTGGTGTTGGAGAACTGATCAATGACCACAGCTGCCTTTGGGTCATTTCCCCCTTCTATCACTTACTCTGAGGGGAAGATGCTCAATAAGTCAATTAATTATGGTTGTGGCTTAGGCCAGGGGAAGGAAGAAGTGAAACTACTGACTGAAGAGGGGTTTTGGGATGGCCTAGGGTTCAGTTATGCAAGATCTCTAGGAATGAACTGCTTTCCTCAGCCTCAAACAGAGATGTTCTAACTTACTCCTCTCCTTTCTCATTGCTCCATCATAAAATGTCATTACCTAAGTATATAGAGTCTGGTTAAGAAATGCCTGAAAGCTTGTTCTCTGCTATTCAGGTCCCAGGAAAACTATTTGATGGAAAAGGGCATTAAGTTAACTTAGATGTTAATTTTGGCCCTTACCTAACTCACTACAAAGCTGATGTATTTCTTGATACCATTCACAGTCCTAAAAGAGGGACATTTCTGATGCTCCCCATTCTGTATTTCCATGGGGCTGAAAGATTTTCTCTAAGTATGGAATAGTGATAGGGATTATCAAGCTTCATTATACATGAGAATCACCCAGGGGAGGTTATTAAAAATTAGATTATTTGGTCTGGCCTCCTGAGACTGATCGATTAGGACTGAGATAGGACCCAGCAAGCTGCCTTATAAATAAGCATCACAGATGATTCATGCAGGATCACACTCAAGAAACACTAATCTGAAGAACAGACTATTCTCTTAGAGTTTTAGGAATCATCAATTTTCTTAAAGTAAGAAGGGGCCCTTCAGAATCTTAGGGAAACTCAGGGTCACCTATGTTGGCACCAATTCTTATTTTCCAGACAATAAGCATGGAAGATATAGGGAGTTAGAACATAGTGCTAGTGACTCCTTGATACCTCTTCAAAGGTGCTTTGCTGAAATCCCTATCATTATTTATTTGGCATTTGTCTCAACATTTACAAAAATATGTACACATTTGTGTCATATGTACAAAAGTCAGGGGAAAAGACATTTTGGTAAAGAAAATCTTTGAGCGGCTTGAATTCCAGACTCTCAGCTGGTTAGTAGAGGTCAGTGGTTCTCAACTATGGCTATACTTTAGACTCACTGATGGCTGAGCCTCATCCCTGACTAACAAAATCTGAACCACTAACACAGACATACTCTGCTGGAGAGTGAACCAAGTTCATTTGAGTGTGTTCTCTGCAAGCCTTCAGATTCCCTCTATGGAGTTGTTCAAGTCACAAATAACCATGATCAATTCTTTATTCTTCTTGGAAAAAAATGACCCACTTCGTTCTATGTTGTCTTTTTCTCCCAGGAGACTCAGGTTTCTGTGCTTGTGACGGTGGTGTTCCCAACACTGGACCACCCGGGGAACCAGGCCCACCTGGTCCATGGGGTCTCATAGGCCTTCCAGGCCTTAAAGGAGCCAGAGGAGATCGAGGCTCTGGGGGTGCACAGGGCCCAGCAGGGGCTCCAGTAAGTCTTGCCAAACTTTGACCCTGAGGAAGCAATGGAATCTTTCAAGTGCCCTTCAATCCCCCCAGTTACTTTTCTAAAGCACATACAAGAGAGATGGGATTAAAACAAAGTTTTGGGGTTTTGATCTACAACATGAAATCTGACTATAGAGTCTCTTAAAGTCCTTTCTGCTTTAACCTACCTATTTTCCCTTTTCTCTTTCCACAATTTCTTCCTTCCACAACATTGTTTACCTTTGCCTAGCAATGTGCTGGCCCATGAAGATAAAATAGGAATTAAGGTGAGGTTTACATCTTCAAAGATTTCAAAATTTACAAAAGGTGCAGAAATAAATGGGCAACTATTATTCAAGATTACAACATAATCAGTGTCTAGAACAGTGCCAATATGTACCCAAGGTTCTGCTCTAAGTCATAATGCTAGGTGCCGGAATTCTATGAAGTCTACATCTTCTGACTACTCCCTCTTCTCTCTTTTCTTTGTCAGGGCTTAGTTGGGCCTCTGGGTCCTTCAGGACCCAAAGGAAAGAAGGGGGAACCAATTCTCAGTACAATCCAAGGAATGCCAGGAGATCGGGGTGATTCTGGCTCCCAGGGCTTCCGTGGTGTAATAGGAGAACCAGGCAAGGACGGAGTACCAGGTTTACCAGGTCTGCCAGGCCTTCCGGTAAGTTGATCGTTCCTAGGTGATTAGCTCTACAGATCTTCACACCTGACTTTGTTGGGGGGTCTGATGGCCACTGGACCATGAAACAGGGAAGAACAGAGTCTAGAGGACCTTGCCCTGCCTCTGCCACTGAAACTTTTTGCTTTTTGCTTTTCCTTTATGTAAAGTGGGAATCATTTTCTCAGAATGGATCATTGTCTCATTTGATAAATGCTAGTAACACCTGACCATATGACTTAAAAATACTTCAGCTTCTCAGTGACTTTTCTCCTCAAGTAATCTAGCCACTTTCTGTGATCTCTGGGGTTGTTATTATCCTGCTCATTTCTTGCCCTGTCTCCTCACCCCTATCCAGAAACTTTTGTGTTGTTAGATCACCCAGAGTAGACAAGATTCATATCCACTAACTAAAGTCAGAGGAGACTGATAGATAAACTATGGTGATGATAGATAATTTTAACAAAACACAAAGCATTGGTCACACTGGCTACCTCTTTCCTGTAGTCAGAGGACTGTCCAGATAAATCTCTGAGTTGAATTTTCATTCTTTGTTTTATATGTTGTCTAGGGTGATGGTGGACAGGGCTTCCCAGGTGAAAAGGGGTTACCTGGACTTCCTGGTGAAAAAGGCCATCCTGGTCCACCTGGCCTCCCAGGAAATGGGTTACCAGGACTTCCTGGACCCCGTGGGCTTCCTGGAGATAAAGGCAAGGATGGATTACCGGGACAACAAGGCCTTCCCGGATCTAAGGGTGAGTCATAGAATCAGATGGCTTTGGACTTGGAAATTTGACCCCTTGTAGAGTGGTTATGACTCAGGTGCATGAAATGTATCATAAGAAGAGACTTGTCTGACCATAATCACTACTTTCAACCCCCTGAAGGATTTGCATGTGAAAAAAAGTATTATAATTGTATTGTGGTAAGCTTAGGGGGCAGAATAACATAGATTTCCACCCTACTTCGTGAAGAACTTCCTACCAGAGCAGTCTGAAAATGTAACAGAGCTACTGAGGGAGGTTATGAGCTCATAATCCCTGGGAGAGTTCAAGAAGAAGATGGATGACCACTTGTTGCAAATGTCATCAAAGCAATGAGTGGGAGATTGGACAAGGTGCCCTCTAAATTGTGTGGTAATATCATCAGCTGGGAAAAACCTTTCCTCAACTCATGGAATCTCAGATTGGGCAGAAATCTAGTTGCTTATAGTCTAATCCCCCATTTTATCCCTTAACTCCTTCCTCTTTATATAACTTCTTTTTCTACTTGAATTTTAGAAATTATGTGTAACAGTCCTGCTTATAGTTTATGAAGGTGCTATGCTAATAACTAATCTTCTTCAATACAGCCAGAACAGCTGTTCATCCCAACTTTTGGGTTTCCACAACTTCTATGCTTCCATTAGTGACACCACACTTATAATAATCTGAAGTTTAAAATTTTGAGATTATCTCTTATTTCCTTTGCAATTCCTCTTATATTCTTTCCTTCTCTTATTGCTACTAAACTCTCATTATCTCATGCCTAGTTTTTCAAATACCTATATGCTTGTTGGAGTAAGTGGATGGTTGGATGGATGGATAGATGAGTGAGTGAATGACAACAACTTCCTAAGTAGTTTTTACATTCAATTCTATTAAGAACACTGCAGCCAATTTAATATCTGTAAAGTGCCAATATCATGTAACTCCCCTAGTTCAAAGCCACATATGGTACCAATTGAACAGAGATCATATAATGTCCAAACTCCTCAACTTGGAATTCAAAAGTCTCCAAACATGGATACAACCAACTTTTTCAACCTTATATCATGCTCTTAATTGAAACAAAAAAACTAAGACACCAGTCTTCTTCACTATACCCAAACACAATATGTTCACTTCCAGCTCCAAAATTTTACCATGTTGCCTTTTCCTGGAGTGCTCTTCCTCTTTGTGTAGTCATATCATATTCCTCTTTCAGGGTTCAAGATAAACCCCACTTCTTCCATTAAGCTTTCCCTTGACCTCCACAGTATGTCATTGCTACTTAAATTATATATCTCCTTCTATTACTGCTTTTACTTTCCCCAACTGCATTGTAAGTCTCTTGATACTAGGGATGGTAATACTTCTTAGAGTTTCTTTACATGCCTAGCATAGTGCAGTGTTCCATAGGAGACTAATATTTGTTTGCAGAAGAAAGAGCCTTCCCAATAACCAAGGGGCTATTTCTTAAACATATTTCTCCTGTTTCCACCTTATCATCTTGAAGAATTACAATAAAAGAAGACAGGATACCAGGTCTTGCAAAATTTTATTTATTTCCAAATCTATTTTTGTGAATCGGTGTAATAAGGTTGATGGTAGATGGTACAGGTTAAAACTTGATAATTCAAGATTCTTTAAACCGAGTCAATATATCATTTCACAAATTATTGTGAAGGTTGTAAGGACATTTTCCTTTTTTTTTTTTTTCTGAAATGAAGTCTTACTCTCACCCAGGCTGTAGTGCAGTGGCATGATCTTGGCTCACTGCAACCTCTGCCTCCTGGGTTCAAGCGATTCTCCTGCCTCAGCCTCCTGAGTAGCTGGGATTACAGGCACCCTCCACCACACCTGGATAATTTTCGAATTTTTAGTAGAGACAGGCTTTCACCATGTTGGCCAGGCTGGTCTCAAACTCCTGACCTCAAGTGATCCACCCGCGTTGGCCTCTCAAAATGCTGGGATTACAGATGTGAACCACTGCTCCTGGCCATAAGGATTTAGCAAATAAAATCATTCTGCCTGTTGGAAGTCCTAGTGTCAGCTATAGCTTTGCTTCTAGCTCTGTTCCCAGAGACATTACTCATGGTCATTCTACTGCTCCTCCCGTAATTGGGTCTTCATTGTAGGTTAAACCATTTTGCAAGCAACAAGGTTTTAAACTGAGTTATAATAACATGACACCTATAAACTTACACACTTCCAAGTCTTCTGGCTATTAGCAACATTTTAACTATTTGAGAACCAGCTGAGTGAACAGAAGGAAGCTTGCAGGACCATTTTTATCCCAAACATCACTAGTCCCTGGATACAGAAAGTTATTAGGAATATGATATGGTAAGCTATAGCCTGGGAGATGCCTTATGCAGAAAATGTTTGTCTTATTCCATTTTCTGTTGCTACAACAGGAGATCTGAGACTGGGTAATTTACAAAGAAAAGAGGTTTATTTAGCTCATGATTCTGAAGGCTAGGAAGTCCAAGATTGGGCAGCCCATCAGTTGAGGGCCTTGTGCTTCAACTCATTGTGGAAAGCAGAAGGGCATATGCAAAAGAGTCCAAACACTAAAGCAACCTTGCTTTATAACAGCCTGCTCTTGTGGGAACTAATCCATTCCCTTGAGAAATAACCCAGTCTCCCGAGAAAGAGATTAATCCATCCTAACAACCTAATTACCTCTCAGAAGCACCACCTCCCAACACAGCCACTCTGGAAACCAAGTCTCAACATGAGTTTTGGTGGAGACAAATCATATTCAAACCATAGCCATGTCCTTCTTGCAGTATGAAGAGTTTCAAGAAATTACTTTAATAAAGAGCATTAGCTTTCTTTTTCTCTCTATGACAAACAAATATAATTTTTCAAACCTACCTTTCTTCTGCACAATTTTAAAAACAAATAACCTGTGGTCCCCACACATTTGCATTGTAGCCATTTCTGTTGCTAGAAAAAAACTAAGATGCTATTCCTGAATGTGCCCACTCCAATCAATGGTAGCCCAGACTAGGACAGCTGCATTGCCAGGAAAGAGGATGCAATCATCAGAAGCCTTTCAGCCTACTAGTGTGAATTATTAAAAACTTTGGGCAAGCAGACAACTGGCTATTTCCAAAGAGGCTCTGTTCCAGATGCTCATAGTAATCAATCACCCTGGTTATTACTGAACTGTGGTGACTGTGTGCTTGATCTCATGTGGGTGCAAGTGCTCTCCACTAAGTTCAGACAAGGGATTTGGTTGGTGGGCATATCTGGGCTGCTGAGAAGACTTCCCTTGGGCCCCAAGGAACTTCTGTCCTAGTTTAATTTTCTTCTTCACTTGATTGCTCTAGGTGACTGCTGCTGTAGAGAGGTTGGTAAAGGAGACTTAGACACAGAGAGAGGTGAGAGCTAGCTAGGTCTACAAGCTCTCAGACACTAGTCTTAGCTAAACACCCCTTTTTTGTTTACCTTTGTCTCAGACAGTCACGATGGCCTGAGCACCACACTGGATGCCCTGTTTGGGGAGTGGGGAGTCTAAGGCTGGGATGCAAAGGCTGACACCAACACTGCTTCAGAGGCTCCTTAGCACATACCTCTTACAGCAGGCAGTACGGGATTGAGTGGGCATGCAGTCTCTGAGAGGGGCTGATTTCCTTCACCATGCATGTCGATAGCTTGGCTGATCTCTACCTTAAGCAAATTCATTTTCTGAACTTCACTGGGGCCATAATCTGCCTTGAGAGGTACCTGAAAGGATCCACACATGTCTGAACTTTATTCATTGGGCCCAGAACAAATTGGGATGTTAAAATCTTGGGAACCAGAGACTCTTTTTATTCTGAAGATGGATTTGGGCATTAATGGGAAAAATTCTGAATAATTAGGTCATTTGTTGCAATTACTAAACAGAACATGGGTAGAGCAGATTTTTGCTTTGTTGAGAAGGCTCTGAATTCAGGAATGTAAAGTAGAAGACAGTATAAAGGAAAAGAGCCAGATACCAATATGACTTGAAGTCCTTCCCTCTCACCATTTTGAACCTCTGCTTACAATACACAAGTGTGGTGTGGCATACAGGCATAAGACAAAATTATTGAGAGAAATATGTCGTTGATTTCCTCTGGTTTCTAACCATCTTTCCTTTGACCATTGTTTTTCTCATCCCGGAACCTTTCTGGATGCCTGTCCTCAGCTTCATATTCTAAAGGCTTTGTTTTTATCTGGCTGTCACAGATGAAAAGAAGCAATTAAATCAGTCTGATAAATTAAGGATGAATGGCTTAATAGTTGGACCCAGCCCAGGGATATTTTTATTTTACTAAGTTTGTTTCCTAAGACGTAAAACAATGGAACTGTAATGTTAGAGTTTGACACATTGGAGCCAATGAGCTATTGAGATTGTTGAGGGCAGGAGAGTCTTTTGCAGGATCCCTCTCATGATACACCCTCTGGAGGAAATTCTTCAGCCTAACTCAAAGAGCCCAGGCCTGAGCCAAGCACAAGGTTGAAAACCCCCTCCCAGTGAAGCATCTCACCATAAAGTGTTGACCTGTAGAGCATATTTCCATAGTAGGGAAATAACTATCAGAAATAGCTCTGTCATCTTGATGTCTGGCAGGGTGGAGGTGGGTTTGACCACCTACGGAGGAGGATCCAGGCCTATGGCCATCTGTTCACCTCTGGAAATATAACTGTAGAAACCTGAAGTCTGGAAGGCAGAAAGTGCTGCCCAGACTACAAGCAGTGTCACTAACCTGAGGATGGCCTTGCAGGAGCTCTACTGAGTACTCATTCTTACATAAGATAATAGTTCAAGATAATAAGAACTATTATTAATTGAGCATGTACCAGAGTGCTAGACACTGTGCTAAGTGCACAGTTTCATGTAATCCTCACACACACCATATGAGAAAAGTAGAAGTAGTTCCCATTTTGCCATGAGGCTCAGAGAGGTTTAAGTATCTTGTCCACGCAGCTGGTTAGCAGCAGAACTAGGATACCAGCTAAGGTCTGTCTGGCTTCAGAGCCCAACTTGTTAACCAATACATTATACTGTTCAATTCCCAACCTTGATTTAAGAAAATAGAAGTGGGATCAGGGGAGGATGCCAGCGAGTTCAGTAAGCAGTTTGAATCATAGGATGTGTACATATTTTTCAGAAATGTAATTTGTGATTTAAGTACAGGCAAAAGCTATAGATGTTTATTAAAACTGTTGGCTCTGTGGTTTAAAGCAGACCTTGGGGGATTGTTTTAATGAATAGGCAAGGCTTATTTAATTAGCATAGCAATTGTTTGTAAATGGCACTTGAGGGAGCCCGCAAACAATTTGTTCACCAGTATTTTATTAAACCTCCCCTCTGTGATCTTATAGATTCTTTTTATTTGCATTATGAATGGGCAAGGGAGAATTTGCTAGGGGAAGGGCTATGCATGCCAATTTTGACATCTTGAATATTAAAATTGCTACTTTTTCTCCTTGAGCAGCAGAGTTGACAGTTTCAAATAAGGAGCTGAGGGAAGGGTCACCACTTGCCTGTCACGGACAAGAGAGTGGTCTTAAGTGTTTGCATAGTACAGTCATACTGGTACATTTGACCAAGGACAATCAATAGGTTTCAGCAGATCCCAAATGAAGTGCATCAAAAGAACCCAGTGGTTTGGGGAAAACCTCATTCCAAGGAAAGGGTAAACATGAGAACTTGAGGGATCTTGGCTTCAAACCTTCCAATCTAGTCAAATAAGCATAATGGACCCTTAGGACTAACCCCCAACACCCATCCTAGGGAGAGGCTCTATCTGAGGGCAGGGTGAGTAGGCAATTGCTGTTTGCTGCTGTTCCTGCACAGGCAATCTCTAAGAAACCTTGTTAGGTAACATCTGCTGCATAGGTGACTGTTTGCCCACTGGGCATCAGTGGTTTGATAAGTGATATCCTAGCACTTGGACACTAGGAGCATTCTCATCTGTAAGCAACTGTACTGGTTGTAACTCCCCAGAGCTAATGATGCCAAGGTTTTCCAGTGTGGGCTCCCAGCTGCTGAGTGGGAAGAGCTTGGCTGTCCTATTAAATGGAATAGAAGTAAAGGAGCGTACTAGGGAGAAATCTTCCCTAACTCTGGGTTCACTGAATGCACACATGTTACCATTTACAGGAATCACCCTGCCCTGTATTATTCCTGGGTCATACGGTCCATCAGGATTTCCAGGCACTCCCGGATTCCCAGGTATGGAATGAGGCCAGAGAAAGCCACTAAACACTCTTGTAAGGGCCATAAGGCAAAGGAAGCAGAGGATAGCCCAGTAGTATTTGGGGATCCACATTCCTCCTGAGGGCAGCCTTGGGGATTGAGGAAACAGGATGGCTGCTGGAGAGGGCAGTGTGGGGAGGTGAGACAAGGAGAGGCTCTCCAAGAGACTGGGATTCTTGACTGAACATCACAAATCATACCTAGCACACCGACTTTCCTTTCCCCTCATTGCTTACATTTGGGTTTTCAGGCCCTAAAGGGTCTCGAGGCCTCCCTGGGACCCCAGGCCAGCCTGGGTCAAGTGGAAGTAAAGGAGAGCCAGGGAGTCCAGGATTGGTTCATCTTCCTGAATTACCAGGTAAGAAAAGGAGTGTCTCCTCACCTGCTTCTCTTTGTGTGTATGTGTGTGTGTGTGTGTGTGTGTGTGTATTTGGGTTGTGGTAGTCCTCTGCCAATTACAGGAAGCCAAGTTTGCTCTCTGGTGTGGGTAGGATTGTTTAATTTTATACCCTGGCAAGACACAGCATACAGCCATAGAATGACAGCATATTAGAGCAATAAGGACCATTCAAAATCAGCTGGGGCAACCCCTTAACTTTCAGATGAGGAAACTGAGGCCCAGATGGGAAATGACTTGTCCGAGATCACTAAACCACTAGTGACAGAGCTAGGACTCTGCCAGGTTGTCTGTCTGCCAGTTCTATGAGTTTCCTGGATCAACTCCTTAAGGGCCAGTGAAAGAGATTGAGATCAGTCAGAGGGAAGTTGTCCATTTCTATCCCTTTTCTCACACTCTCTTGTTCCAACTTGAGCTTCATGATTCTTCACTGTACTAGTGGTCCTCAAACTGTACTCCATGGGCCAGCATCAGCATCACCTAGGAACTTGATGGAAATGCAAATTTTCTGCCTCTCCACAGGATCTGCTGATCATAACCTCTGGGGATGGGCCCGGTAATCTGCTTGTTACCCCAGGTGATTGTGATGCTTGCTCAGATTTGAGAACTGCACTGCTCTAGGGCTCGGGGCTCATCTTGGACCATGTGCTCCAGGGTCCCCTCCAGTACCCTCTCCCCACCCAAGAAGAAGGAGGCATGACAGCAGAAGCTAGAGAACTCCAGAAGAGGTTGAACTTTTCTCAGGATGCTATGGGGTGGCGTGTGTTCTTCAACAACTGTAGGACCCTCAGGAACAGTTTGTGGACCTCCGCCCACAGCCCTGCCTCCCAGAACTAGAACCTCCTCCAGGTCGCAGGGCACAGTCCCTGCCTCTGCACAAGGCCTTGCAGGAACAGAGACTCCTGACCTTCAAGAGAAGTGACATATATTATTAATATGTTAGCTTTCATATTAGAAAAATCTGTCTCAGAGATCTGTACTCAGACAAATTGCTTCTAAACAGCCATGGTCTTTTATGTTCGCCTTTTTACGTTTAGGATTTCCTGGACCTCGTGGGGAGAAGGGCTTGCCTGGGTTTCCTGGGCTCCCTGGAAAAGATGGCTTGCCTGGGATGATTGGCAGTCCAGGCTTACCTGGTTCCAAGGGAGCCACTGGTGACATCTTTGGTGCTGAAAATGGTGCTCCGGGGGAACAAGGCCTACAAGGATTAACAGGGCACAAAGGATTTCTTGGAGACTCTGGCCTTCCAGGACTCAAGGGTGAATCTTTTTGCCCCAATTATTTAACAATCTACAGAAAGCCTTATATTAATTCGTATACTTCCATGAATACTTGCATGAATCTGGGGTGATGGTTTAATTAAGGGGTTAAAATGAAATATTTTATTCTGTCCCTCCCTTTTGTGAAATTTTCCTTAAATAGCCTGAGTCGACTTTACTGTCTTAGTAATTCCAAAAGTGACCATAACTAATAGTCAAATTTCTTGCAAAGACTGGGTTACGGCTGGGAATAGCAACAAGGCTGGAGCTGAGAAGACAGTGGCACCTGGGATAAGTCCTGGAAGTTGGTTTGCTGACCCACTCACTGCTATCTCTCCAGGCTGTGATCATTTGCCCTTTTCTTTTATCAGGTGTGCACGGGAAGCCTGGCTTACTAGGCCCCAAAGGTGAGCGGGGCAGCCCTGGGACACCAGGACAGGTGGGACAGCCAGGCACCCCAGGATCTAGTGGTCCATATGGCATCAAGGGCAAATCTGGGCTCCCAGGAGCACCAGGCTTCCCAGGCATCTCAGGTAGGTCCTTCAGAGGAAGAGTCCCACCTTGACAGACTTCAGCTAGGCCCTGGGCCCAGATGCCCTGGGGGGGCAATAGCAGTAGTGGGACATGGTCAGAATTTAGAATGAGACTTGACTTTCCTAAGCTCTCAAGTTTCAAATCTCAAGTCACCCTTGCAGTACCAAGCAGAACAGATTGCTGCAGGTTAGCTTCCAAACTGTTGCCACAAATCTTTCCCCTCCCCCCGCCTCCTCCATGGCCTCATGCCCAGTTTTCAGGTTTCAACTCTCCCGACCTCCCCAGTTAGAGAAGCCACCCTCATCGTTGAGGGAGTCTAGTCCATCTCCATGCCTTCACTGGTGCTGTGGGCAGCCTGCTTTTGGTTGGGGAGAAGCTTGAGCAGAGTGTGACCACACCGGCAGCCTGCCTCTCAGGCGAGCATGCCTCCAAGGACCCATGGCCAAGTGTCTTTTACTCAGCAGTGGGGCCTGACACTTGCTGCTTCCAGACTCGTGTTTGCAGCTTTGCCTTTTTCTCGCACCACCCTCCTCAACCTGCTTCGGTGACTGCACCATTCCCAACCGCCCCTTACTCCTGGCCTAGTGACTGAAGCTGAGTTATTTGCAGAGCCATTAATGTCCTTTTTATTCCCTTTGTCTCTCTGTGTTTCTGAGATCTTCACATAGGCTGCCTCAGTGAGAAAACACAGCACACAAGCTCACAGACTAACACCCCCAATGGCTCTGCCACTCAGGAATGTATCTGATTATACACTATAACATGGCCTTGCTTACAAGGCCAGGGATCCCTGAGCTCCTGCTGTGGGGTTGGCTCCCATTGAATTTTTCCCTTGTTGTGGAGTTCCCTTCACAGCCTCCCATTTGAATCCTGGGGCTTGCAGCTACTTGATGCTTTTCAATCCATAGAAAGCCAAGTCAGCCATTCATTTGGGTCCTTGGGGACCCAAATACCTCTGTCGTCATGATTTAATCCTTTCGTTTTTTAATTTCCTTGCTTTGTACCTGAACATTCCACTTTGGCAGCAGCTCAGGAGGTTAATCCCATTGACCAACTTTAAAGCGTGGTGAAAGACGTCTCAGAATACCTAGGAGACCAAATGGGCCTTGTGGGTTTCTACAGTACTTGGCACTAGGGGGTCTTTCAACCTTAATGCCAAGGAACTGGCTGACTTAACTGATTGCTTGAGGGATTAAAAGGGCAGCCCTGTATCCAAGGCTCCCTGGGAGGCTGAAACAACAGCTCAGCTTTAACCTCTACTTCACCGATTGGCTCAGGAAACAGCCATTGTGGCGTGATTCAGACTGGAAGTACCAGGAAACTGGAGCCTACTTGCCACCCTGGCTTCCTAGAGCTCCATTCAGGGGCTAAAGTGTAAACCACATTCACAAAGAGACAAAAAGTTATAATCAGAAGGGGTTTGCTCTCCCTGCCAGCTAATGTGCCATGCTGGAAGTAATAACCATTGGCGTGGCACTCTGGGTAGTAGATGCTAACGCTTCAGCCAACTAAGAACTCTGCCTGTTAGCAGTTTGCATGTGCTATTGTTAAAGGGCCATTTACAAAACCTAACAAGCCAAACCAATCAGAAGCTATGATATAGGCAGTGGCCCAGATCTGGCCAGAGCCTCACTTGACAGCTGTCCTGTGTTCTCTCCTGTGCTTATTCAGGACATCCTGGAAAGAAAGGAACAAGAGGCAAGAAAGGTCCTCCTGGATCAATTGTAAAGAAAGGGCTGCCAGGGCTAAAAGGCCTTCCTGGAAATCCAGGCCTAGTAGGACTGAAAGGAAGCCCAGGCTCTCCAGGGGTCGCTGGGTTGCCAGCCCTCTCTGGACCCAAGGGTAAGTGAAGTGATCAGTGAAGTGACCAGTGGTTGCCAAAAAGGAGCATTTCAGCTGCGCAGCTTGCTCCTTCCTCTCTGCCTAGGAATGGGAAATGGGGAGGGACTTGGACAGGGCTTTTTGTGTCAAGATAGTTGGACAAGGCTAGTGCTAAAGGGGGACCTCTGGTCAAGGTGAGTCACCCTCACTGCCTGCTGGGTGGAACACTAGGCTGAGTATCATGGTCAGCAAAACCCTGGGCAGTACCAGCCACACTGGGTTTACTCATTTGCATAGTCCTACCATGGAGGCTGATAGCACTCACTTCCTATGATTGCCTTGATAGCCATTGGTAGTTGGGCAGGTGGTATCTCCATTTAAAAAAAGGGAAAGTGAGTGGTTTAAGGTCACACAACTGGTTAGCAGCAGAACGAGGCTAAAGCTCATCTCCTTGCCTCCTGGCCCTAGGCTTTTTTTTTTTTTCCTGTATCACACATGAGCTATAACTCGGTGAATCATAAGAGAGGGGCCCAATTTTTTTTTTTTTTTGACAGAGTTTTGCTCTTTCGAGTGAAGTGGCACGATCTCAGCTCACTGCAACCTCTGCCCCCCAGGTTCAAGCAATTCTCCTGCCTCAGCCTCCCGAGTAGCTGGGATTATAGGCACCCGCTACCACGCCCAGCTAATTTTTGTATTTTTAGTAGAGATGGGGTTTTGCCATGTTGGCCAGGCTGGTCTCGAACTCCTGACCACAGGTGATCCACCCGCCTCACCTTCCCAAAGTGCTAGGATTACAGTGTGACCCACTGTGCCCGGCCGAGAGGAGCCCACTTCTTTCCTTTGTATTGTGTAGTGCCATGTCCCTATTCAGGAAGGTAGTATAATATGTAATAAATAAGAGTTTGGTAATGACTAAGACTTTGGAATTAGAGAAACCTGGGTTTGAATTCCTTCTCTGCAACTTCCTTGCTGTATGACTTTGGGCAAGTTACTCAACCTCCCTGAGCCTCCATTTCCTGGTATGTAAAATGGGAGTGATAATAAAAGTTCTTGTTTTTCAACAGGAGAGAAGGGGTCTGTTGGATTCGTAGGTTTTCCAGGAATACCAGGTCTGCCTGGTATTCCTGGAACAAGAGGATTAAAAGGAATTCCAGGATCAACTGGAAAAATGGGACCATCTGGACGTGCTGGTACTCCTGGTGAAAAGGGTGAGCTGGGGAATTGAATTCTGGAACTGCTGCCCATGCTTTTCAATATATATATTTTGTTTGTTGACTTGGTTATTCCTGTGGTTTGTACCAAATCTATGTTAGATAATAAAAATTTGGGCTTCTGAATTAAGTCCTTTTAAACCAAAAGACTTAATCCCCTCTTAGTTAACACTGCATGTTAAAGGCCATGTGTGCCCATTCCCGGAAGACCAGTGGAGGAAGGATTTGAGGAGAGTCTAAAGTTGCTGATAGACTTGGGATTTGTAGAAGAGGACATACACAGAAATGTGAAGTTGGGGGAATAGGGGTGGGGAATAAGATGGAAAGGCCCCAAAAGAGGGCTGTGGTGGTATGGGAAGAAATGATGTGAAAGGTCAGCCTTTGCCTGACCCTGCGTCTAAGCTCTCTTTCTCATGCTGATCTCCATCCCTGCAGGAGACAGAGGCAATCCGGGGCCAGTCGGAATACCTAGTCCAAGACGTCCAATGTCAAACCTTTGGCTCAAAGGAGACAAAGGCTCTCAAGGCTCAGCCGGATCCAATGGATTTCCTGGGCCAAGAGGTGCTGGGGCAGGGGATGGATAGGAGAAATGCTCAAGAGAGGCTTCATAACCAAACTTGGCTTCCTTCTTGAGCAAAGGCCCTCAAGTACAGCCCCCCATCGCCAACCTCAGAGCAGCAGTGTGGCTGGCAGCAAGGAATCCAAGAAGGCTGCCTCCCCTGGGCCTGAAGGCTGCCTGGACTTTGAGACTGCCATTTGTTATTGCCACTGTAGAACTGAGGTTTTCAACCACAGGCAGTGGTACCCCTGGAGGACCCTGAGCACTGTGCTGCTTTCCCAGTGGTATAGCAGAAGCAACTCTGTCGATGCCCCATAAGACTGAAAGCATCTCTCCCCACTTCACCTTTACCTTTAAGCTAACTGCTCCCTGAGCCTGCACTTGGCCTGCGACCTGGGGCACCTGCATCTTGGCAAGCTGGGTTTTTCTTGCCCAGTGTCTTTTTCCAAGTCTTTTTATTTCTTTTACAGGTGACAAAGGAGAGGCTGGTCGACCTGGACCACCAGGCCTACCTGGAGCTCCTGGCCTCCCAGGCATTATCAAAGGAGTTAGTGGAAAGCCAGGGCCCCCTGGCTTCATGGGAATCCGGGGCTTACCTGGCCTGAAGGGGTCCTCTGGGATCACAGGTTTCCCAGGAATGCCAGGAGAAAGTGTAAGTGTGACCAGATCTTTGTCTTTATACCAGAAAAGGCCCCCCATCTCACGGGGATATACCCCCACTGCCCACCTCTCTGATCCCAGCTTACTTCTCAGCCCCTTCTCCCAGGACATCCTCAGAAAGAGTTCTCTCCTTGAGTCTGACAGGTCTTCCCACCCTTTCCTGAACATCTCCTCCTCTGTTCTTTTGTTCACATCTCCCTGAAATGGCAGAGCCTTCTCTTGCCTTTACAATTATCCAATATCTGCCTGCCCTTCAGTCCCCAGCCCAGGCACCATCTCCTCCAGGAGTCCCTGAGCTCCCACCCAGCTGCCACTCTATACTTATCACTGCTGACATCAATTCTAGTTGCTTCTGTGTGGGTCTGACTTCCTCAATGAGATTGTTACAGCTTGAGAACAAGAACTACCTTACATGCTTTTTTCTCTGCACCCCACTGCCAGCATTTCATGTTGAGCCTGGCACATTGTAAGAATTCGTAAAAACTTCTTGACGTTTTGCTAGAAAGGTCTTTGAAGCTCCACAAGGTGCAACGACTAGCAAAGAATCAAGTCCAGCTTATCTGGGCTCATACAAGGCAAGGTGGAAGAGGTGGCTTAGCAATGAGACCAACCTGGATTTGAACCTCAGCTCCATTGCTCATTAGCTCTGTGATCTTGTGCACACTGTTTACCTTACCTAAACCTCACTTTCCTCATCTGTAAAAATTGGGAATAATATTTAAATAGCCTTCAGACAGTAGGGAGGGTTAAGTGACATGACTCATGTAAAGCTCTTAACATTGTGTCTGGCACATAGCCGGCTCTGCATAAATAGCAGATGTATCAAATGGTCTCAATGAATTGAATCACAGAACACCTGGGCTCCTTGCAGGCAAAGTCCCTGAACTTCAAAAGTGTCAGTCCATCTGATGGAGAGAACTTGGTGTGTGCGTGCACACACACACACACACACACACACACACACACACACCTGAAGCAATTGAAAATAAATAGTTCTAGACTGGATAGTCCTGACTACTTACATTCTAGGGGGATGAAAACAAAGTGGGAATGCATTCTAGGAGAAGTCCCAGCATGAACAGAGGCTCAGAATTAGAAGATATGGCAATGTGCCTGATGAAGCCGGGCAAGGAAGCAGCCACGATGGAGGGGTGTCCTGGGTAGTGGTCCAGTGCACACAGTGACCCAGCCCAGTACTCAGCCTCCTACCCAAAGCACTAAGTGGCATAAATCTTTACTGGATACTGGGTAAATCTCAAAATGAACCAAAACCATAACAGATATCAAGAAAAGAACTTTGCTGATGGCAGCTGACATGGCCACTTCCCAGACTCAGATAGTGTGTTGGACATTAGCCAGTGAAGGCAGATTTTCCTCTGAAAATGGTAACATTTGCCCAAATTCAGACTCCAGCACCTGCACACATACCACCTGCTACCTGGTGGCAGAAAGAACTTGTGTTCCTTGCGGAACCTGTGGCAGAGGGCTAACCCTGCAGGGTGAAGTGAAACTTCTTCCTATGCATAATGGCTCCAGAGCTTTGGCAAGGACAGTGGTAGCCAACTGTGTGTTGAGTCCATTGAGTGCCTGGCCTGTCATCTTCTGCATTTTCTGAGAGACTCGCTAGAATGGCCACACTGTGACTTTCTAAGATTCCCATTTTGATAAGCAGTGGAATCGAATCCTTCCCCTACAAACCCTAAGTATGTGCTCTGCCCTTTGTTCATCACCTTCCCGTTTGCAGGACATAACATCCCCACTTCCAGCCCACAGTCCACCCTTGCCACAGAATACATGATGGACATCTCTCAGGCAGTGGCTCAGTGAGGGGTGAGGAAGTAAGAGGGTGGGCAGTCCTGAGCTCTGGGCAGAAATGATGATTCCCATATTGCTTCGAAGGGTTCACAAGGTATCAGAGGGTCGCCTGGACTCCCAGGAGCATCTGGTCTCCCAGGCCTGAAAGGTAAGGAGCATTTTTTTTTTCTTTTAATGTTTTCTTCTAGAGCAAGGTAGATTTCTAGCAGGCCCAAGGGTCTCTCTCTTTTTTTTTTTTTTTTTTTTTTTTTCTTTTTTAGGCAGAGTCTCGCTCTGTCACCTAGTGTCACCTAGGCTGGAGTGCAGTGGCGCAATCTCAGCTCACTGCAACCTCTGCCTCCCGGGTTCAAGCGATTCTCCTGCCTCAGCTTCCTAAGTAGCTGGGATTACAGGCATTAACCACCACACCCGGCTAATTTTTGTATTTTTGGTAGAGACGGATTTCACCATGTTGGTCTGGCTGGTCTCAAACTTCTGACCTCGTGGTCTGCCCACCTCAGCCTCCCAAAGTGCTGGGATTACAGGCGTGAGCCACTGCACCTGGCCATCCCAAGGGTCTCTTGCGAGGGTAGCGGAGAGTCTGTGTTTAGGGGAAAGTCAATTAATTTACATTTTCCCTTTGGCCAAACCCCTTTTGCAGTCCTTGTTCCTCACAGACAATGCAACAAACAATGGTACTTACCAAGATCTCTCTCTGTGGCTTTCATGGATCCAAGGAAAAGGCTGTCCTTTGGCTTTGTGGTTTTGCCCATCTGCTTTCCAGACTTAGCAGCGAGGAGAACCTCGGCTCCAGTCTCTTCCCCTGATAAACCCAGCCCACTAGGCAGGAAAATTTCCCATTCTTGCTGGCATCACTGTTCCATTCTGGTGATGTTTGAGGGCCCTGCCTACCATCTTCTCTGCCCATACTGAGCCTAGTGATGTGTTTCCCAATGGAGATATGCTGTATGTAGCAGCATTTCATGCCAGTAGTCTGGTAGCAGCATCCCAGCTCCTGGATGGTGGTTCATCACTTTTTACCCAATAGATAATTTTGTCAAGGAGCTCCTCTGGCTACACTGAATCTGAAAAAAAAAATGTGTTCAAAAGATCTCAGTGGTGCAAAATGAGCTATAGCTTCTCCTGGCCATTTAAACAATGTATTGGAATCCTCAGGAGACAACGGCCAGACAGTTGAAATTTCCGGTAGCCCAGGACCCAAGGGACAGCCTGGCGAATCTGGTTTTAAAGGTAAGGTTGCTATATTTTTGTCTTGTTTGCCTCACAGACTCCACAAAACTGAGGATTAGAAGGAATTTTGGAGGTCAACCCCAAGTTCTGCAACTTCTATCCAGTGCAGAAAATTTCCTATCTATCAATTCCCCAAGCAAATCAGCCTACTCTTCCTTCAAGACTCATAGACTGGCAAAGACCTTTGGGATAATGGCCTACATCCCCTTAGTTTAGAAGTTGTTATCTAAACTGTCCTTCTTGAACATTTCCACTTATTGCTCCCACTTCTGAAGGGATACTCATAACAAATTTACTTGCTTCTCAATTGTAGGGCACCTTTCTAATGTGAAAACAGCCACCACTATCTTTTTTAGAGTTTCTTCATTGGGTCTAGCTCCTTCAGCAATTCAGAATCTACTCTTTCCCATAGAGGAATACACTGCTAGAAATATGGCCTAATCACTCAGCATTTTTCTTGGTTTTATAGGCACAAAAGGAAGAGATGGACTAATAGGCAATATAGGCTTCCCTGGAAACAAAGGTGAAGATGGAAAAGTTGGTGTTTCTGGAGATGTTGGCCTTCCTGGAGCTCCAGGTACCATGCCACATGATAACCTTATTCTGAAAGAGTTTGGATTAGCTTCAAGCCATGCCCCATTCTGAACCTCTGCCTTGGTTTCACATTTAGGATTTCCAGGAGTTGCCGGCATGAGAGGAGAACCAGGACTTCCAGGTTCTTCTGGTCACCAAGGGGCAATTGGGCCTCTAGGATCCCCCGGATTAATAGGACCCAAAGGTATGTGTATTTGGGAGCAGGCAGTGGGGAAAAGTCTTTCCCTCGATGAAGGACACCAACTACTTTATCTTAGAAGATACTAGCTAGGGTTAAGCCATGCCTACAGGAGTCATTGGACATGAGGAATCATGGGAAAGGAAGATGAAGAGTAATGAAGGCAGGCAAGCATGAGTGTGAAGAGAAGAATATGGGATCCATGAAGAGAAGAGCTAGCAAGGAAGGCAATTGCCCTGGCATGTGTAGCCTTTCCCTGACTTAGAGATTGGGCAGTGAGTTTCTGGAACCAGTCTCTGGGAGCTGACAACTCAAGGTCTTGACATTGCTACTCTGAGTTCTTCTTCAAGATACCTAATGAGCTGCCATCTTACTCCTAAAGCTGTATTGGTCTCTGATAAGAGTCATGAGAACCTGTGGTGTAGGATATAGGTTGGGAGTGTTTTCTTCTCCCTTAGGGCATTAAGTAAATGCCTCAAAAAAGACCAGGACTTTAAAATAAGGACCTCGCAATGCCTTTGGGGGCAGGTAGCTACCTCTTGCTGATGCTTCATGATTCAGAGTTGCTGGAGCCATTTTTGACATTCTCTCCCCTCAGGCTTCCCTGGATTTCCTGGTTTACATGGACTGAATGGGCTTCCGGGCACCAAGGGTACCCATGGCACTCCAGGTTAGGAAGACCCTCAGGGTGAAGAGGAGGGCATCAGCTCTTCCAGAAGCCTGGCAAGGGCTGGCCATGAATTCTCGACTGTGGTGTATCCCATATCCTTGGACTCATAGCTCTCCTTATTAACCTCCAATTTGAGGTCCCTTGATATGGAGAAGAAAGAGGATGGGTTTTTTTCTTCTACTCAGATTAACTTTCTTTCTTGTTACTTCAGTACTCTGCCTCTGGTGTCTGTCAGTCAGGCTTCTCAGGCCACAGGCGAGTGAGTTAGGCAGGAAGGCCTCACCTCCACTGAGGTCTGCCCCCTACCCCTGCATCTCCTCCTAGGACCTAGTATCACCGGTGTGCCTGGGCCTGCTGGTCTCCCTGGACCCAAAGGAGAAAAAGGATATCCAGGAATTGGCATCGGAGCTCCAGGGAAGCCGGGCCTGAGAGGGCAAAAAGGTGATCGAGGTGAGTCCAAGTCAGGCCTTGTAGAGGCTGAGTGAGGCCTTGCTGGGAGAGTCAGGTTTAGGGTACAGCAGGGCCATGTGGCTCACAGGGTTGGGCTGTGAGTGTCTTCACATCTCTGGGAGTCTCACAACCCAGTGGGAATGACTGCTGAGAAAGAGAGGTTAGGCTGTGCTTAGCATTTTCCAGTGAAGACTGTCAGGGCACAGTTCACCAAGTCCATTTTAGCCTCCAGATTCTCTTCTGTTCCTCCTTACTAACCTCAAGCCTCTCTGGCATGCTTGGTCAGAGCTTGCAATTATTGGTCCTGAGGGACAGGGCTTGTCCATTTAGTGAGAGGTTGGCTGGCATTTCCTCAGCGTCCAGTGTGGATGGCACTCCCAGGGCCCTGGGAAGACAGTGTGGCTGCGGGAAGGATCCCAAGACTAAGATGATACAAGTCTCCACCGGACAGAACCACAGCATACCCTCAACTAGAATTTGTTGGGTTTACTAGAAAGCAGGTTCTACCCTAATCTCGGCCCCTGACTCATCACATGGCCTGAAGTCCCTTTCTGAGTCTCCCTTTCCCCACCTCTCAGAAAGTAAGAATGACTTGTGTTCTTCAACTTTTCCTCAGGAAAGTTCCAAAAACCCGTGTACATTCCACTCCATGTTAACCAGGAAATGAATTCACCATAGCATCATGGTTAAGAGTATGGGCTCTGAAATCAGACTAGCTGGGTTCAAATTCAAGCTATACCTCTCACTAGCTATATGACTTTAAACAAGGAAGTTACTTGTTCCTCAATCCCAAATGAGCCCTTAGTTTTCCTTTTCCATAAAATGAACATTATAACAGAACCTACCTCATAGGTTTTTTGAGGAATCAATGAGGAACGAGGTAAGATATACAAAAGCTCAGTGCCTGGCACATAGTATATACTTAAGAATATTATTGCATGTTACCTGGGGAAATCATATTTGCAAAATTTCCTGTTTCTCTCTGCTCTGGGGCTTGAGGTCTCACCGCATTTTGTTTATGTGCATGTTTGTGTACAGTGTGTATGTTTCCGAGGGACTATATTCATATATTAATTCATTTCCTGCTGCATTTTAAATTGATGCATCTGCAGTTTCTGTGTTTGTTCTTCCCTTTGATCTGGACCAAACTGTTCTTTTCTGAAAGCCAGCAGCTTCTCCAGAGGAAGGGCTCAAAGCAGGGTCCGAGCCTGCCCAGAGACTGTCTTCTTTCATGGGATATAGGGAAAAGGGGACTGGATAAAAACACAGGGACATTTTCTTTTGTTTTCAAATCTTGATGGTCATTAGATTATTCATTTTCTTTAGCTATCTGAGATAATAAAATCACAATTATGCATGTAGTAAACAGCACAGGTCAAGAAGGATACATTTCAGCAACATAGCACTAAACAAAAAACAAACATGTCACAGAGGAATACATTTGGTATGATTCCATCAATAAATGTTCAAAAATAAGCGAAACCAACCAATACATTGTTTAGAGATATACATGGTCAAACTGAAGAAAAAGGAAGAGGATGATGAACAAAATTCAGGAGTGATTGCCTCTGAGAGGAAGGGAAGGAAGAGGGTGGAGGGCACACAAGGAAATTCAAAACAAGTGACATCTTCTTAAGTTGAGTGGTTGAAACACAAGTGTTCATTGTATCTGAATTATTCTTTGCATATTATAAATATTATGTCATATCTTCTCAATATCTAATTAAAACAATTTCTTTAAAAAGAATACAAGAAATATCATACCACGCCCCACCCCACCCCCACAGGAACCTATCTTTGATTTGACAACGGGAGTCAGTGCAATATGATGATTTACTCCTAAGAAAACATCACAGAGTGGTTGGGTGCAGTGACTCATGCCTGTAATCTTAGCACTTTGGGAGGCCATGGCAGGCAGATTGCTTGAGCCCAGGAGTTGGAGACCAGCCTAGGTAACATGGTAAAACCCTGTTTCTACAAAAAATACAAAAATTAGCAGGGCATAGTGGTGTGCGCCTGTAATCCCAGCTACTCGGGGGCTGAGGTGGGAGGATTGCTTGAGCCTGGGAGGTTGAGGCTGCAGTGAGTCCTGACCACATCACTGCACACCAGCCTGGGCAACAGAGCAAGACCCTATCTCAAACAAACTAACCAATAAAAAAACTTCATAGAGCAATCCCTCTCATTACAGTACTGTTATCTAAATAACTTTCAATGATACTATTTGTTTTCATATTTGCACTAAATACGTAGAGGCTGCATTTATGTATTTTGTTTTTTCAAGGCTTTGACACTGGACTGAGTTGGAAAAATGGGCTGTTTTGC
Organism: Homo sapiens; assembly: GCF_000001405.40. Classification (NCBI taxonomy): domain Eukaryota; kingdom Metazoa; phylum Chordata; class Mammalia; order Primates; family Hominidae; genus Homo; species Homo sapiens. Next base: position 108,167,169 of record NC_000023.11, on the reverse strand, counting down.
ATTTTCATCTGCTCATTTAAAGTGTTTTATTGTTAAAGAAATGCATGAGCTTTTTGCAATACTTGAAGTCAGTAGTGCCTTTATTTCAGGTTTAATAACACGTAAGTGTAATTATAAAATTAAGAAACAGGTAAAGGGAGAAAAAGTCTCCAAAAACTGCCATGGGAACTTTTATAATTTGTGTACTGCCCACCACTGCCTACTCTATTACACATGTGGTGTCTTGTTTATTAGTTTTGCATAATTTCAGTTTATATATATAAGCTATACATATATATGCTTTATATGTATATATACATAATATATGTGTAGAGCTGTATTTTCAGAAAAAAAGTATACAATATGTCTTTCTTTTCAGATTTTTACCCTGGGGATAAAGAAAAATATTTCAAAGGTTCACCAAACCAGAAGTAACAATGCTATGAGTACCACCACGTGGCTTAGCTACTAGTTTTCTTTTTGTGTTTTTTCTTTTTTCCGGACCTAAGAAACCTAGAGAGACTTTTCTCAAAATTTATTTTTTCTTTGTCTAAATTTCAAGATTCAATTAATTAATGAGCTATTTAAAAACACCCAAATCTACCATCACTTTTATAAATTTTCATGGATTTACCTTAATAAGAGAAATTCAGCATATTTTTGCATTTTTCTTGTCACAAAAGATAAAATTCGATATTAACATTTTTGGATTTTCTTGTCGCAAACAAAAATTAAGAATCTCAACCACCAGAACAGTTTATCAACCAGTTTGAATCCATTTATCTTCATTTGAATATCTTCTAGAATATCCCAAAGTAATAAATATATATCTTCCATGCTACATGTATAATATCAACACCTACATTTGTGTTTTCCCATCAAGATTACCATCTATGTATTTGATATGTGAACATTAAATAAATCTTCTGTGATCAGATGAAAGTTTTGGTTTTGAACATATTACAATAGAAATAGTTCCACAAACAGAAAACATGTAAAGCAGTATTAAAATTAGAGCAAATGAGTATTCTGTATCTATTGTAATAAGTGGTTATTCTCTTTGGCCAAAAAGGGGGGAGGGATTTAGTACAGAGATATTTGTTCCATAGGCAATTAAGCAATCACTTGGCTCATATCATGAATGACCTATAAAAGATTGTTTTCCAGTTTGCCTAGAAATTGCAGAAGATAGCCCTAGAAGACACAGAGGCACCGCATTCTTGCTGCCTCCATTCTGATCGGCCTGGTGTCTGTTCTGACTGGCTGGGGCCTGTGGCCTACGTTCTGTAACCTTTGTGCAGCATCAGACATAACTGGCTAACTTAAGAGGTGTTTTTTGACACAGACAGGTTTAAAATCACTTTGGAAACTTAAAAGTCCAGGTGCTCAGTCATGCCTTCTTTTCTTTCTGGTGTGGGGGAAGTTGGCCTAAAATATTTCCATTACCAGTGAGGTAAGGGAGCTAGAACTTTCCAATAAAATGCAGCTCCAGCTGGAAAAGGGGAGTCTCTGAGCCCTTGTCAGTTAGTCTGCTTTCTGGGAAGGAAGGATTAGGGAAGAAGAGCCCTCTGCTGGCGTTCTCTGGTCTGGCTCCTACCTAACTGCTTCCATTTTCTCTGTGTGAGCTTCCATTTTCTCTGAAAGAGCCTGGCCATCTTCTGGGCACACAGAGCCTATCCAGCCCCTTTTATTTATTCTTTACAGGTTTCCCAGGTCTCCAGGGCCCTGCTGGTCTCCCCGGTGCCCCAGGCATCTCCTTGCCCTCACTCATAGCAGGACAGCCTGGTGACCCCGGGCGACCAGGCCTAGATGGAGAACGAGGTAAAGACAGGAAGCCCAAAAGAGGGCTAGCCACCACCTTTTGTCTGACATTTGGGGAAGTCATGTATACAGCGCAGCCAAGTCCCTGTTGCTGGACATATGTGGGCGTGTTTGGCTTCACATCCCTCCCCGAGTGGGGACACAGGGGACTTGAGCCAAGTGCATTTTGCTAAAATGGTTTGGGAAAGTCTGGGCACTAGGACCCCACCGATGGTGAGGGAACATTCTCTGTCCTGGGAATGGGCTTTGGAGTCCTGTCAGTCCCTAGGCCTTCTGCAGTGGCTACTACCTGTTCACCTGCCCCTCGCCCCTCTTCCGATCTTATCCCTAGGCCGCCCAGGCCCCGCTGGACCCCCAGGTCCCCCTGGGCCATCCTCGAATCAAGGCGACACCGGAGACCCTGGCTTCCCTGGAATTCCTGGACCTAAAGGGCCTAAGGGAGACCAAGGAATTCCAGGTTTTTCTGGCCTCCCTGGAGAGCTAGGACTGAAAGGTACGGCTGCTCGGCTGGCTGCTGGGCCCTTCCCCACTCCACGGCCAGGACTCCTTCCTGCAGTCCTGTGAAGAGAGGCCGGTGGCTGATGTTCTTCCCTACCTCACCCCTGCCTATCCTCCACCCCTACCACCCCTACCATGCCGGGACCTGACTTGCTTCCTTTGGGCTTTGTCAGGCATGAGAGGTGAGCCTGGCTTCATGGGGACTCCAGGCAAGGTTGGGCCACCTGGAGACCCAGGATTTCCCGGAATGAAGGGGAAGGCAGGGCCAAGAGGTAAGTTGAGAGCATGTGCTGGGCTGATCCAGAGCTCGAGGGAGGGGCCTGGTGGTAAGGTTCCTTCAGGCATCATTGCTCACCACGCCAAGAAAGTCTGGATGTCTAAAACAGCTGGATCAAGGTACCCCAGAGAGGCAGTTTCTCTACCTTGGGGATCCTTCAGCCTCTATCACCTCCCAGGACTGAAGACCACTGCTGCCTTGCCACCATGGATCCTGCTACTGACTGCCTCTCTGTGTTAATCTCTGCATTAGTGGGCATTGGGTTTGCACTCAGATCACCACCCACCCGTTTGCTCAATTCAGAAATAAAGAACCGTCTTTTGCATCCTTTCCCACCCTCACTCACACACATGCAATCTAGTAGCAAGCCCTGAGGCTTGTACCTCCTAAATGTGCCTTGCATCTGTTCACCTCGCAGTACCTTGGTTGCTACCCCCAGATCCAAGCCACCAATAGTTCTCATGCAGCACCCTTCCTCCCCCGACCCTAGTGGTCACTTTTCCACATAGTGGCCAAAAAGAGCTTATAAAAACATAAATCATCCAGTGGCTTCCCATGGCGTAGGAATGAACTCACCGTGGCACGCAAAGCCCTGTGTGATGCCTCCCTCTTCATCCTCATGGCCAGCCCTTCCCCTTTGCTGCTCACTGTGCTCCTGCCATACTGGCCTCTTTCAGTTATCCAAAAACACCAAGTCCTGGCCTACCACAGGGCCTTTGCACATGCTACTTCTACTTCCCAGAGTGCACTTGCCCCTCTACTCTTTAAATAGCAAAGTCCTTCTAATGTTTTAGTGGTCTCAGTTTAAATGTCATTGCTTGCAAAAGGCCACTGATCATTCTCTAAAACAGATGCCTCCACCCCATACCACCCTCTGCTCCCTCCCAGTGTCCCTGTGTTAGTCCTTTCCTCCACAACACTTCTCCCAACTTACACTCAGATTAACAGTATTTGTCGAGTTAGGCATTATTCATCTTCATCACCAGACCATAATCTCCATAAATGTCTGTCATATTCATTGCTCTATCCCCAGAGCTACCAGGACCCTGGCATATAATAAGCACTGGGGAAATATTTGTTCAATGACTTACTAAGCAAATTATGCTATTAGAAAGGCAGCTGGCTGGCGCCGGGTTCCTAGGCTGGGATGCCAACTGAACCTCTGGGGTTAGAAGCGTCCCCTCAGCCTCCTTGGCACTGTGCTCTAACCAGTGAGTAAACCAGCCACCCCAGCCCTGAGAGAAGGCTCAGCTCACCATATTAGCAGCAAATGCTTCTGGACTGCCTGTCACCCACTGGGCACAATGCTGGGCCCTGAGGAGACAGGATGAATATGACCCAGTTCCTGCCCTCTTGGAGCTACCCAACCACTGGGGAGAGAGATGGATAAAGATTGTATAATATCACACAGTGCCATCCTGGAGATACCCGGGTATCCTGTGGGGACAAACAGGATAGAAAGCTGTTGATTGCAAGTTAGTAAAGAAGGCTTCTGGGGCCCCCGTCACCTCCCTCTGCCTCAGCCTGATGTTCTTATTTCCCCCACCTGCCCACAGGCTCTTCTGGCCTCCAAGGTGATCCTGGACAAACACCAACTGCAGAAGCTGTCCAGGTTCCTCCTGGACCCTTGGGTCTACCAGGGATCGATGGCATCCCTGGCCTCACTGGGGACCCTGGGGCTCAAGGCCCTGTAGGCCTACAAGGTGAGGAGGGTGCCAGAAAAAGGAGATTTGTTGGGGAGTTGAGACAGTTTGGCTGAGAGGCTGGCTTGGATGTCCACCTCCAAGGGTGTGTCTTCATCAAGCGTTGCCTCTCTTCCTTCACAAAGCTCCCAAGCTTCCTGTTGGGGAGAAGAAGGGCCAGCAGGACCAGCAGGGTGGTTGTACTTGGTACTTGGCTTTAGAGGATGTGAGGGCAGAGCAAGGTTGCTACTCCAGACCACTCGCCCCTCTCTAATGTGCTGCAGAGAGATGGAGGGAGTGTGGTGGTGAATAAAGGGCCACACAAGACAATGAAAAAAGTCCAAGGCTGGGGGACAGAAAACCTGGCCTCTAATTGGAGTAAGTTAGAAGTCTCTCTGGGTCTCAGTGTCCTCATTTTCTTCCTCTTCTTCTTCCTCTTCTTCTTCTTCTTCTTCTTTTCTTCTTCGTCTTCCTCTTCCTCCTCCTCTTCTTCTTCCTCTTCTTCTTCTTCTTTTCTTCTTCCTCCTCCTCCTTCTTCTTCTTTTTATTTTTTTTTATTTTTGAGATGGAGTCTTGCTCTGTCACCGAGGCTGAGAGTGCATTGGTGCCATCTCACCTCACTGCAACCTCCACCTCTCGAATTCAAGTGATTCTCCCGCCTCAGCCTCCGGAGTAGCGGGGACTACAGGTGCATACCACCACACCCAGCTAATTTTTGTATTTTAAATAGAGACAAGGTTTCCCCATGTTGGCCAGGCTGGTCTCGAACTCCTGACTTAAGGTGATCTGCCTGCTTTGGCCTCCCAAAGTGCTGGGATTACAGGCATGAGCCACTGCGCCCAGCCTCGGTGTCCTCATTTCTGATATGGGATGCTCGCCGTTGCCCTGCATAATTTCCATTGTTGCTAGGAGGATGAGAAGAAGGGAGGAGGAAGTGGGCATGAAGGGGCTCAGAAAGGCTAAGTTGAGGGCACTGCCCCAGGGCAGAGATGCCCCCATGAACTAAGAACTAGCCCAGGCGGCTGCAGCCTTGATGTGCAGTGTGCACACCAAGTCGACAGCCAAGTGCATCGTCTCCTAGTGAGTCTTGGGCATGACACATAAGTCCCCTTTCCTGGGGAAGGTGCCTGGGGACCCTCTACATTGAGTACCCTCCTTTGGGCTTTCTCTCCTGCAGGCTCCAAAGGTTTACCTGGCATCCCCGGTAAAGATGGCCCCAGTGGGCTCCCAGGCCCACCTGGGGCTCTTGGTGATCCTGGTCTGCCTGGACTGCAAGGCCCTCCAGGATTTGAAGGTCTGATGATGCCACATTAGGAGGCGGGCGGGGCGGGGATGGTGGTCTGGGAGGGTTTGAGGCTGGGGGTGAGTAAAACTTCAAGTCTGAAACTTAATAAACCCAGTGGTAGAGCTTGACACTCCTAAGATGCTCAAAAACTGGGCTCTAAGTCCATTCACTCCCCACTACCCTCTGAGCCTGTGAAGGGATACCCTACGTTCTGGAAGGCAAAGGACTGTTCCAAATCCAAATCCTTTTCTGGGCTCTCTTCCAGTGCTTAAAAGGTCTGACTTTATACTACAGATGGCCCCCTGCCCTTTACCTCCCCTTTTCTACCCAGGGATTCTGACACACATGAGAGGGGGATGTTCAAGGGATAACAACACTTGAGTTAAGGCGTGGCTGTCCATATACCTCTTCTATTTGTGTCCCACTTTATATTGGGGATGACAAATTAGTTGTCCTGAGTAGAGAACAGTTCAGAGGCTCGGTGGGAAACTGTGGCAGTTGATTTGTCATGTCTGTCATGGGCAGGAGAGGAGGGCAAGATTTTACCCTGCTAATCCTAACCCTGCTTTCGATGACTCTGATTCAGCAGCTACATAGTTATCTCCTATGAGGGCCTGCAAGGCTGGACCTGAGAAGTATCCCTCTCCACACCCTAATCCCCACTCAGAGAGACCCCAAGGCCAGGTGGCTATGGGAAGGAAGCCTAACAATGTACTTTGAAAAATGGGGCGTCTGTAGCTGGATACATCTGAGATAGAGTTGTAGCTCTACCACTTACTAGCTGTAGGACATCTGAGCCTCAATTTCTTCATCTAAAAATTGGGGTGGTAATACCATTTTCCAGGGTCATCGTGAGGATTGAGTGAGATAATACATGTGTATAACATGCCTTGGACAATGTGTGGTACAATGTGAGTAGCTGATGTTGTCATTAGCTGCACCACACTCACCTTTTATGATCTGTCTCTCTCAGGAGCTCCAGGGCAGCAAGGCCCCTTCGGGATGCCTGGAATGCCTGGCCAGAGCATGAGAGTGGGCTACACGTTGGTAAAGCACAGCCAGTCGGAACAGGTGCCCCCGTGTCCCATCGGGATGAGCCAGCTGTGGGTGGGGTACAGCTTACTGTTTGTGGAGGGGCAAGAGAAAGCCCACAACCAGGACCTGGGTAGGTACCAGCTCTGACAGCCAGCCCTGGTCACCTGTCCCCACAAACACCAACAGCCAACCCCTCTCTTCTCCCAGCCCTTTCTAGGTCCACTGTTGTGTAGTGAGTTACAAGCATCAGCTCTGGAGTCAGGTGGATCTGGATTCAAATCCTGGCTCTATCACTTACTAGCTGTGTACACTGCATTAGTTATTCAACCTCTCTAGGCTTTGGCTTCCTCCTTAATGGAACAAAGCTAATTCTAGTATCTATCACACACGCTGGTGGAAAGATTGCATGAATCAATCACCCAATGTAAATTGCTTAGAGCAACATTTGGCATTTAAGCATCCATTAAATGTTAGCAATTAGTAGTAGTAATAATAATAATATGACCTGCAGGGCAATGATGATTACCTGAGAATTAATTGTTGTCTGCAGGTGTGCTAAATCTTAAAAGCAGACTCAGTCTATTAAACGCTGTTTCTTTCAAAGCAGATTAATTAGGGCAGAATTATACAGCTTATAAAAAGATTCTTGTTATTATCAAATTTCCCTGGTGCATTTAAAATAGAATTTGCTCAACACACTTCAGCACATGTACAATGTTACAGGATTGGAAGGAGAGGGCTGCCTCAGTCTGGTGCAAGTGGTTGGATGTAAACCCAAACCACCATCTCGTCAAAGCCCCTCAGCCAGACCTCCCCTGCCCTTGCCCACTTTCTCTCCTTCCAGGCTTTGCTGGCTCCTGTCTGCCCCGCTTCAGCACCATGCCCTTCATCTACTGCAACATCAACGAGGTGTGCCACTATGCCAGGCGCAATGATAAATCTTACTGGCTCTCCACTACCGCCCCTATCCCCATGATGCCCGTCAGCCAGACCCAGATTCCCCAGTACATCAGCCGCTGCTCTGTGTGTGAGGCACCCTCGCAAGCCATTGCTGTGCACAGCCAGGACATCACCATCCCGCAGTGCCCCCTGGGCTGGCGCAGCCTCTGGATTGGGTACTCTTTCCTCATGGTAAGGTCCTGCACTGTCTCCTCCCCCAGTTGGAGGCAAAGGGCCCCTTGGACTGGTTCCCAGGCTCAAGGGACACCAGGTAGAAAGCATAGAGTTTGAAAAGAAGAGAAATGCTTGGACTGGGCTTGGCTAAAGAATGGAGAACCCAGTTCTGCATGAATGGCAGGTAGTTATGGGTGTAGCGGAAAGACAGCAGTTTGCACCCAGTGGTTCAGGGGCTAGAATATCTGTGAGTCATAGGTCAATGCCCCGCCGTCTCCATGCCCGCTTCAGTTATGCCACACCCAAGGGAAGAGCAAAACACACTAAGATCTGGGAGGACAGTGAGGGAGAGGCTGTCACCACTTGGGGCCAGGACACAGTTTCACTAATCAGTCCAGCCATGGCACTGTCCCCTCTTCTCTCCACCCTCCCAGATCCCTCTGGCCTCTGCTGTCTCCTCCCAAAAGGCTTTGATGAGTGCATGCTGTGTTTATATGTCCTTGCTGGTATTTTTGCTGCCTCTCCATTTCGGTGTGAAGGCAGCGGCCAGCCATGCTGTGTGTCTTGCTAAGAAAAAGAATATCTGCAGGCCCAAAGAGGCATCAAGTCCCTCACATAATATCCTGTGAATACCTGGGGATGTTTCTTCAAATAAAAGGTCAGGTTTAGGGTCAGGACATCCCCCAGAGAAAACCACTGTGGCACCCATTGAAGTACTCTGCCTTGCCAGAGCTTCTCTGTTGAATTGCCAAGGGTGAGATGGTGAGAGAGTGTCTTTAAAAATGACCAAAGCTGCAGGCTCCCCAACATTAGCGTACCTACCTGGGGAAAGGTACTTTTCCTTGTTATGCTGTGTCTTTGGACATTGGATAGTTTATCCCAGTGTAATACAGAATCACCTCACCTGTCCTTCTGTCCTGTCCACCACCCTGACCAGGAAATAAGAAGAGGCCCCTGAGCTTCCACAGGAAATGGTACAAATGCTGTGTACTAAATCTCATGTGCCCTGCTTATGGGAGGGCTCTTAGCCCTTATTCAGAATCTCTTTACTCTTCCTTTACACATTAATTCTAACATACTAGAATATTATTCCTGAAGATATGTAAGGGTGAGAAGTTGGACTGCCTAGCAAGGCATCTTGAAGCAATGAGACATACCTATTAAAAAGGAGAAAATAATTCAAAGGAGGCCCAAGGATTCTACGGGCCGTACCCCTTGGTGTGGGGCTCTTGCATAATCATCCCCCACAAAAACTGACATTCACAATGACAAGCCTGATTCATCTGCAAAGTTTAAAATAACCTAGTGTCTGCTACTTAGCAAAGCAGGAAAATGTGTTGTGCATCTTAGAAAGTTTTTGATTCTCAGGGTCAAAGTGAGGAAAATTTTGATGCTTCGGTTGTCAGGAAAGGTCACCTGAAAGGTCCCATGCAGACTCTCACTCTTGCAAAGTTCTGCAAAGTAAGGAGTCCCTGTGTGCCAACTTGGGCATTTGTCTCATTGGCCATTTGCTGACACGGTTGTGTATTAGGCCTCTTCCCTATCTCCTTGTGGTCCAGATGATAGCCCGGCTAAAGTGAAGAGAAACAGGCAGGAGTGTGGAGAGACAGGAGCTGCTGTCTATGTGAATAGTAACTGAAAACCACCAGCTCATGTGTAGCCCTGAAACTGAATACTGAGAGAGCCCTCTGAGGTGAGGGCCAGGGTATTTGGGCCAAATACAACAAATTAAGGAGAACTTCAGTAGGTTTTGGACTGTCCTTCTTTCCCTTCTTAGAGTACAATGCATGGTTGAGAGAGGGCTCTGAGAACCGCAGTCCAGAAGCCTATTGAATTTTCCTTCACTCAGCTTTTCTCAGATCCATTTGTCCGAGGAAATTTTGCAAGGGGGTACCTAACACACCTCTGAACCCAGTGGGACAGTAGCAGTTTGGGAATTGCTGCTTGACATGTAGTCATTGCCCACATAATGGGTTAGGAGGGCACTAGGGAGCTTGGAAGGGGGCACTCTTGGCCCTGAAAGCTGCTATGAGGGAGGACAAGCAGCCCCTGCCCCTAAAACACAGCTCTTGGTATGCTGGCTTGAACTGGGGGCTGAGACAAGGAACCAGGGCTTAGGAATGGAGCTCATGTGCCCCTGTAGCAGTGGAGCACCCATCCCCTCCCCACACCAACCCTTGGCAGGCACAGCTCATGCACTAATCTCCTGTCTGTTTCAGCACACTGCCGCTGGTGCCGAGGGTGGAGGCCAGTCCCTGGTCTCACCTGGCTCCTGCCTAGAGGACTTTCGGGCCACTCCTTTCATCGAATGCAGTGGTGCCCGAGGCACCTGCCACTACTTTGCAAACAAGTACAGTTTCTGGTTGACCACAGTGGAGGAGAGGCAGCAGTTTGGGGAGTTGCCTGTGTCTGAAACGCTGAAAGCTGGGCAGCTCCACACTCGAGTCAGTCGCTGCCAGGTGTGTATGAAAAGCCTGTAGGGTGGCACCTGCCACTCTGCCCCTTGCCCTCCCCTGCCCCTCACAACAGTCACCTCACAAACCTGAATGGTCTGAAGAAGGAAGGCCTGAGCCCCTTTGCCTGTCAAGTTGTACATTGGAGTCTCATTTGGGCTAGACTACCGGACACTCGTCACCCCAGCCCTCGGGTCCATAGAGATGAGCCCACCCTGCTGAGATCTGCTGTCCTGTTTCTGTCAAGCTGGTGCTACTGTTTGATTTGGATGATTGTGTGACTATTCATGGCTACCTCAGAAAGATTTGATGGGCCACAACTGTCTTAGACTGCTAGCTTTCTCCTTACCGTCTTGATCGGAAAGCTCTTCCTAATCGCTAATCAGTCATTTCTTCATGTACAGAGGTCAGCACACATTATTTGGCTTAAACCAGAACCCAGTGTTTCCACACTTAAATTCTCTAACCGAATATTCATGGATGGCTCAAGTCTGCACAGAGCAAGTCCTCACTCTTCAAGGAGGCCCACTGTGTCTAGGCAGGCAAGAGAATTGAAATGAGGTGCCACCCAGTAGCCCAGAGTGAGCTTTAGCTCTCTCTAGAATGAGCAAGACTGGGCCCCACATGGCTTAGAGAGGCTTGAAGGCCAGCAGCTGGGTTGGGGGTGGTGGTCATTAATGGCATATGGTCCTAGACAAACCATCTCCTCCTTGCCGGCTCCCCCTCCAGCCAGAGACAGAGGATGTGGCCTGGTTCAAAGTAAAGCAGAGGATGCAACAAATGTGGCCAAGCCTATCAAAGGAAATGAGAATGACAGCCTTTTTTCCTGGGCCAGAAGTAGAGGGGTGGGTGCGTAAGGATGTGTGAGTTTTGCTTTTGACTCCAGGAACAAAAAGGTAAATCCCACATCCCAGTTTCTCAGAAGTCCCTGTTTATTCCAAATGCCATCCAGATGTGTGCAATGTGGCAAACTGAAGCTGCACAGTGTTGGTTTCCTTGTATTCTGAGGATGTTAAAGACTTTGTTAAATGGTTATCCAATTGCTCTTTCACAGGTAGCCTATTAAACTATTTTAATATGTTTTTTTAAACCTCATAAAAATCTAGCACACTCTTCTCTTGAGCAGTTAGCAGACCTAAAGCAAGCCTGAATTGGCTATGCAGTACATTGTATTCTGTTTGGGGGAATTTGTTTTAGCCATTTTCTTTAATTACCAGTTTTCCAGAACACTCTTAGCTATGTTGACATGAGGCAGTTCCTTCCAGGTGATTCTGTTTCCTTAAGTATTATATAAACTGTGCCAATACAGACAAAGCATAATCAATATAATCTGAATTATTGTTATCTTTACCTCCTGAGTAATAAGCATGGTGTCAGTTTTGTACATAGCAAATAAAATAAATGAAATCTGAACATGTGACTCTTTTGATGTTCCTTTATGAAAACTTTTCTAATGTCCATCTCACTGCAATTTATGAGTCCCTCTCAGAGCCTGAGAGGTTTCTGCTACTGCCAAGTCGAACTCTGTAACAAAACACTGAGGCAGGAAAAAATTAGAAGATGATCAAAGTCAAAGAGCTGAAACAGTCCTCTAACAAACAGTCAACAAACCCATAAGCTGCTTCAAGATAAGCCTATGCCTGCTTTTATCCCTGTCACACGCTAGAGTTCAACATATCAAAGCATGATGTAGGTTGATAAAAATAAATAAATTTTTTGAATAAAAAAAGAGTTCAAGAAAGGCATTTTCATACTTCTGTGGCCTTAGGATCATTTGTAGATAAAACAAAAGTAGAGAATGTTAAAGTCATTAAAATCAAATCCAAGCTGTGTGTGTATGAGTGTGTGTGTGTATATGTGTGTGTGTGTGTGCATATATTTATATATGTATAAAATATATCCTCTGAGAGGATAAACAAGAAATTAATACCATTGGGAATTTCCAAGGGAGGGAACTGACCTATCGGAGAGAGAGACAAGTCACTGAATATCATTTTACATCTTTTGAATTTTGAACCATTGGAATATACGGGGGGAAAAAGAAAAACATGGAATCTAAGGAAACAAGCAGATTGGTTTGGTGCTAGCTTCCAGTTGCTGGCCTTCCTCGGGACTTGATTAAGGATGGGGGTGAAATGCAGGCAAGTTAAGGAAGCAAGAAAAGGAAAATGAGAAGGTACTGCTGGGGCTTGAGGTTCATCCTCACAGGAAAGTGGTTAGCAAAGCTAATTTGATGAATACATGCTTTAAAACCTATTATGTTGCTAGCCTCAAATGGTTTGGAATTGTATATGATGCACAGATAAAATGTGTAATTCACCACATGAATAATTCTAAATATGGCTGTCAACCAAGTAGGGTATACTTCAAACACAATTTATTTTTAATTTATCAAACAAAAATCAACAATTTAAGTCACTGATTGGCAAGCTACAGCCTGCAGGCCAAACCCAGCCCTCCACCTGCTTTTGTAAATAAAGTTTTCTTGGATTACAGCCACACTCATTTACACGCATATTGTCTATTGCTGCTTTTGCATGTCAACAGCAGAGTTGAGTAGATGTGACAGAGGCCGCATGGCCTGCAAAGCCCAAAATATTTCCCGTCTGGCCCTTTACAGAAAAAGTTTGCTGACCCCTGATTTAAGTGATCATGATTTAAGGACAGGGTGATATCTGACAAAAGTATCAGTAAGAATGGGGACAGTGACCCATCAAATAGTAAGATCCCCGCAAACAGAAGGGAGATCAAGAAGTGTATATTTGACATCGTTTCTTTGACAAACGTTTTGATATAAATTATAATTACTTCAACTACACAATCAAATAATTTAACAAGAACCTTTTCCTCCCTGATTCAGTCACTTTATTATTTGAGCAAGAGAACAGATTGCTGCTTAGTCCAAAAGAGGTCACATCTGAAAGGGTGAAGAACAGCTTAACCATCTCTTATCTGCTGGTTCTTGAAGCAAGCTGAGAGTTGCTGTTTGTCTTCCAGATGCCCATTTCCTCATTGCAGCAGCTGAAGACTTGCTGTAGCCATATAACACAAGCTGGGAAGCAATGAACTCCTCCTCATCTCTCTGCTCCTAGGCTCCATGATTGTTCTATTTCTTTCCGGGGAAGGGTTACTGTCATTTGTTTTGTTTTGTTTTGTTTTTCTGAGAAACAGTGATTGGCTCAGTCATGATTGCTATTGAGTTTGTATGCTATTGGCATATCAGGCACTTGCTGACTAGAAAAGTTTTATGCAATAAGTTCATGTTTTTATGGTGCCAGATGGAAGACAGACCTTCAAGTTGAGTTCCCAGGATTCTACACACTCAGAATCTCAAAATCTTCCTCCAGATCAAACTCCTCCAGTTGCTCAGTAGAGTCAATGAATTCTATCAGAATACGGAAATGAGAAAGAAGAAAAGCTTGACACTTGGGTTGAAGTGGTCAGTAAATACTTTACTCAGTAGTTAAGACTAAGCATTTTTAATTGCTGTACTAAAGAAAGACTTGTGTGGAGGAGACTTACAATTAGAACTACTGCCAAGTATTAGAAATTATCTATAAAGACTCAAAATAGCCAGACTTGTTACATAAACCTAACGACGGTGATGTGGCCAAGGCTCTGAAAGCCCTTCAAGATACCTTTGAATTATCGATGGCCTCAATTTGCTATTCTGAACCAGACCATGAAAAAGCAATCCTAGTCATCTTGATTTTGCATAGAACTTTTGCAATGAGCTCATTTTCTTCTATTATCATTCTTTGAAATTGGTAAATATCAGCTCATCAGAAGATTAAAATAACCAGAAGTGCCATTTTTTTATCACTCCAGCTGAGTAGAAATTTTACTGTCCACAGAAAGCATGGGCCACAATTCTTCTTTCTCATAAAACAACTGCTATATGTGGGTCTGCTAGCTGAGAGCCATTGAACAACAGCTTACCTGCCCCAGTGGTTGTCACTTCTGGCTTGGCTGGAGGTACAAAGGGAGGCCAGTGTGATGGATGTTTCTGAACTAATTCAAACATCCTTAAATTCTCCTTTAGAATTTCCTGGGGAGATGACAAAACAGTTTTAAATACTTCAGAGTCACAACATTTCTAATTGGCAATCTTTGACCCCAAACCCTGAGACAGTGGTCTGCTGGTTTCCAGGTGAAAACAGGGGCCTAGAAAATACATGCATCCTCTACTTGAACCATCTGAAGACTCAGCCATCTTCAATTCTAGATACTGTTTAGCCAGGAAGGAAGGACTTTGCGGGGAGTATCTGATGAAGGCCAGCACTCACTGCCTATTCTCCATCATGAGGCATAGTGCCTGTGCCAGACGCATGGGTCCAGCTCACTTTAGGGGTGACATGTTCCTGAAGCACTGGCTCCAAAGAAATGTCAGTTAGTGAAATTAAATCTGCCCCAAGAGACTATTGCTACATATTGGCATGGTTTCAGTGGCAGTCCAACATGTATGGTATATATCCTAATTTACATGGCATAGTCTTAGCTGGGCACGGTGACTCATGCCTGTAATCCCAGCACTTTGGGAGGCCGAGGTGGGCAGATCACCTGTGGTCAGTTCAAGACCAGCCTGGCCAATGTGGTGAAACCCTGTCTCTACTAAAAATACAAAAATTAGCTGGGCGTGGTGGTGGGCGCCTGTAATCCCAGCTACTCGGGAGGCTGAGGGAGGAGAATCGCTTGAACCTGGAGACGGAGGTTGCAGTGCACCCAGATCCCGCCACTGCACTCCAGCCTGGGTGACGGAGCGAGCCTTTGTCTCAAAAAATAATAAAATAAAATAAAAGGCATAGTCTTATCAGAAAATTCTCATTCCACCTTTAAATGTGACATAAATACAGTTTTGCTGCATTCTAAAATGTAAGTATTGCCTTTAGAAAATAATTGTCTATTAATGAGATAAAACATTAGGTTTCATCACTAAAAATATCACTCCCTTGACATGCTAAGCATATTTCAAACCAAAATTTTTGTTCAGTTTCCCCGAAGTTATGCACAATTCCCCACACCTGATAGTTTCTTTGTTGCCTTAGTTTCTTTCTCTTGCAGTAAAGTCGTATCAGAGTAGGATTTTTTTTTACTATGAAAAACAATCTTGAAAAGGAATAAAATTGGGTAACTTCATTTTTCAGACTAAGAAAAACATATAGCTTTACCTTCTGAACAAGGCTACACCAGTTATCAAAGTCTTTTTCTTCTTTGCAGAAAAATCCCTTGGGGGAAAGCAAAAGAACACAACTTAGAATTACCTTTGGTATTGCACAATGGAGCTGTTGGCCCAGAATTAGGATGTGGGCCAGTCTCTGTGGATGTGACTTCTCAGCAATAAAGAAGGAAGACTGCCTGGGCTTCTCTCTCTCCTAACTCATTGCCTTACTCAGACATACATATCACTCTCTCAGTCTTGCTCTCATTCTCACCCTTGCTCTCTGTCCCTTTCCCTCTTTCCTCATGCTGCGAGATATTTTAACTTGAAGATCATCTTCAAAGTGTAGGGTTAATTCCATTACTTTCAGTGTACAAATACACACATCTCCAAAGAACATTCAATTAAGCCAACAAACAAAAGCCAAATGGTACTTTTAGCTAGAGGCAATACTTAAGAAGATGGCATTGACCTTCAGGAAATTATCTATCAGAATAGAGAGAACCATCAGTCTGTGCTTTCTCAACCTCAAATCCATCCCAGAGTAGTGAAAGAATGGTTCACAAGAGGAGGACTTGCAGCTCCTGGTCACTGGTATACTGACAATTGGATTAAACTAGAGGAGAGGATGCAGACAGGCCTCAGAACCACCAGCTACTTCACAGGCAGATGCCCCTTCAGTGTGTGTAGACACCAGCCATACTTCTGGGGGAAAATCCTGCAGCTTCCTAGATTGTGTGCACCCAGGGCATCTTGCTCCCTTATCTCTCCCTAGTGATATCCCATCTTCCTCCCTGTGCCTGGGTAGCAATAATTTGAGGACAAGAAGGAAACAGGGGAAAGAGTAACTAACATTTATAGAATGCTTACAATGTGCCAGGCCCAGTGCTAAGTGCCTTACATGCATTGCACCTCATACAACCCCATAAGGAACGAACTATTGTTTTCCTCATTTTAGAGATGAGAAGACTGAGGCTCAGAAAGATTAAGTGACTCCTCCTAAGTGCGTAGTTAGTGATACGGTTTGGTGGTGTCCTCACCCAAATCTCATCTTGAATTGTAATAATCCCCACGTGTCAAGGGTGGGACCAGGTAGAGATAACTGAATCATGGGGGTGGTTTCCCCCATACCATCCTTGTGGTAGTGAATAAGTCTTATGAGATCTGATGGTTTTATAAATGGGAGTTCCCCTGCATAAGCTCTCTTGCCTGCCACCATGTAAGACATCCCTTTGCTCTTCCTTCATCTTCCACCATGATTGGGAGTCCTCCCCAGCCATGTGGAACTGTGAGTTAACTAAACATCTTTCCTTTATAAATTACCCAGCCTCAGGTATGTCTTTATCAGCAGTGGGAGAACAGACTAATACAGTTAGTAAGTGGCAGAGCCAAGATTCCAACTGGAGCAGTTTGGCTCCAGGGTCCATTCCTTCCCCACTACACTCTACTGCCTCTAATGGGGATAGTGAGCAAACATACTCTTGCCTTCCTACCTAGCAATCTGGATAACTCCCAGGGAACCAATCTGTACACATCGTATCTCCTGGCCCACCCAACCTACGAATACCCACCAATGCAACTGAAGGATCCAGGTTTAGGATGTTCATTCGCTGTGGGGACTGCAGGCAATGGAAAGTCTGGTCATTAACCGTTCCATTCTCTTCAGTGTCAACAAAGGTCTGGGTTGTATGAGGGTCCAAGAAGATGAGCTCGTCACCTGTTTTGAAGGAGATATGCTTAACCTTCAAAGGATTACCGGTCCTGGCCCACTGCTGTTGTTGGGAGGAGGCACTCTGGTTCTCTTAACCCCTCCCTTGGTGACAATGAGAATGGAATGACAGAAAGCCTGAAGCCAGGGTGAGCATGCTTAAAGGAAGCCACTTGCGCCCAAATCTTATCATTCAATGAGAAGATGTGCCCTAGCATTTACATCTCCTCAAAGTCCAAGTCCCAAAATGGAAAGTGACAGGTTTGAGAAAATGTGGGAATGAGAGACCACAGATGGCATGGCAGGCTCTGTGAGCAGCAGTAGCAAAGAGGCGGTAGGTGGAGTCACCAGGTCGTGGGCCCAGGTACCATTAGGGAGCTTTCTGCCTCTTTTGACATTGGAAAGCATCTCAGGCTAGACTGCTGGTTCTCAGCCCCATGCTCAGAAAGCACCTCTGGTAAGGGAGGAGGTCCTGACCTTCAAAAGAAATGCTGACTTTTTATGGAATGGGAATGCTGACTCTTTATGGATGAGAAACCAGTGAGCTGACTTCTGGTCCTGATTAGCTAGCAAGTTAGTACTTATTAGCAAGTTAGTAAGTTCCTGTCAGAAAGCACTGCCTTTGTCACATTGACATCAGTACAGATACAGCTCACTTGGAAAATTCACTTTGAGATGACTGACCTTGACACAAGAGATATAAGCTATGCTTCATTAAATTGAAAAAGTCTAGCCCCAAAATAACATGGGAGGAGTTTAGGATAATAAAATTTCTGCTTTGACCTGGTATTCAAAGGGCTGACAGTCCCTCTAATGTTCATCAGCCACAGGCTGAGGAGGCAAAAGTGCCTAAGAGGTACCCCAGCCTCACTGTCCGGGCCTGAGGGCCATCTGGTTCTCTGTGTGCTCAGCTATATCAGGCGAGCAAGGAGAGATCTACCTGCTGCCAAAGACTGGGGTAGGGAGGGATGCCCCAAAGACTCCCTCTGGAATGGTATCCAGGATTGTGTTGGGCACATCTACATGTTTCTGTCAGCAAAGAATATGTTCATTTCTGAAGTCTCATGAAAAGTTTAACATTTTTCTGTCATAAACCAAGGACAAACCACTTAATTCACTCTGTCTTAATTTTCTTGTTTTTAAACTAGGGTCATCGGGCCTGTTCTAGTTGCCTCATGGTATATTACAAGGACCAGAAGATTTCACCTCTGTGAAATCCTTAAAACACAATACAAATAGAAAGTGGCCAGAGAAATATTTTACTGCAAATCAACAGTATTTTCCTACAAATGCATGTTTAAGAGTATATAGAAATCAATCCCCCCATATGACTTGCTTTATGAAAGTCAAGGTAGATGTTTTTCCCCTAGACCACAGGTGGGCAAGATCAGTGATACTGAAAAAGCCTCAGATTACACTAAAGAGCAACCAAGATGGCTAGAAGGAAGCCTACCTAAGACCACAGAAAGGTCTGAGGGAAAGGAAGTTGTAGGCAAGAAAACAGAAAGCCAAAACAGGGTTAGAACTGAGTCATCTAATGGGATGTTTGGAGTTAAGGTGTTGAGAATAATAACATCTTCTCTGACTCTGACCAGGACCTTTTCCCATGGGTGGTGTGTGTGTGTGTGTGTGTGTGTGTGTGTATGTGCATGGAGTGGAGCTTTACAAGCTGCATCATTTTTTTTTTTTTTTTGAGACAGGGTCTCCCTCTGTGTGATGGTTAATACTGAGTGTCAACTTGACTGGATTGACAGATGCAAAGTACTGATCCCAGGTGTGTCTGCAAGGGTGTTGCCAAAGGAGATTAACATTGAGTCAGTGGGCTGGGAAAGGCAGACCGGTCCTTAATCTGGGTGGGCACAATCTAACCAGCTGCCAGGGTGGCAAGCAGAAAAATGTGAAAAAGAGAGACAGCCCTAGCCTCCCAGCCTACGTCTTTCTCCCATGCTGGATGCTTCCTGCCCTCAAACATTGGACTCCAAGTTCTTCAGTTTTAGAACTCAGACTGGCTGTCCTTGCTCCTCAGCCTGCAAATGGCCTATTGTGGGACCTTGTGATCATGTGAGTTAATACTTAATAAACTCATATATATATATATATATATATATATATATATATATATATATATATATATATATATTTTCCATTAGTTCTGTCCCTCTAGAGAATCCTGACTGATACAGATTTTGGTACCAGGAGTTGTTCTAGAGGAACAGAATATTAAGGATGAAGTTCTTTCATTGGTTTTGGGGTTTCTGGAGTTGGCTATTTAATA
Organism: Homo sapiens; assembly: GCF_000001405.40. Classification (NCBI taxonomy): domain Eukaryota; kingdom Metazoa; phylum Chordata; class Mammalia; order Primates; family Hominidae; genus Homo; species Homo sapiens. Next base: position 108,147,885 of record NC_000023.11, on the reverse strand, counting down.
TGATTAGACCCAAAAATGCTAAGGACTGTACTTCTAATAGTATAGGGAACACTGATAGTCCTTGGTGTGAACTGTTTAGAGAGTTATGCAAAATAAATGCATTTGACACACCTGAATCATCGCTCGTGAGAGGCAAGGAGTTCAGTGACTATACATAATACAATTGACCATACGTGGAAAACCAAGGAACATAATGAAGCTAGTTGGTTGCTCCTAAGTTCAGTGGACAAAGTCATGAAAGAAAATGATGAACTCAGGGATTCTAGCTCCAGGCTTCAGAAGCAGATATTGAACCTAAAATCTGCTAAGATTGCCCTAAGTGAGAGTCTTATCTCCTGTAGAGAAAGAGCTGAAATTGTGGAAAAACAGACACAAGCTCTTATCATGCGAGTGACTGGCCTCCAACAAAAGGTGCATGCACAGCCTCGCCAGGTGTCTACTGTTAAAGTGAGGGCATTGATTGGAAAAGAATGGGACCCTGCAACTTGGAATGGGAACGTGTGGGAGGACCCTGATGAAGCTGGGGACACTGAGTTTGTAAACTCTGATGAACTTTTTTTGCCAGAAGAAACAGCTTCCCCATCTCCAGTAGTGGCAATATCCCCTCCCCGGCCCATGCTGTCATCAGCCTTTCCACCTTTGACTGAGGAGATAAACCCTGTGCTGCCTGAAGCAACAGTGATGGCCTCCTCTGAGGCAGTTGCCAGGCAAGATAATGTTGATTCTCCTCAGGAGCCACCCCCAACACCCCTGTTTGCTTCCAGACTTCAACTAGACTAAAGTCCTGGTGGGCTCCTGGAGGTGAGGTTGAGAGTGTGACCCATGAGGAGGTGCACTATACTCAAAAATAACTGCTTGAGTTTTCTAATTTATATAAACAGAAACCTGGAGAACAGGCATGGGAACGGATATTAAGGGTGTGGGATAATGGTGGAAAGAACACAGAGTTGGATCAGGCTGAATTTATTGATTTGGGCCCACTATGTTAGAGACTCTGCATTTAATGTTGCAGCTCGGGGAGTTAAAAAAGGTTCTAATAGCTTATTTGCTTGGTTAGCTGAAATATGGATTAAAAGATGGCCCACTGTGAACGAGATGGAAATGCCTGATCTCCCTTGGTTTTATGTAGAGGAAGGGATCCAAAGGCTTAGGGAGATTGGGATGGTGGAGTGGATTAGTCACTTCAGACCTATTCATCCCAGCTGGGAGGGTCCAGAAGATATACCCTTGACCAATGCCTTGCAAAATAGATTTGTGAGGGCAGAACATGCATCTTCGAAGAGTACTGTAATTGCTCTTCTCTGTATGTCAGATCTAACAGTGGGAACTGTATCACTCAACTACAAAATTTAAATATAATGGGAATAATTGGATCCTGAGGTGGCAGGGGCCAAGTGGCAGCACTCAACCATCAAAGGCAAGGTGGGCATAGCTACCGTAATGGACAGCAGAGGCAAAGCAATAGTCTGACTATTGCTTTCAGACTACTGCAATCAGAATAGTCTGACTCGTGTAGAGCTCTGGCATTTGCTAATTAATCATGGTGTTCCTAGAAGTGAAATTGATAGGAAGCCTACTGCATTCCTACTTAATTTATATAAGCAGAAAACTTCTAGGTCGAATGCACAAAAGACTAATTTGAATTACAGAAACAGAGAATCACAGCCCATCAATCAATTTCCAGACTTGAGCCAGTTTACAGACCCAGAACCCCTTGAATGAAGGGGAGGCCGGGTCCCCTTGAGGAAGGACCTCACTATATTACTGACAATTTATGCAGTGAATCGCTCTCCCATCCTTCCCCAAGGAGACCTCCGGCCTTTTAGCAGGGTAACTGTGCATTGGGGGAAGGGAAATGATCAGACATTTCAGGGCCTACTGGACACTGGCTCTGAGCTGACATTGATTCCAGGGAACCCAAAATATCATTGTGGTCCTCCAGTTAAAGTAGGGGCTTATGTAAGTCAGGTAATTAATGGAGTTTTAGTTCAGGTGCAACTTACAATGGGCCCAGTGGGTCCCCAGACTCATCCCGTGGTCATTTCCCCAGTGCCAGAATGCATAATTGGCATAGACATACTTAGCAGCTGGTAGAACCCCTACATTGGCTCCCTGACTGGTAGGGTGAGGGCTATTACAGTGAGAAAGGCCAAATGGAAGCCATTAGAGCTTCCTCTACCTAGGAAAATAGTAAATAAAAAACAATATTGCATCCCTGGAGGGATTGCAGAGATTAGTGCCACCATCAAGGACCTGAAAGACACAGAGGTGGTGATTCCCACCACATCCCAGTTCAACTTTCCCATTTGGCCTGTGCAGAAGACAGATGGATCTTGGAGAATGACAGTGGATTATTGTAAGCTTAACCAAGTGGTGACTCCAATTGCAGCTGCTGTACCAGATGTGGCTTCATTGCTCGAGCAAATTAACACATCTCCTGGTACCTGGTATGCAGCTATTGACTTGGCAAATGCCTTTTTGTCCATTCCTGTCCATGAGGCCCACCAGAAGCAATTTGCCTTCAGCCGGCAAGGCCAGCAATATATCTTTACTGTCCTACCTCAGGGGCATATGAACTCTCCGTCTTTGTGTCATAATCTTATTTGGAGAGACCTTGATCGCTTTTCACTTCCACACTGGTCCATTACATTGATGACATTATGCTGACTGGATCCAGTGAGCAAAAAGTAGCAAACACACTGGACTTATTGGTAAGACATTTGCATGCCAGAGGATGGGAAATAAATCTGACTAAAATTCAGGGACCTTCTACTTCAGTAAAATTTCTAGGGGTCAGTGGTGTGGGGCCTGTCAAGATATTCTTTCTAAGGTGAAGGATAAGTTGCTGCAATTGGCCCCTCCTACAACCAAGAAAGAGGCACAATGCCTTTTGGGCCTATTTGGATTTTGGAGGCAACACATTCCTCATTTGGGTGTGTTACTCTGACCCATTGAAGGGAAATCTTTCCAGTGGGCATAACTTCGAGCAGTGCACCTGGTTGTGCACTTTGCATGGAAGGAGAAACGGCCATATGTGCGATTATATACTAATTCATAGACTATAGTCAATGGTTTGACTGGATGGTCAGGGACTTGGAAGAAGCATGATTGGGAAATTGGTGCCAAATTTGGGGAAGAGGTATGTGGATGGACCTCTCTGAGTGGTCAAAAACTGTGAAGATATTTGTATGCCATGTGAGTACTCACCAATGGGTGACCTCAGGAGAGGAGAATTTTAATAATCAAGTAGATAGGATGACCCATTCTGTGGATACCACTCAGCCTCTTTCCCCAGCCACCCATGTCATCACCCAATGGGCCCATGAACAAAGTGGCCATGGTGGCAGGGATGGAGGTTACACACGGGTTCAGCAACATGGACTTCCACTCACCAAGGCTGACCTGGCTACAGCCCCTGCTGAGTGCCCAATTTGCCAGCAGCAGAGACCAACACTGAGCCCTCAATATAGCACCATTCCTCAGGGTGATCAGCCAGCTACCTGGTGGCAGGTTGATTATACTGGGCTTCTTCCATCACGGAAAGGGCAGAGATTTATCCTCACTGGAATAAACACTTAGTCCACATATGGGTTTACCTATCCTGTATGCAATGCTTCTGCCAAGACTCCCATCCATGGACTCACAGAATGCCTTATCCACCTTCATGGTATTCCACACAGCTCTGACCAAGGCACTCACTTTATGGCTAAGAAAGTGTGGCAGTGGGCTCATTCTCATGGAATTCACTGGTCTTACCATGTTCCCCATCAGCCTTATCCAACATCATGGTATCCCACACAGACTCTGACCAAGGCACTCACTTTATGGCTAAGAAAGTGTGGCAGTGAGCTCATTCTCATGGAATTCACTGGTCTTACCATGTTCCCCATCAGCCTGAAGCAGCTGGATTGATAGAATGGTGGAATTTCATTTTGAAGTTACAATTACAATGCCAACTAGGTGACAATACTTTGTAGGGCTGGGGCAAAGTTTTCCAGAAGGCTGTGTAAGCTCTGAATTAGCATTCAATATATGGTACTCTTTCTCTCATAGCCAGGATTCACAGGTCCAGGAATCAAGGAGTGGAAGTGGAAGTGGCACCACTCACCATCAGCCCCAGTGATCCACCAGCAAAATTTTTGCTTCCTGTTCCCCCGACATTACGTTCTGCTGGCCTAGAGTTCTTAGTTCCAGAGGAAGGAATGCTGCCATCAGGAGACACAACAGTTCCATTAAACTGGAAGTTAAGATTGCCACCTGGACACTTTGGGCTCCTCTTCCCTTTACATCAACAGGCTAATAAGGGAGTTACAGTGTTGGTTGGGGTGACTGACTTGGACTATCAAGATGAAATCAGTCTACTACCCCACAATGGAGGTAAGAAAAAGTATGCATGGAATACAGGAGATCCATTTGGGTGTCTCTTAGTATTACCATGCCCTGTGATTAAGGTCAATGGGAAACTACAACAGCCCAATCCAGGCAGGACTACAAACGGCCCAGACCCTTCAGGAATGAAGGTTTGGGTCACTCCACCAGGAAAAAAAACATGACCTGCTGAAGTGTTTACTGACGGCAAAGGGAATACAGAATAGGTAGTAAAAGTAGGTAGTCATCAATACTAGCTACGACCACGTGACCAGCTACAGAAACGAGGACTGCAATTGTCATGAACATTTCCTCCTTCTTTTGTTAAAAATATGTTTGTGCATGTATACACTTGTACTAAGAAAATATTCTCATTTTATTTCCTTTCTCCTTTATCATGTGACATAAGATTTATTGACTTCACATCAGCATTTAAGTATTATTAAGTTCATGTAATAGTATTTGGGTTGGGGATTGGTGCGTTTCCAGTTGTACGAAGGATAGTTGTATTATGTTAGGCAAATTATGACCTTATTATTGTCTTTATCTGAAGATGATGTATGATCTCAGGATATGTATATGGGTTCAAGTTGACAAGGGGTGGACTTGTGATGGCTAATACTGAGTGTCAACTTGATTGGATTGAAGGAGACAAAGTACTGATCCTGGGTGTGCCTGTGAGGGTGTTGCCAAAGCAGATTAATATTTGAATCAGTGGGCTGGGAAAGGCAGACCCACTCTTAATCAGGTGGGCACAATCTAACCAGCTGCCAGGGTGGCAGGCAGAAAAATGTGAAAAAGAGAGATGGGCCTAGCCTCCCAGCCTACATCTTTCTCCATGCTGGATGCTTCCTGCCCTCAAACATCAGACTCCAAGTTCTTCAGTTTTGGAACTCAGACTGGCTCTCCTTGCTCCTCAGCCTGCAGATGGCCTATTGTGGGACTTTGTGATCATGTGAGTTAATACTTAATAAACTCCCCTTTACATATATATGTGTGTGTGTGTGTGTGTATGTATGTTATATACACACACACACATATATATATTCACACATATATATGTATATATATTCCATTAGTTCTGGCCCTCTAGAGAACCCTGACTAATACAATCTGTCTCCCAGGCTGGAGTGCAGTGGCACAATCTTGGCTCACTGCAGCCTTGACCTCCTGGGCTCAAGCGATCTGCTTGGAAGCGATCCCCATCCCAGCCTTCCAAGTAGCTGGGTCTATAGGCATGCGCCACCACATCCAGCGAATTTTTTGTATTTTTGGTATAGACGGCATTTCACCATGTTGCCCAGGCTGGTCTCGAACTCCTGAGCTCAGGCGATCCACCTGCCTTGGCCTCCTAAAGTGCTGGGATTACAAGTGTGAGCCACTGCGCCTGGCCACAAGCTGCCACAAGCTGCATCATTTCTGAGAGTGCTTATAAGAGATATAGTACACTTAGGATAATGGCCTCCAGCTCCATCCATGTTGCTTCAGAGGACATGATTTCATTACTTTTTATGGCCACATAGTATTCCATGGTGTATATAACACATTTTATTTATCTAATCATCATCCATTGGGGTACAATGCTCAATATTTGGGCGACAGGTATACTAGAAGCCCAATCCACACCATTACACATGTAATAGCCATGTAACAAACAAACACATGTACCTCCTGAATCTGGAACAAAATTTTTTAAAAAAAGATATACAATAGATGTAAAAAGCTCTAGAAATGATCTGGGGACTAAACAAAGGTCTCCAGTGAGACCTGGAGTGAAAAGGCAGGCTGACCAACCACCTGCAGAGACAGGGCTAATGCTATGGATCTCCAGGTGGAAACCTATACCCAAGTGCAAGGAACCAACATCTCCTTCTCTCTAAGCAGGCAAAATTTGAAGGCCAGAGTGTCATCCTGGCCATATCCTCCCACACCTAGAGCTCTCTCAGCTTCCCACTGGGCAGGAGGGCCCTGGGGGAGCAATGGAAGGTGGTAGGTAGAGATGATCAAATTGGGATCGACTCTTGGCTTCACCACTTTCTAACAGAATCACCTTGAAGAAATAACTTTTTAATCTCTCTTAATTTTAGCTCTTAGTTTCACTGCATGTAAAACAGAAATAACAGTCTCTACCTCACAGAAATATTGTGTGTATTCTTGATTAATAATCAAGTAGATAGGATGACCCATTCTGTGGACACCACTCAGCCTTTTTCCTCAGCCACCCGTGTCATCACCCAATGGGCCCATGAACAAAGTGGCCATGGTGGCAGGGATAGAGGTTACACATGGGTTCAGCAACATGGACTTCCACTCACCAAGGCTGACCTGGCTACAGCCCCTGCTGAGTGCCCAATTTGCCAGCAGCACAGACCAACACTGAGCCCTCAATATGGCACCATTCCTTAGTGATATATATATATATATATATATATATATATATATATATGTATATATATACACGTATATATGTATATATATGTATATATGTATATATATGTGTATATATACGTATATATATGTATATATATACGTATATATATGTGTATATATGTGTATATATGTATATATGTGTATATATATGTATATATATGTATATATGTATATGTACATGTAATACTTTGTGTATGTATTTGTATATGTAATACATTATATATATAAAATGTATATGTAATACTTTGTGTATGTATATGTAATACATTTTATATATATTTTATATATACATTTATGTTATATATTTATATATTATTTTATATATACATTTATATATACAATGTATTTTATATATACATTTATTTATATATACAATGTATTTTATATATACATTTATACATTTTATATATTTGTAAAATGTATATAATACTTTGTATATGTATATGTACGTATATGTAATACATTTTATATATATATTTTATATATATAATGTATATATATGTATATATATGTATAAATGTGTGTGTGTGTGTGTGTATATATGTGTAGACAGAGAGATAATATACTTTGCGAAGTCTCTGGAACAGGACAACTATTTAGAAAATGGCAATTTGCATCTCTTCCCTCCCTTCAGACATTCTGCCAATCTGGACCACTCAACCTCAAACAGTAAGGGTGTGAGTCAGAAAAGGGGAGTCAGAGGGACTTAAAGCCCTCAAGTGAAGTTTGCACAAAGGACTTATAAAAGTTAACAGGCAAATGGGCACTATGTGAACCTCTGTCTTGGGGTATTAAAGAACTGAGGATTGCCCACATCTTTTTAATGAGTAGTCAAACTTCACAAAAGCTACTCTGACCCAGTGGCCTCAAGAAACAGGAGGGCTACATCAACTTGGAGAAATTCTCTGTAGGTAACTTGGGATAGGGAGGCCAGGGCACCCAGGAATCACACACACTATTCACTGAGATTCCTCCAAAGTTATTTTCTAATCTGTTTCAAAGCTGTCCTCAAACACTGTTGTGGACTGAATGTTTATGTCTCCCTAAAATTCATATGTTGAAATCCTAACCCCCAGTATGATGGTATTAGGAAGTGGGGTCTTTGGGAGGTGATTTAGTCATGAGGGTGGAGCCCCTATGAATGTATTAGTGCCCTCATAAAAGAGACTCCAGAAAGCTCCTTTGCCTCTTCTACCATTTGAGGACGCAGCAAGAAAACAGCCATCTATGAACCTGGAAGTGGGCTCTCACCAGACACCAAATCTGCCAGTGCCTGGATCTTGGACCTCCAGCCTCCAGAACAGTGAGACATAAATTTCTGTTGTTTATAAAGCCACCTAGTCTATACTATTCTGTTATAGCCGCCTGAAGAGACTAAGTCATGCATGAGCAACTGGAAATCTATTTTTTGCAACATTTTCTTTGAACCCAAATGCTTAGGAACAGAGGGCATCTGATTTTGCAGAACTCCAAACACTAGGTTTTATACTTAGAAAAATAAAAGCCTTTACAGGCTCCACGTTTTCCATTTAGCTGTAATTCTTGGGCTCAACCAATAGATGGCAGCATTAGAGAGAGCAGAGGCAGCTGTGCAATCCCCACGCCCCGCTCCACACCCCCCAACCTAAAGAGAGGAAGAAGGGGCTGGCAAAGGAAATAGGTATTGGGGTAAAGCAAGGTGCAGCCACCTTTCAGTGACTGTCCTATATGCCTGGCTCTTTGATGAACACTTTACTGTAAGATGACAACAGGGCGAGTCAGGCATTAGCCCTATTTTACATAAAAGGAACCTGAGACTGAATATTGATATCTTTTTCCTGAAGTCACACAGCTAGCAAGTGGGGGATTGGCATGCAAAGCCACGTGTGTCTGTTCCCATCCCACCTCACCTCCCTGAATGTCCAAGAGGAGATGTGTTGGGGAGGATAACTAAGGCCATCTCCACCCTGTCCTTTGCACGTGCCCTCATGCCATTCCCTTGTAACTCCTGTAGCTCTCCTTTGTCTGTCAACCAATCTGACCTCATAACTTTCCTGAGGCCAAGTCTCAGACCATTCCACCCCTGCAACAGGTGTCCTGTACCAACTTTTCCTGGCCACATCACTCTCTAACTTATGCTCTTCAACACTAACCAGGTGTTTAGGCCCTGGGTATGCAAAGTGTGGTCTGTGGACCAGCAGCATCAGCACCACCTAGTTAGAAATGCAGAAACTCAGGCCGCACCCAAGACCTACTGAACCTGCACTCCAATAGGCTCTCAAGGTGATTCATGTGCATGCTAAAGCTTCAGAAGCACTAGGCTAGCTTACCTTGTGTACCAAGGACCTCAGATGTCTCTGGTCACAGCTAGTGAGTAAAGAGACTGGGTTTCCAGAGGTGCCTTCCTATGCAGGGAATGTTGGGTTGCTTGCTCGGGTCCACATTAAGAGGTTAGTGGTTTTAAGGCTTAGCCCCCATTCTCGGGAAAGGGGTACTTCTGTCTTTGCCTCCTCCAATTCCCAACCTGTCACAGCTCTGAACAATGAGCCAGCAGGCCCTAATAAGAGAGATATTGGCAAAGCCAAGGGATTGAAATTCCACCACCCTGGGCCCCACAGGCAGGAGAGAGACATGCTGGAGCAATGCTATGACCTTGGGGCTATCCAGTGGGAAAGCAATGGAACCATCTTATCAAGAAGCAAGGAAGGCATTGAAATTGGACCTGCTTTCCATCAGGCACACAGAAACATCACTCTCCATCAGTTAGGCCGGAGACAGAAGGAGCTGACCAGAGGCCACGGCATTCCTGGGCTAGACGGGAACCCACTAACTGGAATTGCCTGGTCTCCCATGCAAACCTTGTCCCCACGCCCTCCCCTAGCCCACGATGACTTACTTGTGATTCCTCCTTTCTTACCTAAGAATCCTATGAAATAATACGCGTTATTTGGTTTTCCTCCTAATGCCCCTAAAGACTGTGGCATCTTAAAACACTCCTGGAGAGAAAGACAATGCAAGATTCTCAACTCACTTGTGGACTGCTGCTCACGGATCTCTGTGCTGAGATGGCGGTGTGATGGGCAGGCAGCAATGGGCTCAGGGAAAGAAGTGACTTACTTTGAATGCATCAACATAGACAGGATTGATTTGGTTTATGCCCAGGCGAAGGGGCACAATGAGCAGCAGGGGTTTCCAGGCTGAGCAGTAGGCAGAGGTGCCCTTACTCTGGTTTGAAGCAGTTAAAGAATCGGGAGGCCTGTCACCAGCTGTGTCAGCACTCAAGGGAAGGACACGGCACATTTTTTCTAGAAATGGAAGAACAGAATATTGGATAAGTAAGGAGTCTTCAGCCCTAGAAGATATTCCAATATCAAAACTAAGGGGAACCTCACATGCCCCCCACCCTGCCTAGAAGGCCCTCTCCTCTGCCACCAGGGCTCAGCTGACTCCCCGCCTGCACAAAGCCCAGGCCATTCCTCTAGGGCTCATGCTCTTCATTCTGGCCACTGGGTACTTGTTTAGCTCCCAATAGGGATTCTGGGCTTATTGGAAGAATCTCATTTCTCAAGTCTGCCAGGGCCTTTGAGACAGGGACTGTATCTTTAGGTTGCTCTCACTCCTCAGTGCAGGAATCACACGCCTGGACAAGGGTGAGCCTCCATGAAAGATCTGTTGGTGGTTGAATAAATTATTATACACACTTTGTGTTTTCTGCAGGGAAGGAGTGTGGTACCTCACTGAGGAGGAGCAAGGCCCCTCTAATGGTGTTCTCCCTCTCAGAAAGCTGAAAAGAAAGAGAATCAGAGCCCTGTGCTCCCCTAAGCTCCCCTGCCCTGGTGGGGAAGACCAGAGAGACTCTCTTGAGCCCCAGAATACTGAATGGTGAGGGAGGAACTCATCACCCATCAGCTGGGAAGTTAAACAGGCTGGTAACTCACTGATATCTTCAATGACCACTGTGTTATCCATTGAAACATAAACAGCCAAGGAATTCCATTCGTCAAATAAAGCAAGTTTTCTGCAAAGCAATGTATAATGAAGTCACAATTTGGGAAGATGGAAATATCAGCAGAAAACAGTACAATTTATGCCCAGTGTTCCTAAAGTCACCAAACACTGAGCCATAGAAAAGCTGGTGTTCAGGTCAGCTCTGGCTTCTTTGCCAGAGCTCTGGGATGCTCCATGTCTAGAGACCTTGAGAATGCCACAGAGTCACTGTATCTGAACCTCAAAAAGAAGTTTCTGCTTTACAACCTGGAGAAGTCTACTTCACAAAATGACGGGACACCTACTGGGGAAAAAAGAAAAGTTACCCATGCATCTGCTCTCAAAGTCCCAAGAGACTTTGTTTTCTTAAATAAAAGACATTCTGACTTACTGAATTTTTATTTTACAAAAGGGAAACTGTAAAAAAACTTTTAAAAAGGAAGCTGTCCGTAAAAAATAGATATTTGTTTGGGATCATAGATAATATGGAGAATATGTTCCAGGTAAACCCAGAGATAGAGACAGTGGGTGGAGGGGAAAGAGAGAGAGAGATTACTTCCACTGTTCCCCAGCTGCCCTGAGAGTGCCTCTCAAGTGACATAGGCTGCAGATTGACTCGGGTGCCAAGCTTTACTGGTCAGCAGCTGAAGAGAGCCACCATGCTGAACTGTAGGACTTTATGGTGTATTAGAAAGAAAACCCCTTTAAAAGAGAGATGATCTGAAGTCTATGTAAAGTACCCTGCCTATTTCTCCCTTTCCTTCTTCTTTCCTTGCCAGTTAAGTAAGGCCATGTTTAACCCGGCTACGTCTGGGATGTGTGGGTAAAACCCAGTCTCACTGGACCAAAGAAAACACATTCTCTCTACCAGGTAGCTCCCAGAAAGAGGTTAACTACCATCACCCTTGTATTTCATTCATTTTGATGTATTATCTTTCCCCAGAATAATAACAATAATATAATAATAATAATAATATGTTGTTGTTAATGCTAATGATCATGATGAATTGGAACCCATTTACATTCTTTAAAAAAATCTACACCAGGCGTGGTGGCTCACGCCTGTAATCCCAGCACTTTGGGAGGTTGAGACGGGTGGATCACGAGGTCAGAAGTTCGAGACCAGCCTGGCTAACATGGTGAAACTCCATCTCTACTAAAAATACAAAAATTAGCTGGGTGTGGTAGCAGCCACCTGTAATCCCAGCTACTCGGGAGGCTGAGACAGGAGAATGCTTGACCCTGGGAGGTGGAGGTTGCAGTGAGCGGAGATTGTGCCACTGCACTCCAGCCTGGGCGACAGAGTGAGACTCTGTCCTAAAAAAAAAAAAAAAATCTAGGTTTCCACTTTGTTGTTGGTAATCTTAAAATTTAGAAGAAAGAAGCAAATTCTGAGGGATGTTATTTTAACACCAACCATTTCAAGCCGAGTTTTGGGCTCAGCACAGCCATTCTAATATCTTATACTTTCCACACTACGTTCATACAGTGATTCCTGAAATCCTACCAGATTTTCACTCAGCAGAGTCAGCGATGCCCAGAAGGCACTCTGACTATGGCAAGAGAGCAGCCTCAGAGAGGTTACATTGTTAGGAAGGAGTAAAGTCAATACAGATTTTCCTTGGGTCCCCAAAAAATCCAGGCCACTGTCCTCACAGACACATTCCCAAAGCATTCTAGTTCACTGAAGACTGGTTAGTAATGGAAACAGGGTCCTGTCTGTACTTTGCATGGAACAGGTTCCCCCATAATGCCCAGGAGCTTAATATTCTACACCAAAGGAGGCCAGAAGGTTTCAATCTTCTGATCCCTAAATCTGGCCTCAGATTCTGGCGGCCATTTTCATGTATTCATCGAGCACTTATTGAGTACTTATGCATGCCAGGCAGTTCTATGTGCTAGTGTTACAGAGTGAACAAGATAAATACAATCTCTGCCCTCATGGAGTTTCCATCCAGTGATAGGTTGTTAGGAAGGAGAGTGACAACAGGTAAGGTGGTCTGCAGGTGTAAGTACTAACATCACTCACCCTGTTTGCTTTCAAAAAGTTGGTCCTGACCTCTCCACCTTGCCTCTTGCTGTGGGAGGTGAATTCTGGAATTTAACAAGACAACTGGAAAAATACCACACTGGGACACCTTGAGTCTGCTATGAGATGACAAACTGATTCCAAGACTTCCCTGGGGTTTGTCGCCCCCAACAGGTGGTGAGTTCCTTGAGGCAAGGACTGTGTCAAGTTTATTTCTGCACCCCCAGAACTTAGCACAGTAAAGGTACACAGAAAATGCTGAATGAACAGGGTTTTTAAATATTATGTAGTGCATGTGGGAGCCCTGTGGGGGTCCATTTCTTGCTTAGGCTGGCTTAGCCTCTACCACTTAGTATGAAACTTTTGGCTTCAAAGGGACCCTCAGGCCAATGGCTCCCAGGCACATGAGCATCAATCTGTAGCATGAGACACTGAATGAGTCCTAGGATACAGCCACATATACTGCTACCAGTGAATATAACTCTGATACACCAACACAGATATCCATGCTTACACATTTCAAAGAGCCATCTGAGCAAAATGGCAGATATTTGATGGTTTAGTGGGAGGAGTAGCTTAGCGGGATTGCAAGAATACCTCGGTTGATGGGAGGTTTAGTTGTCTAGGGAGGGAAGCATAGGAGACAGCAGAATAAGGCAGATGCCAGACTCTTTTACTTACTTTAACACCTGTGCAACTGTATTTGGTCCAAACCATTCTCCAATTGATTTCCCTTCTCCTACACCCATTTGTGCTGTTTTTAATGTGGAAAAAAATAACATGTTAGCAAAAGATCTTCCAATAAGCCACAAAATCTTAATTTTTTGCATAAATAATTAAGCAGATGGACAACTTAATGGAGCCACATATAAGGCAAGGGAAGAGAAGGAACAGGAATAGGCACTGCCTTTAAACTATTGATTTATGACCTTACCCATTTGATGGATAGAGTAGCAACAATCTTTTCTATCTAAGAAGCACTGTAGGATGCGTTGGTATTCTTTGGGTTGTTCTTTTTGTTTCTCCCAGCTCCAGTCTTTTTAAGAAAAAAAAATGGGTTAGAAACATTTTTATAACTGTTTATTCCTCTCTGCACTTTTATTGTAACTACAAAGTTAGAAGAAAAACAAAGGCACCACATCTAGAAGGCAGGGATGACCAAGTTAGAACATTTCTAAGTATCTTTCATTTTGATGACAAAGACATCTGGAAAGTGATTGCTTTCAAGGACTCAGTGGGTATAAAGTAAAAGCAAAACAAAAAGTTGACCAAGGAACTGACTTAACCCAAGGGCTGGAGCTGGATAAATATTACATAAAAACAATGTCACAAAGGCCTTTCTGGCCAGTTACTCAGTGAACAGGAGGTCACCACAAAGCCCGGCAGTACATCGGTATATAAGCCAGATGCCATAGCATCTCATCTCCACATAGACAGCAATGGCTTTTGCTCTTATATTTTGGCAGCATTGACAAAAGGATCTCACGGGTAAGAAGTGCTATTCTGATATACGACAGTTCACAGGGGAATATACATAGCTCACAACTAAGGAAGCTTAAAAAAATTGCATGCTGTCGTTTTTACACCACCTTTTAAAAAGTCCATGCTGAGCTTTGGGAAAACAAATACCTTTGCTATCAGGTGTTCAATGTTTCCCTAAGACCAATGCCAAAATAACTGCATCTGTACGGATACCATCTGTGCCTTCAGCACAGCCCCCTAAATCCTACAGAGGCCATTCGTAACTTGCTGAGGACAACTGCAAAAACCCTATGTAATCACTGCAATCCTCTCAGCTCTAGAAACGCTGTCTAATGGGACAGATTTTTGAGGCTTAGTTTGCGTCCAAGACAAATTTTTCTCCTGAGGTTTTAAAGAGTTTGAAATAAAGACTGAACTACACTTGAAGCCAAAGGCCATTATCTCCAGACTCTTCAGTTGTCTTTTGCTTCTAGTGTTTCTAAAACCAAAGTTTTTAACTTTGGATCCAGCACAGCCCTCAGAGGGTGAACCACATCCAACTTCTTTTCATTAGCTACCAAATTGTCCAAGTCTGGGGAAATCCTAATTAGCTGGCTGCTAAATAGCACTAAATATTCACTGACGACAATGGCAAGTGAATACTCTACCTTAATTTTAAAATAGCTGAATAGGAAACAATCCAAAAGACATCTTTACAAAATTACTCTTTTAACTCATCTTAGCTACAAGATCTATTTCCAACTTCTTCCTGCTACTTGATTTTGTATTGAAACAATTGAGATTGCTGACTGTGGAGTTTTTTTTTTTTTTTTCCAGTTTGCTCCCTACTTCCAGAACTCACTTCCAAAATAATCATTTTGAAGTGTGTTATAAATGAAAAAAAAATTAAATAGTAAGAATGGATCTACACCAAGAAGCATGTATAAACAAGGGAAATCACTGGACAAGGAGTTGGAATATCTTTATTTTATCCCCAAATCTTTGATTTCTTGCGTTTTACCCTGGGTAAATCACATCACTTCCCTGAGCCTCGGTTTCCTCATCTGTAAAATGGAAATTATTATACTATCCAGGGGAAGCAGGATATCCCAAACCCTGAAGAGAAGGTAACAAGCCCTGAAACCTCCCTAGGCCCTTCTCCAATCCTCTCTGAAAGCTGTAGCAAAATCTGTGAGTTTGCACAGTGGGAAAAGGAAAACGATGTTTCTATACTTCTGAACCTCAATTAGCAACAGCCAATGAGTTCAGCAGCCCAATCTCATCCAAAGTGTCCTTTCGCTCTCTCATCCCCAAGTCCAACTGGACCTTCACCCAAGTGCCTGAACTGGCATCCAGCCAACCCCATCCTTCAGATGCCCATAGGGAAGTATGTACATGTCTTAAGAAAGCAAGACTCAAGAGTTCCAACAACCAGCCAGGCGCGGTAGCTCATGCCTGTAATCCTAGCACTTTGGGAGGCCGAGGCGGGTGGATCCTCTGAGGTCAGGAGTTCGAGATCAGCCTGGCCAACATGGCAAAACACCATCTCTACTAAAAATTCAAAAATCAGCCAGGCGTGGTAGCAGGCACTTATAATCCCAGCTACTCAGGAGGCTGAGGCGGAGAATTGCTTGAACCCGGGGGTCAGAGGTTGCAGTGAGCCGAGATCGCACCACTGCACTGCAGCCTGGGAGACAGAGCGAAACTCCGACTCAAAAAAAAAAAATAGTTCCAACAACCATTATCAGAAGGCTTTCTTAATTAAATGTCCTCCCAAGGAAGCAAATTTAAAGATTCCTTCATCATCAGCTGGACATCCTTAGTGAACCAAAACCAAAATAGCGCCAGCTCCCTCTATGCACTTCCTTTAGGTCACTTACATCCTTCACCAGGCAGATATCTTAAATGAGGTCAAGAAACAGACTTAATCACCACACCCTTCTTCCTGCTCCCTTTGTTATCTTGCATTTCTAAGGACTTACTCAAACAATAGCAAAGATGGAAAGGATAAATGACATACCTCCCTCGATGTTCAGTTCTGTCCCAGGAAAATAACTCCCTGGCTTGGTGACTCACAAGGAAACATTAGCTGTTTCCTTCTTATGAGGGGCTTTGTTGACTTGTCAGCCCCACCACTTGAGCTTGCAGAGAGCATTTTAAGACCCTCAAGTTTGTTACTGAGTGTTCCCAAGGCTCAGCATCAAGCTAAATCAACAGCAGCAAGTGATACTGCAGAGGTCTCTGAGAAAGTTTATAAAACAAATTTAACTCACCCCTTCCCAAGTGTCTACAGATAAGGGCTTGAGCCAGCATCATCTGTCCACAGCGTAGCATACATCCCCAACCAGCATCTGATGAAGGGCCCGTTCCACCTGTTGGCAAAATGGAAGGGAATTAATATGGGTTCCTCAAATTGCCCTTTCCTGAAACATCAGCATATTTGGGACTCACACAAGACAGGTAAATATATATACTCTGAAAAGTGAGGTGACAGATACACCCACAGATCAAACAAGATTTGGGTATATGGTTGGAACTTGCAAACATAGTGCTGAGTCAACCAAAACAGGTTCTATGGCCAAACATAAAACAAGCAAATGAACTAAATGTGTCCCTTATGTTTTCTGCTTGAAGACTTCTAGGTATACATGCAATTTTGGTAGGTGACTGCCATGTATGAATACCAACCCTTAGTCCATTCCATGTCATCATCTGCCAGACCCAAACCTTGCCTTGCATAGCTCACTTGCATGGCCCTGAAATTCTCAGGGAAGCCAGTCTTACTTAGATAAAGAACAAATACTACCAAAGGCAATCATCAAAATGGTCAAAGAGATTTGGAAGGCTCATGACTATTCTGAATATACACTATGAAGATCTGAACAGCAAGAAGGACATTGTAAAATAGGGGAAAGATCCCTAGATGAGGCATCAGAAGACCAGTCTCTAGTTATCTAATCTAAATCTCACCTATAGGCTGAGCATAATAGTACATACTCTGCCTACTATCAGTGGGTATTGTAAGAACTGAGAGAATATCTGTGAAAGTGTTCTAGAACCCATAGAGGATGATGCAAATACTTGATGTTTTGAGTATGATCATAATTTAAACCCATATTAATAAATTAGAAATGTATCTTTAAAAGGTATAAAATTAGTTAATAAACGAAATAAGACAATAGGTTCCATTTTAAGAACACCTTATGCAAAGAAAATCCCACATTTGAGGCCAGGGTGAGCTCAATATCCTTTTCCAAGGGGCCAATGAAATCAGATAACTTGTATGGCAGAGAGGATATTTTGTTTTCATTGTTTTCTTTTCCCAGTGTGGAAGTGGAAAAATATGCTAAACATGATCTCAGAAGACTAACTTCAAAGGGGGTCATCAACCTTGTAGGACAAGTGGGTCAAGGTGGTCACCCCTTTCTTTTAGTTGTGGGGACTGAAGGAGAGTTACTACAAGAAGATGGGAAGGAGGGAGCCAATTTATGACCTGGAAGGGGTGCCTTTTGGCTCTTGCTAATGCTGGGATTATTGGCCAGATTAGTATGGAAAAGATGCAATGAGGCCCACATAAAGAAGAGATCATCTATTGCCAAAATATTGGCAGAGTAAAATTAGAAATATTTTCCAGCCTTGCAAAGAGCTCCTCAGCCAGAGAAAGTTAACAGTTCAGAACCACTGGTTACTAAAGATTGTTCTTTTGTTTGTTAGTGACTGGGGTATTTCTGGGGAGAGCAATAAAAAAAAAAAAAAAAAAAGGGCCGGGAGCGGTGGCTCACGCCTATAATCCCAGCACTTTGGGAGGCCGAGGTGGGCGGATCACGAGGTCAGGAGATCGAGACCATCCTGGCTAACACAGTGAAACCCTGTCTCTACTAAAAATACAAAAAATTAGCCGGGCGTGTTGGCGGGCGCCTGTAGTCCCAGCTACTCGGGAGGCTGAGGCAGGAGAATGGCGTGAACCCAGGAGGCGGAGCTTGCAATGAGCCGAGATGGCGCCACTGCACTGCAGCCTGGGTGACAGTGCGAGACTCCGTCTCAAAAAAAAAAAAAAAAAAAGAAAGAAAAGAAAAGTCTGTGTGACCTTCATTTTTGGCACTGAACAGAAAGGTTGATTTCATTCTAGTTTCCTCTTAGAAGAGTAGATTTCACCATTTGTAGGCCCTTTTCCTACAGGGCCATGATACTAGGAAGTGGCCACCCTACTTGCAAATGTGTTGTATATCCTTTATGAAGACAGCATATTCACTTCACCTATTGAGCTGTCCTTTTTTCTAGTTGACAGCTGGTAACAGCCTAGAATTAGTTCCAAGGAAACTACTGTAATTTGTCTCTCAATGGCAAGGTGCTTTCATGTCATAAGGGGGAAAAAAAACAAATAAATTATTTTCTTTCTTTCAAGACACAATTTTCATTAATAATCATGTAGTTCCACAAAGCAGTGGATTGTAATTTAACAGATATTATACAAATTAAAAGATTATGTGATTTTCCCCCTTAATCTCAAAAGTATAACAAGTAATATCATCTGGTGCCTGAACACTTGGAGGTGGTGTCAAAAGTATACTGTCATAATCCCTCAATGAAATAGAGCCATATGTGAAAGGATACTTTAGCAATGAAACTTTTGGATGAAGTGTAAGATTTACCTAGTCTCCTCAATCAAATTCTTTGCTATAGTGAACTGTTAATTCTGAGGTTTCTATGAAGTCACTGATAACCTCAGGCAAGCTATCCACAAGGAATAAAGCACAGTAAAACAAATGATTTACCTACCAATTGGTGAAAATTTCCTTCTGTATGTAAACCATAGACGAGCACTTATATCAGACAACAGCTTAGATTTTTCTGTAATTAAATGTAAAATTAAAATTAAATCACCATATCTAAAAATACCCACCTTTACTTCTGAGCCAGCTACTAACTTAATTTCAAATAACCAGTCAATTCCATTATTATGGGGCTAGGTAAATTCACAGGAAACCCATTCTTATTTTAGCCAAATAATTTCAGTATTTCTCCCAACCTATAGTTTGACCAGAGCTATTTGACTGGTATAATGACCTTGGGTAGCTCCTGTCATCTTTTCACTGAGTTCCACAGTCCTGGCAGTTACAAACACTGGGATCATTGCCAAAAGACAAGGAATAAGAAAATTAAGGATCCTAGAGAACCCACTAACAAGACTATCAGCTCCAGCCTGAATGATGGTTGGTTGGATCTTGCATCAGCACCCATCATCCCTTATCTAAAACTAGAGGTTTGGCTGGGCCCAGCGACTCACACCTGTAATCCCAGTGCTTTGGGAAGCTGAGACAGGGAGATCGCTTCAGGCCAGGAATTCAAGACCAGCCTGGGCAACATAGTGAGACCCCATCTCTACAAAAAAAATGAGGTATGAGGATCACTTGAACCCAGGAGTTCGAGATTGCAGTGAGCTATGATCACCACTGTACTCTAGCCTAAGTAACAGAGAGACCCTGTCTCAAGCAAAACAAAATAAAATAAAACAAAACAAAAACTAGGGGTTGGCTTGTTTGTGTGGATGCATGTGTGTCTGTTCATGCACACATGCATGTTTAAATAAAAAGGAAATGTCTTACTAAGCAAATTAGGTGTGTAAGAAATGTATAGCAACTAGTGCAACTGGCACTTATAATCTAAATGCATATATAATATCACAAATGTTTTTGTGTCTTTTTTCAAAGCATGCTTTCTTGTATTTTATGACATAAATTTACTTTGATGGGCCACAAATATGGCTTCCACATTTTTATCTGTACTTAGATGTGGCTGTCTTTCTTAGTCACCTCTCTCCCTCTTCTCAACATGTCTGTATTATATTCTGTATAAAACTTATAGTCACTGCACTTAAAAAGAACAAAGGGAAATCTACTTTTAGCCAATAGTTTCTATTTTCTGTCTTCCTTTTCTTTGGAGCAAATCGGAAAGTTGAGCTATCTGTATTTTCCCTCCCTTCCATGCCCCGGTGCCTAGCATATTCAGGGAAGCAGATGTATAATGGTTAAGAGTAAGACACCCGAAGTCATACTTTGCTTGGGTTTGAACCCTGACTCTGCTACTTACCAGCTGTGTAACCTGGTTAACTTAACCTCTCTGAGCTTCAGTTTCCTCATCCATAAATGGGGAGAATTATAGTACCTACTTCATTGAGTTGTGAGTATTCAAAAGATAATACACTTAAAGTGCTTGGATGGTGACTAGTATGCAGTGAACCTATAACAGATGTTAGCTGTTATGTGCTCGTCCTCTTAAATGTCCACACCCTCACTCCTGCCTCTGACAGTCTTTATGCCTTCCTGTGTGGCTTTACGCTGGGAAAGTTGTATGGACATTTTAGCAATGATTTCATTTTAAGAGGCGTTTCCCAATTTAACATTTGAATACGAGTAGATTTGGCAACCTGGGGATTCCTGTTGTCATGGAATGCAGAATTAGAAGAGATCCCCTCAAATCCCCTCATTTTAAGTACCACTGAAGGAAGTTAAGATCCAGAAAGAGACAGTGACTTACCTGAGTTAGAAGAGTCTGAATACAAAAGGTCTCCTAATTGCTAGCTCCAGGCTTTCCACTGTTCAGAATTCTCCAATCAAAATAATGAAGCCAGGCTCAGGAGGAGCTCCACAATGCCTAACTTCCTCTCCTGCCTTTTCATCAGCCTCTTCCTGTTCCTTCCTCCACGCTAAGTGAGGGCCTCTGAAGAGGATGTCTCCTCAGAAAGACACAAATCTCAGAGCTGCCTCTTTCCAAGCTCTGGCTTTATCTGGGTGCTGGGCTGTTAGCAGTTTCAGGTTAAAAGGTCTTTCTTTCCCAATCTATAAGAATGTAATGGTAAGGAAGAAAAATTCAAGCCTCCTTTCCATCTAGCTGCAGTGGCTAAAAGTTCTATACAAAATCAGAATAAACTGAGACAGTGCTACGGTCAGCAAAAGATCTAAAACTTAAGAAAAACTTAGGTCTGATATTGTTTCTGAGGTCCATGGGTTGTCTAGAAGTCCTTGGGTGTTTTTATCTAGCCAGACAAGCATGTGAGAGTAATAAATATGTAGACCAGTCACGAAAGGCTAGAGACTGATTAGTGATACCAGGAGTGGGTCCGTGTTTTTTGAAACCCAAGGCTTCTAGAATTTGGGGATTCTCCTTTAAGGAAAAGAATAAAAATATATTACTTGTGCAAATTGTGCAAAAACCTATAACCATGTAAACACACTACTAGGGCCTTTCAGGGCCTTGGAAGGGGCCTGTCCAAGCAAAAGTCCTGAGGCTTAAGCTCCTTTGACTACAAGTTAAATCCACCTCAGAGTAGCATTAACATTGAGCAAGACAATGCTCTGCCAACCCAAGAAGAAAAAGTACAAACCCTGAACCACAGGTGCCTACCTCATCTGGGTTCTTACAGACAAATGCTACCAAATCTTACCTGTTTTAAGGAGATGCTGCTTCCCTAAGATCCATACCAGCTCATCTGTATCTGGATATTCTTCTAGGTAGTCAGTGAAAATAGTAATCTGATCTTCATACTTGGATAAAACTGAAAGAAAAGGAAAGAAACAAGTAAAATTTAATAGAAGGGGCTTATCTTTGTGGTTGACTGATTATTACCTTTACCCTGAAGGTGAAAGGTCAGCAGCTTGAATCTAATGGAAACAATTCCTTTTCCTTGAGGAACAAACACACTCACAAGACCTCTAAATCCTTTAGTTGAAGGATTTCCTCTTGACCATCTCTTTTGACCTTCCCTTTCTCAAGGTCCCATTTAACACCATCTCTAAACAATCATTTGGCCACAGTTACTTCAAAACATTTTATACCATGGGGCCTTCTTTGTAAATAGCCAATTATCGAGCTTCCCCTACTCTGAGTGTGTTGAGGTGATACAATACCTGCATACCTAACTCCTGCCCATGTCACAGGGAATATCATGAGGTTTGTATTGTGAGGTTTCTAGTGGCCAGTGGCTTGGAAGGTGCTGTGACAAGCCTGAATGTTTGTACACCTGTGTATATGGTAATATTTTAGCTGAAAGGCCAGATGTTTTCACAGTATTTTTATTTGCCATTTTATTCACATATGGCTTCTGCAAAGAAGGATCTTGAAGTTAACAGTAAACATAACTTGTTCTTGGAATTCACAGATGACTATTAAGATATAATAAGAAATATATATTTAGTTTCTATCACTGTTTTCTGGCACAGAGCTCCTAAAACCTTTGTTATGGTGAGTGACAGGGATGCTACGTGCATCTTTTCTTCTGAAATTTGGCCTTTCTCCCTGGTTCCTGACATAGAGCTCCTAGTGAATTTCCTGGGTGATAAGAGCATCTTCCGTTCTAATGAAGTATCTCTTGGTGGGCTTCTGGATGGAGGCTGGTTACCAGAAAGACTAAGCCATGATCAGAAGCTTGGAACTTTCAGTGCCAACCCCCATCTCTTTAAATAAATAAATAAATAATAATAATTTTCTGAGAGAAATTATATTATAAACAGTAAATATATTTCCAAGCTAGTCCACAAAACCTATTTTAATCTGTAACTAGAAAATTTAAATTGATAGTTTATTTCACAGTTTATGGTGCTATATCTATGAGAAAATATATTTCAAGTTCAAAGCTAAGATATTCAACATACACCTCTCAACTCATGGGGGCTCCTCAGCCCCTGTGAGGAAGGGAACACAGAGAAAGTAGGGGGCCATTTGTACAACTACAAGTAGCTGCAGAGATTCTCTAAAAGAAATCCCTTGAAAGGATAAATTGTTTTATTTTATTTTTTGTTTTCTAAGGCCAGGGCATGTTGTTTTCATAGAAATAAATGCTCCTAAATATAAATGAGTCTGTTCTGATAAAAAAAAAATGAGTCTGTTCTGATCATATAAATATTTTGTTGGAAGTTGAAATTATAATTTGTACAAGTACTTTTAGAAACACAGCTGAGATCAAGACCATCCTGGCCAACATGGTGAAACCCCATCTCTACTAAAAATACAAAAATTAGCTGGGCATGGTGGTGCATGCCTGTAGTCCCAGCTACTCGGGAGGCTGAAGCAGGAGAGTCGCTTGAACCCAGGAGGCCGAGGTTGCAGTGAGCCAAGATCGCGCCACTACACTCCAGCCTGGTGACACAGTAAGATTCCATCTCAAAAAAAAAGAAAAAAAAAGAAAAAGAAAAAGAAACACTGTTAACCAGGGATATTACCTTTCTTAAAATATCTTACAGAATTCCAGTCATTCAAGGATTTAAGTAGCCCTTCTCCTCAATATATTTTAATTATTAAGATGATAGTCTCTGCAGTGTTTCAAATCTAAAGAAGTTAGAAACAGCCATTTTGTTCCCCAGTGAAAATTCATCACTACCAAATCTGACAGGGAGCCTGTGCCATCTTAGCCTCTCTGCTGCTGGCCTCAGCCCCTGGCCCATGCCCAGGAAATACCAGGCTAAAAATGATTATCCAGGTCAGGCCATCCCCAGGAGGTGGTGGACTGAGGCAGGGCAAATCACACTGTGCACCTCCCCACCCTACCCTCTACCCCTCACAGGCAGAAGAAATCAGGTTTAAATGAACATATAGTGTAGCCTAAAAAGAGAAAGAAAATCAGAAAATAAGTAACTTGAGTAGACTGTAGGAAAAGGGCAACCTCTCTGGCATTGCCTTGGTAGGGGTGAGGATGGATGGCATTGGATGAATGTACAGCATGTATGCATATAAGCCTTGGGTCTTTTTTTAGTACTGGCCAAAGAAATACCATTTCTCTATTGCCAACCCTGTCTCAGTGAGTCACTGGCCAGTTATCTCGTCAAATTAGTAAAGCCCTTTAAAGCTTGTGACAACTGCCTTGCTTCATTTGGGATGGCTCTGATCAAAATGGCAGCCAAAGAATTTTACTCTTGCACTTCACCCCCTCTCAGGCCTAGCTAGGCCAGCAAGAAGGTCATTACAGTCTCTATTCTTCTTGATTCTTCTCTTAAAAGATAGACACCCCGAATGCAGTATGTGAGGCCACAGCCATCCTTGAATCGAGGCTACATGTATAGAACAAATGAAAGAACAGAAAATGAAATTAACAGAAGCAAGAAGCAGTGAGATGGGAAGATTATGTACATGGGGGTCTAGGGAGGAAAGAGGAACAGGTCCTACATAGGGAGAACTCATATGAAAAAGCAATCTGGGAAGTGGATGAGGTACAGAAGTAAAATATCATTTCCAATACAATTACTTCTGATTAACAGCAATGCTTTTTGTTTTAAATTTTTCACAAACTACCTTTGTCTTGCCTTTAAAAATAAACAAACCAGATATCAGGCTGATATGAGTTCCCTGCCTTTTCTGTCTGTTTAAAGAGATAGGGACTATACAGGCAGAGCTACAAATCTATAACTTGGTGGACCAAGAATTAGTTTCTACAAGGTCTCAGGGACAACAGGCTTCACCCTGTTCCACTGTACTTTAATAATAATTATTGTACTGAAGTCTCTGCTGGGTTAGTTTAGTGGCCAGCTCATAATTAGACAAAGATTTCCTTAAATTCCTGGAAACAAAAAGCCTCCCAGTTTTGGCCAAGGGACTCTGTGTACATGTTGGGGCATGTCTTCAACACTCAGCCACACAATGTCTTCTGCCTTTGTCTTCACTTTCTGCTTATGCCAAGCTCAAGATCAGCCAGAGTGAGAGCTTAGGACCTATTGAGGTCTTTCCGGAGCATGTGCACAGCCCTATGCATGCGTGTAATCTTGTAGATTCCCAGGAATATGCCCAAGCTTTCCAAAGCCCCAAGGAATCTCATTCCCCAGCTTTTTCTTCAAAGCTTTGTGGTTAGCTGGAAATGTTATCCATTGCTTCAGGCAGCTGAGAAGTTAATTGACTGCCTCTAATCATTTTCCAAAAGAAAGGCCCTGGGGAAAAGGCTTTCTGTAGCTCTGTGTCAGGCCAAATAAATAAAGTCTTACAAGTGGGGGGTCTTCTGGGGGAACTCCAGACAGATCGAATAATGACAATTCTCTAGAAATGAGGCTGTAAAGGAGTCCCAACCCTATTCTGTCTCCTCTGGTGGCTGCCAGGCTGCTGGTTTTCCCTGTGAGTGAAGGCTATTGATTTTGAAGCCAGGGAGAAAGGGATGGGAATAGGGTGAATGAAAATACTAATGCCACAAAGCTCACTGGTCTTATCAACATGCAGCCATTTTTCTTGAGTAAATGTTCCCTGGATTGCTGCAAGCCTTTAGTTCTAGAGTTCTGAAAAATTTGATGCTATTTCTGCCAGTTTTTTCATTGCTATTATGGAGAGAATTTTCAGAGGTACTTACTCTGCCATTTTTGCCAATGTCTTACTTTAATAATATGGCTTCCGGCAATTGACTACATTTCTAAGGGTTATTTGGAAAATTGCAAGTAAATGAGAAAATCACTTTGAAAAACAAATTTTCTGACAGGGCTTAACAAAAACACTTATACCTCATGACATGAATTTCAGTCAATTCATCTTAGATTCTGTGGAGCTTGTGCTAAAGAAAGAAGCACCACAAACTCTCTAAAGTGAAATTAAAAGGCCATAGAATCTCAGGGCCAGGAGGGGTCTGAGATATAGGATAACCTCCTTATAGGTCTTTCAATTCTAACAGCATGCCAGGACACTGCTGGTGCTAAAACAGCCTTCTCAGCAATGCATACATCAAATCACATCTTAAAGAACTTGGGACAACATCCACAGGGGATAGGTAGGGTAACAGCTGAATATTCATTCATATTTCATTCCATAAACTTTATAGAGTATACCTACTATGTGTTAAGTATAGAGGGTAAAACATCAGTGAGATACAGTCTCCACCTTCCAAAAGCTTTTTAGTGGAGAGGCTAGGTCTGGAAACAACTAACAGAAGTGCAATAAGTGAAAGGAAAGTGATGTGGAAGACAGGGAAAGAAAAGGAAATAAATACAGTAATTAATTCCAACTGGGGGTGAATAGGCTTTCTACAACCTAGAAAAGGTGGCATCAGAGCTGAGCCTTAATGGAAATAAGATATAAGTGGTAAGGGGGACGGGAGGGAATTCCTGATTGAGGGAACACCGAAAGGGCTTGGCAAGCAACTGAGTGTAGGGTGGGGCAGGGGAGAGTGAGAGAGAGTCAAAAATAACTTGTAGTTTTCAAGTGTTGGTGATGAAACGGTGGCAGAAAACCATGGGGGTGGGTAGGGAGATAATAAGCTTGGTCTAGCCAGAATCTGTTGGACTCAGTGGATTTGTGGACAGGGGTTTAAAAAACAGTGAAGGGAAAGTCAACCTGCACAGGGCTTTTGAAAACAGGCATGATAGATGGCAGGTTAATTAGCAGGGCCTGGGAAAGCAGGAAGACAGCCAGAAGACCAAGGCTCTGGCCCAGCCTGCAACATGCTTTCATCCCCTTCCTCCTGGGTTCACTTACTCCCCTGTTAGTCCCCAGCTTCTGCTCACCTGTGCACAGGCCTTGCCCCATCTTCATTTGTCTTCCACCCTGTGACCTGCTTTTCTGACAACCAAGAACTTAGAAAACAGAAGATTGGGCAAAAATTCTTAGCATTTCAAGTGGATTTTCACAATCAAAACAGCAAGTTTTCTTGAATTTACTCAGCAAGTCACATCCTAGCAATGCTAGGTTGTCAAATAATGCAAAAGACATGAATGATTTCTCTACAGACTGGTATAAACTTTGACTTCCTAAGACAACAGTGAAATTTTCAAACTTACATTAGAGAATCTTAACCAAAGAGTTATCCTTCAGCTAGAGAGGACTTTATGGGATTCTATTTAACTGACTGGTGTTAGCAGTGGTGGAGCAGAGGAGGCTACACCTGATAAATTTCAGGGCAAGTCAGCAAAGTAACCAGTCTGGTTAGCAAGGGACAATTGTTAAGCTATAAGACTCTGGTTTTCAGCTAGAAAAATTAATCAGGCCATAGATAATTTGGCCCCAGAAAATATGACATTTCTTACAGATTTCAGTTAATTCATCCTACTGACATAATGGTAATCCCACTGACAAATGTAATGCAAAATTGGGCTATTTCTGTGTTTCCTTTAAAGTGAGGCTTTTGAAAATCTTATTCCCTTTTTAAGTGTATTTTTCTTGTTGTTTTCACTTAGGGATAAATTGCTGCCTGCTGTCTGCTGAGTGAAATGCATTTGGAAACGTCTATGGGGAAATGAGATTCCATACACAAACTGGTCAGGAATGTACTAACACATAGACCACTGCACCTCTGAATTGCTGCCTCTTTTTGCCTTTGCTAAGATAGCTCTGCTCTTTTTTGATAGATGCCATTTCCAGAAGGATAAAAAGACTAGCTTTGAAAGGAGAGTCTAGATGCCTCTGTGATAACAAGGTGCTGCTCAGAGGATGCCGCCTTTGTAAAGGCTATCGTTTTTGTTGATAAGGCATACAAAAAGGGTAGCACACTGGATGTACTGATGAAGAAAAATATTTGGTTGGCAATATAATTCAAGACTAGAGGCACCTTTTTCACAAACTGAGGTGAGAATCACCTTGATTCTTCAACAGGTTTTGTTGTTTAGAATCAACCTGCTGGTCAGTTGTTACTGGGAAATTGGAGGAAAGCATGATTGAATTCCCAAGGAGGACAGTTTCACATTAGTGCCGCTGCCAAGCCATGCAGTGGGTTAAAAGAAAGCTTCCATGGTACTGTATCTTTGATTTTGGACAATAACCAAACTAAAAAGCAACAATACTCAAATACTGAGCTCATGGCTCATTTAGGAATCAAGACACCATGAAAATATTTAATCAAAATGAATAGTGTGTCGACTTATTTTTCTTTAATATCCAGCATGGTGAGGAGAAGGAGGAAAAGGAAAGGGAAAAGGAGGAAATTCCTACATCCCTGTTAGAAATAGCTCTATTCTAGGAGCCCCAAAATTTGTGTTCTAGTCCTGCCCTGCCACTTAATATATGACCTTAGAAAATCTACTGCACTTCTCTGGACCTCAGATTCTCCATCTATAAAATGAGCAGTGTGTTTTCAAACAGCACATCCTAATTTATCAGTGGGTGGTGAAATCTATATAGGGGGTTGCAATCAGCATTTTTAAAAAATGAAATTGAATAGAATAGAAAAGATCAGTATACTGCAGATAAGAAGTATTGTTTCATGAAACTTGTTTGTGTGTATAAAAACCACGTTGCAATGTAAAATGTATTTCTCATTGTGTTGTTATGATAAAAAAAAAAGTTAGAAAGCCACCGGTCCACACCTACACTGTCCAATACAGTAGCCACTAGTCACATGCAGCTGTTTAATTAAAATTAAAGACAAAAATGCAGTTCCTCAGTCACACTAGCCACATTTCAAGCACTCAATAGCCATGTGTGGTTGGTGGTTACCGTATTGGATAGCACAGATACAGAACAGTTTCAGAATCTCAGAAAAATTTACTGGACAGTTTTATTATAAGGAGTTTTTTATGGTTCTGTAGTACGTGGAGGCAGGATGGGGTGTTAGGAGGAATACCCCGAGCCCTAGGAAGAGAAGATGTGTTCACTTGTCTCTCTTAAGAGAGTCTGTATGTGAACTTCTAAATAAATGAACCAACAATTATTTATTAAGTTCCAAACTTGGTTCTATGAGGAATACAAAGGAAGCATCCTCATAAACATTCACTGGATGTTAAATGAACCAGTGAAGGCATCATAATATCATAATCGAATTAAAGATAGGAACCTTATGTAAAAGAGTTAATAATAAAGGGTAATGTACAGACAAGTGTTAATAATAACTAAGTGCTGTCAAAATGCACAAAAGGAGGAAATTGAGCACTGGAGTCATCAGGGAAGATTTTAAGGAGCGAGTAGAATTTGGACTGGTCTTTAAATTATTCCTTGAATTTGGGTGAGCAGAGACAAGAGGAGAGAATATTCCAGATGACAGCACCATACATTTACATGCATTGGAGAGTGGGGTAGGTTCTGGGGGATATTGACAAATGAGATGAAAGAGGTGGCATGGGACTAGATTCTGGAAGGTATAAAGCCAGCCAGTGGAGTCCAACTCTTGGTAAAGCTATTGACAGTTTTCAGAGCACTTTCACATGATTCTGGTGACAGCCCCTTGAGAGGGACAGGGCAGGGACCATTACCTCCATTTTAGAGTTGAGGGAACTGAGTCTCAGAGAGGTGATATGACTTGCCCAAGATCATATAGCTAGTGAGCAGTATAATCAAGATTCAAACCCAGTTAATATTACTCTTCATCCAGTATTCTTCCCACTATACATTGCTGTTATGAAAAAAAAAGCTGGATTCTAAGCACAGGAGATAAGGAGACCAATGAGAAAGTCGTTGCAACAATCCAGGCATAAAGTGTTGAAGGCCCGGCCTAAGGCAGCAAGAAACCAGATGCTCTGGTTATATAACACACTATAAAACAAACTGACAATGCAATACCCACTGTTTATAAGGGACAATAAGAGCAGACAGTCTGAGGTTAGAACATTATAGTTATGTTTAACTGAAAGTGATCTAAACTACTCCCAGAGGAATAAATATTAACAATATAATTCACATACTGTGTCTGGATTTTTCCAGACAGCTGAAAGCAATGTTTTGGACACGGTTCCTAAGCAAACAACACTTTATATGTCTATACATTATTATGAGGCACTTCTGTCTTGGTAGTGTTTCTTTCCCCTGTCAATTTCTATTTTCATTTTTCAGAACTAATTGGTCATATAATCTGTTACCTCATCTAGATTTCCAGTGAGAAAAGACAGGTGCAAAAATGTAAAAGAGCTAAAGGCCTTAGGGTTTTTCCACACTACTTAGCAAAACTATAGGCTTAGCAATTAATTAGTTAATAATGATTTACTAAGATATGCCATTGCCAGACTAATGTTACAGGATCTCTCTGCTGTTGACAATAAAATGCTAAACATCTTCCATGGGCTTCCAAGACTGTTCCACCTGACAGGAATCAAATATAAACTCATCAACGTGGCACTTAAAGCCCTCTCTAATAAGGCCCACTTCGTAAATTTCCAGTTGTTTCCCATTACTCATTACTCCTTCATAATATCTACTCTTTTCAGTCAAAATAAAACACATGATACGGAGGAGATTCTATCTTTGCTCATTCATGTTCTACTTGCCCTTAAATCCCACCTCAAATGCTCCTTTCTTGATGAATCATTCTTCTTCAGTTTTCCCAACAAGGAGTACTTGCTCCTTCTTCTAAACATCCACAGTCCTTAATTTATACCTCCTTTATGACACTGAGCACTTTCTACTTTAGATTATTGTTATTTGTGGACATGTTATCTCTCTGCTATTGAAATGAACTCCTTAAAGTCTCAGTCCATGTAATGTTCATCTCTCTATCCCCTACAGCTCTGGTCATAGTGCCTTGCAATAAGTCCTCTCCTAAGGTTTAACGTTTGTTGAATGGATGGGTACAGAAAAAAAAAAAGCCTAAAAGCTGGTTTATATGTCCATCCAAATGTCAATTTAACAATCCTTTACTGAGTACCTACCATGTAACCAGTACTGTGCTAGGCCTTAGCAGTAGCAACATATCTTAGTAATTCTGAGTCTAATGGGAAGAAAGAGAAGGAAGAGTTAATTTTGATGCAGTATGTGATGAGTATCTGTATAGGAGGCTAAGGAAGAATAGAAGAGGGACATCTAAGTCAATCCGAGGCATAAAGGAGGCTGTGGAAAGAAAGCTGATGGCAGCACTCGACCTTAGAAAATGAGTGAGAGTTAAGCAAATTCATCAGGGAAAGGACATTCCAGACAAAGAAAGCTTGTACCAAATGCAGAAGGCTAAGAGACTGTGGAATTAGTGATGCTGTACGGGGACTGGCAAGGGTTGAGGCTGGAGAGGAAGGTGGAGCCAGGAGATGCTGGCCTTGGCAGCCTTGGTCAGAATTCTGGACTTAAGCCAGACTTCATGGGGCCCCTAAAGGGTTTCGGATACACCCAAAATCCAGTCTGGGTATCCTGCAATTTGCAGAATAGAAGTGGTGCACCAAGTAGTCACCTAGAAAGCAAATCCTAGCTCTTTGAACATTCATCATCAAATTAAATTCTGTTAAAAAAAACAAAGACCGGAAGTGATTCTCTCTGTTGAGGAGGATGGAGGTTCCCTGTCTCACAGCATGTGAAGTGTTACAACACCGGGGGAGAAGTACAGAGTCTTTTCCAGAAACAGTACTCTTTGGAGCACCTTCCCAGTTTTCTCCTCAGTTTACAACCACCTCACCCTCTTCCCATACCACAGGAATTTTCCCCATACCCTTTCAACATCGCACCTCATTAGTAAATGTTGCCAGCAGACATATGATGTTTAAAAATTCTTTACCTTAGAAGTAATGTAAAAGTATACTGCCAGAGTTAAGTTTTGGGATTACATAAAATTACACACGTACCTTCACTTTCAAAACAAAAGATGTATTCCAAATTAATCCTAAGGCACATTTCTGTAATGTGAACTTGATTTTCCAATGTTATTTTATGATCATTTGAGCCACATCGCCCAAGAAAAGACAATTTGACCCCATCCAAAAAAGATACAGCTTGCAATTAAAGGGCTCCTCATCCCTGATGTGCACCGTATGTAGCAGACACCAGGAAAATAAATATCTACTCACAAGTGTGAAAGACCCAGCCCACTGTGTGAAGCAAAAATAGTCTCTAATGTCTGACAGGGAATATGTCCTGCTAAACAAAATACGAACCCATTTTTAATCTCTAATAGTGGCTCTTCATAAAGTGGGTTTTCTTATAAGATGGTTAGCCATCAGTTCCTTCATTAAGACTTTTCTAAGTTAAAACTTTTTTTTATCATACCTACTCTAGTGAGTCTACTCCTAGATTTATATCCAATAAAAATGAGTGCTTATGTTCACCAAGAGATATGATCAAAGATGTCCATAGCAACTTCTATTCATGATTTTAAAAACCTAGAAACAACCCAAATGTCCATCAACAGGGAAATGGATTAAAAAATTTGTGGTGTACCATACTTTGGAATGCTACATAGCAATGAAAAGGAACTGAATCTCACAGACATCATGTTAAACAAAAGAAGCCAGATGCAAAATAGTAGATACAGTATGACTCAATTTACATAAAGTTTGAAACCAGGCAAAACGAATCTATGATGACAGTGGTCAGAACAGGTGTTACATTTGGGAGGTGGTATTACCTGGGAGGAGGCAAGACAGAACCTTCTGAGGGACCAGAAATGTCTATAACTTTCCAGTGTGGAGTTTACACATACATAAAATTTCACTGAACTATGCACTTAAAATTTGTGCATTTTACTGCTGGTAAGAATACCTTAATTAAAGAAAAAAGAAAATGGTAAGTCTCTATACTAGATTTATTTCTGGTATAGACTGTAAAAATTATACTAACCACAATCTCTTATTTAACAGAAGCAGAAACATAGTTCTGAATTTATCCCACCCCTCAGTACACACACACACACACACACACACACACACACACGCATACATGCACACATGCACACATACACATCAAATCTAAATGCAAGCAGTTAGGGGCCTCAGATATTATCTATAAGGCTAATTTATTAGATTTTTCCATTTATAGCACTGCAGAATGCTACCTATATTTACAGACTTGCTTTGACTACAAATTTATAAATTCATTAATTGTTCTTTTCTACTATAGCATTAGATGATCTTCATCACATAAATACATTAAGTCTGTTAAAAAAATTAATTGAGAGGTCATTAGGCTGAGATGGCTCCAGTGCCTTTGGTTCCTACTTGAGCCAACCAATACCCAAGTCACTGTAAATAGCAAAATGACACTTAATTTTAACCAATTAGAAACCAACAACTAACCTCTAACTAGAGACTTTACCAATTAAAAACCACCAACTAACCTCTAACTAGGGACTTTCCACTTTAACCAATCAAATAGTTTCTTTGTCTTATTTCTGCAAGAATCTTATAAGTTTTCCCTTCACATCCCTGCTGTGGAGCAAAACCACTTGTGGTTTGGTGCTACCCAATTTATAAATCACTGTCTGCTCAAATAAACTCTTTAAAATTTTAATGTGCCTAAGTTTATTTTGTAACAAGTTTGTTCCCCAAATCTTATTGAAAGAGGGCATAGTAGACTAGAATGCCACGGAATACCAGAATGCTGGCCTATGAATTAGGAGAGCTGAGTTCTATTTCTGCTCTGCCTTTTACTGCAAAGTCACTTTGGGCCAGACTTTTAAGCTCTTTAGGATTTCTTTCCCTCAGCCATAAAATAGAGATAATACCTTCTCCACAGGGCCGTAGTGAGGATCAAATGAGAAAATGAATATGAAAATGCTTTGTAAACTTTCAAGAAATGTTAATATGCCCCAAACTAAGCGTTTAATAAGAGCTTGTGCCTCGGTGTAGCCAATAAAAAAAGTACTTTAATTTCAAAGCTTGTATTCAAGTTCCACATATCTAGCTTTCAACAAAGAGTCAGGATCAGCAAGTATACTCAAATTCTAACATCTCTGAGAAGTCAAAACAATGCCATTATAATAAATACTAAAAACAGACATGTAAAGAGAAGTACAATTAATAACATCCTTCCTGCTTTTCGCAATTACAACTTTTAGATGCATCTCTAGCCAAAGTTCTAGATTTAGTTCCCTAATCTAGAACTTTGAACTGCATCTGCAACACCCATGTGGTACACTGATATGGTTTGGCTGTGTCCCCACCTAAATCTCAACTTGAATTGTATCTCCCAGAATTCCCACATGTTGTGGTAGGGACCCAGAGGGAGGTAATAGAATCATGGGGGCCAGTCTTTCCCGTGCTATTCTCGTGATAGTGAATAAGTCTCATGAGAGCTGATGGGTTTATCAGGGGTTTCTGCTTTTGCTTCTTCCTCATTTTCTCTTGCCACCGCCATGTAAGACGTGCCTTTTGCCTCCTGCCATGATTCTGAGACCTCCCCAGCCATGTGGAACTATAAGTCCAATTAAACCTGTTTTTCTTCGCAGTCTCGGGTATGTCTTTATCAGCAGCATGAAAACAGACTAATACACATGCATAGTGCCATAGTCCCCAACTCCCAATTCTGAATTTCACAATAACTGCCCCTGAAAACTGCTCTCCCCTTTCTACCCTCTGCCATCCATCATGAGCCCCATAACAAAATTTTAAAATACTCCTCACTCTGAACTCCTTGTCAGTGCCCCAAATACTCCTTGCCAGTGCCCCCCAATGGACAGTGTCTTTTCTTGTGTCACCTTCTGAAGCCTGTTTCTCTGATGAGAAATGATGTGCACCAGAGTTGCCTAAAATGCTTCCTGTCACCAACTATTCTTTCTAGTATCCCCAGCAAGAAACCTCCAATTGGAGAGCGCTGCAGTGTGCAAGGAGCTTGAAAGAAGGAAAAAGTAGGGTGACCTGGTTTCAAAGTCTGCAGTAGTTTTTGTTTCTGTAGATTTAGTTATTAGTCCCACAAATTAGCTCTTCAAACTAGAACATGATTGTAGATAAAGAAAAAAAAATGGACTAGAGAAGGTAAATACTGAACCTCTCAGGACCCTTGAAAAGCATTCCCTTCAGGCATCAAGTCCAATGAAGAAGCCTTGATCGACTACAAGCCTACAGAGCTAGGAGATGGGGAGTCAATTTTACAAAAGTAGGTTGACAGAAGCAAGAAGGGCTAAAAGACAAGAAAAGAGATAAAAAAAAATCATAAAAACCTAGTATGGTTTCCCACACACACACATACACAGACTAAATGTTCGGGGACCATTTAGTACAGGGGAAGACACCAAAAAACATTTCAATAGGCCTCAGAATATCAGTGTATTATAGGATAATACAACAAGTAACAGTCACAATAATGATCCTTACACAAAACAAATTTATATTCTATATACTGTTTAAGAAGTCAGGGAAGGGCCGGGCGTGGTGGCTCACGCCTGTAATCCTAGCACTTTGGGAGGCGGAGGCGGGCGGATCACGAGGTCAGGAGATGAAGACCATCCTGGCTAACATGGTGAAACCCCGTCTCTACTAAAAAATACAAAAAAAAATTAGCCGGGCGTAGTGCCGGGCGCCTGTAATCCCAGCTACTGAGGAGGCTGAGGCAGGAGAATGGCGTGAACCCGGGAGGCGGAGCTTGCAGTGAGCCGAGATTGCGCCACTGCACTCCAGCCAGGGCGACAGAGCAAGACTCCGTCTCAAAAAAAAAAAAAAGTCAGGGAAGTAGATTGTGTTTTAGAAAATACTATTCAGGATGGTTAAAATGTTAAAAGCTCACAGTGCTTAAATTGATCAAATCATGAGCCATTTGGGAAAAACTGGTTATTAAAAATGTCCTTGTGGGGAGGTTAATGGGTACAAAAAAATTAGAATGAGTAAGATCTACTATTTGATAGCACAACAGGGTGACTATAGTTAATAATAATTCAATTATACATTTTAAAATAAATTATAATTGGATTGTTTGTAACACAGAGGATAAATGCTTGAGAGGATGGATACCCCATTCTCCATGATGTGATTATTATGCATTGTGTGCCTATATCAAAATATCTCATGTACCCCATAAATAGATATCCCTAGTATGTGCCCACAAGACATTAAAAATTAAAAAATTATTAAAAAATGAATAGGGCCAGGTGTAGTGGCTCATGACTGTAATCCCAGCACTGTAGGAGGCCAAGGTGTGAGGACTGCTTGAGGCCAGGAGTTTGAGACCAGTCTGAGCAACAAAGCAAGACCATGTCTCTATTTTTTTTAAATAATTGCTTAAGAATGTTTAAAAAATAAAGAATTAATAAAATATACTCAGTGAAAATGCAACTCTAAAAGAAATAAAAATTTTTAGAAGCCCTTTTCCCAGAAAGAGTCAAGTAACCAAGGTTTTACTCTACTTGGTGAGACACGATGAGTGTTAGCTTGCACAGTAGAGGCAAGTGTTATAGGAGGCCAGAAAAGGGAGATGAACATGGGAAGCATAGTCAGAGAAGGCTTCATGGAGGAAGCAGGGCCCAGAATTGGGTTTAATTTGAGTTTCTTCATCCAAAGCCTGGTGCTCCCTTTCTTGATTGCAACCCTTATGCAGTACTGCCAGGGCCTCAGGTTAAGAGTCACTGAAGGTGACTAGTCTTCAGGAAAATTTCATAATAATGAATAAAGAAAAAGATGGGAAGCAGACTCTGGTCCCATTCTATTGCAGTGTAAAGGAGCCAGCCAAGGCTTAATGTCTAAATAAGCAGAGCCTCTGGCATGGGCAGCAATTTTGCCAAGCAGCAAATAATTTGTAGGACCAATGAAAAGTACCCCAATCATAGTTCTGTAACCTGAAATTATTGGAAAAGCAAGATTTAGCAAAGAATCTTTACTTTATAGTTGACTTTAATTTAATATATAGAAGGATAGCAATGAGAGCCAGGCATGATGGCTCACACCTGTAATCCCAACACTTTGGGAAGCTGAGGTGGGAGTGCTTGAGCCCAGGAGTTTGAGACCAGTTTGGGCAACATAGGGAGACCCTGTCTCTACAAGATATTTAAAAATTAGCTGGGTGTGGTAGCACGTGCCTGTGATCCAAGCTACTCGGGAGGCTGAAATGAGAGGATCACTTGAGCCTGGAAGGGTAAGGCTGCAGTGAGCCGTGATGGTGCCACTGAACTCCAGCCTGGGTGACAGAGCAAGATCCTGTCTCAAAAAACCCAAGTATACCAATGAGAAACTACAAAATATTCCTGAAAGAAATTAAAGAAGACAAAAATAAACAAAGAGACAGAAGGACTGGAAGACTTAATATTGTTATGATGTCCATACTACTTGAAGCAATACGCACATTCAACACAATCCCTATCAAAATCCTAACACTTTTGCAGAAATAGAAAAAATGCATTCTAAATAATCCAGAAACAGAAAGTTAAATACCACATGTTCTCATTTATATGTGAAAGTTGAAAAAAGTTAATTTCATAGAAGTAAAAAGTAGAACAGAGAATACTAGAGGCTAATGAGTGTAGTGGTAAGGGAGAGGGAGAGCTGTGTTAAAGGATACAAAATTACAGCTAAATAGGAGAAATAAGTTCTAGTGTTCTATACCATTGTAGGATGACTATAGTTAACAATAACATAGTTTCAAATAGCTAGAAGGAGGATATTGAATGCTCCCAACAGAAAAAAAATGATAAATATTTCAGATGATGGATATGCTAATTACCCTGATCTGATCACTATACATTTTTTTTTTTTTCTTGAGACAGGTTCTCATTGTGTTACCCAGGCTGGAGTACGGTGGCACAATCTCGGTTCACTGCACCCTCCTCTTTCTGGGCTTAAGGGATCCTCTTGCCTCAGCTTCCCAAGTAGCTGGGACTACAGGCACCCACCAACACGCCCAGCTAATTTTTTTTTTTTTTTTTTTGTGGAGACAGGGTTTCATCATGCTGCCCAGACTAGTCTCAAACTCTTGTGATCCGCCCCCGCCTTGGCCTCCCAAAGTGCTGGGATTACAGCTCTGAGCCACATACCTGGTCTCAGATCACTACACATATTTATAAAAAACATCACCATGTATCCCATAAACATGTACAATTATTCTGTGTGTCAATTAATAAAACCAAAATTTAAGAAAAGGAAAATTCATCCTAAAACTCATATGAAATCTCAAGAGATCCTGAAATGCTAAAACAATTTTGAAAAAGAACATTGTTAGAGGACTCAAACTTCCCAATTTCAAAAGAATTATAAAGTTACAGTAATCAAAAAAGTATGGTACTGGCATAAAGGTAGACACATAGCTCAAGGAAATAGAATAGAAAGCTCACACATAAACCCTGTCATATTCAAATGATCTTCAACAGGGTGCCAAGACCATTCAATGGGTAAAGAACAATCTCTTTAACAAATGATTTTGGGGACAATGGATATCCACATACAGAAGTATGAAGTTGGACCCTTAGCATATACCATATACAAAAATTAACTCAATATAGATTAAAGACCTAAACATAAGACCTAAAACTGTAAAATGCCTAGAAGAACACATATGAGAAAAGCTTCAAGACATTGGATTTGGTGATGATTTCTTGGATATGACATCAAAAGCACAGGCAACAAGAACAAAAATAGACAAATGGGACTACATCAAACTTAAGATCTTTTGTGCATCAAAGGATGCAACCAACAGAGTGAAAAGGCAACTTCCAGAATGGGAGAAAATATGTGCAAATCACATATCTGATAAGGGGTTAATATCCAGAATATATAAAGAACAACAAAAAATCAAATAACCTGATTAAAAATGGGCAAAGAATTGAATAGTTATCTAAAGATGATATACAAATGGCCAAAAAGCATATAAAAAGATGCTCAACATCAACTTTCAGAGAAATGCAAATCAAAACCATAATCAGATTTCACCTCACACCCATTAGGATGACTATAGAAAATAATAAGGGTTGATAAGGATATGGAGAAATTAGAACCCCTGTGCACCACTGGTGAGATTGTAAAATGGTACAAGTGCTGTGGAAAACAGTCTGGAGGTTCCTAAAGAAATTAAAAATAGAACTACCATGTGATCCAGCAATCCTACTTCCAGATATGTATCCAAAAGTACTGAAAGCAAGGTCTCAAAGAGATATTTGCACACCCATGCTCATAGCAGCACTATAATAGCCAAAAAGTAGAAGTGACCCAAATGTCCATTGATAGATAAATGGATAAAGAAAAAATGTATATCTCAGTCACAAAAAAGACTAATACTGTGTAATTCCACTTATATGAGGTATCTAAAGTAGTCAAATTCATAGAAAGAGAAATTAGAAGGGTGGTTGCCAGGGACTGGAAGGAAGAGGAAATGGAAAGTTGTAGCTTAATGGGTATAGAGTTTCAGATTTCCAAGATAAAAAAGTTCTAGAGATCTGTTTCACAACTATGTGAATATACTTAATCCTACTGAATTGTACACTTAAAAACGATCAAGACGGTAAAATTTATGGTTTATATTTTTCACCACAATTTAAAAAAAAGCTAAAAATAAAGAAGTATACCAGTGAAGGTAGTGATCGTGGTGATTTTCCCCATTCCTAACTAAATTTTTACTGGGAGAAAGGCTATAACTAACACAATATCCATATTTTCATTAAGTTATCACTTTTATATTCTGGTTCCAAGAAAAGATAGACTAGATGCACTTTCCCCTATTTATCCCTCTATATCTAAAAACACTGGACATTATAAATAAATAAATATATATATATACATAACTCATACATCTCTGACAGGTAAATAGAAGGAGGCAGGTGGCTTCTTCTATTCCTGGTGGCTAGGAATCTCAAGACCCAAGTAACAATATGGC
The DNA here is from genome assembly GCF_000001405.40 of Homo sapiens. Classification (NCBI taxonomy): domain Eukaryota; kingdom Metazoa; phylum Chordata; class Mammalia; order Primates; family Hominidae; genus Homo; species Homo sapiens. The sequence goes on along the minus strand of NC_000023.11, from coordinate 108,108,263 downwards.
AGTGAGTTCCCTGGATTTGTTTTTGAGTAATGTATCCTGGACCTGGTGATGGAGAAGCCAGCAACCCAGCAATGCCATGGGTGCAAAAAAAAAAAAAAAAAAAAGTGCCTCAAAAAACTGGCTATCTCTAGCCAAAGGAACAGAAAAGGGGTAGCCTAGAGAGACAGAAAACTTTTAGGTAATAACTTCCCTATCCAAGGCAAACACCACAGCAGAAAAAACTATACTCCTCCCTCCACTGCCCTCAGCAAAAATCAAGTAGGGAGCCTAGATTTCTACCTTCAACTGGTTTTAAATAGTCACACATCCCCTTCTCCCTGAGGTGGTTTCAGAAATGACCGAATGGAGATCTGGGACTTTCATCCTTGCCAGGCAGTAATGAGTCCCCCGGCATATGATGGTTGTAGAGGCCTGTCAATGGAGGCCTAGGGAGGTGTCAGTGGTGTCACTGGAGGCCTAGTGAGGATCCTGAAATTCCACTCCTTCCTAGTAATAATGGCATCCCTACCCCTACCCTGGGTATCAATGGATGGTGAGTGAGGAACCTTGACTCCCACCTTTCCCTGAATAATAAAACTGTGCTCCCATTCCCCCACCAGAATGGTGTCAGAGTAGGCCTACTAAACAGAAGATTAAAATAAAATCCAGAGTCTCATAAAATGCCCAAGATACAGTAGAAAATCACTCATGATAAAAAGAACCAGGTACATCTCAACTTGAATGAGAAAAGACATTCAACAGACACCAACATTGATATGACACAGATTGGAATTAATCCCACAAGGATTTTAAATCAGTCATCTTAAAAATGTTTCAACAAGCAATTACGAACATGCTGAAAACAAATTTTTTTATAAAAAGAAAGTCTCAGCAAAGAAATAAAAGACATAAAGGAGAAGCAAATGGAAGCTTTAGAACTGTAAAACACAATCACCAAAATGAAATACTCACTGAATGGGCTGAATAGCAAAAAGGAGACTGAAAAAAGAATCAGTGAAACTAGTGACAGAACAATAGAAATTATGCGATTGAACAATAGAGAGAAAATAAATTGAAAAAGGTAAACAGAGCTTCAGGGACACACGGGACTTTAATGATACATTAAACATTCATATCATCAGAGTTCCAGGAGGAGAGGAGAAACAGTGTGGGACTAAAGGAGTATTAAAAAAAAATAGGTGAAAATCTCCCAAATATTTAACAATCAATTAATTTTGTTAATTGACAAATAAAATTGTATATATCTATGGTATACAACATGATGTTTTGATATGTGTATACATGTGGAATAGCTAAATCAAGCTAATTAATATGAAAATCTCCCCAATTTGGCAAAAGACGTAAGCCTACAGATTCAAGAAGCTGAGCAAACCCAATAGGATAAATCCAATGAATTCCACAGTAAGACATATCATAATCAAACTCCTGAAAACTAAAGAAAAAGAAAAAAATCTTGAAAGTAGTGAGAGAGAAGAAATACCTTACTTATAGAAGAAAAACACTTTTAATGAGAGTAGATTTATTAAGAGGAACCATGGAGTCCAAAGGGAAATGGCACATTTTTCAAATGCTGAGATAAAAGAACTGTCAATCTAAATTTGCATATCCAGTGAAAATATCTTTTAGGGGAAAATCAAGACAGTCTCAGGTGAAGAAACACTAAGAATTTGTTGCCAGCAGACATACCTAAAGGAACGGATGGCTAAAGGAAATTTGTGAATTGGAAAGGAAAGATAAAAGAAGGAATCTTTAGGTATCAGGAAGGAAGAAAGAAAAATAAGAGTAAAAAATAGTACCAAATACAACAGACTTTGCTTCTTTTTTCAGTTTTCTAAATTATATTTGACAGTTAAAGCAAAAGTCATAACATTGTCTGATGTGATTCTAAAAATATATGGGAAAAATATTTTTAAAATTATATTATAGATGGGAGAAAGTAAAGAGACTTAAAGGGAAGTAAGGTTTCTATAGCAAAGTATTTCTCTAACTACAACGGAATCAAACTAGAACTCAATAACAGAAAGGAAACAAGAAAGTTTTTGAAACAATTGGAAATTAAACAACATACCTCTAAATAATCCGTTGGTCAAAGAGGAAGTCTCAAGGGAAGTAAAAAAAAAAAATACCTTGAACTGAATGAAAATGAAAATACAACATATCGAAATATGTGACATAGGAGCAAGATGGCAGAATAGGAAGTTCCAGCCCTTGTTCCCCTACAGGAAGACCAATTTAACAATGATATATTGAGTAAAATAATTTTATGAGAATTCCAGAATTCAGTTAAGAAGTTGCATACCCTAGGTAAGCACAAAGTCAAGAATAACCACATTAAAATGGGTAGGAAGGGCAATCTCACCTTATCTGCATCAGCCCCTCTCCCAAGCTGGCACAGCTCAGCACCAGGAAATAACATCCCAGCCTTCAATTTCAGGGTGGGGGGAACAAAGACTGTACAAAGTTTTCAATGTTCTGTGTTTTTGGAGGGCTGCTCAAGGAACCAGGAAGAGGTTTCTATTTTGCCCCACTGGAAGCACTAACAAAACCAGCATACTTTGGCTGCCTTGAGGCTGCTGAGAACAAAGGAAAGTGGTGGGTAACTTGCTGTGGCCAGCACAGTTCAGCACAGTTGGGAGGAGATACACAACTTAAGGCTTCTTCCTCAGGAGGGAGGGAAACAAGTGGAATATTCATCAGCATTTTGACTTTTCACCAGGCTGCCTAAGGTACTAGTATAGGTCTCACCTGACTTGGGGCACTGACTTAGGAAGCTAGCACACACTGGATACCTGATGACCACTGAGAACAAAAAGAGAGAGAGGAGGCTTACTGATATAGAACCAGAAAACTTGCAGTGTTGTAGACACAGAGGGAGCAAGTGATTATAAGCTCCTGTAAAAGAAACTGGTAAGCTTCTAGTTGAGAAATTACCTACACATGCCCAGAGAAGTCAAGTATCCTCCAAAAAGGTTTCAAAGGCCCCCAGAATCTCTAGCTGGGCTGACTGGTAAGGGTCTTTCCCTGTACAAAGCCAGTCCATGATGACTGAAAGAAGTTACCAATGTTTCAGATGTGCAGATCCCAACAAAAACGTTAGAGACATATGAAGAAACAGAGAAACATGGTCCAAAGAAGCAAAATAAATCTCCAGAAACCAATCCTAAAGAAAGAGAGGTATATCAATAACCTGAAAAAGAAGTCAAAATAACCATCATAAAGATGCCATCTATGAGTTCAAAAAATGACAAATATCAATAAAGATTTAGAAAACATAAAAGAGAACCAAACAGAAATTTAGAGCTGAAGAATATAACAGCTGAACTGAAAAAAAAAAAAAACATGACAGGTATTAAACAGCAGGCTTGATAGGGCAGAAGAAAGAATTGGTGAACTCAGAGACAAGTTATTTGAAATGATATAGTCAGAGGAACAAAAAATCAGTGAAGAAAACCTAAGGGATTTATGGGACACCATCAAACAAATATATGCATTATGGGATTCCAAGAAGGAGAAGGGGTAAAGGGACAGAAAGTTTATTTAAAGAAATAACATCTCTAAATGTGTCAAATCTGGGAAAGGAAATGGACATCTGGATTCAAGAAGCCCAACAGACTCCATGTAGGATGAACCCAAAGAAATCCACACTGAGAAACATTGTAATCAGATTGTCAAAAGTCCAAGACAAAGAAAGAATTTTGAAAGCAGCAAAAGAAAAGCAGCTTATCATGTACAAGGAAATCACCATAAGATTATCTGTGAGTTTCTCAGCAGAAACCTTGCAGGACAAAAGGGAATGGAATAATCAAAGTGCTGAAAGAAAAAAAAAAAACCTGCCAACCAGGAATATTACATCTAGCAAAATTAGCCTTCAAAATGAAGGAGGAATAAAAACGTTCCCACATGACCAAAAGCTGAAGAATTTCTTCACCACTAGAACTGCCTTACAAGAAATGCTAAAGAGAGACATTTGAGTTGAAATAATAAGATGCTCAACAGCAACTTGAAAGCATAAATCTTACTGGTAAAGGTAAATATGTAGAAAAATACAGAATACTGTAACACTGTAATAGTGGTGGGTAAATCACTTTTAATTTTAGTATAGAAGTTAAAAAACAAAAGTATAAAAATTGGCTGGGTGCGGCAGCTCATGCCTGTAATCCCAGCATTTTGGGAGGCATCCCCTGAGGTCAGGAGTTCGAGACCAGCCTAGCCAACATGGTGAAATCCCATCTCTACTAAAAATACAGAAATTAGCCAGCCATGGTGTCGGGCACCTATAATCCCAGCTACTCGGGAGGCTGAGGCAGGAGAATTTCTTGAACCCAGGAGGTGGAGGTTGCAGTGAGCTAAGATCGCACCATTGCACTCCAGCCTATGCAACAAGAGAAACTCTGTCTCAAAAAAAAGTATAAAAATACCTATAACTATACAAACATGTTAATGGATACACAATATAAAAATGTAATTTGTGACATCGATAACATAAAGTGTGGGGTGGATAATATAAAAGAGTAAAGTATTATATGTAATTGAAGTTTAAGTTTGTTTCAGCTTAATATAGGTTGTTATAAGATGTTTTCTGTAAGTTCCATGGTAATGTCAAAGAAAATCCCTTTAAATGATACACAAAAGAATGTGTGAAGAGAATCAAAGCATGTCTCTACAAAAAAATCAATGAAACCCAAAGGAAAAGAGAAAGAAAGAAAAGGAAGGACAAAAAAGCTACAAGACAGAAAACAATGAACAAAATTGCAATAATAAGTCCTTCCCTATCAATAATTACTTTAAATATAAGTGGATTAAACAGTACGGTACAGTCATAAAGACAGACATATAGATTAATGGAACAGAACAGAGAGCTTGATCATAAATCCATACATATACAGTCATCTAATCTCCAATGATAGTTCCAAAAATACACAATGGGGAAAAGGGTAGTCTCTTCAACAAATGGTGCTAGCACACATATGTCCATTTCAGCACTATTTACAATAGCAAAGACATGGAATCAACCCAAAGGCCCATCAATGATAGACTGGATAAAGAAAATGTGGTACATCTGCACCATGCAATACTGTGCAGCCATAAAAAGGAAAGAGATCATGTCCTTTGCAGGGACATGGATAGAGCTGGAAGCCATCATCCTCAACTAACTAACATAGGAACAGAAAACCTAACACCACATCTTCTCACTTATAAGTGGGAGCTGAACGATGAGGACACATGGGTAGGGGGAACAACACACACTGGGGCCTGTCAGGGGAGTAGGGGGAGGAGGAGGGAGAGCATCAGGAAGAATAACTAATGGATGCTGGGCTTAATACCTAGGTGATGGGTTGATCTGTACAGCAAATCACCATGACACACGTTTACCTATGTAACAAACCTGCACATCCTCCACATGTAACCAGGAACTTAAAAGTTTTTGAAAAAAAAAGGGGGCAAAGATCCAGCCCAACTCCCCCGCAAGAAAAAAAAAAATGGTGCTAGTAAAACTTTATACCCACATGCAAAAAAATTAAATTGGATGTTTATTTCACACTACATATAAAATCAACTCAAAATATATTAAAGACTTAAACATAAGACCTGCAACTGTAAAAGTCCTAGAAGAAAACATAGGGGGAAAGCATCATGGCATTGGTCTTGGCAATGATTTCTTGTATATGACACCAAAAGTATAGGCAATAAAAGTAAAAAGAGACAAGTGGTACTACCTCAAACTAAAAAGCTTCAGTAGAGCAAAGGAAACAACAGAATGAAAGGCAACCTACAGAATGGGAGAAAATATTTGCAAACCATCTGATAGGGTTCAATATCTAAATTATTTAGCTCAATAACAAAAAATCTCACCAAATAATTCAATTAAAATATGAACAAAGAACTTGAATAGACATTTCTCCAAATAAGACATACAAATGACCAACAGGTATACGAAAAGATGCTCAACATCACTAATTGTCAGGGAAATGCAAATCAAAACCATAATGAAGTATCACTTCATAACTGTTAGGATGGCCATTATTAAAAAAAACAGTAAGTGCTGGCAAGAATGTGGAGAAATTGGAACCTTGTGCACTGCTGGTGTGCGTGTAGAATGGTGCGGTTGGTATGGAAAAGAGTATGGAGGTTCCTTAAAAAATTAAAATTTCCCATATGATCTAACAATCCCACTTCTAGGGATGTATCCAAAAGAATTGAAATCAGAATCTTGAAGAGATATTTGTACTCCTATGTTCATTGCAGTATTATTCACAATAGCCAAGAGGTGGAAACAACCTAATGTCCATCCACAGATAAATGAAGAAACTGTGGTATATACATATAACGGAATCTTATTCAGCCATAAAAAGAAACCCTGTCATATGCTACAATATGGATGAACCTTGAAGACATTATGTTAAATGAAATAAGCCAGACACAGAAGGGTAAATACTGCATGATTCCACTTATATATCTAAATTAGTTATGTTCATAGAAACAGAAAGGAAAATAGTAGTTGCCAGGGGGTTGGTGGGGGGTGGGAAATGGGGAGTTGCTGCTCAATAAGCATAGAGTTTCAGTCATTCAAGATGAAAAATTTCTAGAGATCTGCTGTACAACATTGTGCTTATAGTTAACAATATTGTACTGTACACTTTAAAGTTTGTTAAGAACTAAATCTCCTGCTATGGTTTTTTACTGTGATAAAAAAAATACATGACATGCAGCTAAAGCAGTGCTGAGATGGAAATTCATTGCACTAAAGGCTTAACTTAGGGAAGAAGAAATGTCTGAAATTAATAATCTAATTTCCCACCCTAAGGAACTAGAAAAGTAAGAGCAAATTAAACTGAAAGCAAGCAGAAGTAAGGAGATAAAGAGCAGAAGTCAATGAAATTGAAAACTCAAAATCAACAGACAACATCAATGAAACAAAGAGGTAGTTCTCTGAAAAGCCTCATAAAATTCACAAACCTTAAGCAAAACTGACAAATAAAAAAGATAGGCCACAAATCATTAATATCAGGAATGAAACAGGAGATATTATTATAGACCTTGCAGACACCAAAAGGGATTACTACAAACAAATATGCATGTATAAAGTTGATAATTTTGATAAGCTGGATAAATTCCTTGAAAAGCACAAACCACCACAACTCAATAGAAATTAGATAATTTGAATAGCTTGGTAACTATTAAGAAAATTGAACATATAATTTTAAAACTCAAAAAAAAAAATTCTTCATTGAAACCATCTGGGCCTGAATGATTTCACTGCAGCATTCTACCAAATACTTAAAGAAGAATTAACACTCATATTACACAATGTCTTCTAGAAAATAGAAGAGGAGGGACTACTTCCCAACTCTTATTATAAGGCCAATATTGCACTGATACCAAAATCAGACAAAGACAGTACCAAAAAATTAAATTGCAAGCCAATATCATTCATGAATAGAAGCAAATATCCCCAGCAAATATGAGCAAATATAACATATAAATTATACATCGCATCCAAATGTGTTTTATCCAAGGATGCAAGGCTAGCTCAACATTTGAAAATAAATTAGTGTAATCCACTGCATTAGCAAACTGAAGAAGAAAAATCACAAGATCATATCAATTGATGCAAAAAGTATTTGGCAAAATTCAATAGTTATTCATGATAAAAACACTCAGACAACTAGAAATCAAGAGGGAACGATCTAAACTTCAAAAAAAACTACATTATAGTTGATGCTGAAAGACTGACCTCTTCTTCCCTAAGACTGGGAACAAGACAAGAATTTAGCTCTCACCACTGCTATTCAACATAAAACACAGAGTGGAAAGGAAGAAATATCACTGTCCCTCTCTGCAGATGACAAGATGGTCTACATAGAAAGTCCTAAAAAACAATGAAAACAAAAGAAAAAAAATTAGAAAAATACCTTTTAACCCCCTAGAACTAATCAGTGAATTCAGCAAGGTTTCAATATGCAAAACTATCATACAAAAATCATTTATATTTCTATATACTAGCAATGAATACATGGAAACCAAAATTCAAAATAAAATACCATTAATAGTCACTCCAAAAATGAAATGGTTATGTATAATTCTAACAAAACATACAAGATTTCTATGCTGAAAATTGAACAGTGCTGATAAAATAAATAAAAGAAGATCTAAATAAAGGGAGAGACATATGGTGCTCATGGATTGGAAGACTCAGCATAGTAAAGATGTCAGTTTTCCCCAAACTGATACACAGGTCTAATACAATTCCTATCAATATCTCAGCTAACTTTTTTCAGATATAGGCAAGTTTATTCTAAAATTTATAGGGAAAGTTAAAGGAACAGGCAATATTGAAAACAATAAACTAGGAGGAATCACTCTATCAAATTTTAAGATTTATTATAGAGCTACAGTATTCAACACTGTGTGGTATGGCAGAGGGACACATACGTAGATCAATGAATCAGATTAGAAAACTCAGAAATAGATATACACAAGTACGGCATACTTATATTTTACAACAGTGCAAAAGCAATTCAATGGAGCTGAAGTAACTAGATATCAATAATCCAAAAAAATTAACCTTGACCTAAACTTCACATTTTATGCCAAATATTAACTTAAAATGGATCATGGACTTGAATGTAAAATGTAAAACTATAACATTTTCAGAAGAAAATCTAGGAGAAAATATTTGAGACCTACGACTTGGTGAAGACTTCTTAGATGTAACAACAAAAGCACAATCTATAATAGGGAAAAAAATCAATAAGTTGAATGTCATCAAAATTAAAAGCTCTTTCTCTGTGGAAAATCCTATTAAGATGAAAAGACAAGCCACAGACTGGAAGAGAATATTTGCAAGCTACATATCTGACAAAGAACTGGTATCTAGAATACATAAAGCACTCTGAAAACTCAACAGTAAAACAAACAATACAATACAATTAGAAAATGGGCCAAAGATATAAAGAGATATTTAAATGAAGAAGATATGGGGATGACAAATAAACACATGAAAAGATGTTGAACTTTATTAGCCATCAGATAAATGCAAATTAAATCAGTAATATATCACTACACACTTATCACAATGGCTAAAACTTAAAAAAAAAATAGTGAGAATACCAAATGCTGGAAAGGATGTGGAGATACTGGATCTCTCATACCATTGCTGGTGAGAATACAAAATGGTACAGTCACTTTGGAAAACTAGTTTGTCAGATTCTTTTAAAATTAAACATATATTTACCGTCCCACCTTGTAATTGCTCTCCTGGGCATTTATCTCAGAGAGATGAAAATTTCCATCTACACAAAACACTGTACTCAATGTTAATAAGAGTTCTCTTCGTAATAGCCAAAAACTGGACATTTAAAAATGTCCCTTAATAGATGAATGGTTAAAAAAACTGTGGTACCTCCATGTCGTGTAATATTTCTCAGCAATAAGAGGGAATGAACTATTGATACCAATTTGAATGAGTCTCAAATGTATTATGCTGAGTGAAAAATAGTGGAAAAGGTCACATACTTTATGATTCTAAAAATTAAATCATTTTAATTATATATAAAATTCTTAAAATGACAGTTATAGAAAAGGAGAACAAATTAGTATTTTTCAGGGGTTATCAATGGTGGGGGTAGGTGGTGGGTGTGACTATAAAGAGGTAGCACAGGAGAGATGGAATATTTCTTGATTGCGATAATGGTTAAACAAATCTACACATCATAAAATAACATAGAATTATACACACGTATCATTCCAGTATCAATTTCCTGGTTTTGATATTGTATTATAATTATGTAAAATGCAATGATTGAAGTAACTCAGATGAAGATTATATGGGGCCTTTCTGTACTATCTTTGCAAATTATTGCGAGTCTCTTATTCATAATAAAACCCTTTTAAAAAAAGAAACCACTTATAAAGCAAACAACTTAAAACAAGAGTGTGGAAGCTAAAACTCAGGGAGTAAATATAAAGTGCTTTATTATAACAGCCTGTAACAGTTTGCCAGTTTTGTGAAGGAATCGCTTTTAAATGGGGAAGGTTTGTATAGCCCAGTGACATATAACACCAAGGACATTTAACATGTGGGATCAAAACACGGGATTAAAAAAAATTAGAGCCACAGCACACACCAGGGCCTGTCAGGGGGCGAAGGCCTGGGGGAGGGATAGCATTAGGAGAAATACCTAATGTAAATGACGAGTTGATGGGTGCAGCAAACCCACATGGCACATGTATACCTATGTAACAAACCTGCACGTTGTGCACATGTACCCCAGAACTTTTATATAAAAAAACTTGTATATAAAAAAAAATTAGAGCCACAGATTAAGATGTCTCATCTTAAACCAAGCAACTGGCAACTGTAAAGTGCAATAAGCCACATAAATTACATTTGTAAGCAGTGAAAAATCAATTGCAAAAGGTTTTTGAGCCAGTTATGGAACCTTATTTAGTAAGTGCTGGGAATGGAGAAGTTTCATGGTGGATAACCCAGAACCTGTTCCTGCAACTGTCATGCAGTTAATTGATTTGCGTATACCCTCAAGTTGTTTTTCAGTATAGAATATATTCACTTCCTGTTGTGCTATGGAAAGAATATTTGCATTGGGTAAAATATTTAGTGTAATTAAAAAGGAACAAGTGGGGGGAAATGATCTCTCTCTGCACTGTCCAAGATGATTAATAATGAGTCACACAAAACTATTTACATGTAAAACAATTACAATTAAATGACATTAAAAATTCAGTTCCTAGACACATTGCAAGTCTTTAAGAGCTACATGTGGTTATGGTTACCATACTAGAACAGCGTAGATATAGAAGTTTACCATCATCACAGAAAGTTCTACTGGACAGCACTGCTCTAGAGCATTAAAATCTTGTCATTTCACCAAAATCACAGGTAGAGTTACAACCCAAAGAACTCTGACAGCATTTTGTATTGCAATATTTAGGATTATCATTTACACATAATTCCATTTTCAGCAATATTTAGCAGCATGTTGCAGTGGTTAAGTAGTAGGACTTTGGAGTAGAATTGCCTGGATTTCTATTATAGCTCCAACTAAACTGTGTGACCTTGGGCATGTAACTTCTCTCCTCTGTGCCTGTTTTCTCATTTTAAAAAAGGTAGGAGCTGCAGGATAATAGTACCTACCTCACAGAGCTGATGTGAGGATTGCATAAGATAAGCTCAGTAACTGACAATGTCATCTATAAATGCTAGTTATTATTGGCATTATTCTTCAAGCCTAGAAGATGAACTTAGCTTGTTTTAGTATCTAGAATCCAGGTGATCAGTGGAAAAGGCAATAGGGAACGTTCAATCATAAGAGCAGAAAGGGAGTCAGACCCTAACAGGGCCCCATTTGTCTCTTAATGGACATAAACAGCAACCACATCATTCCTCCATAACTTGGGGCCAGCCACAAAAGAGAAGAGACCTTCTCCTCTAAGACCTATTTATCTTGCAGCTTTCAAAAAGTCAAAGGATAACTTCCCCTTAGCCTTAAAGGACTCAGAATTGAAAGTTAATTACCATGTCACATAAATAACATAACATAACATAACATAACATACAATAAAATAAAATAAAATAATAAAATAAAATAAAATAAAATATACTGTTTATAAAAGAAGACTACCCAAACAAGTCACTCAGTAGGAAAGGCACTTGGAATTGTTTTTCCAGCTTTTCTACCAATCAGATCCAAGTACTTGATGCATTTTTATGGTGAAAGGTCACTATACCCAATACTTTGTGAATACCACAACACAGGGATACTGTACCTCCATAATCAACTAGAGAAGTATTTATTGAATATGCAGGGCACTTCTGCTCTATACCAACTATGACTGGCAGGCTAAATTCAGCCCATCTCATGTTTTTGTGTGGCAAGCAAGGTACGAATGATTCTCATAATTTTAAATGGTTGGAAGAACCACCTTCAAACACTGTTAGGGAACACTGAATGGCTTTGGAAATTAACTTTTGATGCAGGCTGGATAATGTTTATTAATTAATTCAACCTAAAATTACAAGGCAAAACAATGCTTATATATGAAAAAAACTGTAGTAAAGTCATTTTGACAATATTATTTGAATCACAAGTAATGTCAAGATGCTTTATCCACTTCCCATGCTGTCACAAGTCAAAACAATAAAACCACAATTAAATACCACTTTATACCCACTAGAATGCCTATAATCAAAAAGATAGATATTAATAAGTATTGGTAAAGATATGGAGAAATTTGGCTGGATGTGGTGGCTCACGCCTATAATCCCAGCATTTTGGAAGGCCAAGGTGAGCAGATCACTTGAGGACAGGAGTTCCAGACCAGCCTGGCCAACACGGCAAAACCCCGTCTCTACTAAAAATACAAAAATTAGCCGGCACGGAGGTACATGCCTGTAATCCCAGCTACTCAGGAGGCTGAGGCACAAGAATCACTAGAACCTGGGAGGCAGAGGTTGCAGTGGGCTGAGATCATGCCACTGCACTTCAGCCTGGGCGACAGAGTGAGACTTTGTCTCCAAAAAAAAAAAAAAAAGAAAGAAAAGAAAATAAGAAAAAAAATGTGGATAAATCTGAACCCTCGAACATTGCTGATGGGAAGGTAAAATGGTACGGCCACTCTTGTAAAGAGTCTGAAAGTTTCTCAAAAACTTAAACAGAGTTACGATATGACCCAGCAATTCCACTCCTAGTTAAGTACCCAGAAGAAATAAATGAAATCTCAGCTGGACATGGTGGCTCACACCTGTAATCCCAGCATTTTCTGAGACCTAGGTGGGAGGATCACTTGAACCCAGGAGTTCGAGATCAGCCTGGGCAACATAGTGAGACCCTGTATCTATAAAAAATCATAAATTGGCTGAGTGTGTTGGTGCATGCCTGTAGTTCCAGCTGCTCCAGAGGCTGAGATGACAGGATTGCTTGTGCTAGGGAGGTGGAGGCTGCAGTGAGCCGTGATCGTGCCACTGCACTCCAGCCTGGGCAACAGAAGAAGACCCTGTCTCAATAAAAAATAAAATAGGCTGGGCACAGTGGCTCATGCCTGTAATCCCAGCACTTTGGGAGGATCACCTGAGGTCAGGAGTTAGAGACCAGCCTGGCCAATATGGCGAAACCCTGTCTCTACTAAAAATACAAAACTTAGCCAGGCGTGGTGGCATGCGCCTCAGGAGGCTGAGGCAGGAGAATCGCTTGAGCCTGGGAGGCAAAGATAGCAGTGTGCCAAGATCGTGCCACTGCATTCCAGCCTGGGTGACAGAGTGAGACTCTGTCTCAAAATAAAATGAAATAAAAGTTAAAACAAGAAGCAAGATATCTATTTCCATAAGAATTTGCAGCATATATATTTTCTGAATTCAGACTACAGTTCCAGCAGCAGTTTTTGAACCCTGAAGCAAGTGCAAAGGATATTCCATATTCCAAAATCCCTTTAACTGTGCAATTGAGCAGCTTTCACCAAACTTTCAATTGGAAGTGATTAACCTGCCACATAATGCTAAAAGGCACTATTAAGAGAAGAACAGAATTCTATTCCACGCAATGAATATGCTCAATTAAAATCATGTTTGAGGATAGTGTATGATAAGAATGTGGTACTTGACCTCTGCAGACTTTCTTCCAAACACATAATGCCAGTCTAAGCATAAAATTGAGGGGTTTTCTACAAAATACCTGACCAGTACTCCTTAAAACTATCAAGGTCACCAAAACAAGAAAAGTGTGAGAAAGTGTCACAAACCAGAAGAGGCTAAGGAGATACAATGACTAAACGTAATGTGGTATCCTGGATGGGACAGCATCTCTAGAGATAAACTAGTGAAACTTGAAAAAAAAAAGCATGGGGTATAGTTAATAGCAATATACCACTGTGGGCTTATTAGTTGTGACATAGATAGCATAGCAATGTAAGACGTTAATGATAAGAGATTCAGCAAATGGTGCTAGGACAATTTCTACATCCACATGCAAAAAGATGAATTTAGACTCTCACCTCACATCACAGAGAAAAAATGAACTCAAAATGAATCATAGACTTAAATGTAAGAGATGAAGTAATAAAGCTTTTAGAAGAAAACATTGGAGAAAATCACTGAGACCTTGCAATTAGGCAAAGACTTCTTAAGTACAACACCAAAAGAATGGTCCATGAAAGAAAAAAAAATGATAAATTGAACCTCACCCAAATTCAAAACGTTTTCACTTCAAAAGACACCATCAAAAAAAGAAAAAGGCAAGCAACAGACTGGGAGAATATATGTGCATATCATATATCTCTCAGGGACTTGATCTAGAATATATAAACCATCCTTACAACTCAACACTAAAAAAACAAATAACTCAATTTAAAAACAGACAAAAGATATAACAGACACTTCACTGAAGAAGATATATGAATGGCTAATAAGCACATGAAAATATGCTCACCGTATTATAAATTATAATTTATAAATTAAAACCACAATGAGACACCACTTCACACCCACTTAGAATGGCTATAACAAAAAACACAGTAAATAACAAATGTTGGCAAGGATGTGGAGAAACAGGAACTCTCATACATTGCTAGTGGAAGTGCAAAATGTTGCTGCCATTTTGGAAAACAGTTTTGCAGTTTCTTAAGAAGTTAAGCATAAATTTTCCCTGTGATCCAGTAACTCCACCCTTAAGTATCTATCAAAGAGAAATGAAAAAAATATGTCCGCACGAAGACTTACATACTAATCTTCTTAGCAGCACTAGTCATAGTAGCCAAAAATTGGAAACTGATGTGCCTATCTAATAGTGAGTAGACAGATAAAAATGTGTTATATCCATAAAATGGAATACTATTCAGCAATAAAAAAGTAAGGAAGTACTGATACATACTACAATATGGATGAATCTCAAAAATATTATGCTAAGTGAAAGAAATCAGACACAAAGACTGCATATTGTATGATTTCATTTATATAAAATGTCCAGAATAGGCAAATTTATAGAAACAAAAAAGTAGATTAGTGGTTGTCTGGGGCTGGGAATGGGACAGAGGATTGATTAACTATAAATAGGCATGA
Source organism: Homo sapiens (assembly GCF_000001405.40). Lineage (NCBI taxonomy): Eukaryota > Metazoa > Chordata > Mammalia > Primates > Hominidae > Homo > Homo sapiens. The sequence goes on along the minus strand of NC_000023.11, from coordinate 108,093,193 downwards.
GGGACCTTACTGGAGGGATCAAAAAGTTCTAAAACTGATTTATGGTGATGGTTGCCCCACTTCAGTAAAGTTACCAAAAATCATTTAATTATGCACTTGAAATCAGTGAATTTTATGATATGTAAAATGTGCCTCATTTTGAGTGAGTGTTATACAGGAACTCTACTAACCTTGCAACTTTTCTATAAATCTACAACTATTCTGAAATTTTTGAAAAATTAAATAAAAATAAAAATAAAAAAGTATATGTTTATGAATTGATATCAGTATTTGGCAGTACCTATCTATGTAAAATGACATTTTCAAAGATTAAATAGGTAAAAATTTCCTAACAGATCAGCATTAACAGATGAACACTTAAAATCAATTTTGACAATAGGGAACACTAATTCTGAGCCCCAATTAAGCAAAATATTATCCCCTAAAAAGAATTCTATTCTTCTCATTGGTAGTCTTCCTGTATTACAAAAAAAGTACTCAATTACTATTATATTTTGAATTTCATCAATAAAAATTTGTTGAAATTTGTTTTCTCTTTTGTCATAAAAGTACCAACAAAATATTCTTGATTTTGCCTTTTGGCCTACAAAGCCTAAAATATTTACTATCTGGCTCTTTACAGAAAGTTTCCCAACTCCTGTTCTACACTATAACAGGATAAACATAAACATCATGAGTCTCTTTCTTGAATGTATTCTTATCGTTACCTAGTTGTGGCATAATGTCCTCTGGATATGCCCTATAAAGGATCAGTCTTGCATTGCTTCTGCTATGGCACTATTTGGGATTTCTATAAAAAGAAACACTATTAGCTTAATAGTTGTAGCAAAGCCTTGACAACATAGTTAATATCGTGATATTAAAATGCCAACACCACAGCCCGGTATCCTTAAGATGACCCTCATCAAGCTGTGATGTCACCAGGCTATGGACTCACCGAGGTCTCTTAGATATCAGGTGGCTCCCACGGCATCACACCCTGCCTTTGGCATCACCCTGGCACATCACCTCAGTACGGTGCCATATGCTATCACTGCTGTGGTAGAACCCTGTCCTGATGCCACACCGCCGAGATGTCAGAGTAATTAACCCCCACTTCTTTCCACTCCCTAGGCGGTGGCAGGGAGGGGGAGGGTAGCCACAGTCACCGGTTCGAGCTCAGTAGGTAGTACTCAGCTCCAACCCTTGTCCCTTCCGCCTGCCACTGCAGGTCAGGAACCCCGGGGGACAGGACCTTTAGGCTCTCATAACTCTTGCCCTGCCCCCGAACCTGTTTCATATGGCCGACTCAACGACCCGCCAGCGACTACCCACCCCGGCTCTTTCACACGGTTCCACTCAAAGCCGCTCCCCGTACCTGACTCCATTCTCCAGCTGTCATCCTGGGCCAATTCCACCGGCAACTTGACTACGGACGGACGGTCGCTAGGATCCCTGGGACTTGTAGTTCTGCACTGCTAGGGGCCAAGTCTGTGAGGGCAGCAAAGGCGCCTCCCTGCCCGGAACTGCTCTCAAACTGCAACTCCCAGAGGCGCCGCGCGACGGGAAAAGAAAAGGGAACGAGGAAGGCCGGTGATTGGTGAAGCTCTAACGGCTGTTTTGACTGGCGTAGCCGGAGCCGGCGACGTGAGGCGGGCGTTGCTCGCGCGACAAGTAGTTGCTGGGACAGCGAAATGGAGGGGTGTGTGTCTAACCTAATGGTCTGCAACCTGGCCTACAGCGGGAAGCTGGAAGAGTTGAAGGAGAGTATTCTGGCCGATAAATCCCTGGCTACTAGAACTGACCAGGTAAAGCAACGCTAGGTCTCTCCGCAGTCGGCGACGTCGGCGAAGCCCTACGTGGCTTTCGGGGCCCGGCCCTAGCGGAGGCCCCGTTTCTGAGAGAAGCAGAACCCCGCCCCCGCCGCCCCAAGCAGTCCCCCTGGGTCACCTCGGGACTCGCGATAGGCCTGCGGGAGCTAGCCCCACAGACCTCAGATATTTTCCCGTTGGCCCGGAGCTCCGCTCCCTGATTTTTGGATAGTTCTAGAACGTCTACCGCATTTCTCAGAAACTCCCAATCAGTGAAAAGGAAGGCTTTTTATATGGATTTATTTACCTTTACTAGTAACTGTATTCAGTAACGCATGTGAAATTGAACGCCCCTTCCGTGCCAGGCAGTTTGCTAGGAGCTGGGGATACGGTGGAGTGGAAGATGCAGACAATAAAATAAGCACAAAAACATGTCCGATTACAAATTGTGGTAAATACTCGGCAGAGAAGTTTACATGGTGCTTTCAGAACACGTTAATAGGAGGATCTGATGCTGAATATGACTGTCGTTAATTGGAAAAGTTTTTGCAAAGAAGGGAAGGTTAGTTAGACTTTGAAGCATGAGTGGGATTTCCATGGGGGAATGAGTGGACATTCTAAGCAGAGGTAGACAGAAGTTTAGAAGTGTTTCTTTCTGCCCTCCTGCTCACAGGACTCTCGTGCTTTCATCCTCAGTTTCTAGGATTCATGGTGCCTTTAGTAAGCCCACAAATATTTATAGATGGCCTTGTGTTTCGCAGACAGTGTCGTAAGCACTAGTGAGACTGTCCCATACTTACAGATCTCCATTTTGTGTCTTTTGGGAGAGAATTAGAAATCAAGAGACTGTTTTCTCTTTTCTGGAACTTTCCTTTATTACTCAACCTGAAAATGGCCTTATCTTTACCTGGTTTACTTCATTATGGTCTGGTGATATTTAAGGATTTAAATTTAAATGTAATACTTTATATTAAGATTTAATACTCCATTGGAAATTTAACCATTCTTCAGTCAAGTCAGTGGCTTAAAAAGGGAAAGGAACTATTCAGCATCAAGAGACGTAAAAAACATGAAGAAATGCAATTTATGGATCTCGTCTGGTTCCTGATTTAAACAAACCAACTGCAAAAAGACATTTGGGAGACAGTTGGGGGCAATCTGAATACAGACCGGATATTAGACATTCTAAAGGAGTTAGTGTTAATTTTAGTAAGTGTAATAATGGTCTCATAGTTATATAAGAAATACCTTTATTTTTTACATACTGAAAGAGAAGGGTGAAAAGTCATGATATTTAGGATTTGTTTTTGGAAAGCTCAGCAAGGAAAAAACTAGTTAAAGCAAATAGGGCAAGATGTTTGTTGTTAAATCTAAGCAGTAGGCCTGTGGGTTTCTATTCTATTCCCTCTATTTTTGTGTTTGAAATTTTTTTGTAATAGAGTTTAAAATACCATTTTCTATTCTGTGGGGCTAAGAAGTATAGCAGTCACTGCAAATAGGGATTCCCTTTGACAAATAATGACTACTATAGCTTTTTTAATTTTTATTTATTTTTATTTATTTATTTTTTGAAACAGAGTTTCGCTCTTGTTGCCCAGGCTGGAGTGCAGTGGTGCCGTATCACCTCACTGCAACCTCTGCCTCCCGGGTTCAAGCGATTCCCCTGCCTCAGCCTCCCAAGTAGCTGGGATTACAGGCGCCTGCCACCACGCCTGGCTAACTTTTGTATTTTTAGTAGAGACGGAGTTTCACCATGTTGCCAGGCTGGTCTAGAACTCCTGACCTCGGGTGATCTGCCCACCTCAGCCTCCCAAAGTGCTGGGATTATAGGCGTGAACCACCGCACCCGGCCATAGCTTATTATTTTTTATAAAAAGTAATTTTCTTGTTTTCTGTGTGTTGTGTTTTCTAAATTATATTTCTAATTTATTTATGATTTTAAATTCTAGATAATTTCAACTAGTTTAATGAACATTTCTTCCCCCATTAGATTCATGTGTTCCTTCTACAGCATCTAACTTGAGGTCAGTGTGGTAGTAGAGATTTCAGAGTCAGAACTTCACTGACAGTTGTGCCCCAACTTCACCATTTAGTATCCATATGACCGTCCACAAGTTGCTTACCCTGAGGAGTTTTAGTTTCCTCATCTGAAAAATGGAGATAATAAGCACTGTGTAGAATGGTAGGAATTAAATGATACTATACATGTAAAACTCCCAGCACAGTGCCTGACATAAAAGTACGTAAATAATGTAATAGTAAAACAACCAAAGATGTATTTCTGTCAAAGCATTGAAATCAGTTTCTTGCTCTACTACTTTCCTTGTCGTATTCTGCCCAGAATTACGTATGTTCATCAATGTCATTCTCCCCATGTTACTTAAACCTTCATCTGTCTTATACCAGTAAGTAATATAGTTTAAGGTTACCTACCTGAGGATCCAGTGCTCTGCATTTCGTATTTTCAAACTATAGATTTGCCAGCACCAGTATTTTTTTTCTTGCTTTTTTGCCTTCTATTTCAAGAATGTTTCTATTACTGCTTCTCTGTAGGACAGCAGAACTGCATTGCACTGGGCATGCTCAGCTGGACATACAGAAATTGTTGAATTTTTGTTGCAACTTGGAGTGCCAGTGAATGATAAAGACGATGTGAGTACTTTGATAAAGTTGAGTTGATAAATTCCCAGTTATCTTTGTACTCCAGACTGGTGTTTACTGAAGCCTGTGCATTAAGCTTATAAAGAAAATTGTAACCTTTATGACTGGAAAGTTACATCATGGCCCTTGTGATCAAGCATGAGACTCATGGTTGCATTATTTTACAATGTTATGTTTGCCACTCATACTCTGTGATTTAAGGTAAACATACAGGAGAGGCTGAGGTAGGAGGATTGCTCCAGCCTAGTAGTTTGAGGCTGCAGTGAGCCATTGTACTCTATCCTGGGTGACAGACTGAGACCTTGTCTCTAAAAATAAAAAAACAAAAATAAACATACAGATCAGGGCTTGTTATGGTGAACCCTAAAAGACCATAAACTCTTTCTATTATGTTGGATTTTTTGTTTTTTGGTGAACATGGCCTGAATAATGAGGACCTAAATAACTTTTTTGTTACATAAAGAGATTTATTCTAATGATATGGTTATATTAGGATTAGATTTGTGAAGAGTAAGAATGGAACCTTTTTTGTAGGCAAATATTTTTTTGCCTTTGTAAAGCTCCTTGCTAACCCTTCCTAAATGTTAGCACTAATCCTTGTGCCTTTTTCCCCTGGTATTTCTACTACCTACTTCTTTTATAGGCAGGTTGGTCTCCTCTTCATATTGCGGCTTCTGCTGGCCGGGATGAGATTGTAAAAGCCCTTCTGGGAAAAGGTGCTCAAGTGAATGCTGTCAATCAAAATGGCTGTACTCCCTTACATTATGCAGCTTCGAAAAACAGGCATGAGGTATGGTTCCATCCTAGGCTACTTCTGTTGAGTTCTAAACGTGTATACAAACACAGATAGATTTCTGCATTGTTTTCTTCTTTCTTCTCCATCTTTCCAGATCGCTGTCATGTTACTGGAAGGCGGGGCTAATCCAGATGCTAAGGACCATTATGAGGCTACAGCAATGCACCGGGCAGCAGCCAAGGGTAACTTGAAGATGATTCATATCCTTCTGTACTACAAAGCATCCACAAACATCCAAGACACTGAGGGTAACACTCCTCTGTAAGTGACAAGTAGCAGTCATTTGTATTCTACCTGACATTAGCCTTCTTGCAATAATTCTTATACATCATTTCTTTTTTTATTCTGCTTATAAATGCAATACGTGTTAATGGCAAAAATGTTAAATTGCACAAAATATAAAG